>NC_000016.10:4385000-5010000 GCF_000001405.40 Homo sapiens | reverse complement strand
TACTGACCTCAGGACCTTAGCACCTCCCCTTCTATCCAAACTAACTTCCAACCCCTCCCCAGCACTCAAGCTACCCTCGTGTCCACCTGCCTTCTCCCTGCGGCTTCAATTTTGTTCTTTCTGTTCCTTCCACCTGGAACATCATCCCCTCTCACCCCCTCCCAGATCCAGCCACAACTCAAGGTCTTCGTCCATACTGAAGCCACTTGAATGTATGCAGGCAACCTGAACTTCAAATTCCAATATGCTCATCCTTCCCCCTGCTTGAGTTAATGCAGTGGGTTGAACAGTGTACCCCCAAAATTCATGTCCAGCCAGAACCTCAGAACGTGACCTTATCTGGAAATAGAGTCTTTGTGGTTAAGGATTTAGGGTGAGGCCAGCCATGGTGGCTCACGCCTCTAATCCCAGCACTTTGGGAGGCTGAAGCAGGAGGATCGCTTGAGCTCAGGCATTCAAGATCATCCTGGGCAACATAGCAAGACCCCATCTCTACAAAAAATACAAAAGTTAGTTGGACATGGTGGCGGGAACCTGTAGTCCCAGCTACTCAGAAGGCTGAGATGGGAGGATCGCTTGAGCCTAGGAGGTAGAGGCTGTAGTGAGCTGTGATCATATCACTACATTCCCAGTCCCGCAAAAGTTTCCTGATCATGGATAGAGTGAGACCCTGTCTCAAAAAAAAACAGGATTTAAGATGGGGCCTAACTGTGATGGCTAGTGTCCTTACAGGAGAGAGGGGAGGGAGATTTGAGACTCAGAAGAGAGACAGACAGAGAAGAAACCCCTTTAAAGACAGAGGCAGAGATTGGGGTGATGCATCTACCCACCAATGACACCCAGGATTGCCAGGAGTTACCTAAGGCTAGGACAGAGGCATAGAATGAACCCCTCCCTACAGCCTTCAGAGGGAGCGTGGCCCTGCCAACACCTTGGTTTTGGACTTGTGAACTCCTGAACTGTGAGACAATAAATTTTTGTTGTTTTAGGCCATGTAGTTTGTGGTAACTCATTACTGCAGCCCCAAGAAACAAATACAGTTGGATCCTGTTAGAAGTCCCATTTCCCAGATGGGGAAACTCAGGTTCCAGACCCTGTGCTCCTCCCCAAGACACCAGCCACCTCTCAGCAGAGCACCCCGTGCTTTCTCGATTTTGCACCGGCTGCCATTGGGCAGGTGAGCACTTCATTACATGAGACCCTGTGTGTCTTTCCTCTGCCCTGTCCTGCAGGGTCCCTGAGGCTGGGGACCAGCAGCCCAGTATGTCCTCCGCTGTATCCCCAGAAGCCTGGCACGCAGTGGACACTCAGTGCTGCTTGGTGAGCGAATGAGTGGTCCAGAAAATGCAAACCTGGATGCTCTCCCCCTCCCGGCAGACAAGGGGAGCCTCCACACGGCTGTAATCCCTGCCCAGGACCCAGCCTTTGTCGATCAGCTGCCCGCTGGCCCTGGTCCCCGGTTCCCGGGCGCCCAGCCTGGGCGCCTGCTTGGTGTGGTACAGGCTGAACACCACGTCCCCTCGCAGGATGTCAAAGTCCCAGGTGATGACCGACTCTCCTTCCAGGATCTCCACGGCCACCTGTGTGGAGACAGGCGAGGTCTGAGAGTCACGGCCGAGAGAGTAGAGCTGGGGTGGGGAACACAGTGGCAGGAGGGGCTGTGGGTGCCCCCTGGGGTCTCCTTTCCCAGGCACACGCTCATTCCTTACAGGAGTGCCCTCCTCTCCTCAGTTTTCTCCTGAGACCTCGCCTGCAACAGATCACTGGCATAAGAATCCTTATCTCGGCCAGGCTTGGTGGCTCATGCCTATAATCCCAACACTTTGGGAGGCCGAGGTGGGTGGATCACTTGAGGTCAGGAGTTCGAGACCAGTCTGGCCAACATGGTGAAACCCCATCTCTACTAAAAATACAAACAAAAAAAAAATAGCCAGGCATGCTGGCTGGCACCTGTAATCCCAGCTACTCGGGAGGCTGAGGCAGAAGAATCACTTGAACCTGGGAGGCAGAAGTTGCAGTGAGCCAACATTGCGCCACTGCACTCCAGCCTTGGTGACAGAGTGAGACTCGGTCTCAAAAAAAAAAAAAAAAAAGAGGCCAGGCGCCGTGGCTCCCGCCTATAATCCCAGAACTTTGGGAGGCCTAGGCGGGCGGATCACCTGACCTCAGGATTTCAAGACCAGCCTGACCAACATGACGAAAACCCGTCTCTACTAAAAATACAAAAATTAGCTGGACGCAGTGGCATATGTCTATAATCCCAGCTACTCGGGAGGCTGAGGCATGAGAATTGCTTGAACCTGGGAGGTGGAGGTTGCAGTGAGCCAAGATTGCACCACTGCACTCCAGCCTGGGCAACAGAGCGAGACTCCATCCCAAAAAAAAAAAAAAAAAGAAAGAAAGAAAGAAAGAAAAGAAAAAAGAATCCTCATCTCAAGCTGTGTTTTGGGGTCACCTGACCTAAGACGACAGACACTCCAGCTCAGCGGGCCCTCCCCGGCCAGGCCCTGGCACCTCGTGGGGGGCTCCGCGGAGCACGCTGGCTGAATGGTAGGTCTCACTCCACTGCCACAGCTGGTCCGTGTGCTCCTGCTCCTCTTCTGTCATGTAGAGGGACTTGGGGACCAGCCCTCCTTCGGGGACATTACACTGCAGGTCAGAGATAAAGGGCAGCAGGTCAGGGCCAGTTGAGGCCTGGCTGGCCTGACCCACAGAAGGGTGATGTGTGACCCCCAAAGCCACTCATAATTGCAACCCCTTACTGAATGGGCTGTGGGCTTCCATGACCCCATTTAATCCCCAGGTCCACCAATGCAGTAGAGACTATTATTCTTCCCGTTTCACAGAGGAAGGAATGGAGGCTCGGGCAAGTCAGGCCACTCGCCCACGATCACACAGCAGAAAGTGAGTGAGCCAGGGCACAAACCCACGTTCGTCACAGCCCCATGCTCATGTCCCTTTACCCCGGTGCCGGACTGACAGCCAGGCTGGGGGGCCTCTCCACACCGCACCCCATAGCAGCTGCCTCTCCCCGTCACAGGCGGGGGTGGAACAGTCACTGCACCGTGCTCATCGAGAGATTTCCCCAAACCAAAGGCACCCTAGATGGCCAGGCCTTGGCAGAACTCCCCCTGCCACCACCAAACAATGATTACCCCCACCCCGTTTCACTTGTAGAAACACTGGGATTAGCAGGACACTGTTCAGTGTCTTTCCATAAGCCACTCTCAGATCTGCAGAACCGTTTGCTAAAAATAAGTCGTGTGTGCCGCACATCACAAACGGAGAGAACAGGCAAGCCTGGAAAAATTCCTAGGAAAAGACTTTTTTAAAATCCAGAAATGACGCAAGCTCACTGTCTGGTATTTCTGTTAGAAACAAAGAGGGCCCGGGCCACTGGGGGCCATATGAGATGACAGAGTTGTGACCTAGGATCACCCCAGCCTGTCATTTCACCCCAGGGGAGGCAATAAAAGGGGCCTGGACACTGCCTCCCTTGAAGGGGGTTCCTGATCGTTTCAGGCTGTGTGGCTGTGGGTTGGAGGCTAGTCCCAGCTCCAGGGTCCAGAGCTGCAGATACATTCGAGTCACCTCCCCTGCAGTGAATGAGCAGGTTAACTCACTGCTGCTTGGCAATGTCTTTGATGGGAATATAGAATGCGTAAGCCTTTGACTGGCCTAATCTTTAGGCTTCCAGAAACTTCTATCTCACTCACTATGTTTGAAGGACCCAGAGTAAGGCCCAACCTCAGAACAGCATCACCTCTCTTTGAAGCAGCTTCTAAAGCAAGCCCTGTGGCTGCTGAGAGCCAGCAAGACCTGCCCTAGGCAGAGTGCACATGCCGCACCCAGCCCCCCTCCACCTCCCAGCCCCACTCCGGGAATCCCAGCCTCCCAGCTAGGCATGCCCCCTCCTCAAGCCCAGGTCTGTCTGTGGACATGGAAGCCTCACCACACTCTCTCCCCCAAGGAAGTCAGGGATCACTTCTCTATCCAGATAGTCCACAAGGCCTCCGGGTCCCTGGTAGTTGCTGCCACTGTAGATGAGGAACTTCCGCCTGGTGTTCTCATTGATGAAGGGGCTGATCTGAAACCAGGACATAAGGCAAGATGGATGGTTTTTTTTTTTTTTTTTTTGAGACGGAGTCTTGCTCAGTCGCCCAGGCTGGAGTGCAGTGGCATGATCTTGGCTCACTGCAAGCTCCACCTCCCGGGTTCACGCCATCCTCCTGCCTCAGCCTCCCGAGTAGCTGGGACTACAGGCACCCACCACCATGCCCGGCTAATTTTTTTTTGTATTTTTAGTACAGACGGGGTTTCACCATGTTAGCCAGGATGGTCTCGATCTCCTGACCTCGTGATCCACCTGCCTCGGCCTCCCAAAGTGCTGGGATTACAGGTGTGAGCCACCACGCCTGACCATGGATGTATTTTTTTATTGAGATATAATTTATACAACATAGAATTAATCATTATAAAGTGCACAGTTCAGTGGCTTTCAGTGCACTCACTAGCTTGTGCAGCCAGCACCTCTACCTAGACATGTTCATCACCCCAGAAGGAAACCCCATTCCCACCCCACCGTCACTTCCCATCTCCCCTCCCCCAACCCAGGGCAACCACCCATCTACACTCTGTCTCTGTGGATTTGCCTATTCTGGGCGTTTCTTTTTTGTTTTTGTTTCGGAGACAGAGTCTCGCTCTGTCTCCCAGGCTTGAGTGCAATGGCGCAATCTTGGCTCACTGCAAGCTGCACCTCCCAGGTTCAAGTGATTCTCCTGCCTCAGCCTCCCAAGTAGCTGGGATTACAGGCTCCCACCACCATGCCTGGCTAATTTTTGTATTTTAATTTTGTACTTTTGTATTTTCACCATGTTGGCCAGGCTGGTCTTGAACTCCTGACCTCAGGTGATCCACCCACCTCGGCCTCTCAAAGTACTGGGATTACAGGCGTGAGCCACCTCGCCCAGCCCTATTCTGCACATTTCATATAAAGGAGATCACACAGTACATGGACTTCCGTGTCTGGCCCCTTTCACTGAGCATCAGGTTTTCGAGGTCCCTCCGTGTTGGAGGATCAGTGCTTCCTTCCTTCTTATGGACGAATGCTATTCCATTACATGGATGGAACAGTATTCCACAGTTTGTTTATTCCAGATGGAATCCATTTTAACACTGAGCTCTAAGCCACATGTTGATAAAGAAGGAAGGAAGTGGGAGAGAGAGAAAGAAGGAAGGAGCCCTTGGCATGGCAGATAACAGGCCAGTTCTACAGGGAATGCCACAAGCCAAGAGATAGGTGAGGAAACTGCAATCCCCCCGTGCAGGGCCCTCTCCTGTCCCCAGCCCCACTGCGCTCTGTGCTGTGCTGGGCCCCAGGAGGCTGAGGCTGACCCCCAGTAGCTCCCTGCCCCCACCCCTGTCCCAGCTTTCCCCAGGATTCTGCAAGGACATTCCCTCCTCTTGGGGGTGGCCAGGCTTACTGCAGTCACTGGTGCTTGGGGTCTCTCCTTCCCCTGCCCACACCTCTGCAAGGAGCCCCTTCAGGACACCCCTCATTTGAACCATCTGGGTGAGGTCCACTTCCAGCCAGGACCCCGGCTGATGTGCTCGCACTCCCAAAACCACCCCAAACAGCAGGTGGACTTAATTTTCCCGGAGATTAGGACAATTCAGGATAAAAAGCTTCAGAAGCAGCTCCTGCCCCCTAGCCTCACCTGAACAGAGCCTTGAAGCACCCACAAAAGCTAGAGAACTTCCTGGCCCCTAAGTCTGTCCCCCACCCTCCCCTGCTACTGAACCCTCCATGGGTCCCTATTGCCCCTGTACATCTTCCAGCCTCCTCAGGTGCTGTCGTCCCTTTTGCTCTTTTTTGCTCAGCCACCCTGGACTGTTTCTTCAGTTCCTCCAAAGCATCAAGCTGGGTCCAGCCTCCAGGCTTTTGCCCACACTATGCAAGTGGCTGGCTGCACCCTTGTTTCAGAGGAGTGTGTGTGTGGGCGTGGGTGTATGTGTGCGCGCACATGGGTGCATGCACGCGTGTACCCACCGGGTTACAATATAGAGTATATTTCAGGTCAGGCGCAGTGGCTCACACCTATAACACAAACACTTTGGGAAGCCAAGGCAAGAGGACCGCTTGAGCCCAGGAATTTGAGACCCACGATAATGGGCATGGGGGTTCTTTTTGGGGCGACAGAAATGTTCTGGGATTGGCTAGTGGTGACAATTGCTTAACTCAGTGAATACAGGAAAGACCACTGGAGTCTATACTTAAAAAGTGTGAGCTTTATGCTATGTGAGTTTCATCTCCAAAAAGTTACTAAATGAAATGAAACAGGAAAAGAGAGCAGAGCTGCTTGCAGACGGAACCCCTCCCATCCCACCCACCCCCAGGGAGAGTCCTGGCCCAGGCTCCAGCTCTTACCAGTGTCCAGAGCACGGGGAAGACTCGGGGGGCTCGCACGATGAGCAGCCGACCCAGGGTCTCTGGGTAATTGTCCTCAACCACCTCAATCATCCGCAGCAGGGCCTTCACCCCCGGCCGCCACAGGTGCCGCATGTTGAGTCCCTCCAGGTCTAGCAGGCAGGTCCAGGAGCTGTGGCAGAAATAGCCCCAGCTCCACCTGGCTCTGCTGCCTCCCAAGGCCACCAACACCCTCCCCACAGGGGATGAACAGGGAGGCTCCGAGAGATAGGGCTGGGAGCAGATGGGGGCTCCTGCCACAGTAGGGAGCCCATGCGATGAAGAGGATCAGACTGTGGACTTCAGGGCTGAGCGCCCAAATTCAAGTCTCACCTGCACCCCTGAGAGCCTTAGGTCAGGGCACAGACCCACTTACTCATAGGACAGTGGCAAAGGTAGTAACAGTCCTCATCTGAAGCAACTGCTGTTAGGATCAAGTGAGATGGTATATACAAAGCTCTCTGCAAGGACGGGCACACCACATGCCCTCAATTATAGCTGGTTATCACAAGTGGCCATTTAGGCCTAGCATTCCATTATTGCAATGCTAAGCGTGTGGGAGTTATTTCTATCCTACTGCTCAAGGTCATCACCAAGGTCTGATTGCAAAAATTCAAAACATTGCAACCTCAGGCATAAATGAGTTAATTGTTGAAAAGATGCTAACTACTAAATAGAGCAGAGGTGCTGAGAGCATGCACTCCACAGTCAGATGGCCAAGGTTCAAATCCCAGTTCTGCCACTTGCTGTGTGATCTTGGTCAAGTCCTGAACCTCTCTGTGCCTCCATTTCATTAGTATTCATTCATTAGGAAAATAACTGTTTGACTGCAGCGGCTGGTGCCCGGGAGCCTCCACCTCCCAGATTTGTTCGCTTAAACCTGCACACACCTCTCCAAAGCATCCCTTCATGACACTCCCTCATTTGAGCCATCTGGGGTGAATTATGCTTCCGGCCAGGACACTAATGGATTGATTCCCACTTCCACCCCAACATACGTGTCCTTAGAAAATCTCTAGAGACCAGCCTGGCCAACATGGTGAAACCCCATCTCTACTAAAAATACAAAAATTAGCCAGGCGTGGTGGCAGGCACCTGTAATCCCAGCTACCTGGGAGGCTGAGGCACGAGAATCACTTGAACCCAGGAGGTGGAGGTTGGAGTGAGCCAAGATTGCACCACTGTACTCCAGCCTGGGCGACAGAACGAGACTCTGTCAAAAAAAAAAAAAAAAAATCTGCAAACAGCAAAGGAACTTTAATTTTCACAAAGATCGGGATATTTGGGGCTGAAAAGCTGAAGCAGCAGCTCCTGCCTGCCCGTGTCTCACAGGGCTGTTTAGGAGGAGGAAATGAATCAAGGTGCTTAGAAGGGCACCTGCTACATAGCAAGTGCAAGATCCGTGTTTGCATTATTTTTAAACCCTTATTATTTTTGAGAATCCATTTGTAAAAGCCACTTTACAGGCTGGGAACAGAGGCTGACGCCTGTAATCCCAACCCTTTGGAAGGCCAAGGTGGGAGGATCACTTCAGCCCAGGAGTTTTAGACCAGCCTGAGCAACAGGGTGAGACCTCATCTCTGCAAAAAAAAAAATTAGCTGGGCAAGGTGGTGCACATTTATAGTCCCCGCTGCTTGGGAGGCTGAGGTGGGAGGACTGCTTGAGCCCAGCAGGTCAAGGCCGCAGTGAGCTGTGATTGCACCACTGCACTCCAGCTTGGGTGACAGAGTGAGAGCCTGTCTCAAAGGAAAAAAAAAAGCCACTTTACAGAAGAGGAAGCTGCTGCTCAGAAAGGTTTGCTGCCTTTGGGGGCGATGCCACCGTAAGTACTGGCTCCGGGAAACAGTTCAGGAACAGAAATGCGGGGGAGTCAGAGGACAGTGGGTTCCTGCAGAGGACACTGGGTTCCTGGATGTGCCATGACAGAGCCAAGGGAGAACTCGTGGTGGAGAGCTGATCTCAAAAAGCAAAGTCAGGCTGTGAGTGGTGGCTCACGCCTGTAATCCCAGCACTTTGGGAGGCCGAGGCAGGCGGATCACGAGGTCAGGAGACCGAGACCATTCTGGCTAACACAGTGAAACCCTGTCTCTACTAAAAATACAAAAAAATTAGTCAGGCGTGGTGGCGGGTGCCTGTAGTCCCAGCTACTCTGGAGGCTGAGGCAGGAGAATCGCTTGAACCCGGAAGGCAGAGCTTGCAGTGAACTGAGATTGCACCGCTGCACTCCAGCCTGGGCGACAGAGCGAGACTCCGTTTCAAAAAAGAAAAAAAAAAAAAAAAAAAGCAAAGTCAAGGAGACTGTTGAGTGGAGTGGGAGGATAAAGTCTTCGAGCTAGAAGCCAGACAGGACCCCAGGTTCAAATCCAGCTCTGTCCTGACCGGCTCACAAGCTTCGATGGGGGCCACCATTCTGAATCTCAGTTTCCCCATGCATAGAAAACGGGGATGCTTACGGGCCCTGCCTCAAGGCCCAGAAGACCACTGTAGAAACTGGGGGAGAATGAAGCCCCTGGCACGCTGCCCAGCCCAGCACATATGCACAGTGGACCCCTCTCCACCCTCCGTCTTTGCTGTTTAGGGGGGATTTGTGCCCAGCCCAGGTGTTTGCCTGATGGGACGGCCCAGCTGCCTTGTGCTCCCCTCACACCGCTTCTGTCCTTCCTCGTTGACGGAGAGAACCTGGAAGGGAGAGACAGTGCTGCTCAACGTCCGCCTCGCTGCTTTACCCCACACAGTCCTTCCCAGGCCCGGCCCCAGGCACGGCGTCCAGGAACGAGGCCCCTGACTCACATGCCGCAGCAGCGCCTCCTCCCCCACGGCCTTCATCAAGCCTTTGGTGTCCATCTGGCCCAGGCGGAGGATGTAGAGGGGGCGGCCATCTTTGTGGATGGGGCCAAGCAGAAAGAAGAGCCCGTTATTTAGAGGACTGCTTCCGAGGGGCAGGTCACAGCTGCAGGTGAGAGCTTCACCTCCTCAGGCTGCAACCCACCAAGGCCCGATCCAGCCTTCACTTACTAACACCCTGCCTGCTTCCAAGAGGGGCTGACGCCCCTTATTGTGAAAGGCAGAAAAACAGAAGTGTTACAATGAGGATAAGGGCCAGCACAGTGGCTCACACCTATTACCCCAGCATTTTGGGGGGCAGAGGCAGGAGGATTGCTTGAACACAGGAGTTTTGAGACCAGCCTGGGCAACATAATGAGACCTCTTCTCTACAAAACATTTTTATTTATGTATTTATTTGAGACAGAGTCTTGCTCTGTCACCCAGGCTGGAGTGCAGTGGTGCGATCTCGGCTCACTGTAACCTCGGCCTCCCAGGTTCAAGCAATTTTCCTGCCTCAGCCTCCCGAGTAGCTGGGATTACAGGCGCCCACCACCGCACCCGGCTAATTTTCGTATTTTTAGTAGAAATGGGGTTTCACCATCTTGGCCAGGCTGGTCTCAAACTCCTGACCTCAGGTGTACACCCACCTCAGCCTCCCAAAGTGTTGGGATCACAGGCATGAGCCACCGCAGCTGGCCCCATAATACTTTTTGTCAACCAATCAATATATAACCTTGTTTTATGTGGTGTTTTTTGTCTGTTGGTTTGTTAGTTGGTTGATTTGTTGGTTTTTGAGACAGAGTCTCACTGTATCACCCAGGCTGGAGTTCAGTGGAGCAATCTCAGCTCACTGCAACCTCTGCCTCCCAGGTTCAAGCGATTCTCACACCTCGGCCTCCCAGGTAGCTGGGACTACCGGCATGCACCACCACGCTTGGCTAATTTTTGGTATTTTTAGTAGAGACAGGGTTTCACAATGTTGGCCAGGCTGGTCTCGAACCCCTGGCCTCAAGTGATCTGCCGCCTCGGCCTTCCAAAATGCTGGGATTACAGACGTGAGCCCACCATGCCTGGCCTCTTTGTTCTTTGAGGCAGGGTTTCACTCTGTCACCCAGGCTGGAGTGCAGTGGCATGATCTCGACTCACTGCAGCCTGAACCTCCCCAGCTTAAACAATCCTCCCACCTCAGCCTCCCAAGTAGCTGGGACCACAGGCATGCAGCACCATGCCCAGATAATTTTTTTGTATTTTTTGTGGAGATGTGGTGGAGGGGGGCGAGCTCACTATGTTGCCCAGGCTGGTCTCGAACTCCTGGGCTTAAGCGATCCTCCAGCTTTGGCTTCCCAGAGAGCTCTGATTACAGGTGTGAGCCACTGCGCCCGGCTTGTGTTTCTGTTTAAGGACACTTGAATGCATATTGCTGATCTGTCAGCATTGAACTCACGGCCAGCAGCCCTGTAGCTGGTGCCTGCCTGAAGCTAGTGGAGCACTTTGGGTGTTTTCTGCATGGAGCACGTGGCCACTTGCTCATCCTTAGGAAAGCTAGGCGCAATTCTGCACTACACGAAGAGGCATTTTAAACAGCAAAGTCACCAAAGAAAAGCCCAAAAATGCAACAATGTGGCATTAAATAGGCCACAAAAAGGACACTCGTTTAGGGTATGAGAACTGAAACAAAAAGGCAGGAGCCGCGTCATTCAACTTCAGCAGACAGCATGCGTGATGGGCGACTCCAATACTTCGCCACTCTGAATATGTCTCAGCATGACTGAAAAAGTTCTGTGAATACTGATTTGGGGGTTACAAGTAAATTTCAGCAATAAGGGGAGTTCATAAATTTGGATTCCATAAATTAGGAAGATTGATCGTTAAGAGAAACCATGCCAGCCGGTTCTTTAGGAGAGTCAAGCGTTTACCCTACTTGATATAGATGAACGTTTATTTTTTTTTTTTTTTTTTTTTTTTTTTTTGAGACGGAGTCTCGCTCTGTCGCCCAGGCTGGAGTGCAGTGGCGGGATCTCGGCTCACTGCAAGCTCCGCCTCCCGGGTTCACGCCATTCTCCTGCCTCAGCCTCCCAAGTAGCTGGGACTACAGGCGCCCGCCACTACGCCCGGCTAATTTTTTGTATTTTTAGTAGAGACGGGGTTTCACCGTTTTAGCCGGGATGGTCTCGATCTCCTGACCTCGTGATCCGCCCGCCTCGGCCTCCCAAAGTGCTGGGATTACAGGCGTGAGCCACCGCGCCCGGCCCTAGATGAACGTTTAGATAAAGGACATTGGAAAGTGTCGTAGGCACAGGCTTCAGTGGCAATTTAACTTAAAAATCCAGAAAAGATATTTGTAATGGGTGGAATCGTGTCCCAAAACTCATATCCATGGGGACATTAAAATGTGACCCATGCCTGGGTGCAGTGGCTCACTCCTGTAATCCCAGCACTTCAGGAGGCCAAGGCGGGCGGATCACTTGAGGTCAGGAGTTCCAAGAACAGCCTGGCCAACATGGTGAAACCCCATCTCTACTAAAAGTACAAAAATTAGCCAAGCATGGTGGTGCACGCCTGTAGTCCCAGCTACTCAGGAGGCTGACGCAGGAGAATCGCTTGAACCTGGCGGGGGGCGGAGTTGCAGTGAGCTGAGATCACACCATTGCACTCCAGCCTGGGTGACAGAGCCAGACTCTGTCTCAAAAAAAAAAAAAAAAAAGAACTAGAGTCTGTGCAGGTGTAATTAGTTAATTAGTTAAGGATCTCAAGATAAAATCACACTGGATTTGGGGTGAGCCCTAAATCCAATCTCCTGGGGTCCTTATGAGAAGAGGCGAGGACACAGAAACACAGAGGGGAAGGCCATGTGAAGAGAGAGGCAGAGACTGGAGTGAAGCTGCCACCAGCCAAGGAACACCTGGGTCCACCAGAAGCTGGAAAAAGCAGGCAAGGATTCTCCCCTAGAACTTTCAGAGGGAGCACGGCCCTGGTGACGCCTTGACTCCAGACTTCTGGCCTCGAGAACTGTGAAAGAACACATTTCTACTGTTTTAAGCCACCAAGATTGTGCCAATTTGCTACAACTGCCCTTGGAAATGCATACAAAATGTATGCACCTGTTACCTTTACGATCACAATTATTGTGAGTAATTGTGGGCTCACTCAGCCCAGTGGAGAAATGTCTCCTCCTCAAGCCCCAAAGCCTTCCAGCTCTGGTTCTTCCTAGCTAGGTTGTCACTTCAAAGCATTTCTAGATGCCTGGAAGAGTCAAAAGGAAAAATAGTAAGATGTTAGCATGAAGCATGGCATTTAAAGGGCATTTGGGCCGGGTGCGGTGGCTCATGCCTGTAATCCCAACACTTTGGGAGTCTAAGGCAGGTAGATCACTTGAGATTAGGAATTTGGGACCAGCCTGGTCAAAATGGCAAAACCTCATCTCTACTAAAAATACAAAAAATTAGCCAGCTGTGGTGGCGGGTGCCTGTAATCCCAGCTGCTGGGGAGGCTGAGGCAGGAGAATTGCTTGAACCCGGGAAGCGGAGATTATGGTGAGCCGAGATGGCACCACTGCACTCCAGCCTGGGTGACAGAGTGAGACCCCATCTCAAAATAATAAATAAAGTGCATTTGGCAGTGACCAAAGTATGCCCTATACATGATGTGGGTGGAGGCACGCACCTATGTCCTGGTAATGCCAGCCCCCTGCATAGAACTCCTCCAGCAGGGCAGGGGGTTGCCAGGTCTGAAGGAGGAGATCCACCTGGTGCTGCTTGCGCCAGCTCAAGGACTGGCGCAGCATTTCCCGGGCCTTGTCCAGGTGGAAGTCATGAGCCCGCAGGAACCGAAGGATGTGCTCATCTTTGGGAATCTGAGAGACAAAGAAGTAAAAAGCCCACAGAACGGTATCCCCTGACCCAGCAGATAAAATTACAGAACCAGCCGGGGCAACATGGTGAGACCCCATCTCTACAAAAAGTACAGAAATTAGCCAGGCGTGGTGGTGTGCGCCTGTAACCCCAGCTACTCAGGAGGCTAGGGCAGGAGAATTGCTTGAACCCAGGAGGCGAAGGTTGCAGTGAGGATCACACCACTGCCTGGGGGACAGAGTGAGACTTTGTCTCACAGAAATAAATGAATAAATAAATAAATAAGCAAGAGATAATGTGTCAGCATTATCATCTCGCCTTTCCTTCCCATGCACGGAGGCTGAGTACCAGTCATTGCCCATTCATCCACTGCTCCAGGGTACCCCCTGCACCCACCTTGCCTTTGTGGGTCTCCTGTAACCAGTGCCGAAGCTGGATCAGGCAGCTCTCCTGCATGGGCGTGAGGTGGCCCAGGCACCTCTCAATGTAGTCCGCATCCAGCTTGTCCCCTTGGAGGAGAAGGGGGAGCTTCAGGACAAGAGGGAGACGCTGCGTCTCTTTACCATGTGGTCTGTGTGCCATTCCTTACTGGCTGCCTCACTGACTCTAAAACGTGGTTCCAAACCAGGCTAAGCCCCCGCCCCAGACAGCAGCCACCGGACTCTGAATGCATTCATTTCTCCAGCCCATGTCCAAGGGGGTTCTGAAAACGCATCATCAGGCAAACCTGGATCTCACTGTGAGATGGGATTTCTCCTCTTTGACCCTGGGAATTGAAGATAATTCCCACCCTCTGGGGATGTTCTAAGGATTCTTAACAATATGGGCTTACACTCACTACCTTCTCAGAAGCCACCTGGTCTCACTGAGCTCTCTCCACACCCCTGTGAGGCAGGCGTCACTATTATCCCCACTTTAGAGAAGATAAAACTGCTGTGAGTGGTGGCTCACGACTGTAATCCCAGGACTTTGGGAGCCCACGGCAGGCAGATCACTTGAAGTCAGGATTTTGGGACCAGCCTGGCCAACATGGTGAAACCCAGTCTCTATTAAAATACAAAAATTAGCCAGGCGTGGTGGCACACACCTGTAATCCCAGCTACTCAGGAGGCTGAGTCAGGAGAATCGCTTGAACCTGGGAGATGGAGGTTGCAGTGAGCCAAGATTGCACCACTGCACTCCAGCCTGGGCAACAGAGTGAGACTCCGTCTTAAAAAAAAAAAAAAAAAAAAGAGAGAGAGAGAGAAGATAAAACTGAGGCCTAGAGAGGTGGAGTAACTCGAATGAGTAAATGCATGTTGTGCACCCAGCACAAAGGAGGTGGCTGATAAACACCAGTTCTCTTTGCTTTGCCCCATCCCCAGGCCCCATTGTGGGGTTTTGACAGACAGCAGCTTTTAACAGAGCCTGGACCTTGCAACACAGCCATGCTCTCTTTAGCAGCCTGGGAACCACAGGGAACATTCCCACTGTGCAGCCTTGTCCCCCACAACTGGGCGGTTGTAGTCGGAATGTTGCCAGTGTGCAGAGGCCAGGCCCCAAGCTTGAGTCCTGTTCCCCCACTCTTAGCCATGAGGGTGGCAGATGCTGGCGTGCAGAGGCCTCGTGGCATCTCAGCAGTGGGCGGAGACGTCACACAAAGCAGCAGCCTCCGTGGGCAGAGCCAGTTCTTTGTAGACAGATGGCTAAATAAGAAAACAGGCTGAATGAACGGCCAGCAGCACCCCCAAAACAGAAAAGCCCACAGTGGGGGGTCACGCCAACTGCTGTGCCAGGAGCCATCTAGGTAAACAGAGGTGGGAGAATGTTGGCAGAGGGCGAATTGTCCAGACCTTGTGTGGTCAGAGGCAGAGATGCTGGAATCAGGGAGGGAGTGAGGATGGGATGAGGGAGAAAAACGAGAGAGGCCGGAGCTCCCAGCATCCTTCCGGCCCCGGGCAGATGTGAAGGCTTTTTCTACTTCTGAGCACAAAGACTCAGTGATTCAGGAGAGGGCAGAAGGGGCATGAGGATGTCCTCTGCCCGCCACCCTGAGTGCCTGTGCTGCTGGCGGACAGCACAGATGGAGAAGGAAGGAGCGACCTGTGCAAAATGGGGAAGGTACAGGGGACCAGGCCACAGAGAGCGTGCACAGGAGGGGGCAGGAGCGGGCGCTGTTATAAAAAAAAAAAAAATGTGCACATACAACAACAGCCAACCAGCACACACAGTCGGTGCAGAATAAATACTTGTTGCATGTAATTTCAGCACTTTGGGAGACCAAGGCAGGAGGATAACTTGAGGTCAGGAGTTCGAGACCAGCATGGCCAACATGGTGAAACCCTGTCTCTACTAAAAATACAAAAATTAGCCGGGAATGATGGTGCACGCCTGTAGTCCCAGCTCCTTGGGAGGCTGAGGCAGGAGAATCGTTTGAACCCAGGAGGCGGAGGTTGCAGTGAGCTGAGATCACACCACTGCACTCCAGCCTGGGTGACAGATAAAAAAAAAAGAAAAAGAATAATACATGTTGTATGAATGAATTTCATTCTCCCTAAACAGAGCCCCAGATGTATTATTAGTTCCATGGCACTGCCACCCAAGTGTGTCAGAGTTAGGGAAGTCCCTGCACGGCAGTGGCCCTAAAGGAAAAACATTATCAACCTGAGTACACATCTTACACATGGCTAGAACTGGATTTGTGGTGTACATACAATTTGTATCCTAGGATTTTTCCTTTTAACATTATATTGTAAACATTTTCCATGTCCATAAAAGCTTGAACTGTGACAAAAGGCTAGTTGCCTTCATATACAAAGAGCTCTTACAAACCAATAAGAAAGCAATGGGCAAATAAGAAAATGGACAAAGGACAAGAACAAGTATGTATTATTAAAAAAAAAAAAAAAAAGGAAAACAGTCACTAAACATGAAAAATCATGCCTGATCTTGCTCATAATGAAAAAACTTGTCACTAATCAACAAGTGACTACTTTTATTCCCTTTCAGAAGTTTGAGATGTTTACTAAGACTTTTGTGGGGAGCTGGAGTGAAGTCAGGAATAGATGCAATTACACATTCAGTGGGAACAATGATTGGTACAACCTCATTGGAAGCCTAATGGTTAAATCTACCAAAATTTTACTTGCATGTAAACTTTGAACCAGCAATTCCACTTTTAAAATGTTATGCTTTGTATATACTTACAGACATTTTAAAAAAATTATTAAGTACTCACATGTACCATGTTGTTTGTATTTTTAAAAACTGAAACGACCTAAATAGGGTTGTTTCCTTCAATAGGGAACTAGCTAAATAGACTAATTCAAAATAATCAAGGCCATGGGCAGTGGCTCACATGTAATTCCAGCACTGTGGGAAGCCAAGGCAGGTGGATCACCTGAGGTCAGGAGTTCAAGACCAGCCTGGTCAACATGGTGAAACCCTGTCTCCACTAAAGATTTAAAAATTAGTCAGGTGTGGTGGCACATGCCTGTAATCCCAGCTACTCAGGAGGCTGAGGCAGGAGAATTGCTTGAAGCCGGGAGGCAGAGGTTGCATTGAGCTGAGATCGTGCCATTGCACTCCAGCCTGGGTGACACAGTGAGACTCCACTTCAAAAATAATTAATTAATTAATTAAAAATAAAATAAAAGTAAAAATAAATTATCTAGACATGGTGGCCTGTGCCTATATAGTCCCAGCTACTCAGGAAGCTGGGGCAGGAGGATCGTTTGAGCCCAGGATTTCAAGGTTACAGAGAGACACGATTGCACCACTGCATACCAAGCTGGGCAACAGAGCAAGACCCTGTCTCTAAATAAATAATTAATATTTATTAATAAATTAGTTATGGTGCAACCACACCATACTATGAAGTATGAAAAGAAGACATAGGCACTGATACAGAAAGTTTTTCAGGCAACATTAGTAAGTGAAAAAAAAGCAAAATATCAAATGGAATGTATATGTTCTCACGTATTCAACATAAGACACACATGTATGTATGCATGTACACACATATGTGTGTGGGTATATATACATTTTATGTGCATATATGCACCTAAACAGCTTCAGGACATAGAAACACAAAACTATTGTTAGCCTTTAGGGAGAGGAAAAGAATCGTACTTCTTACATCTTCCTTACAGTTTGAATTTTTTTCTACCATGATCATGCATTACTCGTATAATTTAAAATAGCAATAGCAATCGTAATAATTAGTAAATTCATAATAATTGCTAAGTTAGTAAATAGTAAAACCAGAGAAAGAGGCAATGTCAAGGCACCAGAGGTTAATTCCTGATCTAGAAATAAATGAGTTTTTGCCGGGTGCAACGGCTTACGCCTGTAATCCCAGCACTTTGGGAGGCCAAGGCAAGCAGATCACTTGAGCTCAGGAGTTTGAGACCAGCCTGACCAACATGGTGAAACCCCATCTCTGCTAAAAATAGAAAAAATTGGCCGGGTGTGGTGGCAGATGCCTGTAATCCCAGCTACTTGGGAGGCTGAGGCAGAAGAATCACTTGAACCCGGGGGGCGGAGGTTGCAGGGAGCCGAGATCGTGCTACTGCGCTCCAGCCTGGGAGACATAGGGGGACTCCGTCTCAAAAAAGAAAAGAAAAGAAAAGAGAAAAGAAAAGAAACAAATGAGTTCTGCTCTTGGACCAGGATGGAGAGAGAGAAAAGCACTCAGTGGAGGCAGGAGGCGGTGTCGTTCCAAGACCCAGACCCATTCCCAGGGGGGACGGCAGGCAATTCTCCCCAACATGCCCCAGGGCCCCCCATGGAGCAAGAGGACCTGCAGCAGCCTCCTAGGGCTGACTGGCCTGGGCTGTACCACCTACCGTCCATACTGACCGCCTCCAGAGCGGGCCCCAGGGTGCTACGGGGCCCGTGGGCCTCCAGGGAGCTGGGGTCCCTCGGTCCAGCCTGGTTGCGGGCATCCTCCTCACGGACTGGGGCAGGCGTCCAGCGCGGAATGTGCGAGGTACCCTGGGAGATGAGCTCATTCAGGTAATGCTCAATCACCTCCTTCCCCTGGAAGCCAGAGAGACCCAAGACACATGAGCACGGGGCAGGATGGAGGGGGGTCACAGGATCACCACAGGGAGTCACCCCCAGCCGGCTCAGGTCCCAGCCCCGACACGTGGCTATTGAGTGGCTGGATGTGTCTGGTCGGGATGGAGAGAAGCTGCGAGTGTCCAACACCCACCTAATTTCCAAGGCTTGGTACGAAACAAAGAATGCAAAATAGCTCAGTAATCAGTTTTTTGGGTTGGGGGTTGTTTTTGTTTTTGTTTATTTTTTTTGAGACAGTGTCTTGCTGTGTTGCCCAGGCTGGAGTGCAGTAGTGTCATCTCAGCGCACTGCAGCCCCAACCTCCCAGGATCAAGAGATCCTCCTGCCTCAGCCTCCTGAGCAGCTGGGACTATAGGCACACACCACCACACCCACCTAATTTTATTTTATTTTATTTTTTTAGAGATGGAGTCCACTATGTTGCCTAGACTGCTCTGAAATTCCTGGGCTCAACTGGGCCTCCAACCTCGGAGAATTAAGTTTTATATTGATAACACATTGTTTAAAAATTTGTTATTAAAGTTAATTTCATCTGTTTCATCACAAGAACGGGTTTTTACTCAGGGATGGATCTGAGGTCTTTAGAGCAAGCAATGATCATTTTATCTAAAAAAAAAAAAAAAAAAAAAAAAAGCACCACAGAATTATCTGTTGTCCAGATAATTCACCACATAAGCCTGGACATCTCATGGTGCCAGAGCGAGGATTAGGGTGCCCCTGTTACAGACCAGTTACTTTCCATCCATTATCTCGTGGTGATTTGGTCATTACTAGAGTACCCATTTAACAGATAACACTGAGCCCAGGAAGGGTAAGGGTCTTGCCAGGGGTCATGCAGCTGTTGATGGCAGAGCAGGTGTGTGCACCTTCCTCCAGTAACTAACGCAACCCACCGCTTACCCTCTTGACGTTGGCGGTGTACTGCTTCATGGCGATCTTCTCCAAGGCATTTTCAAAGCCAAAGAAAGACCGAATGTCCAGTGAGGCAGACTGCTCGAAGCAAGTCCAGTCTTCATTCTCAGGGTGGACCTGAAAGCCAGGCAGGGGTCATGCCAGGGACTCAATGTCGGGGGCACCCTGCCCTCCCCTAGGGCTCTCCCACTGACCTGGGCCCAGGCAGAGCCTGCAGTGGAAAGCAGATCAAGCCTGGCAACCCTGGATGGGGTAGCAGGACCAAGGGGCCCCCACCCAGAGAACGATGCAAAGTTCAAACTGTCAGGGAACAAAAAGCCTTCTCATGAGAAGCCGGGAGAATGTGGGTCTCAAATCTGCAGCCCTGCCCTTTCAATATTATACACATACATAGAAAATTAGTTAGAAATACTTATGTTTAGGTCGGGCATGGCGGCTCACGCCTGTAATCCGAGCACTTTGGGAGCCCAAGGTGGGCGAATCATTTGAGGTCAGGACTTGGAGACGAGCCTGGCCAACATGGTGAAACTCCATCTCTACTAAAAATCCAAAAATTAGCCAGAGATGGTGGTGGGTGCCTGTAATCCCAGCTACTCGGGAGGCTGAGGCAGGAGAATCGCTTGAACCTGGGAGGCGGAGGTTGCAGTGAGCCAAGATCATGCCACTGCACTCCAGCCTGGGTAATAGAGCAAGACTCCATCTCCAAAAAAAAAATAATAAAATAAATACAATTGTTCAGTGTATCATTTATATAATCTATAAATAAATTATATATCAATATTACACATAAAATTTAGATATAGATTTTTTAAATAGTTGTATATTATATGTTATCTATATAAAGATATATTACATATCCTTATATATCAATAAACATTTATAGATCTGTATGTTTGCAAAAAGAAAACTTCATTGGCAGAGCTCCTTTATGGATCCAGACCTAGTCCTCCTCAAACGTCTGTGGGCAGAAACATTACCAAGGAGTCTGTTAAAATATGCAGATTCCTGGGCCTGCCCCTAGACACTTCCAGGTTGGGGCCCAGGAATCTGCATTTCGCAAGCAGCCCCAGGTGCTGCTGACTCAGCTATTGATAGAACTCATTCTGAGAAACACCACACACACTAAGAGGGGTTTCAACAACTGTTGCTTGCCCCTCCCCAGAAGATCTGAACACCCTGAGCCCAAGCTCCTGGAGGACCCAAGAGGAGTTGGAGGCGTAGAAAGAAAAGGCAATGGAGCCGGGTACGGTGGCTCATGTCTGTAATCCCAGCACTTTGGAAGGCCAAGGTGGGTGGATCACTTGAAGCCAGGAGTTTGAGAATAGCCTGGCCAACATGGAGAAACCCTATCTCTACTAAAAATACAAAAATCAGCCGGATGTGGTGGCACATGCCTGTAATCCCACCTACACGGGAATCTGAGGCGTGAGAATCTGAGGCAAGAGAATCCTTTTAACAAGGAGGCGGAGGTTGCAGTGAGCCAAGATTATGCCAGTGCACTCCAGCCTGGGCCACAGAGCGAGACTGTCTCTCAAAAAAACAAACAAAAAAAAAAACAAAACAAACAAACAAACAAAAAAAAAAACACGTACAATGGTCTACCATTGCTATCCTGGAGTTATCATCGTGAAAACGATCCAGCAAGGCAGGATCTGCCAATGTCCCGATTTTACAGATACAGACAGTGTGGCCCAACGTCACTCAGCAAGAAAGTGGCAGAGCTGGGTCCCATCAGTGAATGCCTGCAGGTGCCTCATTCCAGCCTCTAAAGTCATCAAGATCTAGGCCCCATGGCCTCACCTTGGCAGACCTCACTCATGCTGTTCCCACCCCCAAAATGCTGTTCCCAGTCCTCCATGAGCAGCTCCTCTCATCCTTCAGCACTCAGCTTCAGTGCCCCTACCACCTTCTCTGACTCCCACACATCTCCCTGCTGGATCCAGCCTTAGCTGTGACAAATGCACACACACTGATTCCGTTTTGTTCCACTGGAATGGACCCTCCGTGAGGGCAGTGGTCAGGCAGCCTGGTCCACTGCTGGGTGCTCATCACTTGGCAGGGTGCCTGGCACATAGTAGGTGCTCAATCAGTATATACTAGAGAATAATTATGATTATTATTAATTATAGTCAAAGGTAACATTTACGTAGAACTTAATATGTGCCAGGCACTGGTCTAAAGGCGCCACATACTACCTGTGTAGTAGGCATGATTATTAAGCCCATTTCACACGTGAGGAAACTGAGGCATAATTTAATGAAAGAAGGAAGGAAAGGAGGGAGGGGAAAGAGGAGGGAGAGGATAGGGTTGTCAGATTTAACAGATAAAACACAGGATGTCCAGTCACGTTTGAATTTCAAATAAACAACAAATAACATTTGAGTATAAGTATATCCCAAGCAATATTTGAGACATACTAAAAAAATTATGGGTTGTTCATCGGAATGCAAAGGCAACCAAGCATCCTGCATCTTTCTTGACAATGCCCCAGGAGGGAGGGCTTGGCAGAGGCTCAAGGAATGTGGGGACACAGCTCTGGGCACAGGTGGGTGCCGGGCGCAGGTGGGTGCCGGGCGTGGGCGCTGAGGGTGGCCTGGGCTCACCGTGTAGCTGCAGTGCTCGTTCACCACCACGCGGTTGGCGAAGGTCTCATTGTGCGCTTCGATGAGGAGCGTCCTCTCCTTCCAGTTCAAGATGTTTGTCTGCACGAAGACCACGTGCTCAACACCTGCGATCTGCAAGGGAAGGGGCGGGGAGGCGGAGGTGGGTGGGCGGCGTGGAGCACACAGGAATGGAGAGCGAGTCCGGCGGGCCTGCCCCAGTCACCCCCTGCCCTGAGTCCCAGGTCCCTTGCGCCACCGCCCACCCAGCCCGGACCCAGGACACCAACCCCCGACTTCCGCCCTGCCGCCAACCCATCTTCACCACCCAGCTCCGGCCCTGGCCCCGCGAACCCCGCCCAGTTCCCGCTACTCCCCAGCCCAGCCTTCCAGCCCTCGCCCCTCCTGGGCCCTGGTCCCGCCACCCTCATCCTGGAACCTCCATCCAAATATCAACTCACACGCCCCTGCTCCACCTCCTGGACCCCGCCGCCCTGGTCCCCAGCTCCCGCGCCCAGCCCTCCCGCACCTCCGCAACAGGTCCCCTCCTCCGCCCCCCAGCCCCAGGGCCGCCCACCTTCCGCAGCAGCCGCGGGGCGTCCACGCGCAGCCGGCAGCTCCGCTCCACCACGTGCACAGCCCCGTCCGGGCTGCGGGACTCGCGCAAGACCTCGCTGCCCAGGAAGACTGGGATCTGTGGGCACGTGGGGAAACGCTTCTCGTAGGCCTGGGGGCAGAGCGGCAGTGAGCGGCCGTGGTGGGGGGGGCAGAGGGACCCCCCCCCCCAGCGCGACCTCCTTATCTGCTGTGTCACTTATCAGACGGGAAAGGCAGCCCTGGCCACTGGAAGGGGCAGGGATTTTGCCGTCATTACCAACAATCGTTCCACCAGCTAGCACCTGTTAGAGCCCAACACAGCAGAGCCTGGACAATGATTTGGCACATAAGTTTTGCCTCTGCATTTGAGTTTTTGCCCTCAGAAGGAAGCACAGGGACTCTGGGGACATTTTAAAATAAGGTATTTCTCAGGAAAAGCATTTGAGAAAAATCCAACACCCCTTCATGATAAAAAAAAAAAAAAAGATTCAATAAACTAGGAATAGAAGGGCACTTCCTCCGCCTGGTAAAGCCATCTGCTAAAAGCCACAGTTAACATCCCTGGTGAATGAGTGCTTTCCCCTAAAATCAGGAACAAGGTAGCAATGTGCATTCTTCGTGTCTATTCGAGCTTGTGCTAGAGGTTCTAGATAAGTAAAAGAAATAAAAGCCATCCAGTTGGAAAGGAAGAAGTAAAACTATCTGTATTTGCAGATGACATGAACATTTATATAGAAAATCCTAAAGCATCCACACACGTACACACAAAAAGATTAGAACTAATCAATGAGTTCAGCAAGGTTGCAGGATATAAAACCAATATAGAAAAATCAGTTGTATTTCTATGTACTAACAATGAGCAAACTGAAAATAAAATGAAAAAATTCTATTTACAACATCAAAAAGAATAAAATACTTAGGAATATATTCAACAAAAAGAAGTGTAAAATGTATACTCTGAACACTACAAAACATTTGCTGAAAAAAATTAAAGCCCTAAATAAATGGAAAGGCATCCCATATTCATGGAACAGAAGACTTAACATTGTTAAGATGGCAATATTCCCCAACTAGTCTACAGATTCAACACAATATCCACATCCCAGTTGACTTCTTTACAGAAATTGACAAGCTTATCCCAAAATTCATATGGAAATACAACAGACCCAAGATAACCAAAAGCAATCGAAAAAGAGCAAAATTGGAGAACTCATATTTCCTGATTTACTTTAAAAGACGTGGTAGCAGGCCAGGTGTGGTGGCTCACGCATACAATCCCAGCACTTTGGGAGGCCAAGGCAGGTGGATCACCTGAGATCAGGAGTTCAAGACCAGCCTGGCCAACATGGTGAAACCCCATCTCTACTAAAAATACAAAAAGCAGCCGGGCGTGGTGGCAGGTGCCTGTAATCCCAGCTACTTGGGAAGCTGAGGCAGAAGAATCACTTGAAACCAAGAAGCAGAGGTTTCAGTGAGCTGAAATCACACCATTGCACTCCAGTCTGGGCGACAAGAGCGAAACTCTGTCTCAAAAAAAAAAAAAAGAAGAAGAAGAAGACATAACAGCACGTGTTGGTGAGGATGTGGAGAAATTGAAACCCCCAAACCCTGTCATATGAACGTAATACGGTACAACCCCTTTGGAAAATGGCTTGGCAGTTCTTCAAACAGTTAAACATAGAATTACCTTATGATCCAGCAATTCCACTCCTAGGTATATACCCAAGATAAATGAAAACATAAGTCCACACAAAAAAATTATACACAAATATTTATACCAACATCAGGCTATTCAACAATAAAAGAAAAAATAATACAATTTATATAGACTGTGCACATATCTATCTACTCACAATGTAAATATAGGGTGTTTCTATATAATATAATTTTATAAATATAGATAGTATGTATATAAATATATATTGTATCTATAAATATATAGATATATCAGGCTACAGTAATCAAAACAGTGTGATACTGGCATAAGGGGAGACATACAGCTCAGTGGAAAAGAATTTAGCATCCAGAAATAAGCCCTTACGTTTATCACCAACTGATTTTTTACAAAGGTGTCAAGACAATCTGATGAGAAAAGAATAATCTCTTCAGCAAATGGTGCCGGGACAATTGGATATACACATGCAACAGAATGAAGTTGGAGCCGGGCGCGGTGGCTCACGCTTCTAATCCCAGAACCTTGGGGGGCTGAGGCGGGTGGATCACCGAAGGTCAGGAGCTAGAGACCAGCCTGGTCAACATGGTGAAACCCTGTCTCTCCTAAAAATAGAAAAAAATTAGCTGGGCATAGTAGCATGCACCTGTAATCCCAGCTACTCAGGAGGCTGAGGCAGGAGAATCACTTGAACCCAGGAGGCGGAGGTTGCAGTGAGGCGACATTGTGCCATTGCACTCCAGCCTGGGCGACAAGAGCAAAACTCCATCTCAAAAAAATAAACAAATAAAATAATAATAATAATTTTTTAAAAGCATTTTTTAAAAACTACAAAACTCTTAGAAGAAAACATATGAATAAATCTTTATGAACTTGGATTAAGCAATGGTTTTTTACTTATGGCATCAAAAGCACAAACAATAAAAGAAAAAATAAACTGGATATCATCAAATTTTAAAACTTTTGTGTTTCAAAGGATACAAGCAAGAAAGTGAAAAGGTAACCCAGAGAATGGGAGAAAATTTTTGCAAATTATACATACATACATATGTGTACATGTGTGTGTAGAAAATGGGGGATTTGCATCTAGAATGTATAAACGAGTGTTAGAATTCAACAATAAAGAGATGACCCAATTTTAAAATGGCAGAAGATCTCAACAGACATTTCCCCAAGGAAAATATACCAACACAAAAAAGCAAATGAAACTATGTTCAACATCATTAGTCACTAGGGAAATGCAAATCCAAACCACAATGAAATACCACTTCACATCCACTAGGATGACTATAATAACTTTTAAAAGACATAATAATAGCTAGTGCTGGTGAGGATGTGGAGAAATTGAAGCCCCCAAACCCTCCCACGTGTATGTAATATGATACAACCCCTTTGGAAAACAGTGTGGCAGTTCTTCAAACAATTAAACAAAGAGTTACCATATGATCCAGCAATTCCACTCATAGGTATGTACCCAAGAGAAATGAAAACATAAGTCCACACAAAAAAATACACAAATATTTATAGCAACATTATTCGTAATAGGCAAAGTGGAAATAACCCAAATGTCCATCAACGGATGAGGGAATAAATCAGTGGTGGTCTAGCCATAAAATGGAATATTATACAGCCTTAAAAAGGAACAAGGTACTGATTCATGCTACAACATGGATGAACTGTGAAAATATTATGCTGAGTGCAAGTAGCCAATCACAAAATACCATATATTGCATGAATCCTTTTATATGAAATGTTCAGAACGGGCAAATAGAGAGAGACAGAAAGTAGATTAGTGGTTGCCAGGGACCAGGAGTGGTGAGGAAAGAGATGGTGGGGGTGTTGAGGGATGAGGGTTAAGGCAGACAGAGCTTCTTTTCGAGGTAATGAGACTATTCTAAAGCTGATTGCGGTGAAGCTTGCACAATATTATGAATCTACTGAAAGCCACTGAATTATGTGCTGTAAATGAATGAGTTGTATGATATGTGAATTGTATCTCAATAAAACTGTTTCTTTAAAAAAGTGTCTTTCTCTCTCCAAGTGTATGTGTTTATATGTACACATACACACATATGAATCCACATGTATACATATACTATTTATTTATTTATTTATTTATTTATTTATTTATTTATTTGAGACAGAGTTTTGTTCTTGTCACCCAGGGTGGAGTACAATGGCGCGATCTCGGCTCACTGCAACCTCCACCTCCCAGGTTCAAGCGATTCTCCTGCCTTAGCCTCCCAAGTAGCTGGGATTACAGGCACACGCCACTACACCCTGCTAATTTTTGTATTTCTAGTAGAGACGGGGTTTCACCATGTTGGTCAGGTTGGTCTTGAACTCCTGACTTCGGGTGATCCGTCCACCTCGGCCTCCCAAAGTGCTGGGATTACAAGCGTGAGCCACCGCGCCTGGCCACATGTATACATATATTATTTAAGTGTATATATAAATATATATGAATATATGTTAATATAAATATACACAATTTATATAGTGTGCATATATCTTTCTATACACAATGTAAATATAAGGTGTTCTGTATAATATAATTTTATAAACATAGATAGAATATAAATAAATATAGATCATATCTATACATATCTATAAATATATAATGTATATATAAATGTACCCATGTAAATATATTATTTCATATATGGATACATAATATATTCCATATATAAATATATGGGCATGCTGTGAGCAGTGGCTCATGCCTGTAATCCCAACACTTTGGGAAGCCAAGGCAGGCAGATCATTTAAGGTCAGGAGTTTGAGACCAGCCTGGCTAACATGATGAAACCCTGTCTCTACTAAAAAATAACAACAACAACAAAAATTAGCTGGGCATGGTGGCACATGTTTGTAATCACAGCTAGTCAGGAGGCTGAGGCAGGAGAATCGCTTGAACCCAGGAAGCAGAGGTTACAGTAAGCGGAGATCGTGCCACTGAACTCCAGCCTGGGCAACAGAGCCAGGCTCCATCTCAAAATAAAAATAAATATATAAATAAATATATGAGTAGTTTAAGGAGTTTATTTTATATATGAATATATCTATTACATAATTTTTTTTGTATATGTTCATGTAAATATTCAGTAATGTGCTTCCTGTGAGCCATTAGAGGGTCTCACCCTGGCTGACAGCACAGACTCGAGCCCTGCCTGGGTACAAATCCCAGCTCTACCACTTACAAGCTGTGTGACCTTGGGTGGGTTACTTAACCTCTCAGTGCCCTGTTGCACACAGTCGTCCTGAGAACTGAGCAAACTGCTGTGGGTGCTGGAGAAGGGATGGCCAGGATTATTTCCTCCACAGTCTCTCCGTGTGTCTCACACAGGATTTGGCCACGAGCACAGGAGGTTAAGCTGGATTCCATGCCACTGTGCCCTTCACAGGGAAGGGCCCCTCACTGTCCTCGGAGCCAATTCAGGTCAGCCCCAGGCTCTGTGCTGGGGCTGCTTGCTTCTGTGCGGGCGGAGGTCCTCCCAGGCGGGGGTGTAGAGCTGGGTGAAGGTAGCTTGAGGGGCCCCCAAGCCCATGAACCTACGCTCAGGGAGGGCAAGGGTCCGTGCCCAGTTCTAGAAGGGCCAGGGTCAGGGTGGTGGGGGCGTATCCCAGCATCTGTGGCTGACCTTATTCCTTATTCCAGCGGGGTCTGCTCCTAGCGCCTGTCACAGCCCACGTGCCCCGGAATTGGGATCAAGGCAGGCTCCAAAAATAGTGCCGGCATCTGAGGACAGACACCTCCTCCCCCTTCCCTCCTGGCTCCCAGGAAGAGAGGCGGGGGGAGGGGGGGGCCGAGGAAGAAATGGATACATGCCCAGGAGCCCTTGGTGTCACCCCAGGCTGGGCAAGGCCAGCCTGCCTGTCCTCCACCAGGGCCAGGAGGACAGAGCTGCCTCCTGCCATATCTCCATGTCAGTTGCTGCGACAAACACATCAGCGTTGGAATAGGGAGGCCTCGTTCCCCCAGAGAATGCACCATGGGGATCCTGGGGTCTGGACTCAGCGAGCTGGCAAGGAGACCCCCTGAGAACTGTGTCTGCCCTGTAGATCTCAGCCACGCTGGACCCACTTTCAAAGGAAATCATCTCCCCACGGAGGACAGAGAGCAGAGTAAAGCCAGTGGAGGCTGGAGGGGTTCAGACTGCCTGGTTAGAAGTCCAGCTCCACCTCCTTCCAGCGAGGCAAGCCCCTTCCTTTCTCTGGGCCTGTTTCATCATTTGGAAAGTGCGTATATGTCTCATGTACTTGCCCAGAGAGGCTCACTAATTTACCCCAAGTCACACAGCACGGGATGGTGAACCTGGATTTGAATCCCAGTTGGGCCCAGTCCCCACTCCCTCCAAGAACCGTTTGCTCAGCAGCTGGGCTTGTTGTCATGGGCAGCTCAGAAACAGAGCCAGGCACTGTCCCCCCGGGCCAAGCGGTCACATCTTCTCCTCCCTTTTCCACCCTCTGTCCTTCAGAATCCTGCCAGGCAGCGGCCACACCACCCCTGACCTTCTCCCCTTCCTTCTACTGCTCAGTCTCCCTCCTGTTTCCCAAACGAAATGATTTCGGGGGAGGATATACACAGAACAGGCCTTGACGAGACCAGGCGCGGTGGCTCACACCTGTAATCCCAGCACTTTGGGAGGCCGAGGTGGATGGATCATTTGAGGTCAGGAGTTCAAGACCAGCCTGGCCAATATGGTGAAACCCCATCTCTTCTAAAAATACAAAAAAAAAAAAAAAAAAAAAAAAAAAACCAATTAGCTAGACGTGCTGGTGCATGCCTGTAATCCCAGCTACTAGGGAGGCAGAGATTGCAGTGAGTGGAGATCGCACCACTGCACTCCAGCGTGGGCGACAGAGCAAGACTCCATCTCAAATAAATAAATAAAGAAAGAAAGAACGGGCCTTGATGCCGAGAATAAACCTGCACTCTTTATGGTGGTCCTCGGGCCCTGTGTGATCTGCCCTGCCCACCCACCTCCCATCCCAGCCCCCTCATCTGGCTCCAGCCACGCCAGCTTTGCTGCGTTTAGAACAATACATCGACGTGTCCCTGCCATGGGGACTTTGCACTTGCTGTTCCAGATGCTTGGAACGCTGATCAATTTCTTGACAGTGAAGGGGATGGGAGGCATGAGACATGGGGCTTTCTGGAGGGGTAGGAGGCCTGGATTTGGGCCAAGGAGACGCTCAGGCTTCAGGGCCTCATCCATGCTGGTCCTTCTTCCCGGGACACCCTCCCTTCCCCCTCCTAGGCACGACTGCCTCTTCCTCAGTTCTCCTTCCTTTTACCATTTTATTTCTTTGAAAGCGTTTATCGTGCCTTGTAACAGGAGACTTGTGAAGGAGGATCGCCTGCTTTTCCAAAGCACAACCTCATACCTGTGCCGGGCTTGGTCCTCGGCACACCCTTGGCGCTAACAATGCTAACCAGCAAAGAAGAACATAACACGCACTTGGCCCAAAGAGCCTCAAGGAGGGTGTCAGGGAGGGGATAAAGCCACAGACTCAGCACACGCAGCCAGTCAAAGGCCAGAGTTCCTGACTCACTTCCCATCCTAACAAACCTCTTGTTAGAAAGGCCCGGTCTGGAGCCCCCAGATAACAGGCACGGAGGGGAGGCTGGTCTGCTGGGGCATGACTTTCTCTGACTTCGAAAGGAAAGGAAGGTACTTCTCCCAGTATCCAGTGACAGAGCCACATGTTTCGGGGGGACATTCGAGCTGAGGCTCCGTCTGGAAGGCGTCCATCCCAGAGCCAGTTGTCCAGCATCAGAGGACTTTCACGATTGTTGGACACTGTTGTTAAGGACTTTATAAAGTGTTAACTGCCTCGCTTCATCCTTACAATGCCCTGGTGAGATGGGAACTAGCATTTCCCCATTTTACAGATGAGCAAGTTGAGGCTCAGGAAGACAGAGTGACTCGCCCAGCAGCACATGGCCGGGGAGTGGTGGGATTGGCGCATGAGCCTGTCTGACCCAGACGACAACCCTGAATCACTGTGTCCTGCCTCAGAATCTCTGGCTACGTCACAAGCATCGGTGGCTTGGAAATGCTGAGTCCCACTGGCCTGTAACTCGCAAAGCAGGGGACCTGGAGAAGTGAGGATCGGGGTGGGCTGAGGATGGGGCCGGTGGGGCATGAGAAGGAGGTTCACCTCCCTGGATGGCAGAGAAGGGGATGCAGGGAAGGGGATGGAGGGACCTCGGCAGAAACCAACCTCAGGTTCTGTCTGCTGCTTTCAAACCTCATCCTCCTGCTGCAGGGAAAATGACAGGAGCAAGAAAAGCAGCTCCTCCCAGCGCAAGGGCTCTCCAGGGACAATCAATGCCTCATCTCCAGGCCCCGGGAGAACTGCCTTGCCTTCTCCTGGGGTGAATGTTTATAGCGGGTGGCTGGTCAGGCAGAAAACTTTCCTTTAATTTCAGATGACCAAAAGGTGCCGATGAGTACCAAAAGGACACATTTGGACAATTTTCAGCTGCCCAAGCCTAACCATCATTGCAGTAATGGCAATAGCCGAGGCATACACTGGGCTCACTGCATACCGTGTGCTGCTCCTGATGAAGTAGGTAGCGCTCACCCTCCGCATTTGACAGATGGAGAAGCCAAAACTCAGAGAGTTTAAGTCACTTGCCCATAGTCGCACAGCTTGTGAGGGATCAAGCTGCAATTTGACCCCCTTGCAGTCAGACCATGGGGTTGGTGCACTGTGTTGCTTCTAGAACCAAACAGTGCCTTGATCTCTGAAGGACAGCCCAACACTCAAGACACTCCCACACAGGACGGAAGCCTGGTTCATACCCTCAGCTCATACTCAACCCATTTCTGACCCTCCCTGTGCCCTTGTTCCTCAGACAGTCCCCATGCATTTGAAAATGTGTCTGTCTCCCCAGCTTGACCATGGGCACCTCTGAGGGTCCAGCCTCTTTGCCTGAAGATCCCCTTCCTGCATCTGACTTGGAGAAGATATTAAATACACTGGCTGAGGTCGGGTGAAGTGGCTCACACCTGTAATCCTGGCAGGAGGATTGTTTGAGCCCAGGACTTCGAGACCAGCCTGGGCAAAATAGTGAGACCTCATCTCTACATAAAATAAGAAAATTAACCAGGTGCAGTGGCTCACGCCTGTAATCCCAGCACTTTGGGAGGCCAAGGCGGGCAGATCACGAGGTCAAGCGATCGAGACCATCCTGGCTAACGCGGTGAAACCCGTCTCTACTAAAAATACAAAAGATTAGCCGAGCGTGGTGGCAGGCGCCTGTAGTTCCAGCTACTCGGGAGGCTGAGGCAGGAAAATGGCCTGAACCCAGGAGGCGGAGCTTGCAGTGAGCCCAGATTGCACCACTGCACTCCAGCCTGGGTGACAGAGCGAGACTCCATCTCAAAAATAAATACATAAATATTTTTAAAAAAGAAAATTACCCAAGTGTGGTGGCACGTACCTGTAATACCAGCTACTCAGGTGGCTGAGGCAGGAGAATCGCTTGAGCATAGAAGGTCAAGGCTGCAATGAGCTATGATTATGCCACTGCACTCCAGCCTGGGTGGCAGAGCAAGATCTTGTTTCTTTTTTTTCCTTTTTTTTTTGAGACGGAGTCTGACTCTGTCGCCCAGGCTGGAGTTCAGTCGCGGGATCTCGGCTCACTGCAAGCTCCGCCTCCCGGGTTCACGCCATTCTCCTGCCTCAGCCTCCCAAGTTAGCTGGGATTACAGGGGCCCGCCGTTACGCCCGGCAAATTTTTTTTGTATTTTTAATAGAGACGGGGTTTCACCGTTTTAGCCGGGATGGTTTTGATCTCGGGGCCTCGTGATCCGCCCGTCTCGCCCTCCCAAAGTGCTGGGATTACAGGCGTGAGCCACCGCGCCCGGCCAAGATCTTGTTTCTTTAAAAAATAAAATAAAGGCTGTGCACAGTGGCTCACACCTATCCTCCCAGCACTTTGGGAGGCCGAGGCAGGTGGATCACTTGAGGCCAGGAGTTCAAGACAAGCCTGGACAACATAGTGAAACCCTGTCTCTACTAAAAATGCAAAAAATTAGCCAGGCGTGGTGGTGCGCACCTGTAATCCCAGCTACTCGGGAGGCTGAGGCATGAGAATTGCTTGAACCTGAGAGGAGGAGGTGGCAGTGAGCCGAGATCATGCCACTGTACTCCAGCCTGAGCGACAGAGACTCCATCTCAAAAATAATAATAATAAATAAATAAATAAAATAAAAACACTGGCTGAATAAAATTCAAACGCCTGCCAAGTGGAGAGGGACCTTACCTAGAAGGGACCAGGGAGCCCCGGAAGGTTATAGAGCACCTCTCTTCGCAGGATGGTTGTGAGGCCTTCACAGGTCCTGGGCTCTACCCATGTCAATCACATCACACACATTAAAATGCATCCACTTTCCGTGATTTACATATACATGAGCTCATCACAGTTGAGGTCCAGATGACAGCCTGGCATGAAGTTGCCCTTGGTAGGCATTTAATTCAGCATGTGTTCATTTTAACTCTGCAGGTTTCTTTTTCTTTTCTTTTTTTTTCCTTTTTTTTTTTTTTTTTTTTTTTGAGACGGAGTCTCACTCTTTCGCCTAGGCTGGAGTGCAATGGCACGATCTCAGCTCACTGCCGCCTCCGCCTCCTGGGTTCAAACGATTCTCCTGCCTCGGCCTCCCAAGTACCTGGGATTACAGGCACCCACCACCACACCCAACTAATTTTTGTACTTTTAGTAGAGATGGGGTTTCACCATGTTGGCCAGGCTGGTCTCGAACTCCTGACCTCAAGGGATCTGCCTGCCTCAGCCTCCCAAAGTGCTGGGATTACAGGCGTGAGCCACTGCACCTGGGCCTGCAGGTTTCTTTTTGTATTCTGGAATAATTACATTTATTTTCTTTCCTTGTTAAACATTGCTGTGACCTTGAGAAACTGTGGGCCGCAGGCACCCTGCCCTGGGAGAGGCCCTGGCAGAGACCAAACAGGGCCCAGCCCCTGTGCCTTTCATACCTCCCAAGGTCCTACGGGATCAAACAGCTGACGGGACCTTTCTGTGTTGGAAACCAGCTCACACCACTAGTTTTGTCCCTGCCTAAGAGCCTCAGCTGCCGGCTCCTGTCCCTACAGTTGGCTTGACCACCCACAAATGAGACCTGAGCCTCTCCCTGCTAAACAAACACATGGTTTGGTGCTCTCAGGAACACAAGGCCACAGAAGGATTCAGTTACAGCCCTTCTGCCAGGTGGCTGGAGAGGACATCCAAGCCTGCCTGCTCAGAAAAGGAGATGGTCCAAAGCCCAGAGCCCACAGCTGCAGGGCCACAGTGGGGCAGGCAGGGACCAAGCAGGGCTGCCTCTTACGGGTCCCCATCCTGGAAAATCCATATTGACACAATTAGCATCTGGAGATGGGAGGCTGGAGCTAAATAGCCCTGAATTCCCACCCAGACTTGCCCAATTCCAGGCTGGGTAACCCCTCTTTCATTTGTAAAGTGCAATAATCATAGAACCTCCCAACTAGCACTCAGGTGGGCCTATTTTATTGCTTCATACATCACAACTACTGAAATAGGGTCATCAGCCGCTGATATCCCTGAATTTGCAGTGCTTTGCAAAATGCCTAGCACATAGTCCACACTCAATAGACATTTACAGGATGAATGAATGAACAACAGCATAGCACCGCCCTTAAGAGAGTGGGCTCTGGGGCCTGGGTTGGGATCTCTGCTCTGCCTCTCATCAGCTGTGTGAAAAAATCATCAAGCTCTCAGTTCCTTAATTCCTTTGTGTGTAAAAGGGGAAGTAAGAAAAGTAGCTACCTTGCTACTTGTCAGAAGAATAAAGGAGTCAGCTCATGCAATGTGCTTAGAGCAGTGCCTGGCACATGGTTCATTCTACATCACCATTTAAGTAAATTTAAATTTTAAAAATGAGTGAGATTCTGTAAAGTACAAAAAGCTATTTCTGCTAATCACTTGACAGATGATCCCTCCTCCCCTCCTTCCTTCCTTCCTGTTCTTCCTCATCCAAATTCAAAGGAAGCTGGAATGCCACTTACGCCAAAACGTCCAGTAAGAATGCAGAAAGAATATCCAAGCTGCACCAACATCTTCCAGCCCAATGCTCTCCCTTCCCTTTTCTATTCTGCAGGCCTGATTTGGGGGCCTGGCCACTACGCAGCCACTGAGTAAGGTGCCCCCATCGCCTGTCATACTCTTCAGGAGTCTCCCTATCAACCCCTTTCCTTCCCCCTGCAAGTCTAGGGGACCTCAGCACAGATGTGATATCAATCTACTCACCTCCTCCAACTCTTTTTTAAAAAATTGAAATATGGGTATCTACCCAAAGGAAAAGAAGTCATTATGTGAAAAAGACACATACACATGTATGTTTATAGCAGCACAATTCACAATTGCAAAAATATGGAGCCAACCCAAACGCCCATCAACCAATAAGTGGATTTTAGAAACGTGGTATATATACACCACGGAATACTACTCAGCCATAAAAAGGAACAAAATAATGTCTTTTTTTTTTTTTTTTTTTTGAGATGGAGTTTCGCTCTGTCACCCGGGCTGGAGTGCAGTGGCATGATCTCGACTCACTGCAAGCTCTGCCTCCCGGGTTCACGCCATTCTTCTGCCTCAGCCTCCCAAGTAGCTGGGACTACAGGCGCCCACCACCATGCCCAGCTAATTTTTTTGTACTTTTAGTGGAGACGGGGTTTCACCGTGTTAGCCAGGATGGTCTTGATCTCCTGACCTTGTGATCCGCCCACCTCCGCCTCCCAAAGTGCTAGGATTACAGGCGTGACAAAATAATGTCTTTTGCAGCAACTTGGATGGAGCTGGAGGTCATTATTCTAAATGAAGTAACTCAGGAATGGAAAACCAAATATCATATGTTCTCACTTATAAGTGAGAGCTAAGATATGAGGACGCAAGCTGGGCGCGGTAGCTCACACCTCTAATCCCAGGACTTTGGGAGGCTGAGGTGGGCGGATTACTTGAGGTCAGGAGTTTGAGACCAGCCTGGCCAACATGGTGAAACCCCATATTTACTAAAAATACAAAAATTAGCCAGGCATGGTGGCACACACCTGTAATCCCAGCTACTCAGGAGGCTGAGGCAGGAGAATCGCTTGAATACAGGAGGCAGAGGTTGCAGTGAGCCGAGATCACACCACTGTACTCCAGCCTGGGTGACAGAGTGAGACTCCATCTCAAAATATATATATATGAGGATGCAAAGGCATAAGAATGATATAATGGATTTTGGGGACTTGGGAGGGGAAGACTGGGAGGGAGTGAGGAATAAAAGACTACACATTGGGTACAGTGTACACTGCTTGTGTGACAGGTGCACTAAAATTTCAGAAATCACCACTAAAGACCTTATCCATGTTAAAAAAAAAAGCTGTACCCCAAAAACTGTTTAAATAAAAATAAATGTTTTTTTAAAAAATTAAAATATAATTATCATATCATATAGCCCACCCTTTTTAAGTATGCAGGTCAGGCCAGGCACGGTGGCTCACCCTGTAATCCCAGCACTTTGGGAGGTCGAGGTCGGAGAATCGCTTAAGCCCAGGCGTTCAAGACCAGCCTGGGCAACATAGCAAGACCTCATCTCTAAAAATAAAAATAAAAAACTAGGCAGGCATGATGGTGCGTGCCTGTGGTCCCAGCTACTCGGGAGGCTGGGGCGGGAGGATGGCTTGAGATTGCAGTGAGCTATGATCCTGCCACTGCACTCCAGCCTGGGTAACAGAGAGACCCTGTCTCAAAAAATAAAATATAAAGTATGCAGTCCAGTGTGTTTCATTCAGTACATTCATGAACTTAAAACCATCACCAATACCTATTCCAGAATATTTTTATCACCTTCAAAAGAAGCCCTGTATCCTTCAGAAGTCAACCCCATCTCCGCCCCCTCCCCTGCCACCCCAGTCCTAGACAACCACTCATCCGACTCATCTACTTTCTGTGTCTATGTATTCCCTTCTCCGGATAGTTCCAAGAAATGAAGTCATATAAGGCCTGGTGAGGTGGCTTACACCTGTAATCCCAGCACTTTGGGAGGCCTCAGGGGGCAGATCACCTGAGGTGAGGAGTTCAAGACCAGCCTGGTCAACATGGCGAAACCCCATCTCTACTAAAAATACAAAACATTAGCTGGGCATGGTGGCATGCACCTGGAGTCCCAGCTACTCAGGAGGCTGAGGCACAACAGTCGTTTGAACCCGGGAGGTGGAGGTTGCAGTGAGCTGAGATTGCCTCACTGCATTCCAGCCTGAACAGCAGAGCAAGGCTCTGTCTCAAAAAAAAAAAAAAAAAAAAGAGACAGAGAAAAAAGAAATCACATAAGACATGGCCTTCTGCCTCTGACCTCTCTCACTCAGCACAATGTTTTCAGCCCATCTGTGTTGCATCGTGCATCAGTGCTTCCTTCCTTTTCACTTCTGAAGACTGTGCCATGGGGTAGACCCCCCAACTTTTCGTAGGGGTGCTCAACTAGAGCTTGCTGAATGAGTCATCAGCCATCCAATGGCAGCAGTGTCACCCAGCTGATGAAGGGAAGTGGGCCTGGCAGAACCAGGCTGACACTGTTCCGGAAGCCCTGACATGACTGTTGCAGACAATCCATCATTGCAGCTGTACCCAGATGGCCCTGGAGCTGAAAAGCCACTGCTCATCCCAGCAAAGCCAGCCCGGGACACACATGAGATGGAGACACAGGGTCAGAACAGCGTCTGCAGCCAGGGCACCTGGACTCAGTGACAGGACAAGGGCGGCGCGTGGGGGAGGGGCAGAGACACAGCACAGGGTCAACATGTGACCCCAGCTCTGCCACTTGACAGCTGGATGCTCTCAAAGCAACCTCTCTGAGGCTCAGTTTTTCTCAGAAAAAAAGAGGAAAAGGATGCTGACTCATGTATGCCTGTTTTATTCCTTCACACATCACAACTGCTGAAGTAGCATCACCAGCCCCTGACATCCCTGAATTTGCAGTGCTTTGCAAAAATGCCTAGCACATAGTCAACACTCAATAGACATTTACAGGACGAATGAATGAGCAACAGCATAGCACTGCCATTAAGAGTGTGGGCTCTGGAGTTGCTGCAGCAATTAAAGGGACAATGCCAGGTACCACATTGTTGATTTTTTCTTAATGGACAAGAGCAAACCAATGGAGACTTAAAACAGATATTTGTACACAAATGTTCACAGCAGCATCATTTACACAATGATCAAAAGGGGGAAAACACCCACGTGTCCATCAACAGATGAACAGATAAATGAAAGGTGATGGAGTCATACAATGACGTATTCTTCAGCTTTAAAGAGGAGTGAGGCACCTGGCACCTGCCACGACACGGCTGAACCTGGAAGACATTGTGTCCAGTGAAACGAGCCAGAGACAAAAGGACAACTATTGTATGATTCCTTTTCTATGAGGTACCTAGAATGGTCAAATTTGCAGAGACAGCAAATAGAATAGTGGTTAATAGCAGCAGTGGGGAGCAGGGAGTGGAGAGTTAGTGTTTCATGGGTACAGAGTCCGGTTTGGGATGATGAAGGGGTTCTGGAGATGGACAGTGGAGACAGTTGCACAATAACGTGAATGTACTTATGCCACTGAACTGTACACTTAAGATGCTTAAATGGGAAGTTTTATGTTACGTGTATTTCATCACAATAAAAAACTATAGAGTGAAGCCAGGTGCAGTGGCTCACACCTATAATCCCAGCACATTGGGAGGCCAAGGCAAGAGGATCACTTGAAGCCGGGAGTTTGAGACCAGCCTGGGCAACACAGCAAAACCCCTATCTCCACAAAATATTTTAAAATTAGCCAGGTTCGGTGGCACCTATAGTCCCAGCTACTCAGGTAGCTGAGGTGGGAGAATCGCTTGAACCCAGGAGGTTGAGGCTGTAGTGAGCTATAATTGCACCACTGCACTCCAGCCCGGGCAATTAAAAAAAAAAAAAGAATAAGCCACCTCCTAGATGGTCTACAGCCCTATCAGAAGCATTTGTCATGGTTTGGAATAGGACATTATGTCTGCGTTTGTTTGTTTACAGTCTCAATGCCACCGTCTCTATGTAGGTTTCATTTACCACTGAATTCCCTGGTGCCTTGTACAACACCTGGGACATTGTAGACGTTCAGCCAATATTTCTCAAAGGAATGAAAGGAGGAAGGAATGAGTGAATGGCCAGGTGCCAGGGAAATAAAATAGGAAAATGGAACCATCTTTCTATATATCCCTGGGAGATTAAGTCACATAAGTACCGGTCTCCCTAGTCTCAGAGTGAGTGGACCTACATCTACACTCCCAGGGGACATCAGCAGGTGCGCAGCCCAAAGCTCTACCTTCAGAGAGCTAGGTTCTGGAAGATACTTATTGGGCAGGTGAATAAATGAGTAACTCCCCCTCAGTTGTCAGAACAGGGTTTATCCACAGGGATTAAACAATGAATCAGCCATGAACAACAAAGCTGGAGAGGGAGAGTTTTGCCAGTTTTTTTGGTTGTTGTTGTTATTGTTGTTTGTTTTTGAGACAAGGTCTTGCTTTATCACCCAGGCTGGAGTGCAGTGGCAAGATCACGGCTCACTGCAGCCTCGACCTCCTGGCCTCCACTGATCCTCCTGCCTCAGCCTCCCAAGTAGCTGGAATTACAGGCACACATCACCATGCCCAGTTCATATTTTAATTTTTTGTAGAGACAAGGTCTCACTGTGTTGCCGAGGCTGGTCTCTCAAACTCCTAGGCTCAAACAATCCTCTTGCCTTAGCATTCCAAAGTGCTACGATTATAGGCGTAAGCCACCGCCCCTGGCCAGTTTTGCCTGTTTTTAACAAGTTCCCTAACCCATGGCTGCAACAGGACCAAAGTCAGCTAGTTCTTTTTTTTTTTTTTTTTTGGCTCTGTCACCAGGCTGGAGTGCAGTGGTGCAATCTCGGCTCTGTATCCTCCACCTCCCGGTTCAAGCGATTCTCCTGCCTCAGCCCCCCGCGTAGCTGGGACTACAGGCACATACCGTCACGCCCAGCTAATTTTTGTATTTTTAGTAGAGACGGGGTTTCACCATGTTGGCCAGGCTGGTCTCAAAGTCCTGACCTCGTGATCCACCCGCCTCGGCCTCCCAAAGTGCTGGGATTACAGGCACGAGCCACCGCACCCAGCCAGGTCTAGTTCTTACTGGTTCCTACTTCTGCACACTTGGATGTACTTTTGGGCTGGGAAGCCGTGTCCCCTCCACATGAGGACTCACCCTCAGAATGACTGGCCTCTCCGGCACTGGGAGAACGACAGCCCGTGCCACCCATGTGTGCACAAACCCACTGCAGAGTCTCACTCACGTGTCAGGAGCGGGGCCCAGGGACTCCTAGGATCAGCTGGTTCCCCTGATGGCTCCGGGAGGGCGGATGACTTAGCGAGGCCAGCCTAGAGCAGCTTGACATTTACATGGTATGTCAGGATTTTGCGCAGAGGGGAAACACTATTTTAAATTTTCCAAGTGTCTCAGGAATGCCTCCAGACCTCCAACGTCTCTGCTTCCTGGCCCCTGATGACGCTGCCAGCCACTTTCTAACTTGCACTGGGGTCCCATTAAGCTAGTTCACTTCTTTGAGAGACAAGTTCTGCCCCATTGGCCTTTGCATAGGCTAAACCCTGCTTAACATCCCCCACCTCCCCACTCCCTGCTTCCCCGCAACTCTCAGCCTGGCTGGCTCAAATGACCCTCCTATGGCCTCCAGTGGGTCCTTCTTTGTGTTCCTACAATGCCCTGTTTTTCCCCATGATGAATGGTTCTACATGGCATTTGTCTGTCACCCCCTCCCCCAATAGACTATGCTGAGGGCTCGATAAGGGCAGGAACCACATCAAAAGAACCAGATGGGCCAGGTGCAGTGGCTCACGCCTGTGATCCCAACACTTTGAGAGGCAGTCAGTTCACTTGAGCCCAGCAGTTCAAGACCAGCCTGGGCAACATGGTAAAAACCCTTCTATACAAAAGATACAAACATTAGCCTAGCATGGTTGTGTGTGCCTGTAGTCCCAGCTACTTGGGAGGCTGAGGTGGGACAATCGCTTGAGCCTGCAAGGTTGAGGCTGCAGTGAGCTGTGATCGTGCCGCTGCACCCCAGCCTGGGTGACAACCTGAGACCAGTCTCAAAAAAAAAAAAAAAAGGAAAGAAAAAGAACCAGACAAGACAGACACAGTCTTTTCTTCCTGGAGCTTCCCTTAATGAAAAATACCCATATAAACAAGTAAACAAGGAAACAAATGAACAGAATAACAATGCATTTCAAAAAGTACCAGATCAGGCCGGTCACAGTAGCTCACACCTGTAATCTCAGCACTTTGGGAGGCCAAGGTGGGTGGATCACCTGAGGTCAGGAGTTCAAGACCAGCCTGACCAATGTGGTGAAACCCCATCTCTGCTAAAAATGCAAAACTTAGCCGAGCATGGTGGCAGGCACCTGTAATCCCGTCTACTTGGGAAGCTAAGGCAGGAAAATCGCTTGAACCTGGGAGGCGGAGGTTGCCATGCGCGAGATGGCACCATTGCATTCCAGCCTGGGCAACAGAGGAAGACTCTGTCTCAAAAAAAAAAAAGAAAGTACTAGATCAGTGCACATTTGAGCCTCTGACATTGGAGAAAAAAAGAAGTGCTAGGAATCCACCTCGCACAGCCTTCGGCACACAGCAAAAACTCAAAAAATATTTGTGGAATGCACACATGCATGAATGCATAAATAAATGCACACAGAAATGAATGCACGAGGGCCTTACACTTATTTCAGGGCCCTCGGAAATCAGAAGACAACTATGCAGGGCAGTGGATCACCTCTGTTCTCCCAGCGCAAATCAGAGCAGCATTCAAGGTAGAAAACATTGCTTGCCTTAATCTGTTAGCAACAGGATCAGATGACAGGCTCCAGGGAGCTAATTTAAACTCATTTAAATAAGGCCCCGGCCGCTTTGTTAAAACTACCTCCGTAACAGCGAATCCAACTGTAACTGCTTTTGGCCTAAGCCACAATAATTTACCTTCACAGGCTGCTTCTTATTAATAACGCATTGGCTAAATTACAAGCTGTTTAACAATACAACAAGGCCAGGTCTTTAAATATTTTAACATGTAATTGCTGAAGGACAGAACCTTACCTCCGTAACCCTTCCTCCACAGGAAAAGCCTTTTGCTTAGGAAGTTCTACTCCAAGCCATCTTCCTTATTTAGGTTTGCAAAACAGAGATGACCTGACGCTACTGGGCTTTGGAGCCCCACAGGAACACCTGGGCAGTGGCTGGACAAAAGGGGACCAGGTCATTCCTAAAGCCACAGTACTGCTGCTGGTGCACAAATGTTTATGGAAAGTCAAGGCCAGGTACAGTGGCTCACATCTGTGATCCCAGCACTTTGGGAGACCACAGGAGGATGGCTTGAGCCCAGGAATTTCGGACTAGCATGGGCAACATAGGGAGAGCTCACCTCTACAAAAATATTTTTTAAAATTAGCCAGGTGCGGCCGGGCGCCGTGGCCCACGCCTGTAACCCTAACACTTTGGGAGGCCAGGGCAGGCGGATCACCTGAGGTCGGGAGTTCGAGACCAGCCTGACCAATATGGAGAAACCCCGTCTGTGCTAAAAATACAAAATTAGCCTGGCGTGGTGGTGCATGCCTGTAATCCCAGCTACTCGGGAGGCTGAGGTAGAAGAATTGCTTGAACCCGGGAGGCAGAGGTTTCAGTGAGCCGAGATTGCGCCACTGCACTCCAGCCTGGGCAACAAGAGCGAAACTTCGTCTCAAAAAAAAAATTAGCCAGGCGTGGTGGTGAACACCTGTGGTCTCAGCTATTTAGAAGGCTGAGGTGGGAGAATCACTTGACCTCCAGGAGGTCAAGGCTGCAGTGAGCCATGATTGCACCACTGCACTCCAGCTTGAGTAACAGAGCAAGCCCCTGTCTCAAAAAAGAAATATAATAAAATAAAATAGAGAGGGAGAAAGGGAAGGGAAGGAGAGGGGAGGGGAAGGGAGGGGAAGGGGGAGGGGGGGAGGGGAGAGGTGAAGGAAGGAAAGAAGGAAAGGAAGGAAGGAAGGAGGCCAGGTGTGGTCACGCCTGTAATCACAGCACTTTGGGAGGCCGAGGTAGGTGGATCACCTGAGGTCAGGAGTTCAAGTGACCTCAGGGTCACTTGAGGTCAGGAGTTGGAGACCAGCCTGGCCAACATGGTGAAACCCCATCTCTATTAAAAATACAAAAATCAGCCAGGCATGGTGGCGGGCACCTGTAATCCCAGCTACTCAGGAGGCTGAGGTGGGAGAATCGCTTGACCCTGGGAGGTGGAAGTTTCAATGAGCCAAGATTGCACCACTGCACTCTAGTCTGGGCGACAGAGCAACACTCTGTCAAAAAAAAAAAAAAAAAAAAAAAAAAAAAACGAAAGAAAGAAAAGTCAGAGCCAGAATCCGGAAAGTCTGGCTGTGAGCTCTGGCTGTGGGGTCAGATTCCCTGAGTTCAAATCCCAGCTGTGAAATGTAACCCCTAAAATAGATATGTTGAAGTCCTAAGCCCTGGTACCTGTAAATGTGACCTCATTTGGAGAACAGGTCTTTACAAGTAATCAAGTTGAAGCGAGGCCATTGGAGTGTCCTTATAAATCCAATATGACTGGTGTCCTTATAAAAAAACGGAAATCTGGACACAGTGAGTCATTATGTGAGGACTGGAGTTCTGCTGTCCCAAGTCAAGGAACTGTCCGAGGCTGGGAGAGAGGCCAGGAGCAGATCCCCTTCTAGAGCCTCCAGAGGGAGTGTGGGCCTGCCCACACCTTGAATTCAGGCTTCTGGCCTCCAGAACAGTGAGGCAATGAACTTATGTTGTTCTAAGTCACCCGGTTTGTGGCTCTGTGGGACCATAAACACTGGTCACTGAGGGACAGTCTCCTGGACCTTGCTGAGCCTCAATTTCCTCTTCTGCTACAGATCAGGCTGCTATAATGGACCTGCCTCTGAGCTGGCCTAAAGGGCTGGCCACAGGTAGCGCTGAATAAACACTCCCGGGCTTGGCCGGTGTGCCAGGGGCCAGGGCCTGCAGGCTTGGGCTGTATTCTCCCTTGCAGGGTCCCGAAGGGGTAAAGGCATCCTGATGGTAACTGCCTCCGCTGGGACCATGCACTTGGCCCAGACGCCAGCTCAGTAACTTCAGATCCTCCATCCAGCTCTGAAAAATGGTAGAGCTCATAGTTGGGGTGTAAATTGAGGGGCCGAACTGCCTGAAGTTGAGTCCCCACCTGCTACATGTTTGCTTTGGAGCCCTGGATAAGCCTCTCCTTAGTCTCCTCCTCTGTCGAATGGGCTGCCCACAGAACTCATCTCATGGGGTGGCTATGAGGAATTAATAAGTGAATAGACTCAGAGCAGTGTCTGGGGCTGGGCACGGTGGCTCACGCCTGTAATCCCAGCATTTTGGGAGGCTAAGTCGGGTGATTACCTGAGGTCAGGAGTTCCAGACCAGCCTTGCCAACATAATGAAACCCTGTCTCTACTAAAAATACAAAAATTTAGCTGGGCATGGTGGCGGGCACTTGTACTCCCAGCTACTCAGGAGGCTGAGGCAGGAGAATCACTTGAACCCGGGAGGTGAATGTTGCAGTGAGCCGAGACCATGCCACTGCACTCCAGCCTGGGTGACAGAGCAAGACTCCATCTCAAAAAAAAAAAAAAAAAAAAAAAAGAGGCCGGGCGCGGTGGGTCACGCCTGTAATCCCAGCACTTTGGGAGGCAGAGGAGGGCGGATTATGAGGTCAGGAGATTGACACCATCCTGGCTAACACAGTGAAACCCCGTCTCTACTAAAAAATAGAAAAAATTAGCCAGGCATGGTGGCGGAACTTCAGTGCTGTGTATGAGTTTGTTAAATATTTTTAACATTTTTAACATTTTTTTTAATTTTATTTTTTGAGGCAGGGTCTCACTCTGTTGCCCAGGGTGGACTGCAGTAGCAACATCACAGCTCACTGCAGCCTCAATCTCCTGGGCTCAAGTGATCCTCCTGCCTCAGTTTCCCAAGTAGCTGGGACTGCAGGTGTAAACCATCACACCCAGCTAATTGTTTTATTTTTGGTAGAGATGGGGACTCCCTATGTTGCCCAGGCTGGTCTCAAACTCCTCAGCTCAAGCAGTCCTCCTGCTTCGGCCTCCTAAAGTGCTGGGATTACATGCGTGAGCCACCACAACTGGCCTTAAATAAAATTTAAAATAGAATCTTCAAAAACCCATTGAATAACCGGTACCATTCACAATAGAGATTTCTTTTTTTTTTTTTTTTTTTTTTTTTTTTTGAGATGGAGTCTTGCTCTTTTGCCCAGGCTGGAGTGCAGTGGTGCTATCTCGGCTCAGTGCAAGCTCCGCCTCCCGGTTTCACACCATTCTCCTGCCTCAGCCTCCCGAGTAGCTGGGACTACAGGCGCCCGCCACCACACCCGGCTAATTTTTTGTATTTTTAGTAGAGACGCGGTTTCACCGTGTTAGCCAGGATGGTCTCGATCTCCTGACCTCGTGATCCGCCCGCCTCGGCCTCCTAAAGTGCTGGGATTACAGGCGTGAGCCACCGCGCCTGGCCAACAACAGAGATTTATTTGGAAAGAATATGTTCATACAAAAACTTGTGCATAAATATTTATAGCAGCACTATTTATAATAGTCCCCCCAAACTGAAAACAACTTAAATATCCATCAACTAATGAATGATAAAGAAAATGTGGTCTATTCATACACAGTGAAGTATTTATTTAGCCATAAAAACAAGGCAGAATCTATACATGCTAAGATGTGGATGAACCTTAAAAATATTGTACCCTCAGGTGTCTTCTTATCACCAGACACATTCAAGATGTATACGTTAAAGACATATAGCTTTTTATGTGTCAATCACACCTGAATGAGGTAGTTTTAAAAATATATATTATAGTGGCTGGGCACAGTGGCTCACACCTGTAATCCTAGCACTTTGGGAGTCCAAAGTGGGCAGATCACCTGGGGCCAGGAGTTCGAGACCAGCCTGACCAACACGGTGAAACCCCATGTCTACTAAAAATACAAACATTAGCCGGGCGTGGTGGTGCCCATCTGTAATCCCAGCTACTCAGGAGGGTGAGACAGGAGAATCTCTTCAGCCTGGGAGACAAAGGTTGCAGTGAGCCAACATCAGGCCACTGCACCCCAGCTTGGGTGACAGTGAGACCCCGTATCGAAAAAAGAAGAAGAGGTGGGGCACAGTGGCTCACGCCTGTAATCCCAGCATTTTGGGAGGCCGAAGCAGGAAGATCACCTGAGGTCGGGAGTGAAGAAGAAGAATTGGGGAATGTGCTGAGGCCTCGAGCAGAGAGAGAGCCTGTGGGTCTGGTTCTTTTTTTTTTGAGATAGGGTCACACTCTGTCACCCAGGCTGGAGTGCAATGGAGCGAACTCGGCTCCCTGCAACCTGTCTCCCAGGTTCAAGCGATTCTCCTGCCTCAGCCTCCCGACTAGCTGGGATTACAAGCATGCACCACCACACTTAGGTAATTTTGTATTTTTAGGGAAGACGGGGTTTCTCCATGTTGGTCAGGATGGTCTTGATCTCCAAACCTCATGATCCACCTGCCTCGGCCTCCCAAAGTGCTGGGATTACAGGTGTGAGCCACCATGCCCGGCCCTGGTTCTTTACCACCCACTTGAGAAAAGAGACAAATAACCTAGACTCGACTCACAATGGACTGGGCAGAGCATGGCCTTCGGGACTCAGGCGACCTGAGCCACATGGCCTTTGTGTCCTCTATGCAAGGACCTCCACAAAGACACCACCACCCCACACACCTTCTGGGACCCGGGCATTCAAAGGACTGACGGACCCTCTCCAACACTGGATACTCCAGCTGCCTCCATTGTCTTAATTGTTTTTCTCTGTTTACCAAGATAATAAAAGCTCATTGTTTTGAACCCAATGATACGGAATGCTATCAAGAAAGAAAGGAAGGCTGAGCGCAGTGGCTCATGCCTATAATCCCAGCCCTTTGGGAGGCCAGGGTGGGAGGATCACTTGAGCCCAGGAGTTCAAGACCAGGCTGGGCAACATAGTGAGACCTCATTTCTATAAAAGTATTTATAAATTTTTATATAGTAGAATTTAAAAACTAGCCGGGTATGGTGGTGCATGCTTGTACTCCCAGCTAAGGCTGTACTCTGGAGACTAAGGCAGGAGGATGGCTTGAGCCCAGGAGTTCAAGGCTGCAGTGAGCCATGATTGCATCACTGCACTCCAACCTCAGCAACAGGGCGAGACTCTGTCTCAAAAAGAAAGAAAAAAGGGAGCAAAAGCCTGGGCCCAGTGGCTCGCGCCTCTAATCCCAGCACTTTGGGAGGCCAAGGCGGGCGGAACACTTGAGGTCAGGAGTTCAAGACCAGTCTGGCCAGCATGGTGAAACCCCGTCTCTACTAAAAATACAAAAATTAGTCAAGTGTGGTAGCACATGCCTGTAATCTCAGCTACTCAGGGGGCTGAAGCAAGAGAATCACTTGAACCCAGAAGGCGGAGGTTGCAGTCAGCCAAGATCATGCCACTGCACTCCAACCTAGATGACAAAGCGAGCGAGACTCCATCTTAAAAAAAAAATAGTTGGGAGGAGGAAAGATACCCTAGAATCCTTCTCTTTAGAAGCAAAATTCGTGGGAAGGGATTTGGAGAGAAATCTCTGTTTATTTGACTAGATAAATTTTTTAAGTGAGAGTATTAATTTTTAAAAATGTTTAAAGCCAGGTCTAGAAAGGTTACCTCAAAGCACAATTTTGTAATCAATTACTCAAGCCCAATTTCAGTCATTTGTGTCATTGTCAGTGGAGTTTTGAAGAAGCTAGGAGCATTTTGATTCTGAAGTCAGTTTTGTTAAACAGAAAAACTGAAAGGCCAGCTTTTCTGGTCACTCGGATGCAGTGAAAATAGCTGAGTTCATCTGAAACTTCCCCGGCATCTGACCCAATCTGAGGGCAAGTGTTTAACTGCGAAACAAAGACGAACATTAAGCATAGAAAACCCCTTTTGTGCTTCCACAGTGTGCAAGTTACGTTGAGTTATGCAGCTATTTTGGGGACAATAATGTTTTGTAAACAGTCGGCAAAGTGGCTTTGTTGGCAGTGTTGCTGTGGCTTGGGACCATTTCACAGACAAGGACTGTATGGAAGATAGAATGACAGGGTTGTGGCAGTCCCTCTGGAAAATACAAATGACTTAAATTAACGCAGGTACAGATAAGGAAGTTTTTTTTTTTTTTTTTTTTTTGAGACAGAGTTTCACTCTTCCCCCAGGCTGGAGTGCAATGGCACGATCTCGGCTCCCTGCAACCTCCGCCTCCCGGGTTTAAGCGATTCTCCTCTCTCAGCCTCCCGAATAGCTGGGATTACAGGTGCTTGCCACCATACCCAGCTAATTCTTGTATTTTTAGTAGAGACAAGGTTTTACCATGTTGGCCAAGCTCGTCTCGAACTCCTGACCTGAGGTGGTCCGCCCGCCTTAGCCTCCCAAAGTGTTGGGATTACAGGCATGATCCACCATACCTGGCCACAGATAATATAGATTTGAAAGCCTTTTTTTCACTCTACCCACAGGTGTCAGTACCTAGAGACTCAACAGCGAAGGGAGTAAATGGAGCCGTGCCTTCATTTGTGGAACCTGAAGCTTACAAAATATGTTTAACATACCCAATACAGGCAATGCGAGTACATTACTAGTGCTATTCATATAGTTTTTCTGTTGTTTTTGTTTTCTTTTCTTTTTTTCTTTTTCTTTTTTTTTTTTTTTTTGAGACAGAGTCTCGCTCTGTTGCCCAGGCTCGAGTGCAGGACTGTGTGTCCAGTCCTGTCTTATTCTATGAATAAGCACCCAGCCCCCATTTTCTTGATTTGTGAAATGGGGATGACTGTATGCCTATATGCGCCTCATAAGGTTGTCATGAAGATGAAAAGTGATTGTGTGTGTGTGTGTCTGTTTGCCTCGCACAGGGCCCAGTCCTACCAAGTGACAATAAGTGGTCGATAAACATAAATAATCACCCTTAGTTTAAGGCTCTGGCAGCTCACATGTTCTAAGACCCAAGCACTTGTTCATTCATTCATAAGAAGAGAGAAACTGTCCCCACCCTTCTCTGACAGTCCAAGGACCCATGGTTCTCTGCCATGAATCTGAGACACATTAACTATAGGATGGAAAACCATCTACTGCATGTGCTTAATAAATTCCAACTTAATTTGTCACGTTTAGGGTTCTGAAAATATTTACAATCATTGCACTTGAAAATAAGCCATGCCCATGAATATAGCACTTAAGGCTATATGAATAGGGGCCGGATGCAGTGAGTCACCCCTGTAATCCCAGCACTTTGGGAGGCCGAGGCTAGTGGATCACTTGAGGTCAGCAGTTCGAGACCAGCGTGGCCAACGTGATGAAACCCCGTCTATACTGAAAATACAAAAATTACCTGGGCATGGTGGTGTGCATCTGTAATCTCAGCTACTCAGGGGGCTGAGGCACGAGAATGGCTTGAACCTGGGAGGCAGAGGTTGCAGTGAGCCAAGATGGCACCACTGCACTCCAGTCTGGGCAACAGAGTGAGACTCAGTCTGGAAAAAGTAAAAGAAAATGGGGCTCAGAAAAGTTCAGCAACTTTGTTGTTGTTGTTGTTGCTGTTGTTGTTGTTGAGACGGAGTCTCGCTCTGTCACCCATGCTGGAGTGTTGCGGCGCAATCTCGGCTCTCTGCAACGTCTGCCTCCTGGGTTCAAGAGATTCTCCTGCTTCAGCCTCCCGAGTAGATGGGACTACAGGTGCGCGCCACCACGCCCGGCTAATTTTTCTTGTATTTTTAGTTGAGTTGGGGTTTCACCGTGTTACACGGGATTGTCTTGATCTCCTGACCTTGTGATCCACCCACCTCGGCCTCCCAAAGCGCTGGGATTACAGGTGTGAGCCACTGCACCCGGCTTAAGTTCAGCAACTTTCTAAAAACATACAACCAGAGCATGGCAGAGCACAGCAGAACCCTAAAGCATCTGAATTCACGTCCCTGGATCTCTTCACCATCCCCTGGTGTTCCACTCCCATTACGCAGAAGCAAAGTCACTCAGGCACTTGCAAAAACAGTAACGATCATAGCTGGATCTCAGTGAGCATTTGATCTGCGTCAGCCCCGTACCAGGAGCTTTATACACATTGACTCATTTAATCCACAGCATGACACCAGGATTTGGAAGCCAGGAGATTCCCATTGGTGATGGGGAGTGGAGGCTCATGGAGGTGAAGTGACTTGCCCCACAGTCACTCAGCTCGTCAATTGGGGAGCTAGAATATGACCCTAAGCCAGTTCCTGCCTCTTTGCTGTCCTAGAACCATCTGCCTGTAACAGCACAAGGTATGTGGATGATTTTGGTGATGCTTTTAAATCCTCTGTGTGACAATAAACATATACGCATGTAGATTCATAGAATAAGACAGGACTGGACACACAGGCACACACAGCCACCAAGAGATATGAAAGTCCCTGGATAGAAGGCTGGGGTTAAGCAGTCAGTGCTGGGGTGGGACAGATGGGGGTGGATGCTAATGTTTCTTACACTTTCAATACATTAATTTACAAGACTTCGGTGTAATAACAGCGACAGCATATTTTGTGAGCTCCTACTGTGTGCCCGGCACACAGCAAGGAGCACCAAGAACTATCTCATTTACTCCTCCCCGCAACCTTGTAGCATTGTCCCCATGTTACTGAGCAGGGAAGTGAAGTGCTCAGAGGCAGAGGGATGCAGCCAAGAAGGAATTCCACATCCACCTATGTCCAGCTTCTGCCCCCAGGGTGAAAAGACCAGTGATCCTGGGGGCCAAGGATCTGGCAGCCAATTCTAGGCCTCCAACTGACTTGCTGCACAACACAGAGTACATCACAAAGCAAACCTACCCACTCATTCTCTCTCTCGTCCCAGTGTCAGCTTCCTTAAAGGGGAGGGAAGGGGGTCTGTGAGCAGAAGGAGGGCTCTGTGGTCAAATGTGAGGTTCTAGAGTCTCCTTTGTGGGGATCTCAGCCCCGACTCCACCTCTGCGTAGATACAGAACTTAGTGTCATCCCTTCACCTGTCAAAGCCTCAGTTTCATGGAGGTTACATGGGAAAATAACAGCTATCGGGAATTGGAAGAAACATCATCTGTTAAGACAGTGCTGTAAACATTCAATAAACAGCTGTTGTCATTATCACCACCATTCCATTTATCACTGTGATATGCCATTATATGAAATGACAGCAGTGGCTTGGCCCCTGATACCTTTGTTTTCTATCAGGAGAGTCTAAAGTAAGGGAGCAGGTCAGCTTCAACAAGGAGAAGGAAGAAAGACTTTGTGTTTTGGTCACTGGGCCGAGGATAGGATGGTTGGACAGAGAGGTCACTGGATAGAAGTTAAACCCACCAGGTCAGCTGAGTAACTCACTAATTCCTTCTGATCTGGGAGTCTAAGGAGCTCCGTCTTCCTACCGCCATAGCTGATCTCAAGCCCCTCCAACTGTCACATGGGGGCCCAAGAATCAGGAGTCACTCACCGCCATGACCAGCTCAAACGGGTACTTGTAGACTCGGACAGGAGACTGGTATCTTTGCACCATGTTCACGCTGGAGCACCAATGGAGGTCACCAGGCAGGGGTGTGCACAGAGCCTGGGGCGAGGAGTGACTGGTGAGGTTGCAGCTCCCACCTCGGGAAGCAGGGACACCACCCACCAAGTGTAAGGGGCAGCCCCTGGCCCCACCCACACAGCTCCCCAGCCTTCAAATTGAGAAGGCTGATATTCCCCCCAAATTACTCCAGGCCAAGCCCCAACAGCTTCCCTGTCATTAGCCATGGCCCCAGACCACGCTCAGCCTTCCAAGAGCAGTCAGCACCCCCAAACTTTCCTCTACCCCCACCCCTTCACACTGAGGGCCCCCAGAAGCCTTACGGCCACCCACACAGACACACACACATTTGCAATTCTTACACTCCCACGGTTCTATTCACGCATGCACCCCGCAGCTTGCCACAGACTTGCTGGCCTACAGCCCACCCCCGAGTCTCCTTGCACCTGCCCTCCCATTTTCCTCCCAGACACCCTGACATACACACACAGCCTTCACCACATTTCACAGGCACTGTCTCTATCACACACATGTACACACGCAGGTTTCCCTCCCACACGGGACTGCTTTTGCACACGCCTCCAACTTTGCACACACACCCTGAAACACGCACCTGCCCAGCTCCACGCACGCAATTCCCCTGGTGTGCACAGACGTGCACACACGCACACACACCCGTGCGCACATGCACACACACGTACACACACGTAGAGGCAATCGCACACGCATGCACACACAGGTCCCCGCAGCTTTGCTCACCCTCGCCCTCGGGAGCCTTTGGGAATGCAGCCTAGGGGAAGTGCCCTGGAAGCCCGCCTGGCTCGGGAGCTGAGCGCTTACCCGCGCCCGCCTGGCCTGGAGCGCAGTACCTGAGGCGGGGCCCGATCGCGGATCTCTAGCCTGGTGTGTCCCGCCTTGAACACCCTGCGGCCAGGACAGCTGTGGAAGGCCGGAGGGGCGGGAGCGAAACCTGCCGGGCCGAGAGAGCTCCAGGACCCGGGACAGCGGAGATCCTGGCCTGGCCCCGCCCCTGACCTGGTCCCGCCCACGTCCCCGGCCATGGCCCCGCCCAGGTTGGCCCTGCCCCCTAACTGGTCCCGCCCCACTCTGGCCCCGCCCCAGGCGAACTCCCCCTGGTTCTAGCCCCGCCCCTTATTTTTAGATGTCGCTTGTTTGACCACGCCCTCAGCCCAGTCCTTTCTCTAGATTGGTCACACCTCAGGAAGTCCCCTCCCCCTTCACTGGCCCCGCCCTCCAAGGCCCTCAGCCTCGGGGAATGGTAGGCCACAGGACGACCCCGCCCTAATCTAGCTCTGCCTCCAAGCAGACCCTGAGTCCGGGCCGACCCGCCCCGGACCCTGCGTCTGGCCGACAGTACTGTTTACATTTGTAGATAAGCAGAATTTACGCTTTTCTTGCTCAGATTAACCTCGCCCTCGTCCCGCTGCACTTGGGTCTGACTGGCTCCTCCACCTGTCCCCGCCCCACGGCCCGCGCATGCACCTTCGCCCACTCTGCACACCTTCACAGAGCGCCTGCTGGGGGTCAGCCCTGTCCAGGCGCTGGAGAGCCGCCGGTGAGCCACACGCACGAATCCCTGCCCTCGTGGAGTTTATACTACGGTGGGGAGACAGACACTCAATAAATAAGGCAAATATATGATGTGTGAGGTAGTGAAAAACTCTAACGAGAGAAAAATAAGCAGGAAAGGGGCTCAAGGAGCCAGCGGAGAGAAAGGACAATTTAAAACAGGTAAGAGGCCGGGCGCCATGTCTCACGCCTGTAATCCAAACACTTTAGGAGGCGGAAGCGGGAGGACCGCTTGAACCCAGGAGTTGGAGACCACCCTGGGTAACATAGCAAGAACCTATCTCTACAAAAAAATTTTTTTTTAGTTTAGGCAGGGCGCGGTGGCTCACGCCTGTAATCCCAGCACACTGAGAGGCCAAGGCAGGCAGATCAGCTGAGGTCAGGAGTTCGAGAACAGCATGGCCAATATGAGGAAACCCCGTCTCTACTAAAATACAAAATTAGCCGGGCATGGTGGCGTATACCTGTAATCTCAGCTACTCGGGAGGCTGAGGCAGGAGAATCGCTTGAATCAAGGAGGCGGAGGTTGCAGTGAGCCGAGACTGCGCCACTGCACTCCAGCCTGGGCAAGAAGAACAAAGCTCCGTCGCAAAAAAAAAAAAAAAAAATTAGCCAGGCGTGTTGGCACGTGCCTGTGGTCCCAGCTACTCAAGAGGCTGAGGCAGGAGGATCCCTTGAGCCCAGAAGTTCAAAGCTGCAGTGAGCTGTTACCTGGCCACTGCACTCCAGCCTGGGCAACAAAGCAAGACTCGGTCTCAAAATAAATAAGTAAATAAATAAATAAAACAGGGAGTAAGGGGGCCTCCCTTGGGAGAGTGACATTTGTCCATCACTCTCATTTTAACTCACACTTAACCCCTTTCAGCCCTCCCAGGACTCCCAGGGGACCAACCTTGCTCCCAGAAGTCCTGCCTTGCCACTCCTCATCTGTTTAGCCTACAAGACCCAAGAAATTGGCTCTGGACAGTGCTGTCATCCATGTATTCACTCATTCAACATTTACTGAGCACCTACTACGTGCCACCGTGGGGTGAATTCACCCCTTCAAGCAGGGGAAGTCAGAGGTGGCCAGGGAGATGGACAACCCCTGATATATTTCAAGTATGTCACTGCACCCTGTGAAAATCACCTCTCTTCCCTTCCTAGCCTGCATCACATTCTAATATTGCATTTATTCGTTTTATATATCTGTGGGTTCCTGGAGGTCTCTCTCAGGAGACTGTGAGCTCCCTGAGGGCAGGGGCAGTGGCTGCCTTATTCAGCTGCCCGCATGTTGGGAAGGATCTTACTGGGGACCTGGCAGGCAGGCAGCAGGTGCCCAGCAGACTCTTGGCTTAGGTAATCAAGGGCGGAAATGGGACACAAAGTTCCCATCCCTGTCGCAAGGTGGCAGCAAATGATAGCCCATGGCTCCTGGAGTAACACAAGGGTGAGTAGGTGGGGGACATGGGATCCAGGGATGACTGTCCTAACCCGGGCTCATCCAGGAAATGCCCAGCTCTGCCCAGGCATCGCCACAGAGCAAAGTGAACGTTAACACCGTTAGCTGCTGTTACCACCACGAAAGGCGTTAAGTCCGCCTCTCCTGCTGCCCAACATTGAGGGAGGACAATGACTGCGTGGGAGACAGAGGTGTGACAGCCCTGCGGGTACAGAGAGCTCAAAGTGGAAACTGGGGCCTGGAGGGGAGTGAGAACCCCACTCCCTCCTCCTCCAGCCCCAGGGAAGGGAATTAATAACGCCACCAACACTCACTCCAGCTTTTTTTGGGTTTTGGGGTTTTTTTTTTACGTGGAGTCTTGCTCTGTTGCCCAGGCTGGAGTGCAGTGGCGCAGTCTCGGCTCACTACAACCTCCGCCTCCCAGGTTCAAGCAATTCTCCTGCCTCAGCCTCCCGAGTAGCTGGGATTACAGGCGCTTGCCACCACACCTGGCTAATTTTTGTATTTTCAGTAGAGACAGGTTTCATCATGTTGGCCAGGCTGGCCTCAAACTCCTGACCTCAGGTGATCCACCCGCCTCAGCCACCCAAAGTGCTGGGATTACAGACATGAGCCACCACACCTGGCCCAGTTGCCTATTATTACTGTTCTACTAATTATTCCTACCACTTGTTGACACTCCATTGGCGCTTACTATACCTAGCACCATTCTAAAGCTTTACAAACACGAATGCATTTAATCCTCAAAGCAACCCCAGAGCAATGAAAATGTCTTGGAATGTGATAGAGGTGGTGGTTGCACAACGTTGCAAATGCACATGCCACTGAATTGGGGCCACAATATTAAAATGATTAATTTTCTGTTACGTGGCTTTCATCTCAATTAAAAGCCCATATACAGTCAAAACTATTTTAATCCTCATCTTACACGTAGGGAAACTAAGGCACAAGGCACAGAGAGACTGAATAACTTGCCCAAGGCCACACAGCTAGTAAGGAACTCATACCCAGGACTCTCGTTCTCCAATGACTTCTTCTCCTAGAGCTGCAGCTGATGCTCCGGGAAGATGTGATTTCCAAGCCCTGAACTGCAAGATCTCCAGGCACCCTGGCTCCAGGACAAGAAGGCGCTGCAAGGATAGGCTGATTCCCCAGGGGTGCTGGGCATGAACTCAGTCCCAGGGCAGGATCTTTAGCCTCTATCTGCTGCTTCCCACCTGCCCTGCAAGAATGACCCAGCCAATGCTGCCTTTTGTGGAGGTGGGTTTTGGGAACCCCAGAAACCACCTCATGTCTCTGAATGTCTTCCCAGCAGATGGGCCACTGCCAGAGAAGATTCAACCATTAGTGATGCATTTGTTTGAGTAAAACTCTGGACCCCATCCAAAGGCAGATGTTCCTGGAAGGCATCCTGCTGGGAATGTCCTGAGTTGAATGGCTCAGTGTGACATTGAGAATGGGGGTTAAGACCCTGGAATACATAATGGGCCCTGGGATGGCTCTGAAGCTGAAGAAGATGCAGTAAGCAGGGTACGGTCCCCAGCTTAATTTTATTGTGGCAAAATGGTCCGAGCACAGTGGCTCATGCCGGTAATCCCAACAGTTTGGGAGGCCGAGGTGGGCGGATCACCTGAGGTCAGGAGTTCGAGACCAGCCTGGACAACATGGCAAAAACCTGTCTCTACTAAAAATGAAAAAATTAGCCAGGCATGGTAGCGCATGCCTGTAATCCCAGCTACTCAGGAGGCTGAGGTAGGAGAATCACTTGAACCTGGGAGGTGGAGGGTGCAGTGAGCTGAGATCACACAACTGCACTCCAGCCTGGGCAACAGAGTGAGACTCCATCTCAAAAAAAAAAAAAAAAAAGAAAAAAATCAGCTGGGCACGATGGCTCATGCCTGTAATCCCAGCACTTTGGGAGACCGAGGTGGGCAGATCACCTGAGGTTGGGAGTTCGAGGCCAGCCTGATCAACATGAACAAACCTCGTCTCTACTAAAAATACAAAATTAGCTGGGTGTGGTGATGCATGCCTGAAATCCCAGCTACTGGGGAGGCTGAGGCAGGAGGATCGCTTGAACCCGGGAGGCAGAGGTTGCGGTGAGTCAAGATCATGCCATTGCACTCCAGCCTGGGCAACAAGAGAGAAACTCCATCTCAAAAAAAAAAAAAGCACATAACACAAAAGTTACCATTTTAACCATTTCTTAGTGTGCTGCATGCCTGTAATCCCAGCTACTCAGGAGGCTGAGGCAGGAGAATTGCTTGAACCCAGCAGGTGGAGGTTGCAGTGAGCCAAGATCATGTCATTGCACTCCAGCCTGGGTGACAGAGCGAGACTCTATCTCAAAAAAAAAAAATGCACATAACACAAAAGTTACCATTTTAACCATTTCTTAGTGTACAATTCTCTGGCTTTTGGTATATTCACAAGATGCACGTACAGCCAGCACCACTTTCTAGTTTTGGAACATTTTCATCACCCCAAAAGGAAACTCATACCCATGAAGCTGTCACTCCTCCTTCCTCCCTTCCCGCAGCCCCTGGAAACCATCCATCTGTTTATCTGCTTCCTGGGGGACATCTCATTCGTCCCGGGTGGCCTCTACGTTGTGTTGCTTCTTGCCCCTTCTCGAAGCAGAGCCCTGAGGCCTCCTGGATTTGGGAATCTCCAGGGCTATCATGATGGTTGGCAGGGCTGTTACGTACAGGTGTATAGGTTGTAACCTGCACAACTCTGTGGAACAGTCCTGGTCATGGGAGCAGCTTTGACTGAGCAGAGGCTGAGTCTGAGGCAGTCTGACCCAGGGGGCTACACAGCCAGGACCCACCCACCTTGACCCCCAGCCGGGCACCCAAGTCCATTCACTTCACAAAGACTTCTGGGCTCCACCAACTGCTACATGAAGCCCAAAGGAGAGAATGGAACACAGCGGGAGGAGGGTGGCCCAGGGGATGGGAGGGGTGGCCCTGTGGGAGGGGTCAGGTGGCCGGGCACTTGGGGCGGGTACAGGAGTCAGACCAACCTTGATGTGCGTTCTGACCCTGCCACCCCCTAGCTTTGTTGCCTCAATGTCCCCTCTTTTTTTTTTTTTTTTTTTTTTGAGACAGAGTCTCACTCTATCGCCCAGGCTGGAGTGCAATGGCGTGATCTCGGCTCATTGCAAGCTTCGCCTCCCAGGTTCATGCCATTCTCCTCCCTCAGCCTCCCGAGTAGCTGGGACTACAGGCGCCCACCACCACGCCCGGCTAATTTTTTTGTATTTTTAGTAGAGACGGGGTTTCACCGTGTTAGCCACCATGGTCTCGATCTCCCGACCTTGTCATCCACCCGCCTCGGCCTCCCAAAGTGCTGGGATTACAAGCATGAGCCACTGCGCCCAGCCAATGTCCCCTCCTTTTAACATGGGGTAACATGGGCTGTGCACAGTGGCTCACGGCTGTAATCCCAGCACTTTGGGAGGCTGAGGTGGGTGGATCACCTGAGGTCGGGAGTTTGAGACCAGCCTGGCCAACATGGCAAAACCCATCTCTGCTAAAAATACAAAAATTGGCTGGCGTGGTGGCGCACCCCTGTAATCCCAGCTACTCGGGAGGCTGAGGCAGGAGAATTGCTTGAACCCGGATTGTGGAGGTTGCAGTGAGCTGAGATCATGCCACTATACTCCAGCCTGGGCAATAGAGTGAGACTCCATCTCAAAAAAAAAAAAAAATAGGGGTAACATGAAAAATTATTCAGCATTAGAGAGGAATAAAGCACCCACACGCACTACGACTTGGATGAACCTGGAGGACATTATGCTGAACGGGCAAGAACTGAGTGATTCCACATCTGAGTCACCTAGAGGAGCCCAATCCACAGGGACAGAAAGAAGAACGGTGGCGGGGCTAGGGGCTGGGGGGAGGGGCATGGGGAGTTAATTAATGGACACAGAGTTTGGGTTTTAGAAGATGAAAAGAGTTCTGGGCCGGGCACAGTGGCTCGCGCCTGTAATCCCAGCACTTTGGGAGCCCGAGGCGGGCGGATCACGAGGTCAGGAGTTTGAGACCAGGCTGGCCAACATAGTGAAACCCCATTTCTACTAAAAATACAAAAATTAGCCGGCCATGGTGGCACGCACCTGTAATCCCAGATACTCGGGAGGCTGAGGCAGGAGAATCGCTTGAACCCAGGAGGCGGAGGTTATGGTGAGCCAAGATTGCACCACTGCACTCCAGCCTGGGCAACAGAGCGAGACTCTCAAAAAAAAAAAAAAAAAAAAAGGAGTTTTGGAGATGGATGGTGTGATGGTTACACAATAATGTGAATGCCACTGAACTGCACACTGAAAAATGATTAATTAAGATGGGCAATGTTTTATATATATCTTACTGCAATAAAAAAAATAACAGGAGCTGGTCTGAGTGCAGTGGTGTTTACAACTAATTGTCTCAACCCGTTGCAGATGTGTTTGTTTTGTTTTGTTTTGTTTTGTTTTCTCCACTCCCACTGCTTCACCTGATTAGCCTTGTTTTAAAAAATCACATTGAGGCCAGGCACAGTGGCTCACTCCTATAATCTCAGCACTTTGGTAGGCCAAGGTGGGCAGATCATCTGAGGTCAGGAGTTCGAGACCAGCCTGGACAACATGGTGAGACCCTGTCTCTACAAAAAAATACAAAAATTAACCAGGCGTGGTGGCAGGCCCCTATAATCCCAGCTACTCGGATGGCTGAGGTATGAGAATCGCTTGAACCTGGAGGCAGAGGTCGCAATGAGCCGAGATTGTGCCACTGCACTTCAGCTTGGGTGACAGAGTGAAACCCCGTCTCAAAAAAAAAAAAAAATCACATTGGAAACTTTTTTTTTAATGGGGTTAACCATAGTGTTATCCTGAAGGTTGGTGGAAATTGCGTGAGGAAAAGTAATTGCACAGGGACCACCAGAGGACCCGGGTACATGTTTGTAACTGTGCGGGCTTAGAAGGAGGGGCATTTCCCACGGGAATTTAGGGTGAAGGGGAGTGAGGACTTGACGTTGGACATTTGAGGGGGTGGCCAACACAGTATAGGAAGGTGATAACTCTGCCTTTTGGAGATACAGAATTCATTTATTTAAAGTATGCAATTCAGCTGGGTCTGATGGCTCACCTCTATCATCCCCGAACTTTGGGAGGCCGAGCCAGGAGGATTGCTTGAGGCCAGAAGTTCCAGGCTGCAGTGAGCAATGATCACACCACTGCACTCCAGCCTCAGCAGTACAGCAATACCCTTGGCTGGGCACAGGGGATCACACCTGTAATCTCAGCCCTTTGAGAGGCCAAGGAGAGAGGACCAGTTTAGCCCAGGAGTTCAAAACCAGCATGGGCAAAATAGTAAGGCTCCAGTCTCTACAAAAAATTTTAAGGCCGGGTGAGGTGGTTCACGCCTATAATCCCAGCACTTTGGAAGGCCGAGGCAGGCAGATCACAAGGTCAGGAGTTCAAGACCAGCCTGACCAACATAGTGAAACCCCATCTGTACTAAAAATACAAAAAAAATTAGCCGGGCATGGTGGCAGGCACCTGTACTCCCAGCTACTTGGGAGGCTAAGGCAGGAAAATTGCTTGAACCCGGGAGGCAGAGGTTGCAGTGAGCCGAGATCGTGCCACTGCACTCCAGCCTAGGCAACACAGCAAGACTCTGTCTCAAAAAAAAAAAAGTAAAAATAAAAAACAGGGGCCGGGCGTGGTGGCTCATGCCTGTAATCCCAACAGTTTGGGAGGCCGAAGTGGGCAGATCACCTGAGGTCGGGAGTTCAAGACCAGCCTGACCAACATGGAGAAACCCTGTCTCTACTAAAAATACAAAATTAGCCGGGCGTGGTGATGCATGCCTGTAATCCCAGCTACTCAGGAAGGCTGAGGCAGGAGAATCACTTGAACCTGGGAGGCGGAGGTTGCGGTAAGCTGAGATCGCGCCACTGCACTCCAACCTGGGCAACAAGAGCAAAGCTCCATCTCAAAAAAAAAAAAAAAAAAAAAAAAAAAAGGAGAGAGAGAGAGAAAGACCCTGTCAAAAAAAAAAATAAAAAAAAAAAGAGTGCCATCCAGCCGGTTTTGGTAGTTTCAGAGTTGCACAACCATCAGCATGGTCAATTTGAGAGCACTATCATCACCTGTGCCCCTTAGCAGTCACTCGCCACTCCCCTCTCCCCAGCAGCCACAGTCTCCTTTCCATCTCTACGAATTCACCTCTGAACATTTCACAGGCAGGATCGTATAATATGTGCCGTTGTGTATCTGGCTTTTCTTACTGAGCCTAATGTGCTCACGGTCAACCATGCTGAAGCGCATGTCAGGCCTTCACTCCCCTTTTTTTTTTTTTTTTTTTTTTGAGACACAGTCCCACTCTGTCACCCAGGCTGGAGTGCAGAATCGCGATCTCAGCTCACTGCAACCTCCGCCTCCCGGGTTCAAGCGATTCTCCTGCCTCAGCCTCCTGAGTAGCTGGGATTACAGGCGCCCACCACCACACCTGGCTTATTTTTTTGTATCCGTGAGTGGCTTCTGTTGTGGGTTAGATTGCACTGAGTGCCATGATTGGTGAGCAGGGAAAGAGGGTGGGAAGTGCAGGGCAGATTACAATGTAGGGACCAGGTGGGCTGCGCTGAGAAGGTGACTTGGCACAAAGGCTTGGAAGAAGAGCAGGGGGTCCACGTAGAGAGTGGGGCCAAGGGGGCAGCCGATGCAAAGGCCCTGAGGCAGGAGCATACTTGGCGTGTTTGAGTATTGGGGAGGCGGTCAGTGTATCGGGGGTAGAGTTAGTGGGAGGGAAGTGGCGGGGAAGAGAGCAGACTCTGAGGGGAGCCTGAGGGAGGGGGTCTCATGGGTTATCTGGCTCTGATGCTGAGGTACTCAGAGTGTCTGGGAGGTATGGGACAGGGGAGTCTGCTGACTTCACTTTAGCCCTCTGGTTGCTGTGTTGGGAATAGATTGTAGTTGACCACGGTGGAGGAGGGGGAAGGGTGCAGAGAGCACGGAGGAGGAGCCAGGAGGAGGGAGGCCACCAAAGTGACCTCAGGAATCTGGAGGTGAGGGGGTGAGACCCTAGATCTCTTGCCCAGGTAGATGCTGTAGGAATGGAAAGGGAGACCCAGGAGAACCAGGAAGGGGAAGCTGTTCCTAGAGAGCGCATCCGTGGAGCGGATGCAGACAGAGGAACCTGGGGAAAACGACCTCTTGTCATTGGAGCCGGACAGTCCCACCTGAAGGTCAGCTCAGGTCTTCAGGAGCTCTCAGTGTGTGATTCTGACCACCAAGCAGGGGTCAGAACAAGGGACTGGCCGCTGGGGAGGGGCCACAGGCACCAACACCCAAAGCTCAGCCCCATCAACACAGCGACTCCAGGGACCCCCCAGCTCAGTGCCTGAGGCCTCAGCTGCCACCCAGCCCCTCTAGGCTGCCCCTGCCAAGAAGAGGACCAGGGACCCGAGCTGTCCTCTTCTCCATGCCTGGGCCCAGGTGGACCCTGCGACAGCCACCAGATGCACGCTGCTACTTACGTTTGCATTAATTAAATTCTGTAAATATGAATATGCTCTATATTTACATAAATAACAATACACATAAACAATAAAATTAACAATTCAGGCTGGGCGTGGCGGCAGGCGACTGTCATCCCAGCACTGTGGGAGGCTTAGTCCGGAGGATGGCTTGAGCTCGGGAGTTCAAGGCACCCTGGGCAACACAGTGAGAATCTCCCATCTCTACAAAAAATAAATTAATGGATTAAAATGAATTTTTAAAAATTAACAATTCAATTCCTCAGTTGCACTAGTCACATTTCACGTGCTCAGTAGCCACATGTGGCTTGCCGCCTCCATGTATACAGAATATTTCCATTGTCACAGGCAGTTTTATTGGACAAGGCTACACTGAGGTCTCCCCACCCCCAACCAGTGGAGGGGGGCCTTTTGGCTGGGGACAGGGGACAGGATGGTCTGGGTAGCGGGAGGTCAGGGACTCCAGGGCTGAAAGGAGGAGTATTTGCCCAGAGCGGAGTCCTGGGCGTGTGTGGGGATTAAGCCTGAGCTTGTGATTAGAGAATGGCCTGGGAGGCGGCTGATGGGGGCTTGGCTGCCTGGGCCCAGCAGGAATGTTTGAGCTCAGCAGAGAGCGTGAACAAAGAGTGGAGGCAGAGCCAGGCAGGCAGGCAGGTGGAGGACGAGCTCACGGAGACACAGGGCAGCTCCGTTCTGAAGCGGAAATGGCAAAACACGACACCTAATAGCAGGCAGCTTCCTTTTTTCACTTGCTACACCCTCAGCTTCCCTGTGAGGCCCACAGGCCTCCCCGAATTCCTCCCAGACTAGGGCAGTTTTGTAATTTACCACCGCTTCCCCCACTGATGGGCACTTAGGTTATTTCATTTGTAAAAAATGTGGTTATCTGTTTGCTTTTCTGTCCCTCCTCCCTTCCAAGACAGGGGGCCCCCAGGATGTGAGGGATGTATCGTGTTTGCTACTATATCCCCAGAGCCGGGTACACAGTAGGTGCTCAATAAATGGATGAGTGACTTGTGGGAGGTATTGTGGGGGCAAGAGGTCGAGATCCTCCACGGGGGTTGGGGAGGAGCCTGGCTCCTGGGAAATGTCAGTGATGCAGAAAACACGATGAGGGAACCTGACGCCCTGCAAGCTAAGGCCTCCCCTTCCTCACCGGGTCCTCAACCACCCTCAGACTGGAGTCTGGCCACTTTCCTCATAGTGTCCCTGGGCCCCCACCTGACGGTGACTCTGTGCCGACTGCAGACTTTGTCTCCTGGGGCACACAGAAGAGGCGCCATGATCCACCCAAGGGGACCTCAAACTTACATTGTTTGTCCATTCCCACTCCTGTCTCCCACAGCAAGCTCCCTGGGAGCAGGAACCTGAGTCTATTGTACTTGATCTTGAATCCTGAGTGCCTAGAACAGGACTTGTCACGTAGCAGGTGCTTAGTAAATATTTGACAAATGAAGGGATGGATGGATGGATGGATAGATGGATGGATGGATGGATGGAGGAAGGGAGGGAGAGAGGGAAGAATGGAGGGATGAAGATATGGATGGATGGATGCAGGAATGGAGGGATGAAGAGATGGATGGAGGAATGGAGGGATGAAGAGATGGATGGATGGATGGATGGATGGATGGAGGAATGGAGGGATGAAGGGATGAAGAGATGGATGAATGGATGGATGGAGGAAGGAAGGGAGGGAGGGAAGGAGAGATGGAGGGATGGAGAGATGGAGGGATAGATGGATGAATGGATGGATGGATAGATGGATGGATGGAGGGATGGATGGATGGATGGAGGGATGGATGGATGGATGAACAAACCAATGAACCTCTTCTCTTCCATCATAGTTTTAACTTAGGACCTACTAACCCTTTCCTGGTCCTCCCCTAAGGGGACCTTCTCCGGGATCACAACAGTACACTGGTCCTCCCACTCATTCATTTATTCATTCAACAATGACACTGAACACCCACTCTGTTGCCCAGGCTGGAGTGCAGCAGTACAATCTCGGCTCACTGCAACCTCCACCTCCTGGGTTCAAGTGATTCTCCTGCCTCAGCCTCCTGAGTAGCTGGGATTACAGGCACCCGCCACCACGCCTGGCTAATTTTTATATTTTTAGTAGAGACAGGGTTTCGCCATGTTGGCCAAGCTGGTCTCAAACTCCTGACCTCAGGTGATCCAACCTTTTCAGCCTCCCAAAGTGCTGGGATGACAGGCGTGAGCCACCGCGTCCAGCCTAAAATTTTTTAAAATGTGCCCTTTCTTGCATGTTCATCACATCTCAATCAAGCTGGAAGAAAAAGTGCCAGCCTCCAAGCCTGGTACTCAGCACGTGGCCTGGTTTATAGTAAATGCCCAACAAAAGTTACTATTTGCCATGATTCCATGTCTTCCTTTATTGAGACTTTTCAAGACCCTACAGAGCAGGTGTCAGAGTGTCCCCATTTTGCAGATGGGGAAACTGAGGTTAAGAGAGGTGAAGACATTTGCCCAGGGTCACACAGTTAGGAAATAGATCAGTTGAGATTTGACACCTCAGCTCACTGGCTCTTCCCCATGGTACAGAGAAGTTAAGCCACCAGCCCACAGTCCCGCAGCTGGGTGCATGGCAGAGCCAGGGTTCAAACCCAGGTTGGCTTCAAACTAAACCCTAATTTGGCTTTGTGTTCGGCCCCTTGTGGCCTAGTCTGTCCATCACTGAGTCATCCTGGCTTGGGAGGAAACGGGGCCCTGACCTCCTGACCTGGGCTGTCCTCCATCACACCTGGCACCGGCCCCAAAAATGCAGCCCCACCAGTCTGGGCAGTGTGAGGTGAGGTGGGGCAGGGAGGAAGCAGGCTTGGGCGTTGGACAGAAGATGGGAGTTTTGGGGCTGGGTTGGGCAGCCTGTCCTGCCGGGATCCTGAGCCAGCAGAGCCTGTCCGGCCCCACCCAGCCCCTCTTTCTGCCCTGACAGTGTGACTTCCTCACTTGATGTACCCACCCCTGAGAGGCCTAGGGCCAGGCTTGACAAGTGGGATCCAAGATGTGTAGCAGGTTGTGTCAGAAAGTGCCCCGGGGGCTGGGCGCAGTGACTCACTCCTATAATCCCAGCACTTTGGGTGGCAGAGGCAGGAGGATCATTTGAGCCCAGGAGTTTGAGACCAGCCTGGACAACATAGCGAGACCCCAACTCTACAAAAAAGTTTTTTAAATTAGCCAGGCGTGGTGGCGCCCCTGTGGTCCTAGCAACTCAGGAGGCTGAGATGGGAGGATTGCTTGAGCCCAGGAGTCTGAGGCTACAGTGACTTGTGATCATGCCACTGCACTTCAGCCTTGGTGACAGAGCAAGACCCTGTCTCAAAGAGAAGAAGAAAAAGGAATGTGGCCCAGGGTTCAAGATGAAGTGTCTGAAATCCCAAAAACCTGGATCTGCAAGATGGGCTGATGGGCTTTTCATAGTCACGGTGGACCCCAGCCATGGGTGGGGCAGAGTCGAAGAACCCTTTGCTGAGCCCACGGCTAACCCCTCAGTGGCTGGGGAGGGGAAAAACCAGGGTGGCCAGGGGCTCAGAGCAACCGCTATTTAACTACCGGTTGGGAGCTATTTCAATATTTTGATAACACACAGGGCTGTACAGGTGCATTCAGGAGAGAGCCAGGAGGCGGTCATCGGAGCAGCGGCTCCCTGGGCCGGCAGGAGGGCGGGGCTGCCTGGCAGGCAGGGAGAAGTGGCATTCTGCCAGGGGGCCCGGGCGGGTAGGGGCCTGAGGCACATTCTCAGGGGATGACTCAGGGGCAGGCAGAGCATGACTCACCGTAGACCCTCTCCTGCTCCAGCTGCCAGGGCCTGGCCTCCCCTCTGGCCCCAGGAGAACTGTGGGGAGCTCACAGGGCCCCCAGCCCAGAGCTGAGCGTGAGTCAGCCCATGTGGGCTGGAGGGCCAGCACAATTTTCCACTCCTTGAATTGTCCTGTAAGAAAAGTAAACACATGTTACAAAACAGGGGTGAAGCTGGGCCAGCCCCCTCCTGTCCCCTCGGAGCAGGGACAGGAGCAGGGCCTTCATGCCAGGGGCTGTGCACACATCCCTGCCCACCGGCTCTTCCCAATTTTACAGATGGGGAAACTGAGGTCTAGAGAGGTTAAGAGAGCCACCTGCCCAAGGTCACACGGCTAAGGTGTGAGGTGGAGCCAAGTTTCAAACCCAGGTTTCAGGCTGAAACCTGTAAGTGTATCCCGGCTGTGGGCAGACCAGGGCTGGAGTTACTGCAACATCTGTTTCTGTTCACAGCCGTGTTTCTCAGGGTGGCCCCAAACTCACCTGCCTCAGCATCCCACGGAGTAGGTGTTTGTTAAAATGCAGATTCCTGGCTGGGTGCGGTGGCTCACGCCTATAATCCCAGCACTTTGGGAGGCTGAGGCTGGTGGATCATTTGAGGTCAGGAGTTTGATACCAGCCTGGCCAACAGGGTGAAACCCCATCTCTACTAAAAATACAAAAATTAGCCAGGTGTGGTGGTGCATGCCTGTAATCCCAGCTACTCAGGAGGCTGAGGCAGGGGAACTGCTTGAGCTTGGGAGGCGGATGTTGCAGTGAGCCGAGATTGTACCACTGCACTCCAGTTTAGGCAAGAGAGTCAGACCCTGTCTCAAAAAAAATGCAGATTCCTTGGTGGCTCATGCCTGTAATCCCAGCACTTTGGGAGGCTGAGGCAAGAGATTGACTTGAGCCCAGGCATTCAAGACCAGCCTGGGTAACACAGCGAGACCTCATCTCTATAATTAATAAATAAATAAATGCAGATTTCTCGGCCCTGCCAAGACTCACCCAACCGTAATCTCTTCCAGGGAGGGACCCTGGAATCTGCATTTGTAAATGCACCCCAAGTTGGGGTGCATACAGCCACAGATGGGAGAATGGCTGTCTCGGAGAGGGCTCGGGATATATCCCACATGTCCCTCTGTCCCGGGCTGGGCGAATGCTGCCCCTCTTGTTTCAAACTGGTTCACAGGCGAATACCCCAAACACCTCTCCAGCTGCTAGGGCAACAGTGATGGCAAACAAGGAGGGCGGGCGTGAGGAACCCTTCCGAAGTTGGTGGCCTCCCATGAGCTGGCTGCCTGGTCTGGCTGCAGGAACACAGGTTTCAGGGTCGCTGAGGGTGGCCTGGTTGCCAGGGAACAAATGGCCCTGAAGGTGCGAGCAAACTCGAGGAAAGCAAGCACCCTCCCCCACCCCGGCAGGCTGGCCCTCCACCCACGGCAACAGAGGGGATGAGTCACTTGGCAGGAGAGGGCTTCGCGGATCCAAACAAATCCCATCTGCCCAGAGGAGGATGCATGGGGTGAGAACGGATCTCCCACCCCATCCGGCCTGCCCACAAACGTGTGGTGTGTGCACGTGTGTACACATGTGCGCACACACACAGCCATGGGAGCTCCTAGCCCAGCTCCTAGAGAATGGAGAGGGGAGGGATGGTGAAGCGCCACTCAAATTCCTCCCTAAATCTGCTAATTCTACCCGCCACTCCTGGGCCAGGCTCAGCTGAGTCAGCGGGAGACCAGCCCAGCTGCCCCAAGCCCGAGCCCAGGAATTAGAACTCTGAAGAGTGGAGGGAGGCAGAGGTTCAAGAGCTCAGTCCAGGAGCAGGCTGACCCAGGTACCAGCCCAAATGGGCCCTGTGCTTCTCAGGGCCCATTTCCTTCCCTGAAAAGTAAGACAAGAGAGGCCAGGCACCGTGGCCCATGCCTGTATTCCCAGCAGTTTGGAAGGCCAAGGTGGGAGGATCACTTGAGCCCAGGAGTTCTCAACCAGCCTGGGCAACAGCAAGACCCCGTATTTACAAAAAATTTAAAAATTACCCAGGCTTCCTGGTGTGCATCTGTAGTCCCAGCTACTCAAGAGGTCGAGGTGGGAGAATCGCTTGAGTCCAGGAGGTCGAGGCTGCAGTGAACTATGATCACACCACTGCACTGCAGCCTGGGCGACAGAACGAGACCCTGTGTCTTAAAATTAATTAAAGAAAATAAGACAAGGAAGTGGCTACCTCCCAGGCAGGGAGCACTGCCCTGCTTCACCCAGTGGGGGTGGTTGGGCACGTGCCATGGTGCCTGGCACAGAGTCAGCCCTCAATAAACAAGAGGTGACATTACTATTATCAATGCCGTCACTGTTATTCAGCAGCTGAGCTAGAATTCACTGCTGACCTAGAGGTCCCTGATCTGGTTCCCTCCCGCAAACCAACTCTTAACCTTCCTAGGAGTTGTAGGGAAAGGGGATTTGGCAGGTTGGAGAAGCCGAGAGTTTTGACACTGTTTGGAGCTCCTGTAGTCACTTGTGCCCGTCAGTCCCGCAAACACACAGTCTCTAGCTACAGAGAGAATTCCCTCCCCTTCGTTAGGGGCTACCTAACTGCCAGGGGACATACTGAATGCTTAACACACAGCCTTTCACCCTGTGAAGTTGATGCTAGGTTTGCGCCCACTTCCCAGATGAGGAAAACTGAGGCTCAGAGAGGCAAAATGATTTGCCCGTATTCACACAACTGAAAGGGACTGAGCGGGGATTCAAACCGAGATCTGGGCCGGGCGTGGTGGCTCACGCCTGTAATCCCAGCACTTTGGGAAGCCAAGGCGGGCAGATTGCTTGAGGTCAGGAGTTAGAGAGCAGCCTGACCAACATGGCGAAACCACGTCTCTATAAAAAATACAAAAATTAGCCGGGTGTGGTTTCATGCACCTGCGGTCCCAGCTACTTGGGAGGCAGAGGCAGGAGAATCACTTGACTCCAGGAGGTAGAGGTTGCAGTGAGGCGAGTTCGCGCCACTGCACTCTAGCCTGGGTGACAGAGCAAGACTCCATCCATCTCAAAAAAAAAAAAAAAAAAAATGGCCAGGCGCAGTGGCTCACGCCTGTAATCCCCACACTTTGGGAGGCCAAGGCGGTGGATCACTTGAGGTCAGGAGTTCAAAACCAGCCTGACCAACATGGTGAAACCCCATCTCTACTAAAAATACAAAATTAGCTGGGCGTGGTGGCACACACCTGTAATCCCAGCTACTTGGGGGGCTGAGGTAGGAGAATGGCTGGGAGGCGAAGGTTGCAGTGAGCCAAGATCGCGCCACTGCACTCCAGCCTGAGCAACGAGAGTGAAACTCCATCTCAAAAAGAAAAGAAATTCAAACTTCTTTCTTGTCCTTTTTGGGGAGATTCAGCAACGGTTTCTCATGTATCCTTCCAGAAGTTTTTTGTGCATAGACAAGCATGTTACACACCACACACTCTGTCTTTCCCTCTTTCTTTTGCACTTTGCATCTGGCACTCCACTCCATGTTAGTCTACATATGGTCTCCACATCTGCCCCTTTTCCAGCTGCAGGGTCTTCCTGGTGTAGGCAGCCCTGGTTACCGGACCATCCCCCTCCAAATAGGCAGCAGTTTCTTTACAGAGCTTCTCCATTAGCAACTGTGTTGCCAAAAGCATCCCAGGATGCACACTTAGTACAAGGTCAGCAACACTGCTGCAGTGACCATCCTCAAGGCATGCTGAGCCCGGAGTAAGAGCCCACCTGTGGGGAAAGGTATGGGGAACGAGAAAGGAGAGGGTGTCCAGGCATAGGCAGACCAGGGGGCGACAGCAAGGACGCACAAGTTCCCTGGGAACCCCTCTTGGGGTATGGGGAAGGGGTCTGTGTGCTGAGCCAGCTCCATGTTGAGTTCAGGCTTCTGCGGGTGCAAGGTGACTCCCCGCACACCTGTGTTCTGAAACCCCAGCTCCTCTCTAACACCTGCTCCCAATATCAGCTGGCTGGAGGAAGCATCCCTTCGGGGCCCTGAGATCTAGGCAAGGAAGTCACTTTTGGACGAGGGAGGGCATTGTCATGCCCTTACCTGCCAATGAGAAATGCCCACCTGGGGGCGGCACCCGAAACTGAGCCAGGCAGAGCCGAGTTGGGGAAGGACTGGGTTTGCTGGGGAGGTCTGTTCAGGGCTGTCTGCCTGAGCAGCTGGGAGGCTGCACACACTGAGGCCTCAGACCACCCAGGGAAGCTTGTCCAGATTTCAGATTCTTAGGCCCCTCCCTCTTCAGACCCCCCCAATCAGGATGTCAAGGGTCCCAGGGCCCCAGAATATGCCTTTTACAAACTCCTGTAGAGATTCTAAGGTGCAACAATGTTAGAACCACCGCCTCTCCCAGGGTCTTTCTCCCCCATATGTCCCCAGACCCCTTCAAGGAGTTCACAATTTGGCCGGCGCAGGGACTGACGCCTGCAATCCCAGCACTTTGGGAGGCTGACGCAGGTGGATTGCTTGAGCCTGTAGGAGTTCAAGACCACCCTGGGCAACATAGTAAGAGCCCATCTCTACAAAGAATTTTAAAAATTAGCCAGGCGGCCGGGTGCAGTGACTCACACCTGTAATCCCAGAACTTTGGGAGACCAAGGCAGGCAGGTCATCTGAGGTCAAGAGTTTGAGCCGTCTCTACTAAAAATACAAAATTTAGTTGGCCATGGTGGCACGTGCCTGTGATCTCAGCTACTCGGGAGGCTGAGGCAGGAGAATCCCTTGAACCAGGGAGTCGGAGGTTGCAGTGAGCCGAGATTGCACCACTGCACTCCAGCCCGGTGGTAGAGTGAGACTCCTTCTAAAAAAAATAAATTAAAGGCCGGGCGTGGTGGCTCACGCCTGTAATCCTAGCACTTTGGGAGGCCGAGGTGGGTGGATCACAAGTTCAGGAGATCAAGACCATCCTGGCTAACATGGTGAAACCCCGTCTCTCCTAAAAAATACAAAAAATTAGCCAGGCGTTGTGGCGGGCGCCTGTAGTCCCAGCTACTTGGGAGGCTGAGGCAGGATAATGGCATGAACCCAGGAAGCGGAGCTTGCAGTGAGCCGAGATCATGCCACTGCACTCCATCCTGGGCGACAGAGCAAGACTCTGTCTCAAAAAAAATTAAATAATTAATTAATTAATTAAAAAAATTTAAAAAGGCCAGGCACAGTGGCTCACAGCTGTAATCCCAGCACTTTGGGAGGCTGAGGCAGGCAGATCACAAGGTCAGGAGTTCAAGACCAGCTTGGCCAACATGGCAAAACTCTGTCTCTACTAAAAATACAAAAATTAGCAGGGCGTGGTGGCAGCAGGAGAGTTGCTTGAATCCAGGAGGCAGAGGTTGCAGTGAGCCGAGAGTGTGTCATTGCACTCCAGCCTGGGCGACAAGAGCCAGACTGTCAAAAAAAAAATAATAATTAATTAATTTAAAAAAAATTAGCCAGGCATGGTGGTGCACACCTGTGGTCCCAGCTACTTGAGAGGGAGGCTGAGAAGAGACAACGGCTTCCGTCTGGGAGGTCAAGGAAGGCTGCAGTGAGCCATGATCACGCCACTGCACTCCAGCCGGAGCAACACAGCAAGACCCTATCTCCAAAAAAAAAGAAAGAAAAAGAAAAGTTAACGTGTTTTTGTTTTTGTTTTTGTTTTTTGACGAAGTCTCACTCTGTCGCCCAGGCTGGAGTGCAGTGGCACGATCTCAGCTCACTGTGACCTCCCAGGCTGGAGTGCAGTGGCGTGATATGAGCTCACTGCAACCTCCCCTTCCCAGTTTCAAGAGATTCTCCTGCCTCAGCTTCCCAAGTAGCTGGGACTACAGGCAGGCGCCACCACGCCCAGCTAATTTTTTATTTTTAGGAGAGACGGGGTTTCACCATGTTGGTCAGGCTGGTCTTGAACTCCTGACCTCAGGTGATCCCCCTGCCTCGACCTCTCAAAGTACTGGGATTACAGGAGTGAGCCACCGCGCCCATCCAAGTTAACATTTTTAATATGTGTCCCCTGCCCCGGGACCTGAAAGCTCCCAAAGAGAAAGCCCCTTTTGTGTTGTTCTTTTCCCTTTTCTCATCCGTGTACAACAAGCAGAGCCAGGCACACTGAGGCTGTGAGAGTGATGGGAAACATGTGTTGAATGAGTAAATGACTCCACTGAGCAATACATCCTCCCCCAGAAAAATGCACATTTGGACACACACATTTTGAAAGCAACTTTAGGGCTGGGTGCAGTGGCTCACACCTGAAATCCCAGCACTTTGGGAGGCCAAGGTGGGAGGACTGCTTGAGCCCAGGAATTCAAGACCAGCTTGGGCAACACAGCGAGACCCCATCTCTACAAAAAACATATATAAATATAAAGGTTTTAAAAATTAGCCAGGCGTGGTGGTGGACACCTGTGGATCCAGCTACTCGGGAAGCTGAGGTGGGAGGATTGCTTGAGCCCCAAAAGTCAAGGCTGCAGTGAGCTATGATTGTGCCAATGCACTCCAGCCTGGGCAACTGAGTCTCAAAGAAGAAAGAAGAAAGAAAGCAAGAAAGCAAGAAAGGAAAGAGAGAGGAAGGAAAGAAGGAAGGCAGGCAGGCAGGCACAACTTTAGGAGGAATCACACCTCTATTTACGCCTAGTGGTCCATTATTGGAACGTGACGCCTGTGGGAGTTATCTCCTACTGCTCAAGGTCACTGCCAAGGTATGATTTATCAATTCAAAAAATTGCAACCTCAGGCATAAATGGGTTAAGCCCACCCATAGAAGCCCCATTAAGAATAAGGTTGGCTGGGCACGGTGGCTAATATCTGTAATCCCAGCACTTTGGGAGGCTGTAGGCCGGCAGATCACTTGAGCACAGGAGTTCAAGACCAGCCTGGGCAACATGGTGAAACTCTGCCTCTACAAAAATTTTTAAAAATTAGCCAGGTGTGGTGGTGTGTGCCATCCGGGCTTCAGGTCAGATTAGGTTTCTGTCTAAGGGCAGCCTCCTCCACTGGCACACAGTCTGGGCCAGGACATGCTGGCAGAATTGTGCAACGTCGTTGTTCTGAGCCGCAATCGAGCAGCTTTTATGACCAGCTATGAAGCGCTCTTCTAGTGCCAGGGCCTGGAGTTATTGAAGTTTCAAAGGAGTTTTTGTCCACCCGAGATGGCAAGCGGAGAGCAGATTCAGGCCAGGGCACTGCGCTCAGCGCTTTGCGTGCATTACCTGCAGGGACATCCCCACAGGCCTTTCGGATGGGGTGGTGGTTATCACCGTTTGACAAAGAAGTAAACTGTGGCTGGGAGCAGTAAAACACCTTGCCCAGGAGTGTCAGCCAACCTGGGGGTGGCAGGGCTTGAACTCAGGCCGGCGCCCTCGGCAGTTCAGCCCCCTTCCCTCAATTGCCACCATCTGAGTGCAATTCGCTAGCTACTAGGGCACATGAATCCGTGCGGGTCTCTGCCGCACCTGTCTTGCGGGGCCCAGCTGGGTGTCCGCCAAAGCACCAGGAGCGCCGAGTTCCGCGGTAGCGCAGAACCAGGTGAAGGCCTCGGCCAGAGGCGCGCCGGGCCCGAGGAGGGTGGGGCTGCGAGCGCTCGCCCCGGCGGCCTTTGCGCCCCAGTGCCTGCCCGGCCTCCGGAGTCCCCCGGCTGGGGGTGGGCGGCGTCCGGCCAAGACCCAGTGTCCCCACCCCCGCGTCCAAGCCCCGCCCGCGCGGTGGCCCCTCCTCGGGAAGGTAAGCACCACCTTCTCGGGGAGCGGCCCGCAGAGCCAGTGGCCGGCGGGCGCCCCGCCCCCAGCGAGTAGGGACCCGGAGCCACTGCCGCGCCGCAGTCCGGGCTCCCCGCGCCGCCGCTCGCTCACCTGCGCTCCCGCCCGCCCCTCGGTGCGCGCCCGGCCCGCCAGCCGCCGCCGCCCGCACCCCGAGCGCCACCATGAACTCGCTCTTCAGGAAGAGAAACAAAGGCAAATACAGCCCCACTGTGCAGACCCGGAGGTGAGGAGGCGCCCACAGCTCCGCTCCGGGACGCTCTTGCCCCTGTGGGCGCACAGGACCTGGAAGACCTCCCGGGCAGTGTAGGAATGGGGGGTACGGGGGTCCAGGAACCGGGAACTGAACCCGGAGTGCGGGACTCTCGGGAACGCGGGACCGAGGCCACCCTGAAGCTGGGAAGCGCCGCCAGGTGGGAAGGGACTGGCTGGGGTCCCCGAGGGGGAGCATAACACAGGGGACTCCGGGAGCCCAGGGAGCATTGCCTTGAGGGCCTAGGGCACGGGCAGCTGAGCTGGGGGTACAGGGCACCCCCGTGTCCCAGGGTCGCTCTTGCGCAGAGGGTCGCACAGGACCGGGAATAGTCACCTGGATGAGGGGGCGGAGTTTTTGGAGGACCGGGCACTCAAGGCGGGGTCGCTGCGGGCGACCCAGGAAGCTCCGTCCAGGGGGCGCCCTGAGGCAGGGAAACTGAGCTGGCGTCGGGGGGCGCTCTCCAGCGCCTCTGAGACCGCGCAAGTGTTCCTGGCGTCGGGGAGGCGAGGGATGGGTGTCCGGAGGGGGCGGGCCACCCGCCGCTGCACTTCCCGGCACCTGCCACCCTGCGCGCCAGAGCCGCGCCCGGAGGCCCTGGGGGGTGTGGGGTCGGGTCGAGGGGCACAGGGGGAGGCACCCCCTTACCTCCCCACCCTCTGGGTTCTGAGCGGAGGTTGGGCGGCTTCGGGGCCTCCTCTTCGAAGCTCGGTTTCGCAGGGGTGTGGCTCCCTGCCCCCACCCCAGCCCCGAAACTGGCGGCGTCTCTGAGCCGCGGGTTCCCAGGGCGGCCTGGGAGGGGAATGGCATGTCTTGATGTGTTTGCAGGGAGAAGCAGCCCACGTCCCTTTTGATAAGCCTAATGTGTTCACTTAATAACCGGTTTAGGGGAGCCTGGTGGAGATGCTGAGATTGACGGAGGGGGTGGGAATCCAGCCCCTGCCTTATATCCCCACTTCGGAAAATAGAGTGGGGGCTCTGGGCTAGCAAGGACCATTTTGCCAGCTTCTCGGACAAGAGGCTTCAGGCAGGTGAGGGGCCCGCACATTACATGGCTCTCCTGTCTGGGAGTTCTGCCCCCAAGCTGCTCTCACTGGGAGCCCCCACTGTGCCCTCAAGCAGCTCCTCACTTCTTCCCTAGGCAAGGAGAGGCCTCTGGGCCCAGGGCTCCCACTCAACCCCTGCAGTCCGGCCTAGGCCGACCAGTCGGACAGGTGCAGGCGGCGGGGCCCTAGCACGCTGGAGTGCGACACTCCATTCCGGGGCCTTCCAGCCCTTTCAGAAACCCCCCTGCCCTGTGATCCCACCCACCCGTATCTCCGTTTGGGCTCTTTCAAGCTCAGAGGCATTACCCGCCTTTAGAGATTTCCCCACCCCTCCCCTATCTTTCACAACCCCAGAGACTGGGCAGGGCCTGCACACCCCTCCTCCATGGCTGCGTCCAGCTGGCACTCAGACCCAACCAGAGGCCCGTCCAGTCCCTGCACTGTTCCCTGGGGCATTGCACAATTGGATGCTCCGTGCCAGCCGTGGAGAACCGTTCTGTCCTCTCCACCCCAGAGACTAGACCCATCCAGTCCTTCACACATGCAGACACCCACATACCAGTGGTGGGGCCAGGCCTCGCCCCGCCCTCTGCCTCCTCCCAGCCTCCCTCCTTCGTGCAGCTCTCCATCCTGAAGGCCCCAGCTTGGACCTAACAAAAGGTTCTAATGAACCCAGACAAGCTGGGAGGGGTGCGGGCTTTCCCAGAAGCATGAGGATGAAAGGCATCCCATCCTTTATAGCTGCAGGGACTGGGAGGGTCTGGGGTGGCAAAGATTTGGGGTCCTGCCACTCTCTGTATATCTGGCCCAAGGCAGCCACGGTCTGTCCTAGGCTGATAGCCATTGGTCCCAGATCTCCATTTAGACGTCTCTTTCTCCAGGAAGCCCTCCTGATTCTCTCCCCAGCCTGGGGTGCAAGACCATTCCTTTGAGCCTTGCCACCCCAGCACAGAATGAGCACAGCCACAGCCCTGAGCAGATGTCAGATGCCTCCCCGGGTGGTCTCCAAGCCCAGTGCATCCCTCTGCCCCCTCCCCTTAGTGGGGACTAGTTCGCAGACTGGATTGTGGGGTGGGGGTAGCCCTGTACCCCATCCTCTCAAACGCATCTCTTGAACATTGCCTGATGCCCAGCCAGCCCCATAGCAAGTGTCTTGGTGGGGGGGTGGAGGGGACAGACTTGCGGCTCTAGGCTGTGGTCGCTGGTCACAGGGAGTGGATCCCCAAGTTATTCCTTCACTCTGAGTTTTCCAGGGGCCCGCTCCATTGTCTGGGGGAGGACAAAATTGCTGGTGAGATTCAGCATGGGGGGCAGTAGGAGCTCCAGCACTGAGAGCAGAATGCCTCACTGTTGATCCTGGCATCTCCACCCTGGAGCCTCTCGAAGCCTTGTTTTCCCTTTCTGCACAGCACGGGTGGTAATACTGAGTGTCTCATGCATAGGGCTGCTGGGAGGAGCAGTGCTGTAGCACACAGGAGGTGCCCGGATGAGGGTAGCAGCCCTTTCCGAGCCCAGGGGACCCAGGAGCCCCAAGTGGTGACTTTCATACCCAAGGTAGTCAGGCCTTTGGACTACAAAGTGTGGATTAGTGAACGGAACACCCCACCGAGAAAGCCACCCCTTCCAGTTTGTCTGCCTTTTAGCAGCTGAAGCTGGGGAGGGCCGGGACAGGGTGTGAACCCCGTTGCTCCCGTTGCCCGGGTTCCTAATGACAGGTGTGGGAGTTGATGTTCACACCTGAGCTAATGACAGAGTCAGGCCAGATGGTGCAGGTGACCGAGGACAGCCTCCAGCCTAGTAGAGAGGCCCTGGAGGAGACCCGCTGCCACCCTCCTGGCTGTGCGACCTCAGAGGAGCTGCTTGGCTTCTCTGAGCCTGTTTTCTCACCTGTGGGATGGGAATAAGCACGGTGCCTGCCTGGCGATGTTGGCTCAGGATTAAATGAAATAATGCAGGGGAAAGGTTGTGAATGATAAGCGGCCGCAGGTAATAGCATCTGTGACGATTACAGTTATTAAGCAAATGCGGGCAAGCTAGCTGTGGTGTACCCAGGGTTAAACTTGATATCATGGTGGACAGGCTGTGCACTGCACAATTCCATAGGCACTGTTGCTGGGTTTTAGCACGTGGTCGTGGAGGAGACGTGGACAACCTCCCTGCACTTGAGTCGCTGGCAGTCACATCACAGAGATAAGATGGAGTTAAGCTTCAGTACATGTATGGTTACATGAGCGTCGGACTGATGGGGCCAGGCAGGAGCAATGGAGCATAGAGCCGGACAGATGAGGTCTCCACCCTGGCCACTCACATACTTTGTGACAGGCCTCAAGTGAGAGTTGTCACAGTCAGAGCACAGATGCTGGGAGGTGAGGGAGGACTTCACAGAGGAGGCATCTGACCTGTCACGGGGTGGGATGGAGTGGCCAAGACCCAGCTCTGCAGTCAGGCTCAATTCTGCCTCTGCTTGAAAAGAAACATAGCATCCCTGAGCCCCAGCGCTTCTGAATTTGTTGAATGGGATTAATCTTGCCCCTCCACCCAGACCTGGGTCCCAGTAAACACCCAGCAGCCTGGCCTTGCCTAGACGGGTCTTGCAACACTGGGGCCGCCCTGATGGAGCGCTCCTGCATGGGAGGCAGGACCCCAGGCTTTGAGGGGAGAGCTGGCAAAAGGGAAGCATGCTCTACTGGGAGGCACCTGGGGTACCCTGAGCCTCTTAGTGGTTAAGAACACAGTGTTTTATTAGCTGGGCATGGGGGTGGGTGCCTGTAGTCCCAGCTACTCAGGAGGCTGAAGCAGGAGAATCCCTTGAACCTGGGAGGCAGAGGTTGCAGTGAGCTGAGATTGTGCTACTGCACTCCAGCCTGGGTAAAAGAGTGAGACTCTGTCTCAAAAAGAAAAAAAAAAAAGCAAGAACACAGTGTTTGATGCTAGCTGGGCATGAGTTCAGGCCGCAGCTCTGGGTCTCTTAAGCTGTTTGATCTTGGGCAAGTCACTTAATGTCTCCGAGCCTCAGTTTCTTCATCTATGAGGTGGGGTGACAACAGCAACCCCCAGTTGGTGAGGCTGCTGGGTAGATCAAATGAGGGGATGCACATGATGGGTCCAGCCCATGACCTGGTTCAGAGCGAGTGCCCGGCAAATCATAGCAGCCAATACTAGGAAGCACACACTGCTATTAAGAGTCATGACGGGCTGGGCGCGGTAGCTCACGCCTGTAATCCCAGCACTCTGAGAGGGTAAGGCGGACGGATCACTTGAGGTCAGGAGTTCAAGACCAGCCTGGCCAACATGGTGAAATCCCATCTCTACAAAAATAAATATTAAAAATTAGCTGGGTGTGGTGGCGGAAACCTGTAATCCCAGCCAGATACTGGGGAGGCTGAGGCAGGAGAATCACTTGAACCTGGGAGGCAGAGATTGCAGTGAGCCGAGATCACACCACTGCACTCCAGCCTGGGAGACAGAGCGAGACTCCGTCTCAAAAAAAAAAAAAAAAGATTCATGACTGAGCCAAGCCCAGAGCTGACCAGGGAGCTGACTCAAGCAGACACGCACATGCACCCATCGATCAGTGTTGGTAGGAACGCCTGATCGATATGGGAGGGGACCCATGTGGGTAACAGCTTAGAGAGAGCCGCCCCGCCATTTCTCAGGCACATACTGTGAGCCCAGCAAGGCCATGGATGTTACATCTCATTCTGACAGCGGGCCTGCCATGCAGGTGGAAGTGTCCTGTTTCACAGAGGGCTCACATTCACCTTGAGCTCACAGCTCACAAATGGCTGATGCTGGAAGTCCAGGGGGGCCTGGGGAAGCAAATGAGGCCTCCCCACTCGTACCTGGATCTGGCAGCAACTGTGCCTGGGGACTGCTCCAGGCCAAATGGTAGAGTCATTGGTGTTTGTGCTCACTGCCTCTACCCCCAGCAACCCCCTCTACCTCTCTTCTCTCTAGCTTTGCCCCTCCATCCCTTGCCCAGTTCTCTTGGAAGAAGGAATGAGACTGGATAAATTCGATTCAGGACAGAGCTGAGCTTACCTGGAGGAACAGCTGCTAATGGTAGCATTTCAGGCACTGTCGGGCGGATCATGTTGGGAAAGGGTATTTTGGGGGAGAGACTCAGCTCCGTCCACACCCTTTAAGCAATACCCTAAGGGTGTGGTTGGGGGAGGCCCTGGAAGTAGGGGACCTGGGGGAGAAGCTGCTTTAGAGAGCTTCCAAAGCTCCTCGTCTGGGGAAGAGAACCCTGGCTTCCCAGCGTGCAGCTGCTCTCTGCTCCCGGCAGGTCTGTGCCGGTGTTACCGGCACCACCTTGCATCCTCCCAGCCTGCCTGCCCCGGCCTGTCTTGGGAGCGAATGGGGAAACGGCCTCTGGTCTTTGTTCTCCCGGCTTCTGATGGGTTGCTGTGCTGCAGCCTCTGGAGCCCGGGAGGCCACCTGGTGCCCCTTTCTGCCTCCGGGTGGGACAAAGCTCTCTTCAGGTCCCAGCCCTGCCCTTCCCTACCCCAACCTATTTTTTTTAAGTGTTCTTTCTTTATTCTTTAGAGACAGGCTGTCACTGTATCACCCAGATTGGAGTGCAGTGGTGCGATCATAGCTCACTGTAGCCTTGAACTGCTGGGCTCAAGCAATCCTCATGCCTCAGCCTCCCAAGAAGCTGGGACTACAGGTGTGCACACCACCGTGCCCCGCTAATTTTTAATATTTGTAGAGATGGGGTCTCACTATATTGCCCACTCTGGTCCTGAACTCCTGGGCTCAAGTGAGCCTCTTGCCTTAGCCTCCCAAAGCACTGAGATTACAGCCATGAGCCACTGCACGCAGGCCCTTTCCCTTTAAATGGATCCCCACTTCTCCCTGCCTGCAGAGCCAGCAGCCCAGCAGGCCTCCAGTCCCTCTTCACTGTTCCTTCTTCCACTCCAGCGCTCCAGTCCCTTCTCCCCATGGCAGCCAGGGAGCTCCTTACGACATAAATCTGACCATACCTCCAGCTGCTTAACCCCTGCCCCAGACCTCTCTTTGCTCTTAGGCCCTGGGAGCTGGTGCCCTGCACATCAACATGTGCCTGTCACCGTCTTGTTTCCACGCTGTGCCCGGCCACAAGGCCTTTCCCTCTGCCATTCCTGTTGCCCAGAATGCCCCTCCCACCCCTTTTCACTGCTTCTCTTCCACTTCCAGGTTTACCTTCTGTTCCTCAGGGAAGCCTTCCCCAACCTCTCTGCTGGGGTAGATCCACCTATTCTATGGACTCCCCTTCTCCTTGGTAGCTCTTATCTCAGCAGCTATGTGACTCCGGGGTAGCCACATGTGGCTGTGTGGCTGCCTTCCCCCAGACACTGGTGCTACACGCGTGCTGAATGAATGAATGAATGAGAGTAAGCCATGGGGGACTGCTAAGATTCTCCCCTTCCCTCAGCATTTCAAGAGAGCATACATTGCCCTGCGCTTCACACCCCAGGACCAGCAGAGCCCGGAGGTGGGGATGAATGGGGCAGGGGTTCCAGCTAGTGGAAAGGAGTGCGAGGCCTGAGCAGGCTGCCCCCTGCCCTGTCCCCATCCAGTCACCTCCTGCGTGCAGGACGGTGAGCAGAGAGTTGGCTGAGTACACAGCTGGCAGCAATGCGGAGTGATAGTGAGATAAAGGAGGGCCCTGACCCAGCCACACAGGCTTCTTCAGGAGAGGTCCTCCACGCCGAACCCGGGGATCAGTTGGAGATGAGAGGATAAAGAGAGTGCAGTTGACAGAAGGTGACGGGGATGTGTGTATCCACGACCCGAAAAGGCATGACAGTGAGCAAGCAAAGCAAGTTGATGAAGGATGCAAAGATGATGCTTGCATATATACATTTTTAGAAACATACACAGAGCAATTCCACTTACTCTTCCTGAATGCAGATGTGTCTATGTATTGGAAAGCTTAGGGAACCAGGTGCAGTGGTTCGCACTTGTCCTAGCGCTTTGGGAGGCCAAGGCGGGAGGATGACTTGAGGCCAGGAGTTGAAGACGAGCCTGGGCAACATAGTGAGACCCTATTTCTACCAAAAAAAAAAAAAAATTAGCTGGGCATGGTGGTGCATGCCTCTAGTCTTAGCTACTCAGGAGGCTGAGAGGGGAGGATCCCTGAGTCCAGGAATTCAAGGCTGCAGTGAGCTGTGATTGTGCCACTGCACTCCAGCCTGGGCAACAGAGCAAGACCCTGTCTCTAAATAAATAAAATAAAACAGGCTTAGGAAGAACCAGTAAATCTAAAATTCTGCTACTCCTAAGAAGGGGCCTGAAAGGATAATGAACAATAACATTTCTCTTCCTTTTTAGAAAAATCTGCAGCAAAGATGGTACTGTGAAAACATCAACCAAACCGTGGTGGTGGGGACATGCGTGGCTGATTCTTTTCAGTACTTTTCTGCATGTCTGAGTAGATCACGAGTTTTCCAGTTTAGGTGAAGGGTGGAGTAGAGAAGGCGAGCTGGCGTGGGGCACAGCTGGCGGGGGGCACAGCGTGGGAAGAGCCTGCAGGCAAGCCCTGAGTCCTGGGTCTCAGAGTCCAGTCCATAGCAAAATAAAAGGTCTGGGAGAGGAAGAAGAGGGACCTCAGGAAGCAAAGGGGGCCCAGTCCTGGAAGGCAAGCAGGCAGGTTCTGGATGGGGAGACAAAAATGGAGAGTCTCTGCAAGGAAGTGAGAGGGGAGGGGACCAGAACTGGGAAAGGTATGAACACAGAAAGGCCTTGAGGTTGGGTGCTAGCTTAAAACCATCACCCTAAATTATGATTATTACATTGTCTGAGATAAATTCTACCCTCAGCTCTCGTTCCAAGTGAGGCTCAGAGAGTTTGAGTGACTCGCTCCAGGACTCTCGGCAGATCTTTTTTTTTTTTTTTTTTTTTTTTTTTTTTAAGGTAGAGTTTCACTTTTGTTGCCCAGGCTGGAGTGAAGTGACACAATCTCAGCTCACTGCAACCTCTCTGCCTCCTGGGTTCAAGTGATTCTCCTGCCTCAGCCTCCCAAGTAGCTGGGATTACAGGCGCCCACCACCACGCCTGGCTATATTTTGTATTTTTAGTAGAGACGGGGTTTCACCATGTTGGCCAGGCTGGTCGCAAACACCTGACCTCAGGTGATCCACCTGCCTCGGCTTCCTAAAGTGCTGGGATTACAGGCATGAGCCACTGCTCCCAGCCAAATAGAGTTTCTTATCTGAGATTGAAGCAGGGTTGAAGCCCTGTCTCTTCTTTGTGGTACAAACTTGGAATCCTTTCCCACCCTTCGATGGGAAACAAACCATCGCCATGGCGAAGGCAGAGAATTTGAAACCCTAAAAGGTATCAGCCTGAAATCCTAGCCCAGGCAGTGGGGGCAGCAAAAAATTCTGCAAGTTCTATTTCTCCCACAGCCCTGCGGCCTTGCAGGCTCAGCCAGCAGCTCTGGTGTGTTTTATCTTACAAAGCATGACAAAAACCCTCTGCCTAGGAAAGGATGGGCGGGGCGGCCAGGACACCCTGCCAGCCCTCTCAAAGTGTCTGGGTAAGAACTGCTGAGATGGCCGGGCACAGTGGCCCATGCCTGTAATCCCAACACTCTGGGAGGCCTAAGGTCAGGTGTTGGAGACCAGCCTGGCCAACATGGTGAAACCCTGTCCCTACTAAAAATACAAAATATATTTTGTGTTTGAGCCCAAGAGTTGAAGGCTGCAGTGAGTGAAGTGCAGCAATGCACTTCAGCCTGAATAACAGAGCAAGACTCTGTCTCAAAAAATGAAAAAGGAGGCTGGTGCTCTTTCTCCAGTGGTCCTGAACCCAGAGTGACATCCTGATGCCTTGGGGCACCAAAGTTGGCTTGAGCCCTGTTTATCCCCCGAGTCTAGGAATTCAAAGCTGCAGTGAGCTATGAATCCTCCCACCTCAGCCTCCTGAGCAGCCAGGACTAGAGGCATGCACAACCATGCCCAGCTAATTTTATTTATTTATTTATTTTTGGTAGAAATAGGGTCTTGCTGTGTTGCCCTGTCTTCAAGACCTGCCTTGGTGTTACCTGAAGCAGCTTGAACTTCTGTATGTTTGTAAAAGGAGCCCAAAAGCACTCACCTGACACAGAACCCTAGGCCCCATCAGAGGCCTGGAGGCAGGGCGGCCTTCCCTGGGCAGAAACAGATTAGGCCTTAAAAACAGACCTGGAATTACTACACCAGCAACCTTCTCATCTTAGGATATATTTCCACAGGATTAATAGCTGGGTGTGAGGACATTTACTGTCTAATTAGCACAGGAGTTTCTAGTAGTGAGAGAATCAGTCAATTGACCAATCAATCTGGTATTCATTGGGCACATTCTGTGTACTGCTTTCTCACAGGGCTTCCTTCCTATAGAGATCTAGGATTCTTCGGCATCTTGCTTCTTTTAAACCTTGCTGTGGTTCAGTTCCTTGTTCTCATCCCTGGCTGTACATTAGAATCACCTGAGGAGTTTTGAACAGCATGTCAGAGCCCTTTCCAAGACCAGTTAAGTCAAAATCTCCATGGACATGGGTCCAGACATCATTCTTTTGATGTGCAGCTGTTGGGAACCACATAGTTACATGGATTGCCTCGCTCCCTCTTGTCTTTGAGATATATGGACAGTGCTTTCTCTCTTCAGTATCAGTTGCCTGGTATGTCACTCTCCATTCTTTATTCTCAACCTTCCTGTATCATTTAGTTTCAAGTGTGTGTGTCTTATAAAATGGCATATAGCTTGGGGAAGGTGTGTGTTTTGTAATCTCACCGGAGAGTCTTTTATCTTTTAATAGGCAAAATTAACTCATTTACATTTATTGTAATGACTAATGTGTTTGAACCTACTCCACCATAGTGCCCTATTTATCATGCTTTCCCTTTGTTTCCATTTTGCTCTTTTCCTGGTTTTTACTGGATTGAGTATATTTTCATCATTAAAGTTAGATTATAAGGCCTAAATGGAACACAGTGGATGAAAATACCCTGGTGTAAGTGATCTAAAATCTTTGTTTTTGGTTTTTTTTTGTTTTTTTTTTTTTTGAGACAGAGTCTTGCTCTGTTGCCCAGGCTGGAGTGCAGTGGCACAATCTCAGCTCACTGCAAGTTCTGCCTCCCAGGTTCACGCCATTCTCCCGCCTCAGCCTCCCAAGTAGCTGGGACTACAGACGCCTGCCACCACGCCCGGCTATTTTTGTTTTTGTATTTATCGTAGAGATGGGGTTTCACCATGTTAGCCAGGATGGTCTCAATCTCCTGACCTCGTGATCTGCCCGCCTCGGCCTCCCAAAGTGCTGGGATTACAGGCATGAGTCACCGCGCCAAGCCAAATCTTTGTAATTATACCCATTGGGGTGTTTTTCCTTAACCTACCTACTAGCTTACAAGCTTTTGAATAGTTGGGATTTACTCATCTTTTGGGAGAGGGCCTTCTGTTGTCCTTAATTCCAGGCCTTACATAAGCTTGGGGCTCCATAAATAGGTGTGAAATTGAGCAGGTATTTTATAGCATGTGGACAATTCATATCTCTGGGGGCTTGTTAATGGTGAAGGGCCTGTTGCCAGGGCCTGTAAGGGGCAGAGAGATGACAAAGAGTTGGTGGGGTGGGGTCGAAAATTTATTTGGCAATTACTGAATATCTAGAAAGTGCCCAGTTGGGGCTGCAGCAGTTACAAGCATAGACCTCTTACTAACCTATTGACCCTGAGCAAGTGGTCTTCCTGAGGCTCAGTTTCCTCATCTGCAATGGAGCTATGATAGCACGTACCTCAACTAGTTGTTATAAGGATCAGAGATGAAACCTGCTTCCGGTGCTAGGGTAGGGTGTGGGCCAGGAAGGTGCTCACTCAATGGCAGTTGCTTCCGCCTGAAAGGTCTGTTTGGAGGGACAGGCTGGGAGTCCCTTGTGGGGACAACTTAGGAGAATGACTCAGTCTCCGTTTACCATCACTAATCCTTACCCAACCAACCACTGGGATTAATTGTACTGATGAAAATGACAACAAACTGTAAATCACTCTGCTTCCCTGGGTGGTGAATGCCTGGTCCCATCATCCTGTCTCTCCGATGTCTCTTGTCCCTTTGTCTGTAAGGGGTGGGTGTGGATTGATACTGATGTCCCCTTTGTACTGAGAAGGTGGCTTTTTGAAGCCCGTCTTCATGGGTTCGAATCTTGGCACCACCACTTCCCAGCTGTGTAAACTCGGACCAGTTTCTTAACTTCTGTGAGCCTCAGTTATCTTCACCTAGAACACAGAGACATAAGAGTTACCGAATTGCATTAAAACATCTGCTCAGTTCAACACCTATTTATTGAGCCCAGCCCTACGCAAGGTGTGGAATTAAGGTTATAGAAGGGCCCCCAAAAAGGTGAGTAAGTTCTTTTTGTCCAAAAATTTAATAGCCTAATAGGTAGGATTAAGAGCCCCAGTAACACTAAGGGTGGCTACTTCCTAGGGCTATGAGACGTCAATGGGTGATGCACAAAAGGACTGAGCGGTCGCTGGGCACCCAGTAGGTGCCCTCAGTGTTGTTACTATTCATCAGTTATTTCCTGAGTGTCCACGGTGGTTGCCTTTGTGTCAGAGCCAGGGCAGATGTTTCAGGAGCCAGGCAGTGTTTAAAGAAGGTAGGGGCAGAGGGCTACTCGGCACCGGAGGTGCACCTCCCCCAAGCTGGCCCTCCAGGCAGGCAGGACGCCAGAAGAGGATGACCGTGGTGGCAGGAGGCCCAGCCCCTTCTCTGGGCTCTGGGACAGGTGAGGCTGGTTCCAGGGAGGGGTGTACCCTCCTGTGCGTTCCAGACATTCCAGCAGCAATGCAACCCCAATACACACCCACTGAGACAGAATTAACCCCCAGAGGAAGGAACTGCAGATGTGATCAAAGGCCAGTGGCCCTGGCCAGGCAGGGAGTGCTGAGCCTGCAGGGACCTGTGTCCACACATGGGAGGAGAGTGCAGGCTGGGCTGTGAGCCAGCAGGGGACACAGCAGTTCTGGGCGACAGGGACAGCTGGGGTGGAGGTGATGGCAGGAACGTGGCCCCTCCGATGTTGCTAAAGTATGATCTGTTACCGGGGTGGCTGCTCTCGCAGCCTGGAGAAGGGGATGGCTGTGAGCAGGCCAGGTGCCTCCAGCACAGCCCCATGGCCTATGGACAGGGTTGCAGGGGCTCTGGGGACCTGGGGAAGGGTGTCTTGCTGCGGTCTTCGTGCCAGGGTCCTCCACACCCAGGCACCAGGCTCCAGTGGGCACAGTGGGGAGCCCCAGGTTGTTTTGGAGTCAGGCAGCCAGGGAGGGACCCACAGAGGAGACCCTGTCCTGGGGCAGACATCTAATCAGTGAGTGTGGGCAGGAGGAGTCACGGGGTTCAAAGAGAATGAGCATTTATTAGGTGTCCCTGGGTACCAGGCACCGAGTGAGACTGGAAGATGCTCTGAGCGCCCATCAGCTTTCCTACAGCAGAACTGAGAGACTGTGGTCACTGCGGGCTTAGAGCAAAGCAGGTCCGGGTGCCCCAGAATCACCTAGAATCTCGCAGTCCTATTCAGTAATTACTGGCCCCGTGACATGGGCTGTGCACGTATGTCTGTGTGCCAGGGTTTGAAGACTTAGTGTGAAAAAGAGAATGTAAAATATCCGTTAATAATGTTCTGTTGACCACCTGTCAAATTGATCATATTTTGGATATATTAGGTTAAATAAAATAGAAAAAAATTCGCTCATTTCTTCTTACTCTTTTCACGTGGCTACTAGAAAAATGTAAATTCTGTGTGGCTCAGGTTCAGTTTCTGTTGAACAGTGCTGGCCTTGCATACAAAGCAACTTAATACCTGAACTCCTGTGGGAATGTTTTCCAGCTGTTGAGTGTCTTTCTGCTTGTTCCGTGACAAGCAGGCATGATAACCCCATTTATGTTGAAAGAAATTAAGGCTGAGACAGGTGGAGTAATACATGCTGTTATTCCAAAAGCCAGCATAGTTCATTCAGTCTGATGGGCGCTACGGACATGGCAGTGAACAACAGACAAAGAGCCCTGCCCTGGCAAGGCCCCCACCAGTGACACGGAGGAAGAGGATGAAACCCAGTTATCCTAATCATGGTGCGGCCACACCCAAAGCGCTTTCATTTATAAGGGTTATCTCCTTGAATTATCTCAACCCTCTGCAGTGGGATCAATTCCTATCCCTGTCTCAGAGATGAGGAAACTGAGGCACAGAGAGACTAAGGAATCTGCCCGAGCCCACACCTGGGTTAGAGCCACAACACAGGCTACGTTCCCTGCCCTGGCCAGGCTGCCTCAGTTTCCTCCCCTGCAGGCAGGGTAGAAAGAATGGGCCAGTTGGTGCCATGTGACTTGAACAGGTACAGCTGAAGACATCAAGGGTGGCTCTTGAAGCCACCCCCACCCAGGGAGCCCCCTTCCAGGTCGCTGATGGCTGGAAGGTTGCCATTCATGGTGTCCTTGGAGGGTCCACGTCTCTCCTGGGGGCAGGAGGCCGGGAAGCATATCTCCCCAACTCTTAGGTCTTTGTATGATGCAACCAGATCATCCCATCATCCAAACTAAAACTTACCTGTGCTCCCAAATGCTCTCAGAAAAGAGAGTGGGTGGCTGTTGCATTGGGCCAGGTAAGAAGTGGTGACTTTGATCAAGGTGAGGCCAGAGGGGCAGATGGAGGAGGATGCGCAGGAGACGCGTTCCCAGGTAGAACCAGTGGAGGGAGAAGCAGGGACAGGTCTCAGGGATCTGTTGGCATAACCGGGTAGACAGGTCCTCCCCACCCTCCCCTTCTGCAGTTTCCCTTATGCGGACGGAAGAACGTTCTCAGAGCAGTGGGAACACCCTGTACCCTTCAAATCCCCAAACCTACTGACTCTGATCCTTAGCCCAAACCCAAGACAGCTGAAGCGGGCTGTGCGTTTGTCCCCCAGCTAGGCCCAGGGAGTGGGCATCTGGGACGCAGGATCTCCTGTCCTCCCGACACCTCATTACCCATATATGGGCACCAGCCTCTCCTCGCAGATGTTGGAGGAGATGGTTCCAAATTCTGAGGTTAGTTGTGAATTCCACGTGCCCCGGCAAGGCAACATTCACAGGGCAGAAGCAAAGCACGTCTGGGCTTGCACCAGGATCAGCGTGAACAGTGTGGACGGCCGGGGGTCTGCTTTCATCTCCCAGGTGCTGGAGGATTCTAACTTCAGGCCTTGGCTTCTGGCTTTTTGTTTGTTTCTAGGGTTTTTTTGTTTTGTTTTGTTTTGAGATGGAGTCTTGCTCTGTCACCCAGGCTGGAGTGCAGTGGCACAGTCTCGGCTCACTACAACCTCCGCCTCCCAGGCTCAAGCGATTCTCCTGTCTCAGTCTCTCCAGTAGCTAGGATTATAGGTGCCCACCACCATTCCCGGCTAATTTTTGTATTTTTAGTAGAGACAGGGTTTCACTATGTTGGCCAGGCTGGTCTGGAACTCCTGACCTCAGGTGATCTGCCCACCTCAGCCTCCCAAAGTGCTGGGATTACAGGCATGAGCCACCACGCCCAGCTGGCTTCTGGCTTTTATCAGCTCCTTAAAAGGAGCCTAAATCCCTGGATGGTGGACCCAGGTCAAGGCAGAGCCGGGCTCCTCAGAGGCAGCACCCCATATCTGTTCTCTCAGTCACCCCCACCACAGCCCTGTGGCATGCATACTGTGATGACTCTCATTTTACAGCTGGGGAAACTGAGGCTCAGAGAGGCTAAGTAATTTACAGTTTATTAAGAGCAGAGGCAGGATTTGACCCCGGGCTGTCTGGCTTTGGTCTGGGTGCTTAACCACTGGGCCACACTGCCCTTCCAGCTGAAAGAAAGTGCCAGTGGCACCCGCACAAAATTAAAGCAGGAAGAGAGACCCAGGAGGTGGAGAGCGAGGGTCCCCCGAGACACCTGTGTTATCTTTCTCTGCCCACGTGGAGCATCGGTGGTGTGTCAAGGCCAGGGTGCTACCTCTGTCCCAGCTCCTCTCACGGGCATCCCTGCTGGCCCTCTGAGGACTGTGTGCTGTCCTGGCGGCCAGGACAGCACACAGTCCTAGGTTCGAGTCCCAGCTCTCCACTTTGCAGCTGGGCTTACTGAGCCACTGGGTCCTCAGCCTCGAGTTGCCACCTCTAATGCAGGCTGGGGCCAGGCACAGTGGTACACACCTGTAATCCCAGCATTTTGGGAGGCCGAGGCGGGCAGATCACTTGAGGCCAGGAGTTCGAGACCAGCCTGGCCAACACGGTGAAACCCCATCTCTACTAAAAATACAAACATTAGCCGGGCGTGGTGGTGCATGTCTGTAATTCCAGCTGCTCGGGAGGCTGAGGCACGAGAATTGCTTGAACCCAGGAGGCAGAGGTTGCAGTGAGCCAAGATCATGCCACTGCACTCCAGCCTGGGTGACAGAGTGAGACTCAGTCTCAATCAATCAATAAAGCAGGTCGGGCTGTGTCTACTGAGGCTCTGACTCCTGGCGACAGAGCCAGGAGACCTGATGCCATCTGAGGCCCCCAGGCCCCCTCCCTAGTGGTTCCTCTGCTCTGAGTATGTCCTGGGACACAAGAAGATGGCTGTTCAGGCTCAAGCCTGCGGGCTCAGACCCAGGAAGCCCTTGTCTGGTCCCTGGGAGTACCCTCAAACACAGCCCTGGAACTCCGAGGAGGAACCGGGCAGCCTCCTGACCTGCTGGTTCCATTTTTCCTTGCTTGCATCAAGAGCCTCATATGCAGACCAGGCCAAGAAAATGGGGCTCTGTGAGACTGCTCAGGATTGTCCCAGACTCTGGCATCCCCAGCCCAGAAGGAAAAAGCTAGGGAAAAACAGCCTCAGTCGACTCGAGGTGACTCGTAGAGGCTTGCAAAACCCATCTAGCAGGCAGCCCCTGACCCACAGCGTCAACAAGGCTGAGGGGGCTGTTTCTGCTGCCAACCAAGTTCTGGGTCCTCATTCAGGCCCACTGGTGAAACAGCCAGCAAGGCCCGAATTGTATAAACAATGTAAATGAGCCAGGCACAGTGGGCTCATGCCTGTAATCCCTGTACTTTAGGAGGCCAAGTCAGGAGCATCCCTTGAGCTCAGGAGTTTAAGACCAGCCTGGGCAACAGAGAGAGACTCCATGTCTACAAAAAAATTAAAAAATTAGTTGAGGCCGAGTATGGTGGTTGACACCTGTAATTCCAGCACTTTGGGAGGCCGAAGCAGGCAGATCACCTGATCAGGAGTTCAAGACCACCCCGGCTAACATGGCGAAACCCTGTCTCTACTAAAAATACAAAAATTAGCCAGGCATGGTGGCGTGCGCCTGTAATCCCAGCTACTCGGGAGGCTGAGGCAGTAGAATCACTTGAATCCAGAGACGGAGGTTGCAGTGAGCCAAGATTTTGCCACTGCACTGCAGCCTGGACAACAGAGCAAGACTGTTTCAAAATTTTAAAAAGAGTATAAATGATCTCAAGTCTGTTTCAGGGACGCTGCTCTGAACCTCCAGTTCAGTCCTTGAACCACAAAGGTGTCTTTGAAATTTGACCGAGGTGTCCTTTCTTTCTTTCTTTCTTTCTTTCTCTCTCTCTCTCTTTCTTTCTTTCTTTTCTTTCCTTCTTTCCTTCTTTCTTTCTTTCTTTTTTTGAGACAGAGTCTTGTTCTGTTGCCAGACTGGAGTGCAGTGACTCAATCTCAGCTCACTGCAACCTCCACCTCCCAGGTTCAAGCAATTCCCCGGCCTCGGCCTCCCAAGTAGCTGGGACTACAGGTGTGTGCCACCATGCCCAGCTAATTTTTTGTATTTTAGTAGAGACGGAGTTTCACCAGGTTGGCCAGGATGATCTCGATCTCCTGACCTCGTGATCCACCTGCCTCGGCCTCCCAAAGTGCTAGGATTACAGGCGTGAGCCACCGTGCCTGGCCTGACTGAGGTGTTTCTAAAAGTGACCCTGATTACCCCCACCCCACAAATACACTTTTTTTGGTTTTAATTTGAGACAGGGTCTTTCTCCATCTCCCAGGCTGGAATGCAGTGGTGCGATCTCACTCAGCTCACTGCAGCCTTGACCTCCTGGGCTCAAGCGATTCTCCCACCTAAGCTTCTCAAGGAACTGGGACTACAGGTGCACACTACCACATCTGGCTAATTTTTGTATTTTTTGTAGAGACAAGGTCTTCCTATTTGCCCAATTTGGTCTCGAACTCCTAGGCTCAAGAGATGCTCCTGCCTCAGCCTCCCAAAGTGGTGGGATTACAGGTGTGCACTCCTGTGCCTGGGCCCATACATGAACATAACTAGAGAGGATTTCTTGCTCACATTTCACAGATGATGAAACTGAGACTCAGAAATACAGAGTGGCTGGCCAGGCATATTGTGGCTCATACCTGTAATCCTAGCACTTTGGGAGGCCGAGATGGGAGGATCACTTGAGGCCAGGAGTTCGGGACTAGCCTGGTCAACATAGTGAGAAACCATCTCTATTTAAAAATTTGAAGAAAATATAAAAAGATTAAAAAAGAAATACAGTGTAGCTCCTCTGTCACACTGTCACAGGGTCACATTGCTGGTTGGTGCAGTCAGGATCTGAACCCTATCTGACTCCAGACCTGAAGTCTTTCTCCTACACAGGCTGCCCTCCCAAGTGATCCTGGGTAGTGACTTCACGTCCGGGACCTTGGTTTGCTCATCTGGGTAATGAGCAGGTGGGGCTGGATGGCTTCTGAGGCCCCTTCGAGGGCCAGCGGCCACTGCCCTCAGCACGTGTGTCCGTGTTACCCTCTGAGTAAGAAAAGGGAGGGCTGGGCGTGTACCCTCGGCTGTCACTCAGGCCCTTTCCCTTTTCCGGTGTGTGTGTGGGGAGGGGGGATATCTTTGTGTTCCTGGCTCAGGCAGGTGGCTGCTGTCTGTGTCTGCATGGGCAGGACAGGGCTGTGTCTCGGCCTCCATCAGTGGGGCTGATGGCCCAGGGGTGCCACGTCTGGCTGCCCCGATGCGGCTCATTACCGAGATGAAAAGCTGGACCAGCCTAGCCGGTTTCCCAGCACTCCTGGGACCTGTCCCCTTTCCTGCAGGTTCCTGCCCCACCCACATTCCTGCTGGCTTCCTAGCATGGGGCTCCATAGCTCTCCAAGGGGCACACATGGTTGATTCCTGCGGCCAGCTGGATGGTGGGGGGAACACAGGACCGCAAAGCTACAGGGCAAAAACGCTGAGACTGTGCTTCCGGAGGCCTGGATTCGAATCCCAGCTCTGCCTTGCTTGCTGGCAGTGGAACTGTGGCCAAATGATGGAATTTCTTTGTACCTCAATTTCCCCATCTGTAACTGAGTGAATTGCATGGTATATGAATTCCATGCAATTCACTCACTTAAAGTTGTAATCCTCCAACTTTTGAGAATAATGGTACTTACTTAGAGGCTGGTAGGATTGATGAGCTAATATATATGTGACTTGCTTCGCAGTGGGCAGGACAAATAGCTCTCTAGGAGTTAACTAGCATCTTCCAGGCTGCTGGGGGATTACCTGCAGCTGGCCAGCTTCCCTGGAGAATGAGACAAGAGGCAGGACCTGACTCAGGAGAGAAGAAACAAACCCCTGTCATTTCTAAATGGCACTTGCCTTTTTTTTTTTTTTGAAATGGAGTCTTGCTCTGTCGCCCAGGCTGGAGTGTAGTGGTGCAATCTCGGCTCACTGCAACCTCCACCTCCCGGGTTCAAGCAATTCTTCCACCTTAGCCTCCCAAGTAGCTGGGATTACAGGTACCTGCCATCATGCCTGGCTAATTTTTGTGTTTTTAGTAGAGACGAGGTTTCACCATGTTGGCCAGGCTGGTCTTGAACTCCTGACCTCAGGTGATCTGCCCGACTCAGCCTCCCAAAGTGCTGGGATTACAGGCCTGAACCACCATGCCCAGCTGCCTTTTTTGTGTTTTTTTTTTTTGTAGCAGCTTTACTGTGATGTAATTCATATATCATCCAGTTCACTCATTTAAAGTGTTCAGTTCAGTGTTTTTGTTTTTGTTTTGAGACAGGGTCTCACTCTCATTGCCCAGGCTGGAATGCAGTGGCGAAATCTCGGCTCACTGCAGCCTCAACCCCCTGGGCTCAAGTAATCCTCCTACCTCAGCCTCCCGAGTATCCAGGACTACAGGTGTGCATCACCATGCCCAGCTAATTTTTTGTATTTTCAGTAGACATGGGGTTTCACCATGTTGCCCGGGCTGCTCTCAAACTCCTGGTCTCAAGCGATCTGCCCACCTCGGCCTCCCAAAGTGCTGGGATTATAGGTGCGAGCCACCACGCCCAGCCCAGTGGATATTAATATAGTCACAGAGTTGTACAGCCATCCCCACGATTGATTTTAGAACATTTTTATCACCCCAAAAAGAAATCTGATACCCCTTAGCAATCACTGTCCATTTTACATCCTCCTGGGCCATGGCAACCACTCATCCACTTTCTGCTCCTGTAGATTTCTGCATTCTGGACGTTTCTTATCAATGGAATAATATGTGAGCTTTTGTGTCTGGCTTCTCTCACTGAGCATAACATTCTCGAGGTTCCTGAGGCTGTAGCAGCTGTCAGTCCTGCCTTCATTCTTTGGCCGAATAATAGAGATAGACCACGTTTGGTTTATATTTTCATCAGTTGATGAATATTTGAGTTGTTTCCACTAAAAAGTGGAGGCCAAAAGGCTATTATGAATCATGCTGCTGTGATTCATCTATGTACAAGTTTCTGTGCAGGCATAGATTTTTTTGTTTTTTTGTTTTTGTTTTTTTGTTTTTTATTTTCTGAGATGGAGTCTTGCTCCATCACCCAGGCTGGAGTGCAGTGGCGCCATCTCAGCTCATTGCAACCTCCGCCTCCCAGGTTCAAGCGATTCTCTTGTCTCAGCTTCCCGAATAGATGGGATTACAGGCACATACCACCACGCCCAGCTAATTTTTTTGTACTTTTAGTAGAGATGGGGTTTCACCATGTTGGCCAGGCTGGTCTCGAACTCCTGACCTCAGGTGATCCACCTGCCTCGGCCTCCCAAAGTGCTGGGATTGCAGGCGTGAGTCACCGCATCCAGCCCAGACATAGGTTTTCATTTCTCTTGGATAGATATGTAGGGGTGGGCTGGGTGCAGTGGCTCACGCCTGTAATCCTAATATTTTGGGAGGCCGAGGCAGATAGATTGCTTGAGCCCAGGGGTTCAAGACCAGCTGGGGCAACATGGCGAAACCTCCCTCTCTGAAAAAAAAAAAAAATTAGCTGGGCACGGTGCCAGGCGCCTGTAGTCGCAGTTACTCGGAGGCTGAGGTACAAAGATTGCTTGAGACTGGGAGGTCAAGGCTGCAGTGAGCTAAGATTGCACCACTGCAGTCCAGCCTGGGCAACAGAGTGAGACCCTGTCTCAAAAAATAATAAGGCTGGGCGCAATGGCTCACACCTGTAATCCCAGCACTTTGGGAGGCCAAGGCAAGTGCATCACCTGAGGTCAGGAGTTCGAGACCAGCCTGGCCAACATGGCAAAACCCCGTCTCTACTAAAAGTACAAAAGTTAGCCGGGTGTGGTGGCACACACCTGTAATCCTAGCTACTCGGGAGGCTGAGGTAGGAGAATCATTTGAGTCTGGGAAGCGGAGGCTGAGTGAGCCGAGATCATGCCAGTGCACTCCAGCCTGGGCAACAGGGTGAGACCCTGTCTCAAAAAAATAAATAAGTAATAAAAATAAAAAAAATACGTAGGGGTGGACTTGCTGGGTCTTATGGTGACTGCTTAACTTTTTGTGGAATTTCTAGACTGTTTTCCACAACTGTACACCATTTTGCATCCCCACTAGCAAGGCACGAGGGTTCCAATTTCTCCACATTTTTGCCAACACTTGTTATTGTCTTTTTTATTATAGCCATTGTAGTGGATGAAAAGTGGCATCCCGGTGTGGTTTTGGGCTCTTGGCATTTTAAATTAATCTGTGAAGTACCTACTGTGTGCTGGGAGCCCTGTAAGATCGTCACATGGAATTGTTAAGGGCCTAGAGTCCTGGCTCTGCCATCTAATTGCTGGGTGACTTTGGGAGAGTTATTTAACCTCTCTGATCCTCAGTTTCCACACCCATAAACGGGGATAATAATACAATTACCTACCATGCTAACACCCAGCTCTCAGGGTTGTCATGAAGATTGAGTCAGAAACAGTGAGGAGCCTGGCACGTAGAGAGTAAGTATTAGCTCATATTACGATGGTGGAGATTGTTATTGGTGTGATTTTCCTAGCATCCCCATGAGTAACTTCTAGCCCAGTCGATCACATGCCTCTGGAGTGAGATTGCTTGCGGGGAGAATCGCGGTTCACCAGCTGTGTGACCCTGAGCAAGTGCTTTGATGTCTCAGAGTCTTGGTTTCTTCATCCCCTTCTTCAAAGGGGCACACCAACCTCCCCGGGGACTTAGGGCAAGGATGATATTGAGCTGGTGCCTGTGAATATGTCTGAGGTCTGGCAAAGCCCACAGCAAGTGGCAAATGCCCAGGATGCCTTTGTGGTCATCGCCAGAGGACAGATGGAGAAGCGGAGGCTGTACGAGGGTAGGGCACTTGCCTGAGGCTGTCTAAGCAGCAAGCAGCCCAGTGGGCCTTGGGCCTGGCCTGTCTGCTCATAGCTTCCTGCTACCGCTCACAGCTTTGTCCCATCAGGAGTCCAAGGTCCCTGAGGCAGTGGTCATTGCCCCACAACTCCCATGTCCTCTGGGGGGCTTCGGCTGGAACAACAGGCCCAGCCAGGATAGAGTCCAGAAGGTGGCTTTTCTTGCATCTGCCACAATCCATGAAAGGGCTGGTTTGGGAGCTGGCCCTGTGCCTGAGGTGGGACTGGGCCCAAGAGAGACAAAGGCCCCCACTTGAGCCACAGTACAGACCCTAACGATGCACTGCAGAGTCAGGGGTTAAATATTTGGGGTGAGACTCACCGCCTCTAGGTGCAGCTGGCCTGGCAGATGGTCAGTGACTGGGGTGGGAGTGTGGGGGCCCAGAAACTCACATTCTCCATGTGGCCTGCCCAACCAGGAAGTGGGGGGTTAGGGAATGAGGGAGGAGTCGGGTGGACCCCTGACCTGGCTGTTCTAGAAGCCCACCTTATCCCTTCTTACCGAGATCCTCCATCCAAAGCCCCCCACTGCTAAGCCTTCCTGGCCACCCCGCCAAACACTGGCTTTCTCCACTGCAGGACTTGTCAGTGCCTTTGCTGGCTCATGAACATATCAAGGATGGGGTTTTCCTAAGTGCCTTGACCAAGGAAGAATAAGACTTGTAAGAGTTGGGTTCCTGGGACCCCACTTTGGGACAGGCTGCCCCCAGTTGACCTTGCAGAAGGTATGGCTTGGGTCCTGTTCCCTCAAGATCCCCCAGCTCCGGTGTATCCAGGTCTGCCACAAAGCTGGCCCTTAAGCAAGGTGTGGAACCTAGACGGATGGATCCCCAGCATGTTGGCTGCTGCCATTTCTGCCCCCAATGCCCCCAACATCAACAGCACCTGCATTGCTGGTCCATGACTCCGGTAGGTGTCCAGGTACCCTGGGGAACCTGCAAAAATAGTAATAATAATACAGCTTCCTGGGCCCAGCTCTGGAGACCTGGGTTCAGCAGGTCTGGGTTAGTGGCCGGGAATCTGAATTTTTCATGCTAGGCCCCAGAACCTTGATCTGGGGAGCATCACTCGAAAGGGCTGGTGGTCCCCTCTGCCTTGACGGTCAAGAACCCCGCCCTGGCCCACCCCACGGGACGTGCCAGGACCTGCCTCTCTCTATGGCGTGTCCTCATTGGAGCCTTCTGCACAGGAACACCAAATTCTTCCTTTTGCTTTAGCACCCAGCCGACACCACCTCCTCCAGGAAGCCTTCAGTGACCACCGCTGTCCCCACCCAGCCAGTCCAGAGGTTCCCCTGGGCATCCCCAGCCTCCAGGCCTGCCTCAGTCTCGTGACTGTTTCTATAAATACTGATTTCCTCCTGGTCTGTGGGGTGGATCAGGGAGGGAGAGGCTTGTCTTTGTGAGGTGCAGGGCCCGCACACAGCAGGTGCTTAATGAGTGTGAGTAGAAGGCAACTTCTGCGTGCCTAGCCACTCAGGCCCCACTGTGGGTCTTCAGTGGAGACAGGGGAGCTATCATCGCTGGCTAACTGGGTGACAATGGCCAAGTTGGTTTCCCTTTCTTTCTTTGTTTAAAGAAAACAACAGAAGGAGGCTGGGCATGGTGGCTCACACCTGTAATCCCAGCTACTCAAAAGGCTGAGGCAGCCGAATCACTTGACCCCAAGAAGTGGAGGTTGCAGCGAGCCAAGATGATACCACTGCACTTCCAGCCTGGGTGACAGAGTGAGACTCGGTCTCAAAACCACAGAGGCAGAGCTGGGTGATCTCTAAGGCTCCTTGACAACTAAAATCACAAACCTTTGTTCAGACTTATTCTGTGCCCGGCTCTATGCACAGTCCTTTGGTAGTGTAACCTCACTTCCATTCATAACCCCTGCCACCCTGGCCCCGGGAAAGGACTGTTACTCTAGTCCATCGGATTGGGAGACAGAGGCACAGATAGGCAAGGGAGCTGGGCCAAGTCACACAGCCACTAAGTGGCTGATGGGAGCCAAGATCTGAACCCACAGCTAACCCCAGGGCCAAAGTCTTAACTAACTCCCATTAGAGCATTTTCCAGAGTGGTCTGTCTGTGGTTCTGGGGGACGGGGGGCAGTAGACAAATGTGACAGGAGGGGACACAGAGACAGTGAGGGAGAGGGCCAGTCTGCTTTCAAGACTTTTTTTTCTTTTCTTGTTTTTTTTTTTCGAGATGGAGTCTCGCTCTGTTACCCAGGCTGGAGTGCAGTGGTGCAATCTCAGCTCACTGCCACCTCCACCTCCCAGGTTCAAGCAGTTCTCCTGCCTCAGCCTCCCGAGTAGCTGGGACTACAGGCGCATGCCACCACACCTAGCTAATTTTTGTATTTTTAGTAGAGATGGGGTTTCACCATGTTGGCCAGGCTGGTCTCAAACTCCTGATCTCAGGTGATTCGCCCGCCTTGGCCTCCCAAAGTGCTGGGATTACAGGTATGAGCCACCACACCGGGCCTCAAGTCTCTTTCAGGCGCTCTGAGAAGATCAGGAGAAAGGCTGGGCCTGACGCCACCACGGCTGTCACACCTCCTGACTTGTAACAGCGGGCAGCCCAGTGTCACCACGGAACCCAGTGCCACTGCGTTCCCATGAAATTTATTTTGGCAGCTAATTCACTCATGGTGAGGGCTTCTGATTTCTGATTAAAATGGGGAGAGAAGTTACCTTTGTAAACACATTTAACTCTAAAATAAAACGAGTAGGTTGAAAGAAAAATATCAGGTAATTAAAAATAAGACTGCTCACACAAAAGCTTGTTCCCGAACGTTCATAGCAGCGTGATTCTCACGATGGCCCAAAGGTGGAAACGGCCCAGATGGTTGTCAGCTGTTGAATGAATAAGCAAAATGTGAAGTAGCCACGTGATGGAATATTATTCAGCCATAAAAAGAATGAAGTTCTAATAGATGCTGCAATATGCACAAAGCTTGAAAACATTATGCTGAGAGAAGGCAGACGCAAAAGGCCACGTGTTGTGTGATTCTATTTATATGAAATGTCCAGAATAGGCAAATCCATAGAGAGAAAAAGTAAATTCCTGGTTGCCAGGGGCTGGAGCGGGTGGGGAATAGGGAGTGACAGCTTGTGGGTGTGGAGCTTTGGGGTGATAAAAATGTCTGGAATGAGATAGTGGTGATGGTTGCACGATTCTGAATGTGTAGTACTAAAAGCCAGTGACTGTGTATTTTAAACAGGTGAATTTTACGGTATGTGAGTTATCTCCCAATTTTTCAAATATGGTGCGTTTTGCCAACATGGCAAAATAGAAGCATTAGAAGCTGGGTGTGCTGGTGGTGCCAGTGGTCCCAGCTACTCAGGAGGTGGAGGTAGGAGGATTGCTTGAGCTCAGGAGTTCGAGGCTATAGTGAACTATGATCACGCCACTGCACTCCAGTCTGGGTGACAGAGTGAGACCCTATCTCTCACAAAAAAATATGTAGTCGGGGCCTGGTGGCTGACATCTGTAATCCCAGCACTTTGGGAGTCCAAGGTGGACGAATTGCTTGAGCTCAGGAGTTCGAGACCAGCCTGGGTGACATGGTGAAACCCCTTCTCTACCAAAAGAAATGTAAAAGTTATGCAGGAGTGGTGGCATGTGCCTGTAGTCCCAGCTACTTGGGAGGCTGGGCTAGGAGGATTGCTTGAGCCTGGGAGATAGAGGCTGCAGTGAGCCATGACTGTGCCGCTACACCCCAGCCTGGGCAAGAGTGTGAGACTCCGTCTCAATAAAATGAATGAATGAATGAATGAATGAACGAATGAATGAATAAAAATAAAAAATAGAAGCATTAGAGAGAATGATCAAAGTGGAGGCTGGGCGGGCGCGGTGGCTCACGCCTGTAATCCCAGCACTTTGGGAGGCCAAGATAGGTGGATCACTTGAGGTCAGGAGTTCAAGACCAGCCTGGCCAACATGGTGGAACCCCATCTCCACTAAAAATACAAAAATTAGCCAGGCTTGGTGGTGCATGCTTGTAATCTCAGCTACTGGGGAGGCTGAGGCATGAGAATCATTTGAACCCAGGAAGTGGAGGTTGCAGTAAGCTGAGATCACGCCACTGCACTTTAGCCTGGGTGACAGAGCAAGACTCCATCTCAAAAAAAAAAAAAAAAAAAAAAAGGAGGCTGACCGCCTGCCAGGCGCTGCCTTGTCTCTGTGGCTTTAGTGATGTTGCCCTATGGGAACAGCCCAACTACCTCAAAGGCTCTGTGGGCAGCTCCTGCTCAGAGCGTGGGGCCGGGGCCAGCCAGAGGATGGGGTGCTGGTGGGGACATAGCCCCCACCCACCAGGCACCCCGCCCATCTCCCCTCGGCTTCTGCCCGCAGCATCTCTAACAAGGAGCTCTCGGAGCTGATCGAGCAGCTGCAGAAGAATGCCGACCAGGTGGAGAAGAACATCGTGGACACAGAGGCCAAGATGCAGAGTGTGAGTGCCCCCACTCCCACTCCCACCTGGGTGCCCCGTGCTGCCAGCCCTGTTCAGGACCAGGATCTGTTTGGAATCGGTGATTCTCACCCAGGGGTGATTGTGGCCCCGAGGGAACATGCAGAGACATTTTGGTTGTCACTGCTTGGAAGGAAGGTCCTCCTGGCGTCCAGTTGGGGAGGGGAGACAGGGATGCTGCTGAACACCCTACCGTGCACTGTAGGGCAGGGGTGCCAAGGTCAGGAAGCCCTGCTCTGTGAGAGGAACCTGGCCATTGTCGTTAATACTAGTACCTCCCGGATACTAAGTTCCTCCCTCTTCCTGGGCCCTGTGGAAAGCGTCTCCTGCCTGGAGGAGTGCCATGGGGTCAGGCTCTATGGAAACAGCCCAGCCTTGTCCTTGCTGGGTGACCTTGGACAAGTGAGCCATCCCACCTCCCCATGAACGAGATTCTCTCTAAGCAGGCAGGAGTGATGGTTCCCATTTGGCGGGGTGGTTGTAAAGATTAAATGAGATTATGCAGGTATAGGACAGGGCTATTATCGTCAATATCATTCTCACTGCTCATCCTACTGCTGCCAGCACTCAGGGTGCAGGTCTTTCTCCACCTTTTTTGGAGAAGAGAGATAAAATAGCTGGGCAAATCACTTTCCCCTATCTGTGCCTCAGTTTCCCTTTCTGTAACATGGGGATAACAACTGCCCAGTGGACTCAACGGCATGAAGCCTCTGTACCCTGAGGGACTCACGAGCCGCTGGAATGGTCACCTTCTCTTTAAACCTTCCACCAGCGCCAGCCCGGTGCGATTGGGTTGATGCCTGTTTTGTACCCTGGAGCAACTGAGGTTTAGAAGGGGCTGGGATGATGAGTCAGTGACAGAGATGGTGCCAGCATCGGCCTGCAGGTGGAGTTACCAGATTTAGCAAATAAAATATGAGATGCCCAGTTACATTTGAATTTCAGAACACAAATCATGTTTTAGTAGCAGGAAAGCCCATGTGTTATTAGGGAAAGGCTTATGCTAAAACATTATTTATTGTTTATCTGAAAATCAAGTGTAAGTGGTGATCTGTATTTCATCTGGCATCCCTATGCAGGGGCGACTAAGAAGTGGGACCAGGCCAGGTGCGTAATGGCTCACACGGCCGTAATCCCAGTACTTTGGGAGGCCGAGGTGGGTAGATCACTTGAGGTCGGGAGTTTGAGACCAGACTGGCCAATGTGGTGAAACCTCATCTCTACTAAAAATACAACAATTAGCTGGGCGTGGTGGTGCACACCTATAATCCCAGCTACTCAGGAGGCTGAGGCAGGAGAATCGCTTGAACCCGGGAGGCGGAGGTTGCAGTGAGCCAAGATCGTGCCACTGCGCTCCAGCCTGGGCAACAGAGTAAGACTGTCTCAAAAAAAAAAAAAAAAAAAAAAGGTGGGACCAGAGGAGTGGGAGGCTGAGGGTGGGGAGGTCAGGAGGGAGGTCAAGGTCTACCCGGCCAAGCTGCTGTCCCCAGGCCCAGCCATAGGTATCCAACCCCCTTGGCTGCTCCTGATGGCCCAGTTGCCCACCCTCTGAAGGCCTGTCCACAGCAGCCAAGAGACCCAAGCGGGTAGGTGGGCTGGGGTGGGCACAGTCCACGGGGGTGTAGGGGGCAGATAAGTGGAGACTCTGTTCTCTGCCACCAGCTATCCCCTGCAGGGGCCCCAGGAGTGGGCCTTGCCCTGGCCTCCTGCCTGGGGCCCCCGCCTCCATGCCCCCCTGGGCCTCCACCTCCTGCCTCCCTGGCCTCTGCCTGGCCACCCCACACCTGTTCCCTCCCATCAGCTCCCCTTGTCATTTGCAGTTACATCCTCTGCCATCTGAGGCCCCCTGTGGTGGTGGATTTCTTTCCTTCTTAAATGGAAAACATCTTTTGGGGGTGTGTCTCTTTTTTCCTCATAACAAAAATAATATGTGTTCATCACACACATTTCACGATGGATAAACAAGCATAACAAAGTGAATTAAAATCATGAGCCGGGTGCGGTGGCTCGCGCCTGTAATCTCAGCACTTTGGGAGGCCTAGGCAGGCAGATCACCTGAGCCCAGGAGTTTCAGACAAGCCTGAGCAACATGGTGAAACCTCGTCTCTACAAAAAATATGAAAAATTTGCCAGGTGTGGTGGTGTGTGTGCCTGTAATCCCAGCTCCTTGGGAGGCTGAGGTGGGAGGCTCGCTTAAGCCCGGAAGGTTGAGGCTGCAGTGAGCAGAGATGACACCACTGCACTCCAGCCTGGGCAGCAGAGGGACACCCTGCCTCAATCAATCAATCAATCAATAAAGTCAGTCATGTAGAATTCCACCACCAGAGGTATCTACTGACTATTAACATATTGGTGTATATCTGTTTGACCTTTGTGTATGTGTGTGAGAGAGAGAGAGAGAGAGAGAGAAAGAAGGAAGAGGGTTTAACCTTCTCATTTTATTTCCCTGAAGTATTGACTCAAAATAGGTAATTTTGAACCATTTTTATTTTATTTTTTTGCAGAGACAGAGGTCCTTGCTATGTTGTCCAGGCTGGTCTTGAACTCCTGGCCTCAAGCCATCCTCCTGCCTCAGCTTCCCAAAGTGCTGGGATTTACAGGCATGAGCCACTGTGTGCTTGGCCTGAACAATTTTTTCTTTCTTTCTTTCTTTTTTTTTTTTTTTTTTTGGAGACAGTCTCTCACTCTGTTGTCCAGGCTGGAGTGCAGTGGTGCTATCTCGGCTCACTGCAACCTCCACCTCCCGGGTTCAAGTGATTCTTCTGCCTCAGCCTCCCAAGTAGCTGGGACCACAGGCAGGCACCACCACGCCCAGCTAATTTATTTATTTATTTATTTTCAGTAGAGATGGGGTTTCATCACATTGGCCAGGCTGGTCTCAAACTCCTGACCTTGTGATCTGCCCACCTCGGCCTCCCAAAGTGCTGGGATTACAGGTGTGAGCCACTGCACCCGGCCTATTTTTTTAACTTCAACTGAACCCACTTGAAAAAAGAAGCTAGGCTTTGAAGACTACATGGATCACACAATCTTTTTCTTATGTTCTTTTTGCTAAAGATACTACTATTTATTTCATTTCCCAGTTCTGTTGAATTTTCCATTTTTTTTAATTGAGGGGAGATTCACATAACATAAAATTAACCATGTAATGTGTACAAGTCAGTGGCATTTCATACATTCACAATGTTACACAACCATCTCCTCGATCTAGTTCCCAAACATTTCCCTTACCCCAGAGCCAAACCCCACACCCTTAACAGTTACTCCCCACCTCCCCTTTCCCCCTGGCAGCAACTAATCTGCTTTCTCTCTGTGGATTTATTTATTCTGGATATTTCACATAAACAGAATCATACACTGCATCACACATTTATTCAAATGCTAAACATGCAGAAAACCGTACAGCGAACACCCATATCCCACCACCTGATCCTACAAGGAACGTCTGCTGAATTGGCTTTATCATGTATCTGTCCGTGTGTGTGTGTGTGTGTGTGTGTGTGTGTGTGTGTGTGTGTGTGTGAGATTAGATATATCAGTCCCTATAATTTTTTATTTTTATTTTTTATTGAGACAGGGTCTTGCTCTGTCACCCAGGCTGGAGTGCAGTGGCGCAATCACGACTCACTGAAGCCTCAACCTCCTGGGCTCAAGCAATCCTCCCACCTCAACCTCCCAAGTAGCTGGGACTACAGGCGCATGCTACTATGCCTGGCTCATTTTTGTATTTTTTTTTTTTTTTTTTTTTTTTTAGAGATAGGGTCTCACTATATTGCCCGGGCTGGTCTCCAACTCCTGAGCTCAAGCAATCCTCCCGCCTGGGCCTCGCAGAGTGCTGGGATTATAGGCGTGAGCCACTGCACCTGGCCCCTGTGACTTTAAAAAACTTTTTTATCAAGGTATAACTTATATAAACTCTAGAGAAGTGTCTACATTCGCAGACTTCACCTGGGTGAATTTTTGCATCAATAGGTACCCAGATAACCACTGTCTGTGGCAAGATGGGTAACTGTCTAGAAAGCTCCCGGGCCATCTCCCTAGTTGATATCCCTCAGGGGTCAACCCTATGCTGATCTCTCTCACCATCGATCAGTTCTGCCCGACTTTGAACTTTCGAACACTAGCCTCCCTCAGCTAGATGTTCTCTTTCTCTCTCAGCCAGTGTTTTGAGAGAACTTGCATTCCCACCGGGCACCTTCACGAATTAGGCAATGATTAATGGACTTCCTCCTTTTGCAAAATTAATCTTTGATCTGCAGCTCAGGGAAGCTGGTGATAATGGAGTGAATAAAATTCTACTCCAAGCAGGCCGGGCGCGGTGGCTCACGCCTGTAATCCCAGAACTTTGGGAGGCCGAGGCGGGTGGATCACGAGGTCAGGAGATCGAGACCATCCTGGCTAACACGGTGAAACCCCGTCTCTACTAAAAATACAAAAAAATTATCCAGGCATGGTGGTGGGCGCCTGCAGTCCCAGTTACTTGGGAGGCTGAGGCAGGATAATGGTGTGAATCCGGGAGGCAGAGCTTGCAGTGAGCCGAGATCGTGCCACTGCACTCCAGCCTGGGCAACAGAGTGAGACTCCATCTCAAAAATAAAAAAACAAAAAAAATTTAAAAATTCCACTCCAAGTCAAGAAGCTGATGTTTTGTTGTAATTAACGGGCCAGCCTACCCCAGGGTTGGGGGATGCCTGGTTCCATTGGCTTTTTGGATTGGTTGGTTTGAGGTAGGGTCTCGCTCTGTCGCCAAGGCTGGAGTGCAGTGGTGCAATCTTAGCTCATTGCAGCCTTGAACTCCTGGACTCAAATGATTCTCCTGCCCCAGCGTCCTGAGTAGCTAGGACTATAGGTGCATGCCATCACACCCAGCTACCTTTTAAAAATATTTTTTAATAAATGGGGTCTCACTATATTGCCCAGGCTGGTCTTGCACTCCTGGGCTCAAGCCATCCTCCTGCCACAGCCCCCCAAAGTGTTAAGATTACAGATATGAGCCACTGTGCCTGGCCTCCAGCGGCTTTTCGGGACATCAGCCTCATCTCCAACCCCCTGGGGAGTCAGGCCTGTTCACCCTTCAGCCCTTCCAGACTTAGCCAGGCAAAGGCACTCTTGACACATTTTCTTCCTCCAAGAAGAAGCCAAGTCTTTACTTCGTACCAGGCACCACGTCACCCCTGTGTATTTCTCGTTTTTCTTCCTTTTGCTTTTTCTTTTTAAAAAACAACTGTATGGAGACATATTTCACTTAAAAAAGGCTCCCACTGCAAGTGTACAAGTCAATGATTTTGAGTAACTTTAGCAAGGGGCAGAACCACGCCCATGAATCAGTTTCAGAATATTTTCATCCCGTGCAAGATCTCTTGTGCCTATTTACTGTTAATGCCTCTTCCCAGCCCTGCCCCAGGCAACCACTTAAGAGACAGTGACTTTCCATCTCTCTGGACTTGCCTGTTCGGGACACTTCACATCAATGGATCCCACACCATGTGGGCTCTGTCTGGCTTCTTTGCCTTTGAATAACGTCTTCCAGGCTTGTTCAGATGGAGCACGGTCCGTAGTTCCTGCTCTTTGTTGCTAAGTGGTATTTCTCAGTTCACTTCATAAGCGGGTATTTTCCTTATGCCCATTATAGAGATGGGAATGCTGAGACCCAGCTAGGGGAAGGGACCGGCGGCCGGCTCTGAGTGCCCCAGCGTCAGCCAACCTGCACTCATTCCCCTCAGTGACATGTCACTGCCTCCCCTGCGGGACTGGGGATCCCTCAGGGATTCATCCCCAGGACCTAGCATGGTGTAGACTCACAGCCAGACTTCTTGAATATTGACACAGTGAATTAACCCGCTGTGATTAGAAACCTACTGTCCCGGCTGCCATTCATTGCTCTTCCCTAAACGAACAGAAGCCCTGTACTCATCAGCAACCATCGACGGCCCCTTCCAGATATCCCCCCGGCTCTGTTCCTTCTTGCTGGTGCCACCTCGCTGTCACCTGGCTGCTGCCACAGACCACTGCCTGCCCTCCCAGCCCACACCCTTGCTGTCCTCTCTGCAGAGCCCCTGGAGGCATCGCCTTTAAGCACAAATGGAGCTGTGCAGGATCCCTCCTTGCAGCCATTGTGTGTTCTAGCTGCTCACCCTCCCCGCCCCCCGCCTGCCCTGTTTCCTCCCTATCCACAGAGACCTTTTCACTATGGCCCAGTCGTAGCTCGCTCTCTCCTGCCTCAGGACCTTTGCACAGGCTGTTCCTGTGGCTGGAACACTGTCCCTTTCATCCTTTGTTCTTAGCTTGTGTCTCCACCACGAAGAGGCTTCCCTGACCACCAGAGCTGAAGTAGGTCCCCTCGTTCCACCTCTGGAGCATTTCTTTCATAAACACTGACTTGGAGGGACTTGCAGTCACCTCCATGAGGCTCATCCTTTGACTGGCCTTCCTGGTGGCCTTGCAGACTGGGTTGTGAGTGCCAGGCAGGGAGGCCATGTCTCTTCTGTTCACAGCTGTGTCCCAACTCCTTGCATACAGTAGGTACTTGAGCTCTGTTTGCTGAGTGGCTGGAGGACAGGCTGGAGGGGGCATAAGAGAAATACCTGCTTTGCAAAGTGAACTTGAGAAATACCACGTAGCAGCAAAGAGATGGAACTACCGACTGCGCTCCATATGGACAAGCCTGGAAGACGTTATTCAAAGGGAAAGAAGGGGAGCACCCTGCTGACCCCTTTCCTCCCACCCCTCCCATTGCCACCGTGCCCGCTCTCGGCTCCTGTTCATTGTCCCCTCTCTTGTGACCCTCACAGGACCTGGCTCGGCTGCAGGAGGGTCGGCAGCCTGAGCACCGGGACGTGACCCTGCAGAAGGTGTTGGACTCTGAGAAGCTGCTCTATGTGCTAGAGGCGGATGCGGCCATTGCCAAGCACATGAAGCACCCACAGGGGGACATGATCGCCGAGGAGTAGGTCCCTTCTGCTTCTTACCCCAGGGGAGCCATTGGGGGCTATGGGCCAGGGCGGGGGGTCCTGTTCAGCATTTGGGAGCCCGAGTCAGGGGTTATCAAGGGCTAATTAGGTGCCAGGCACGTGCCAAAGGCTTCACATGATCCTTTCTTTTTTTTTTTTTTGAGACGTAGTTTTGCTCTTGTTGCCCAGGCTGGAGTGCAATGGCATGATCTTGGCTCAGCGCAATCTCTGCCTCCCCAGTTCAAGCTATTCTCATGCCTCAGCCTCCCAAGTAGCTGGAATTACAGGCATGCACCACCATGCCCGGCTAATTTTTGTATTTTTAGTAGAGACAGGGTTTCTCCATGTTGGCCAGGCTGGTCTCAAACTCCAGACCTTAGGTGATCCGCCTGCCTCGACCTCCCAAAGTGCTGGGATTACACAAAGTGCTGGGATTACACATGTGAGCCACCGCGCCCAGCCTCACATGATCCTCTTGATGACCCTATTTTGCAGTTGGGGAAATGGAGGCTTAGGGAGTTGATATCCCTTGTTCTGGAGCCACCAGCCTGACCTGTGAGCTTTTGAGCGAGCTCTTCCGCTGCCTGGTGCCCTGTCCCTGGCTTCCTTGGCTCACGACTCCCAGTTCATTTTATCGTGGATGAATCAGCCCCCCTGACTCCTGCCTTGTCCCATGCCCTATCTCCACCCCGGCAAGGGCAGGGCTCTCTCGGTGCCCCACGACCCTTGGCACTTGTCCTTGGCATGGCATGCACCACACTGTGGGCCCTGCTGGATGGCAGACTCCAGAAAACAAGATCTTTCCTGCTTATTCCAGAACTTTCTATCATTCTGGCACATAGTAGGCCCTCAGGAAACTGATGGGGGAAGGAAGGTTGAGGGAAAGTGGGTGGGGCCAGGCACGGTGGCTCACGCCTGTGATCCCAGCACTTCGGGAGGCCGAAGCGGACGGATCACCTGAGGTCAGGAGTTCGAGACCAGCCTGACCAACATGGTGAAACCCCGTCTCTACTGAAAATACAAAATTACCCAGGCGAGGTGGCACATGCCTGTAATCCCAGCTACTCGGGAGGTTGAGGCAGGAGAATTGCTTGAACCTGGGAGGCGGAGGCTGCCATGAGCTGAGATGACGTCACTGTACTCCAGCCTGGGTGACAGAGCAAGACTCTGTCTCAAAAAAAAAAAAAAAGTGCATGGGAGGAGGGGTGAGAGGATGCTGTGATTGTCTGGAACCCAAGGCCATATGGTCACTGTGTCCTTCCAGGACACTGAGGCCGGGGTCTGGGTGGGGGGCCCCTCCTGGGGTGCAGGCAGTGCCAACCAGCCCCACTAAGTGGGAGCCTCTCTCCCATCAGTATCCGCCAGCTGAAGGAGCGTGTGACCAACCTGCGCGGGAAACACAAGCAGATCTACAGGCTGGCGGTGAAGGAAGTGGATCCACAGGTCAACTGGGCGGCACTGGTGGAGGAGAAGCTGGTATGGCCTGGACGGGGCCGCTGGCTCCAGGGTTTCAGCTGGGGAGGGGGCTGTGCGTGTGCAGGGAGAGCCTACCCATGTAATGGGCATCCCGGGTCTTACCAGGGAGACAGTCGTGGTCCTGATGGTTTTCCAGTGTGCCCATGAGAAGAGTGAGGCTCAGAGAAGTGCAGCACGAAGTCAGGGTCACACAGCTCAAGCGGTGGAGATTCGGACTCTGTCCCCTGTCAGCCACACCTCGCTGCTGCTCCTGGGTCCCACTTTCCAACCCTGGCATGTTGGGGTCTTGGTGACATTTTGTGGGCAGGCTGGGGCGGAAGCGGCCAGGCTTCTGGCCTGTCGCTCCCTTTCCTGGGTGCTCACCACAGAGAAGCACACAGCCACTGCAGCTAGGTGTCCCGGGTTCAAGCCTTAGCTTCCCCAGTTTTATTTATTTATTTATTTATTTATTTATTTATTTATTTTTGAGACAAGGTCTCACTCTGTCGCGCAGACTAGAGTGCAGTGGCATGATCATGGCTCACTGCAGCGTCAACTTCCCAGGCTTAGGTGATCCTCCCACCTCAGCCTCCCAAGTAGCTGGAATTACAGGTGCACGCCATCATACCTGGCTAATATTTTGTATTTTTATAGAGACGGGGCTTTGCCACATTGGCCAGGCTGGTCTCAAACTCCTGAGCTTCCCCAGTTTTATTATTTATTTATTTATTTATTTTTGACACAAGGTCTCACTCTGTCTCCCAGGCTGGAATGCAGTGGCATGATCACGGCTCACTGCAGCCTCAACTTCCCAGGCTTAGGTGATCCTCCCACCTCAGCCTCTCAAGTAGCTGGGATTACAGGTGCATGCCACCACACCTGGCTAATTTTTTGTATTTTTGTAGAGATGGGGCTTTGCTACATTGGCCAGGCTGGTCTCAAACTCCTGGGCTCAAGCGATCCGACCCCATTGGCCTCCCAAAGTGCCTGGATGACAGGCATCAGTCACCATGCCTGGCCAGCTTTCCCAATGTTACTGGCGTGACCCTGGGCAGGTGACTGGCCCTCATTCAGCCTCAGCCTCTGTGTCCTCATCTGAGAGATGGGACAGTAACCATGTGGACCCCTGAGGCTCTGTGAGATGAAAGATGATATAGGTCAGTGCTCAGCAAACAGAACCTCAGGGTTGAAGGTGTGGCCAGCATCTCCTTGTGGCTCTGCAGGGCCCCGTGAAAAAGAGAGCACCATCATGCCCACCCCCGAGGCTCCTGGGGTGGCCACACGTCCCCAGCCCTCAGCCCACCCTCTCCTTATTGCTTCTCTGCCCTCCTGGCCAGGACAAGCTGAACAACCAGAGCTTTGGGACTGACCTGCCGCTGGTGGACCACCAAGTGGAGGAGCATAACATCTTCCACAATGAGGTCAAGGCCATCGGGCCCCACCTGGCCAAGGACGGGGACAAGGTGGGGCGTGTGCTGGTGTGGTGGGGACCCAGGGATGGAGGGGGCCGCGCCTGCTTCCTGGCCCTGACCCATGCCCTCGGCTCTGTCCTCAGGAGCAGAACAGCGAACTCCGGGCCAAGTACCAGAAACTGCTGGTGAGGAGCTCCCTGGGGGAAAGGCCTCATGGGGAGAGGAGAGGATGGGAAGCTTGGAGTCGGGGGGACAAGGATGTATTGTTTTAAAAATGACATAGGCAGCTGGGCATGGTGGCTCACGCCTAGCACTTTGGGAGGCAGAGGCAGGAGGATCACTTGAGCCCACGAGTTTGAGACCAACCTGGGCAACATAGTGAGACTCCAGCTCTACAAAACATTTAAAAATTAGCTGGGCTTGGTGGCATGCCTGTGGTCCCAGCTACTTGGGAGGCTGAAGTGGGAGGATCGCTTGAGCCCAGGAGGTGGAGGCTGCAATGAGCTGTGATCGTGCCACTCCACTCCAGCCTGGGAAACAGAGCAAAACCCTGCCTTTAAAAAAAAAAAAAAAAAAAAAAGGCGTGCAGTAAACGTTTCAATCAGGAGAGGGGTTGAGGCGGGAAGAGAGGTGCCCCAGCCTTTTCCTGAGCGGCTGCAAGGTCTGCCCTGGTTGTTCAGGGAAAACCCTAACAGGCCCCAGGGGTACAGCCTGTCCTGCTCATTTCTTTATTATCTGCTGTGTGCCAAGTATGATGCCACTTGCTTTCTATACAAAAGCTTTCCATTTTCCTTCCCAAACCTTTAAAGAATGCATTCTTTTAAAAATTGCATAAGTGTTATGCAAACGCTTCCTTGTTGCCAATGTTTCAGACAGAGAATACAGAGGCAGCATTGTGTCGCTATAAGGAGCCATGCTTCCTCTGCTCCTTAGTGTTAGTGGTGACACCTTGAGCGAGTTACTTAGCCTCCGGGAGCCTCAGTTTCCTCATCTGAGAAATGGAGCTCCTACATGTTCCTGTCTCATAGGGTCGCTTTGAGGATGAAATGAGTCAATGTTGCAGAAGTTCATCAGGCGTGGAGGGCCCCACGTACCAAAATGCAAACATCCCTCCTTTCCCTTGCACACCCGCTTCTCAGACGTACAGTGGTGCTTTCCTTCCAGCCCTCTATAAGACGATCATGATACAGATAAAAGTAGAAGCTATAGTTACTGATATTTGTTGAGCACCAACTATATGCCAGTCTCTGTACGCTGTGAGGTCAGGACTGTCATCTTCCCCATTTACAGATGGGCGAACTAAGCCTTCACAAAAATGTCAGTTCCGTAAGGGTTTTGTGTGTTTCGTTTGCTGTATCCCCAGTGTCTGGAGCCATGTCCAGCATGTAGTAGATGCTCAGTAAACATTTACTGAATGAATGAATGAATGAATGAATGAGTTTCAGGGGTTCAGGTGACTTGTCTAAGGGGGACTGGCCTGGACGTGGCTAAGCTGGGCTTGTCCTCAGGCCACCCATAGCTGGGCTTGTCCTCAGGCCAGCCATAGCTGGGCCCTGCAGGAGGTAGGGAAGGAAGCGAGCAGTGGCAGCGGGCTGAGGACGCAGCCCTTTCCTTGCCCCGGCCCCTTCAGGCAGCATCACAGGCCCGGCAGCAGCACCTGAGTTCGCTGCAGGACTACATGCAGCGCTGCACCAATGAGCTGTACTGGCTGGACCAGCAGGCCAAGGGCCGCATGCAGTACGACTGGAGTGACCGCAACCTCGACTACCCCAGCCGCCGGCGCCAGTATGAGGTGGGTTCTGGGGGCCTGGGGCATCAGGGAGGAGGCAGCCCTGGAAGGAGCACGGGACCGCCAGGCTGGGCACTGAGGCCCCTCCACTGCCCCCCACTGCAGAATTTCATCAACCGGAACCTGGAGGCCAAAGAGGAGAGAATCAACAAACTGCACAGCGAGGGCGACCAGCTGCTGGCGGCCGAGCACCCCGGGAGGAACTCCATTGAGGTTCATGCACCCCGAGACCAGACACCTCCCCCAGGGTGGCTTCTGGTTGGCCGCTGCCTGTGGGCCGCCTGGAGCTCGGGCAGACCCCGGAGCTGGGGGTCCTGCAAGCTGCATCTTGTGTCTGTCTGTCTCTTTCTTGCTGTGTCTGACTCTGCCTCCTCCATTTATCCTGATCCGTTGACACTTCTGCCCTCAGCCCCTGGACTTCTGAAGCCCCTGTGGGGTCTGTATTAGTTTCCTAGAGTTGCTGCAACAAGTTAAAACAAACTTAGTGGCTTTAAACAACAGAAATTCATTCTCTCAGAGGTCTGTGGGCTGTAAGTCTGAAATCAAGGTGTCTTAGGGCCTCATTCCCTCTGGAAGCTCCAGGACATGTGCCTTCCTTGCTCTTCCGGCTTCTGGGGGTTGCCAACAGCCCTTGGCTTGTGGCTGCATCATTCCAGTCCCTTCCTCCGTCTTCACATGGCCTTCTCTCCCCATGTCTCTCTGTATCCTCTCTTCTTATAAGGATATCAGTCAGTGGATTTAGGGCTCACCCTAATTTCAGGATCCTTAACTAATGACATCTGCAAAGATCTTATTCCCAAATAAGGTCGCATTCTTCCCAACCCCCACAATGCCACCAACCCCGCCTGAGATGGAGTTTCGCTGTTGTTGCCCAGGCTGGAGTGCGATGGTGTAATCTTGGCTCACTGCAACCTCCACCTCCCGGGTTCAAGCAATTCTCCTGCCTCAGCCTCCCAAGTAGCTGGGACTACAGGCGCACACCATCATGCCCAGCTAATTTTTGTATTTTTAGTAGAGACAGGGTCTCATCATGTGGGCCAGGCTAGTCTCAAACTCCTGACCTCAGGTGATCCACCCGCCTCGGCCTCCCAAAGTGCTGCGATTACAGGTGTGAGCCACCATGCCTGGCCAGGGTCATGGATTTGGTGGGACACTGTTCGGTCCATGACAGTGCCTTTGTACAGATTTGCCGAAGGCACCACAGCCCCCACTTGCCCTTTGTGCACTGCACAGCCTGGGCATCCGTATGTGGCATCCCTGTTTGGCTCCTTGACGTGACCCCTCTCTCCTCCTCCCACTCCTGAGCAGAAGCTGGCTACCCCTGTGGTAGCCACACCCAGACAGATGCCAGATGCCTCCCTCCCCCGCCATGCCCCAGCCCAATATCCCAGCAGTCCCTCCCTTGGTGTCTGCAGTACCTGCCCAGTGGTGACCGGCCCCTTCTCTTCCTGGCAGGCGCACATGGAGGCTGTGCACGCAGACTGGAAGGAGTACCTGAACCTGCTCATCTGCGAGGAGAGCCACCTCAAGTACATGGAGGACTACCACCAGGTACTTACCTTTCCTGGGAGTCCCCCCAGCACCGGGGGTGCTACTCTCTGAGAGCGCTCAGTGCCTACCTGGCTCATGTGTGGCCTCGTGCTCCTTGGTCCAGGAGCCTTGCGGGGCAGCCATCCCAGGCCCCCAGCACCCATGCTTCTGATGGCGTGTGCAGACATGTCCCAAGCTTGCCGGCCCCTGTCCAACTTCCCTGGGGACCAGGGCCAGAGTCTGATTCCCCAGGTCACATGGGGCCCAGGGTGAGTGTGTAGGGTTTTAATTTTGGTAAAATCTATAATATACATGCAGATACATAAAACAAAATTTGCCTTTTTTTTTTTTTTTTTTTTTTTTGAGAGAGTCTTGCCCTGTCACCCAGGCTGGAGTGCAGTCGTGCCATCTCGGCTCACTACAACCTCCACCTCCTGGGTTCAAGTGATTCTCCTGCCTCAGCCTCCTGAACAGCTGGGATTACAAGTGCCCACCACCACACCCAGCTAATTTTTGTATTTTCAGTAAAGATGGGGTTTCGCCATGTTGGTCAGGCTGGTCTCGAACTCCTGACCTCAGGTGATCCTCCCGCCTCGGCCTCCTAAAGTGTTGGGATTACAGGTGTGAGCCACCACACCCGGCCAGTTTGCATTTTTAAGTGTACAATTCAGTGGCATTCATTGCATTCGCAATGTTATGCAACCATCACCACCATCTACTTGCAAAACTTTCCATCACCCCAAACAGAAACCCTATACCCTGGCTGGGCACGGTAGCTCATGTCTGTAATTCCAGCACTCTGGGAAGCCGAGGCGACTGGATCACCTGAGGTCAGGAGTTCAAGACCAGCCTGGCCAACATGATGAAACCCCATCTCTACTAAAATACAAAAGTTAGCCAGGTGTGGTGGCCCATATCTGTAGTCCCAGATGGGAGGCTGAGGCAGGAGAACTGCTTGAACCCAGGAGGCAGAGGTTGCAGTGAGCTGAGATCGCGCCATTGCACTCCAGCCTGGGCGACAGAGTGAGTCTCCGCCTCAAAAAAAAAAAAAAAAAACAACCCCGTACTCATTAGGCAGTAAGTTTTCCATTCCCACTCCCCCAGCCCCAGGTCACCTTTGGTCTTCTTGCTGTCTCTATGGACTTGCCTGTTCCAGAAGTGTCACACCTAGAACGAATATGAAGAATCAGTGGGATCATGCAATCTCTGCCCTTTTGTGTCTGGCTTCTCTCACTGAGCATCATGTTTTCCGGGTTCATCCGTGTTGTAGCATTTTCAGTGCTTCACCCCTTTTTATGGCTGAATCATATCCTATTGTATGGCTAGACCACTGTGTTTATCCACTCATCTGTGGCTGGACACTTGTCTGTTTCCAGAGGAATGAGAGTTCTTAAGAAGCTGCGGGTAATTCTTAGGATTGAGGTGTCTGGGGAAAGCTGGATGTGGGCGACGCCGTGTCACTCCTCATTCCCTGTCTGAGCCGCACAGTGGGGGCTTCAGGTCCTGTTTATGGCTGCAGCCCAGGTGCTCAGCCCAGGGGATAGCTGACAGTGAACCAAGAGTTGATAGACTGAAGAATGGGCAAGAGAATTTTCGAGAACAAAAAGGGGAGGCTATTATCAAAACCTAGAAAGAAGCTATAGTATTAAGTCTGGATGTTCCTAGTACAGAGAGAGGAACTGAATCAAAGACACCTCAAGACTTACTGATACATCCAAGAAAACATGTCACAGAGGTGGCATCTCATGGATGGGTGGGAAGGGACCTGGCTTTTCCCAGTGAGGCCCCTAAGGAGCCAGCTCAGGGAGGGTGGGGCTGTCTCCACGCAGAGGAGCCTCAGGCTCAGCACAGGGTCCCATGCTGGACTCCAGGTGAACCGGAGGCCCAGCCCCGCCTGAGGGATGAGCTTGAAGCCTCCGACAGAAGCCCAGGTGCTTCTAGTGGTTTCCTGGCTGTAACAGAGCCACCTTCTCCCCTAGTTTCACGAAGACGTGAAGGACGCTCAGGAGCTGCTGCGCAAGGTGGACTCGGACCTGAACCAGAAGTATGGCCCTGACTTCAAGGACCGGTACCAGATTGAGCTGCTGCTGCGGGAGCTGGATGTGAGCGATGGCCCAGGACCCCTGCTGGCCCGGGGGGCGGGGGACCCCTCTACACCATGCCTGCCCTCAGCCCTGTACAGGCCCCTCCACAGCACCCCACCTGCTGAATCCAGCCCCTGCTCTGCGTCCTCCCACCAGGGGGAAGGCTGTTGGTCTCACCTGGGCCCCTGACCCCGTTCTCTCCAGGACCAGGAGAAGGTGCTGGACAAGTATGAGGACGTGGTGCAGGGGCTGCAGAAGCGAGGCCAGCAGGTGGTGCCCCTCAAGTACCGCCGGGAGACTCCGCTCAAGCCCATCCCCGTGGAGGCACTCTGTGACTTTGAGGGGGAGCAGGTGCGTGGGGCCAGCTCCTCTGTTCACATCACTACAAAGTTTTTGGGGTAACATGGTTGGATCCCGGGCCTCAGGCGCCGTTCTCAGGAGCCTGTGCCTGTCTCCGTGGTTGGTGTCACTCTGCCAACCCTTCCCCTGGTGCAGGCCAACTGGCACCCCTATGCCGCCCCCACCTCGGCTGCCCTGGCCTTGTGTTCCACCAGCTTAGCAACCCCAGTCCCTCCTCAGAAGTCCCAGGCCAGGTTCTCATTGGCTCACTGTGAGTCACGTGTCCATCCTACACCAATCACTGTGGCCAGGGAATGCCAGGGTCCACCCTATACCAATGACTGTGGCTGGCGAATGCCAGTCATTGGCCAGGTCCAAGTCACATGTCCATCTGGAGCTTGGGAATGGAGAAGGAGAGACCACAGGGACTGGGAATTGGGAGGGAAGGTTCCCCAAAGGGAAATGGAGGTGGGTTGCTGGGCCGGCAGCCTCAACACATGTGCTTCTCCTGCATGCCCCTCCCCACTCTACGGGGAGGGTCCAAGTGATGAGCCGGGGCTCCCCAGGTCCAAGAGTCGGGGGCTGAGATGGCAACCGGGCTCCCAGGCCCTCAGGCCCTGCCGGGATCCTGACTGTCCAGCCTGCCCCCGCCAGGGCCTGATCTCGCGGGGCTACAGCTACACCCTGCAGAAGAACAACGGGGAGAGCTGGGAGCTCATGGACAGCGCTGGGAACAAGCTGATTGCTCCGGCCGTGTGTTTTGTGATCCCCCCCACAGACCCTGAGGCCCTGGCTCTGGCTGACAGGTACAAGGGCAAAGGCGGGAGTCTGCATGGACCAGTCCCACCCCCAGGGCTTCTCAGGCCCCATTCATAGCCCCGGGGATTTGGACTCAGCCTGTGGGGAGCGCGGGGTCGCTGACACTCTCCATCTGCACCCCCTTGGAAGTTCATGCAGGAGAGGGGCAGATTGTGGGCCAGCTGACTTGCTAAACATGAATGTCTAGCTCTGGGCTTCGTCCTGGCCCCCTCACGAGTTTCTAAGCAGTTTCTAAGGGCCCCTGACTCCCGCACGCACTGCTCCCTGTACTTGCAGACCCCAGCCCCTTGGCTGGAGGACTCAGCTGGGATAAGGGCTGCCTCCTCTTTGCTCCCAGGCACCTTCTTCCACTGCACGCACCGCTTTTTATTAAGTGACTAGCGTATGCGTCAGTCTCATTGGGCCTGGGCTCCTTGAATTTCCTCTCTCCAGGGCCTAGTTAAGTACCTGGTACAAAGTAGGTGCCCAGGAACTCCTTGCTGAATGAGTGGATCATTCAAGGAATGCCTTCATTTATTAAGTATTTATTGAGCACCTACTGTGTATGCTCCCTCAGAAGTAACATCTTGGTGGTGATTATTGGACAGACAATTTTAGGTAGTGAGACTTCCTACGAAAGAGGAGGGAAGGAGGGAGAAGAGCTCTGAGCCCAGGAGCACAGAAAGGCCAGTGCCACAGTGAGCACTTGCTGTCCGCATCTAAGGAGCTGTCAGGCTCCTCTGGGGTGTCTGCCCAGCCAGAGTCCGCAGTCCCGCCTCTGTGGGTGCAGGGGGTGGTGGGCTGCCCAGGTTCCCAGCTCATTTCTGTCCTCACAGCCTGGGCAGCCAGTACCGGAGCGTGCGGCAGAAGGCAGCTGGGAGCAAACGCACGCTGCAGCAGCGGTATGAGGTGCTGAAGACCGAGAATCCCGGAGGTGGGTGCCAGGGCCACTCGCCTGAGGCTCTGGGGGTACCGGGGAGGAGGGGCTGGACCAGGGTCTGTGCTGTGGATGAGACGGCGGGGGGCTGGCTGCCTAGGTCCATCCCTGGGCCTCACACCCCTGGCCCGTTGTCACACCTGCCTGTGTCCTCCCTCCCTCCACAGATGCCTCTGACCTACAGGGGCGGCAGCTGCTGGCTGGCTTGGACAAGGTGGCCAGCGACCTGGACCGGCAGGAGAAGGCCATCACAGGGATCCTGCGGCCACCACTGGAGCAAGGCCGGGCTGTGCAGGACAGTGCCGAGCGGGCCAAGGACCTCAAGGTACCTGCGGGTCAGGAGCACAGGTGGGGCCGGGGGAGCCCTGCACTGGCCCCCTGGGGCCCCTATTTGAGGTCTTTTCCCCATGGAGTCTTGGGATATTCACTGCAGCTGTCTGTCAGGGACAGCCTGCTGCATGTAAAAGGGTCCCAAGTCATGGAGGTGGCAGGGCTGCTGTCATTACCTCCCCAGGAGAAAGAGCTGGCAGGACTTGCATTGTTCCTGCACGGCTTGTCGATCTGACGCCTGGCATGGCACATGGGCTGTGGAATTCCGCAGGACTGGGTCACCGGCTGGCTTGACTGCAAACACGTTAGCGTTTGTATTTATAAACTCCAGGCCTCAGTGTCTTCAGTAGGATGGGTTGGCCCTGCTCACAGGGCAGTGGCGAGGACAGGGTGAGCTGATGCCAGGGGGGACGTGGAGGGGCCACCTCCCCCCACCTCCTTTCCTATACAAAGTCTCCCACATCCTCAAGGCAGCCCTCTGAGGCAGTGAGTAGCACTCCAATTTTACAGAAGAGGATCTGGGATTGGAGAAGTGCCATAGCCCCTGATGGGGCCTCAGAGTGAGAGCCAAGTCAGGGCGAGAGGATGCCGGTCTCGGGTGTAGCCTGACCCCACAAGTCCCTTCCTAAGCTGCTGGGAGTCGTCACACCCCCACCCGTGACTGGGTGGAGTCGTAGTACTCACCTCCCGGGGTTGCCGCAAAGATTAAACAGAAGCGTCCGCGTGCAGTGCTGAGGACAGCACAGGCCCGGCAGCTGCCTGGGTGCTTCTGGTGTCACTAGTCCATTCCACCTCAGCGGTTCCCTGGGATGCTCGTGAAAAATACAGCCCTCAGGCTGGGGTCCAGATGCCGGGTCAGAGCCCCAGAATGTGCCAGGCCTCTCCAGCTGCTTCCACTGTGCCTGATGTGGGAATCTGTGCTCACCCTGGGCACATCCTCAGGGGAAGGGGCTGCCTGGCTGTGTCCAAAACTGAGGGGCCCTGGTTCCCACAGAACATCACCAACGAGCTACTGCGGATTGAACCTGAGAAGACGCGGAGCACGGCTGAGGGCGAAGCCTTCATCCAGGCCCTCCCAGGCAGTGGCACCACACCCCTGCTGAGGACCCGGGTGGAGGACACCAACCGGAAATACGAGCACCTCCTGCAGCTGCTGGACTTGGCCCAGGAGAAGTGGGTGGCAGACAGGCAGCATGGAGGTTGGGGTGGGGTCAGGGGGCCAGGTGGGCATCCCCCGACGCCTGATTGGTGCTCTCAGGGTTGATGTGGCCAACCGCCTGGAGAAGAGCCTGCAGCAGAGCTGGGAGTTGCTGGCCACACACGAGAACCATCTGAATCAGGATGACACAGTGCCTGAGAGCAGCCGTGTCCTGGACAGCAAGGGGCAGGAGCTGGCGGTGAGTCTAGGGCCCAAGTCCTGGGAGTCCTTCTCTGAGCAGGTGAGAGCATCTGGCACATCCACCCGCCCGTCTGGATAGATGAGGACACCAGCATCCAGTCTCCCCAGGTTTGGAATGCCCAAATTGGGAACTGCAAATGGAGGCCCACAGCACAAATCCAAGCTATTCACGGGATCTGTGTGACTTACGGGATTTCGGGTGCCAGCATTTTAAGATCAAATATCTGCAATAGCCAGTGTAGTGGCACATGCCTGTAACACCAGCCATTCAGGAGGCTGGGGCAGGATTGCTTGAGCCTTGGAGTTTAAGTCCAGCCGCCTGGACAACGTTGCAAGACCCTATCTCTTAAAAAAAAAAAAAAAAAAAAAAAAGCATAAAGCACATAACAATCCATGTTCCCAGTATCTCTTGCTGAGCAGAGCTGGCATCCTGGGCTGCAGCTCAGAGGGCAAGTCAGTGGGCAGAGGAGCAGCTGCCTTCTCGGCCTGCTTACCTCGCAGTTGCCACGGGCCCCCTTCCCACACTGCCTGAGCACAGGAAACATTCAAGTCTGTGACCTGAGGCCCCTTATTCACACTCCCATCTCACGACTTGCTTTTGCCACAGCCTCATGACCAGACAGTGGCAGGCTGTTCTCGCGCAGGGCACGAGCTGCCTGCTGCAGGGTTTTTAGAAGTTAGCTTTTCAGGGCTTTGTTCATTGTTAAAAAACAGAAGATGGCAGAAGTGACCCAGGTTTGGGATGTACAGAGCAAGGCTCCGGTCCTTCCTACCTGTGGCCTTGCCCACCCTCCTACAGTCAGTGGCCCAGGGGCTTCAGTGGGTGTCATCGCCTGGCTCTGGGAGCTCTGGCCGTAGCACCGCCGTCTCCTCCTCTGCCCCGCCAGGCCATGGCCTGTGAGTTACAGGCCCAGAAGTCCCTCCTGGGTGAGGTGGAGCAGAACTTGCAGGCGGCCAAGCAGTGCTCGAGCACACTGGCCAGCCGCTTCCAGGAGCACTGTCCGGACCTGGAGCGCCAGGAGGCCGAGGTGCACAAGCTGGGCCAGCGTTTCAACAACCTGCGCCAGCAGGTGGAACGCAGGTGAGGGTGCGGTGGGTGGTGGCCATTTTTGTTTTCTGAGAATGCGATCTAATTCCCTCTAAGCAATGCTTTAGCCGTGTCCCACAGATTTTGCTGTTTTTCTTTTTGGTGAGTTCGTCAGATTCTCTGACGGCCCTGTGGTCTCTCTTTTGAGTCATGCTTACCTGGGTCCTGTAATCCACAATGGGCATCTCTGCAAGTCAATGTATATGGACCCACCTGGTTCTCCACAGTCCAACCTGACGTTCCCTAATGACCACCCACCCTGTGTGGGAGATACTTGGGGTATTTCTGGTTGTTACATTTGGTTGTTTCCCACTTTAAAAAAAAAAATGAGGGCTCGGTGAGGCATCTGTTTGCTGTGGCTGAGGCCTGAACGCTTTGCCTTGACAGGGCGCAGAGCCTACAGAGCGCCAAGGCAGCCTACGAGCACTTCCACCGCGGCCATGACCACGTGCTGCAGTTCCTAGTCAGCATCCCCAGTTACGAGCCCCAGGAGACAGACAGCCTCAGCCAGATGGAGACCAAGCTGAAGAACCAGAAGGTGAGATGGCCGTTTCCGCAGCCCCAGGCACACACTGGCAAGGGAGGGTCAGAGGTCAACAAGCCCCTTTCTGGGGAGCCAAGCCTTTGGGAGGTGGAGCAGGGCAGAGGCCTGCCACAGCTGTGTCCTCCCTGGGCCTCAGCTCAAGCTCCCAACACCCAACCCTCTGAGAACAAGAACCGAGTGTGTCGCTCACCTCTCCCAGCTCAGTGCCCCGCACAGGGCCTGGTGCAGAATGGACACTTGGCGTGGGTTGGCTATGTGAGTGAACAGCTACAGAATGAGGAGCCGCCTTTGTGGGGGAAATCCCATTTTCAAAGTTGGGACTCCTGCCTCCCCCATGCCCAACGCAGTGCCTTGGGGTGAGGGAGGAACACGGGAAGCCAATGGCTGAGATGCAAATCCCGGGTCCACCCCATCAGCCACATCCCCACCTCAGAAGCTTTCCTCACTCATAAGCTGGAGGTCACGATGCTTACCTCCTGGCATCGTTTGAAGATTAAATGAGATAATCTAAGTCAGACAGCAGAACAGTGTCTGGTGGTCCAAATCATCAGTAAACATTTGTTTCCTAGCAGAGATAATGATCTTGGCCCTTCTTCACAGAGCCTTAGAACTGCCTTTTGTGGCTGGGCGCGGTGGCTCACACCTGTAATCCCGGCATTTTGGGAGGCTGAGGCAGGAGGATCACAAGTTCAGGAGTTCAAGACCAGCCTGGCCAACATAATGAAACCAAATCTCTACTAAAAATACAAAAAAAAATTAGCTGGGTATGGTGGCAGGAGCCTGTAGTCCCAGCTACTTGGGAGGCTGAGGCAGGAGAATTGCTTGAACCCAGGAGGCTAAGGCTGCAGTGAGCTGAGATCGCGCCACTGTACTCCAGCCTGGGCGATGCAGTGAGACTGTCTCAAAAAAAAAAAAAAAAAAAAAAAAAAAAAAAAACAACAACAACAAAAAAACTGCCTTTTGCAATGAATAAAAATGTATACAAGGGAGCCATTCATCATACTTTGTGCTAGAGAAGAATAAATTCAGATTCTGAGATTTCCAGCTACTGCATCCATGGTTGCTTTTTTAAATTTTTTTTCTGGTTAGTTTTGATTTTTAAACTCTGTCTTACAGAACCTGCTAGATGAGATAGCAAGTAGGGAGCAGGAAGTACAGAAGATCTGTGCCAATTCCCAGCAGTACCAGCAAGCTGTAAAGGTGAGCCGGGAAACTTCCGCCCAAAGCACAAACAGCAGGGGTCTTATTCCACCGTGCCCTGGTCAGAGAAGCAGCAAGCACCGGCCCTGGCACATGGGGGTGGAGCTGGCCATCCGAGGCACTGCCGGCTGCTGTGCAAACTGGCACAGGCTTTTGGGAAAACAGCATGGTACTAGACATGGAATGCTGTAAAAGGGTTTTATACTCTGAAGCAGTAAACACTTTGGGGGAATTTATCCTTAAGGAAAAAGTACAAAAAAAAAAATGCAGGATAAACAACATTGTTGCAACAGCACTATTTACAATAGCAAAACTAGTACGCTGGAAAGGACTGGTGTCCAGTGGAAGGGGAAAGCTGCGTGAATCAGCACACATCCACCTGATGGATTATAAAGTCAGCAAGCTGGTAAACATGAGAAGAGGTGGTGGCAAGGTGAGACAGGGTTATGGTACGATGTTAAAAGCAGCAGCAGAATGTGAAAATCTCTAGGCATGTAGAAAGGCTGGGAGGGGAATTCAGGGGGCACTTCTTGTCTCATATGTTACTGAGTGATGGAGCTATGTACTGCTGAGATATCAGTAATTCTCAAAACCTCCTGGAAATCACTGCAGGGTGCAGCTGTGAGGAAGACCCACGCAGATTATAAAACCAGCACATGGCACAGGGCAGGTCTGGGTCAGCCTGAAGGGGTACAGGAACATGTCTGTCTCTTCTCAGCTGTTTTAATCTCCCCTCTGCCATGTCTCTCCCTCATGCAGGACTATGAGTTAGAAGCAGAAAAACTAAGGTCTCTTCTCGACTTGGAGAATGGAAGGAGAAGCCACGTGAGCAAGAGAGCCAGGCTCCAATCTCCTGCCACCAAAGTGAAGGAAGAGGTGAGTTCCATGGGCCAGGCGGCCTCGGGACTGAGGTGGAGGCCAAGCTGCCCTGCTCCCCAGGGAGCATGGTGTCACACGCTGGCCTCAGAGATGCACACACAACAGGGAAGCCACTGAGAGCCCTCCTGCATGCAAACAGGTTTGGTAAGAGATGAGGAACTTGTTCTAGGGCAGTGACATCAATATGCCTAGAAAGACAGCAAGGCCGGGCGCAGTGGCTCACACCTGTAATCCTAGCACTTTGGGAGGCCGAGGTGGGAGAACTGCTTGAGCCCAGGGGTTGGAGACCAGCCTGGGCAACAAAGCAGGACCCCATATCTACAAAAATATTAGCCAGGCGTGGTGGTGCAAACCTGTAGTCCCAGCTACTTGGGAGGTTGAGGAGGGAGGATCACTTGGGCCCAGGAGTTCAAGGCTGCAGTGAGCTACAATCACACCATGGCACTTCAGTCTGAGTGAAAGAGATTCTGTCTTTAAGAAATAAAAATTTTTGAAAATGCAGCTGAACAGAAGTGTCAGGGTCAGAACCATGGATCTGGGAAGTTCCTGTTTTGCTCACCTCAGTAAGTACAGTGGAGGGCTGATATTAGTCTCCTGTACACACAAGAGAGAACACTGGTGCTCTAAGAGGCAGAAAGACTTGCTCAAAGTCAGTGTGGCCAAGACCCTGGCCTGGATCTTCTGCCTCGAGATCCATTTTTCTCTCCACCGGTGAGGCTACAGTCTAACTCCAGGCAGGAGTGGGCAAGAGCTATGCCTCTACCCCCAAATTCCACACTTCTCAAGAACCACGTCCACGCTGTCTAGCTCTCTGTTGCTTACCCTGTTGACACCTGTTTGTTGACCGCTCTCCTAATCCTCTTCTCTGCAGGAAGCAGCACTTGCCGCCAAGTTCACTGAAGTTTATGCCATCAACAGACAGAGGCTGCAGAATCTGGAGTTTGCTCTGAATCTCCTCAGACAGGTAACTGATCTTAGTAAGAAATTCTACTTCAGGCTGTTCTAACAGGTGACAAATACAGACTCTGTCTTAGAGAAATGGTTTGTGAATTGATGGAAGTGTCCCCTTGCTAACGTTTCTGGGCAGGGCCAATGCAAAGACTGGCCCGAGCCAATGCTTCTACTGACATGAGAACTTATTCAACTCAGTAAACATCTGCTGAAAGTGAATGCTATTTTCAGCTGGGCATGGTGGCTCACGCTTGTAATCCCAGCACTTTGGGAGGCCGAGGCAGGCGGATCACCTGAGGTCAGGAGTTCGAGACCAGCCTGGCCAACATGGTAAAACTCCGTCTCTACTAAAAATACAAAAATTAGCTGGGCGTCGTGGCGCATGCTTGTAATCCCAGCTACTCAGGAGACTGAGGCAGGAGAATTGCTTGAACCCAGGAGGTGGAGGTTGCAGGGAGCTGAGACTGTGCCACTGCACTCCAGCCTGGGCAACAGAGCGAGACTCTGTCTCAGAAAAAAAGAAAGAAACAAAAGAAAGTGAATGTTATTTTCTGAAGTCCATGATGTTGATGACAGCATTGTTTTTTAATAGCAAGACACTGGAAGCAGTTCACTCTTCATCAGCAATGGGCTAAACTGCGGTCTGTCCAGAGAGCGGAAACAATGCTGCTGGTAAATCCTGAAGCAGCACTCTCTGTGCTGAGCTGGAATGAGCTCTGTAAGTGCAGTGAGCAGCAGGAATACCATTTGTGCAGGAGAGATAAACACATGGTACATACTACAGACAGATATTCTTGTGTGAGCACAGATAGCATCTGCAAGGCTGACAGACACGCCCTAGGACGGGGACCAGAGGTGGGAGACCGTGGTTTCATTTTAAACTCTTCCACAGCTCAAAAATGTTTTACCTGATTAAAAAAAACCCCAAACTAGTTGTTTGATCCTTTTTGAAAGTAACCCTAGAACTCTACAACTAACATGAACTGGCACTGAGGGAGTCCCTTGGGGACCACAGGACAGCCACTCTGACCAGGTGGGGACAGGCCCTACATGTGCTGCCAGAGCCTGGCTTTAACCTTGTCTTGTCTTCTCCATCACAGCAGCCGGAAGTAGAAGTGACCCATGAGACCCTGCAAAGGAATAGGCCGGACTCTGGAGTGGAGGAGGCGTGGAAGATCAGGAAGGAACTGGATGAGGAGACTGAGCGGAGGCGGCAGCTGGAGAACGAGGTCAAGAGCACCCAGGAAGAAATCTGGACCTTGAGGAATCAGGGGCCTCAGGAATCGGTGGTGAGGAAGGAGGTGCTCAAGAAGGTGCCGGATCCCGTGCTGGAGGAGAGCTTCCAGCAGCTGCAGCGGACGCTGGCAGAGGAGCAGCACAAGAACCAGCTGCTGCAGGAGGAGCTGGAGGCACTGCAGCTGCAGCTGCGTGCCCTGGAGCAGGAGACCAGAGACGGGGGGCAGGAGTACGTGGTCAAGGAGGTCCTGCGCATCGAGCCTGACAGGGCCCAGGCGGATGAGGTCTTGCAGCTGCGGGAGGAGCTGGAGGCACTGAGGCGGCAGAAGGGCGCCCGGGAGGCAGAGGTGCTCCTCCTGCAGCAGCGTGTGGCCGCCCTGGCTGAAGAGAAGAGCCGGGCGCAGGAGAAGGTCACAGAGAAAGAGGTGGTGAAACTGCAGAATGACCCCCAGCTGGAGGCAGAGTACCAGCAGCTGCAGGAGGACCACCAGCGCCAGGACCAGCTCAGGGAGAAGCAGGAGGAGGAGCTGAGCTTCCTCCAGGACAAGCTCAAGAGGCTAGAGAAGGAGCGGGCCATGGCCGAGGGCAAGATCACCGTCAAGGAGGTGCTCAAGGTGGAGAAGGACGCGGCCACCGAGAGGGAGGTCAGCGATCTCACCCGCCAATATGAGGACGAGGCTGCCAAGGCTCGCGCTAGCCAGAGGGAGAAGACGGAGCTGCTCCGAAAGATATGGGCCTTGGAGGAGGAGAACGCCAAAGTGGTGGTGCAGGAGAAGGTGCGGGAGATCGTGCGGCCAGACCCCAAGGCGGAAAGTGAAGTGGCGAACCTCCGCCTGGAGCTTGTGGAGCAGGAGCGAAAGTACCGGGGTGCCGAGGAGCAGCTCCGGAGCTACCAGAGTGAGCTGGAGGCCCTCAGGAGGCGAGGCCCCCAGGTGGAAGTCAAAGAGGTGACTAAGGAAGTCATTAAGTACAAGACTGACCCTGAGATGGAGAAGGAGCTTCAGCGGCTCAGGGAGGAGATCGTGGACAAGACCAGACTGATCGAAAGGTGTGATTTAGAGATCTACCAGCTGAAAAAGGAAATCCAGGCCCTGAAAGACACCAAACCCCAGGTCCAGACCAAAGAGGTGGTCCAGGAGATCCTCCAATTCCAAGAAGACCCTCAAACCAAGGAGGAGGTGGCGTCTCTGAGGGCAAAGCTCTCAGAGGAGCAGAAGAAACAAGTGGATCTGGAGAGGGAAAGAGCTTCCCAGGAAGAGCAGATCGCCCGGAAAGAGGAGGAGCTCTCGCGGGTGAAGGAAAGGGTGGTGCAGCAGGAGGTGGTCAGGTATGAGGAGGAGCCAGGCCTGCGGGCCGAGGCGAGCGCCTTTGCCGAGAGCATCGATGTGGAGCTGCGGCAGATTGACAAGCTGCGGGCAGAGCTGCGGCGGCTGCAGCGCCGGCGCACCGAGCTTGAGCGGCAGCTGGAGGAGCTAGAGCGCGAGCGGCAGGCCCGCAGGGAGGCCGAGCGCGAGGTACAGCGGTTGCAGCAGCGGCTGGCAGCGCTGGAGCAGGAAGAAGCTGAGGCCCGTGAGAAGGTAACCCATACGCAGAAGGTGGTGCTGCAGCAGGACCCGCAGCAGGCGCGAGAGCATGCCCTGCTCCGACTCCAGCTGGAAGAAGAGCAGCACCGGCGGCAGCTCCTGGAGGGGGAGCTCGAGACCCTCCGGAGGAAACTGGCTGCACTGGAGAAGGCGGAGGTCAAGGAGAAGGTGGTGCTCTCCGAGAGTGTCCAGGTGGAGAAGGGCGACACCGAGCAAGAGATCCAGAGGCTCAAGAGCAGCCTGGAGGAGGAGAGCCGCAGCAAGCGCGAGCTGGACGTCGAGGTGAGCCGGCTGGAAGCCAGGCTTTCGGAGCTGGAATTCCATAACTCCAAGTCATCCAAGGAACTAGACTTTCTGAGGGAAGAGAACCACAAATTACAGCTGGAGAGGCAAAACCTGCAGCTGGAGACCCGAAGGCTCCAATCGGAAATCAACATGGCAGCGACGGAAACACGAGACCTGCGGAACATGACCGTGGCGGACTCTGGGACCAACCATGACTCCAGACTGTGGTCCCTGGAGAGGGAACTGGATGACCTCAAGAGGCTCTCCAAGGACAAAGACCTCGAGATCGACGAGCTGCAGAAGCGCCTGGGCTCCGTGGCCGTCAAGCGGGAGCAGCGGGAGAACCACCTGCGGCGCTCCATCGTAGTCATCCACCCTGACACAGGCCGCGAGCTGTCCCCGGAGGAAGCCCACCGTGCCGGGCTCATTGACTGGAACATGTTCGTGAAACTCAGAAGCCAGGAGTGCGACTGGGAGGAGATCTCAGTGAAGGGTCCCAATGGGGAGTCCTCAGTGATACACGACAGGAAGTCTGGCAAGAAGTTCTCCATCGAAGAGGCCCTGCAGAGTGGCAGGCTGACCCCTGCTCAGTATGACCGCTATGTCAACAAGGATATGTCCATCCAGGAGCTGGCGGTCTTGGTATCTGGGCAGAAGTAGGCACAGCTCTTGCAACTCTTCGTAACGGCAGACGCTGGCCCTCTCCTACGACGCAGTGACCTCCTTGGTGTCGTCCTCTCCCTTGCCCTGGTGCAGGCCAAGCATTTTATACATACCCTCGCTGCCAGGCTGCTCAGAGTCCCGCCCACATATGAGACAGGCACTGGCTGAAGACAGGCAACTCTCGTCCCAACCATCATTCACCCTGAGTGACGTACTTCATCCTCCAATGACTGGACAACTGCGATGCCTTTTCCTCCCTTTTCCTGTACACTCCCAGCAACAAACTCCTCATGATAACTGCACACAATCTGAAAACCACTGAAGGACAAGCCAACCACAGCAGCCAAGCCCACTCCTTGCAGCATGGGTACTGGTGGCACACCAGACAGTGACACTGCCCCACAAAGGCCTGGGCCCGTGGGGGCTGCTGCCTGGCATGACATCTCTCCAGATTTCTGGCTTAAAACCAACTTTCCATCCGAGAAGCCTCCTCAGTAGTTACTCTGCTCATGAGACAGATCTGGGCTCCAAGCCAGGAAAGGTGAACAGAAACCACAAGTGTCCAGCCCTCGGTGCTGGAGTGGACGTTAATTGTCAGCCACCAGACTGTCCCGGCACCTACAGAGAATGTTTCACAGTTCTGGCATTTAAATCCTTTGATAGTGGATTGTGCTGCTGTTAGCCTTAGTTTCAGTGCTTTACAAGTCTCGCTTATTATCTCACTGGTATTTAGGTATACAAAACAGTTGATTATTCACCACGCCAATATCTGGGTCTCTGTATCTCATGTAGAACATAAGAAAATGGGAACTAATAGGGAAATTTATTTATAGCATGAAAATAAACCTGGTGGCTGGAGTCTGCTTGTACGGTCCACATGTTTCTTCTTTTGCATGCAAGGCTTACTCCCCCGCCCCCCCCCCTTGGCTTTCAGCCAAAATGGATATTCCATCTGTAACAGCTCCTACAGGAAGAACTACTTACTTCCACATGGTAGAAAGAAAAGAGTGAGAAAAAATGTTTTGGAAACCTTGAAACAATTTATTGAATTGCTTTATACAAGATTAACAATCTCCACACCACCCCTAACACCAACATAGTCGCTGCACAAAAGCCACAGCCCCTCTCACACCTAAGAAACGGTCACGCCCGGTAAGTGCTCAGAGACTTTCGCTGCGCCAGGGAAACCCCTGCAGCCCCCAGACCCCGAGGCTGCTCTGCCCCACCCTCTGCTGCGGCCTCGCCTGTAGGTCTGCCTTGCCATGGCTGTTCAGTCATTCGCTCTTTCATTACCACAAATAAAGCATAAACAAGGAAAAGAAATCTCAAACTCCCCATCAAAGAAACGTTTCCCTGAGGCAAGAGGCATCACTAGATTCCTAAAAATGAGGGTATTCTGCTCCAGCTGCACGCGCAATGGTACGTGGGGAGGAGGGAGCACCAAAGGGAAAGGAAGGAGGGCCTGGGACCCGGGTGTTTATGGGCAGAGAAGCCTGGAGAGTCCCTGCTCAGCCTCCACTGCCGGCCTCTGCTTGGCTTTGAGCTCAGCAATACAAATCTCTTCTTTGGCTCTTTTGCTACTACCTAAGACTACTCTGTAAACAAACTGGAAATCCAAGTTGCAAAAAATATATATAACAAAGGGATAAGGAATCCACTTAGCCCAATGTGAAACACGGATTGGTTCTTATGTAAAAAAAGGAGACAGAGCAGAGGCCGGGCCAAAGGGCGGACAGAGGTCTTGCTCCTTGGGAAACCGGGAAGGCCAGCAAACCTCTGAATGAAGGATGAGTTACTGGGCGCTGTACCCTGGGAGTCAGGAGCCAAGAGCGGTCCGTTTTCCCACAGGTGTATGTGCTGAGGACACCGTATACTCTCAACGTGCCTGATCACTTAGCTGGAGCAGTCAGTTCAGACTCACCTTGTGGCACAGACCTCACAAGACAGGCAAGTGCCCTCAAATCCTTGTGAAACAGCCACTGGTTGAGTGGTGACTTAGGAGCTCTGCAGTAACTGTCCTAGTCTCTCTGATCCACTCTCCAAGCTCTTCTGCACATCACCCTTCAGTCGACACATAACCCCACTGCCTGGAGAGCCCCAGGACTTCAAGGCCTATTTCTACCCGGCAGACACTTCACAGAGGCCTGCTTCTGCCGCACTGCCTAAGAATGATTCCTAAGAATACAAACTGGAATGTCTATCTGTGACTTGGGACCCCTGGTATCCTTGACCCTCAGAGAGATGAAGGGCTCTGGGCTCTGCAGTCCACCTCCACGAACTCTGGAAAAACAAAATGGGAGCCCTGGCTATACTGGGACTTGGAATTTGGGGGCCCAGACAACCTTCTAGTCAGGACGGCACAGATAATGATGTGCAAGTGTAAAAAACTCAAAACTGGCTTTCTCTTCAATACAGACATATCTTTAAAAAGGTCTTCGTCTCAGATCCATTCAGAGGGCTGAATGGACATGTGTTGTCGAATTCTGCTCCACCATAAAGGCACTGGAATTATGTCTTCCTATAATATGATGTGTGAAGAACAGTCCCCTTCTATCCAATGCATTTAATGGTAATGATGAAAACTGAGCCCAAAATAGGTGTCTGTAAAAATCCTATCATAATTGTTGAATCTACAAAGGTCTTTTCTCTAAAAGAGCTTCATTGTCATGTTCCGAGGAGAAACTGGCCCCCACAGTGAGCACACCCTAGGTGTTCTTAGTATTTCGCAGGGACAGTGCAGGTCTCCCAGCTGTGGCTCTGGCCTGAGTTTTGTCCGCTTTGAGCACACAGCCTGGGGATGGGGCGGCACTGTGACCATCCAGGGAGCTTACTGCAGCCAGAAGGAGCCCCTGAGCAGTGGGGTGCTCTGAGGTACTCTGACCAAATGCCAGGGGATCAGGCAGATTCACCCACAGGTGTGCCAACTGCTCTGCCACCAGAGCCTGTAAACACTGTGCCTCCCACCACGGCCCAGCGCAAGCCCCAGCCTAGAGCTGCCCCTCTAACAACCGTCTAGCGACAGAGCTGCAAGGCCCAGAGCACGGGGCAGTCTGCACCTCCTGAGCAGCAAGGGCCCGGCTCCCTCCATGGGAGGCACATCAGAAGTGCCGAGAAGCGCTCCGCTGAGAACTCACGCTCCTCCAGAAGAACACCAAGCAGCAGAAAGGGCGCAGTGAGTGTACATCCTGGGAGACCTGCACGTTCTGATTCCACCCAGACCCAAGTGGCAAGCCTTGCCTCTGAAGCGGTCACAATTTCCGTGGTACAGCAGGCCCTTTCCCGTGAAGCTGAGAAGCACCTGGAAAAGAGTAAGAAAAATTAGAACGCAAGTTTTTCATGCTCTCTGATTTCCTTAAGGCAGTAGTAACCAAACTTCAAGGGAGACACCTAAATAGCAAAAGTCCCCAAATGCTGAGTGTTCTAGAGCTCAAACAAGCCATGAGACACCAGCCAGCAGTTATTCGTGTACACTACTCCTGGCCACAGCCTGCAAGCACACTAGCACTGTGAAGGTCGGTGGTCACTCAGCACAGTGTTTCCAGAACAGCAACTCTGCTGTGCAACTTGGGCTACGTCATCTCAGGCTACAATTGCCATCCTGAGGCGAGGCCTGACGATCACACAGAACTCAAGGCAGCAATGATCATTCATTCTCTTACCATCAAAAGACCCTCAGGTCCTGTAAAGACAAATTCAAAGGCACTAGCATTCTCAGTCCACAGAAGAAAGAAAGGAAAGCAACGCAGACACAAGTCACGCAGCTGAAATGCGCAAATAGCTTCTTACTCGCATCTCGTGTCATCCTATAAGCTGAAGTCCATCTAAGGAAGTGAGAGAAGCTCACTTGGATAACCCTGTTTTGGTATAGTTGCTTTTCTGATTGATTTTCTTTTTCCTCGAACTTTTAAACTGATTAAAAAAAATTTTTTTAGAGATGAGGTCTCACTATGTTGCCCAGGCTGGAGTACAGCAGCTATTCACAAGCATGATCACAGCACACTATACCCTCTGATTCCTGGGTTCAAGCAATCCTCCTGCCTCTCAATGCCACCACATCCAGCCTCTGAGAGCCTTAAACAGTTTTAAAAACTGACTCATAATAATGACACATATTTTATGGGGTACATAGTGATGTTTCAACATCTAAAATGTGTAGTGTCACGTTAGAGTTATTAGCATATCCATCATCTCAAACGTTTTTCATCTCCTTTTGCTGGCGACGTTCAATATCCTCCTCCTAACTGAAACTACATACTACTGTTAACTACAGTCACCCTACAGTGGTATAGAACACTAGCACTTATTCTTCCTATTCTGATAGCCTTTTCATACCCAGAGGAAAAATGAAAATATAGCAGAAAGCAATCTTTTGAGACAGGGTCTCACTCTTGCCCAGGCTGGAGTGCAGTAGCATGACCACGGCTCGCTGCAGCCTCGACCTCCTCGGCTCAAGTGATCCTTCTGCCTCAGCTTCCTAAAGAGCTGGGACTACAGGCACATGCCACCACACCTGACTAATTTTTTTCTTTAAATGTAGAGATAGGGTCTTGCCATGTTGCCCAGGCTGGTCTTGAACTCCTGGACTCAGGCAATCCTCCTGCCTTGGCCTCCCAAAGTGCTGGGATTACAGGTGATAGCCACCGCGTCCGGCCTCAATTACTTTGCTTTTCTGAGAGTAACATTCCTGAGAGTAAGCAAAGGCAGGGCAGCCTGACTTTGGAAAGACCCCTGCTCTCACCAAGGTGGCTCTGCAGCCTCTAGTCTGTAGAGAAGTCACTGCACTTTACTTCTCCTCCCAAGGAAAGGAGGAGTCACTAGTGCTATAGGCTTAGCCCCTCAAAGAAGCACAGTTTCCATTGTGGAGATTTACAGATTTAGTCTTGCCCCATATGGCCTCTGGTGTTTACTATAATGCGCCATGGTGCCAGGGAGCCACAGCACATCATGAGGCAGATGTAACTTGGGAGACGTGCAGCACAGAGGGTCCTTACTTCCACCTGGCACCAGTTCGCCAGGGTTACCTCGGCTGGCTTCCATACGAGCGGCTCTCCCCTTATCCAAGTAGCACCCTGGTCATGTCTGAAGCGGGTCTACAGTAGGAACAATGCTAGGTCAAAGCTGAGACACCATGAGACTTCCCATGCCAGAATTCCAGGAGGCGTACCCAAGAATCGCAGACTCGGGATAGGGTGAGGCAGACGCACTCAATGCAAAGGTACCAACCCGGGGCACCTGAGCCCAGTTCTCAGGTGCTACCAGAGCAGCCTCAAGCCTGAGGCTTTTAGAAGTTCCCTATTTCAGAAGATGCTAAGGGGAGCACCGACCACATGCCTGCTGTGCTCCCACAAATCTGTTCTGATGGAGTTTTCACACTTGGACAGATTTAAAGCTGCTCCTCTCAAAGTCTTGCACTGTGGCCTCTGGCTGCTACCTGGATTTTCCCTTTAATGGAAACAAAGTTTAGAGAGCCTTCTGTTAAGCAATCACATCTGACAGTGGAGCAGCTTGCATTCCAAGACCTTGTTGTACCCAATTAGCCCTTGGAGAAGATGCACCATTACCTTCCCTTTTTTTTTTTTTTTAAACTGAAGAGAAAAAAACAAGCCGAGGGTTAGGAACTCCTCCACCGCACACAAAAGCGCACCACCCTGCCCCCCGCAACTTTCCCTGTGATCACACAGGCTGAGGCTGACCTGGCGGCAGCTCCAAGTGGGGACCAGAGGAAACCCCAAGAGTAGAAGTGCGTGTCACCCTGAGTACTGACAAAGCACAGCCTCAAAGGACAAACCAAAACAACAACAGCGTCAAGGCAAAGACACCAAGACCCTTGGCAGCGGCAAAGCACCTAGGGGTGGAGAGGGCAAAGGCACACGGTGCGCGTGGCACACTGACCGTCGGGTGATTACCTGGCAGACTCTGCGGGATATGGGTGGGCACCGCAGCGTGTGGGAGAGGCGCTGCATGGGGCGGGCTGGAGTGCAAGCCAGCCAGAAGACCTGAGAGAAAACAGGAGGGGAGAAAAGAACAAAACACACACATTGAAGACAGGAACAGGAAAGCAGCTCCAGCAGCCAAAAGCCCCCGATAACCTGCCAGGCCAGTCTGGGCACCACACCCAAAGGGGCAGTGGGGGCTTGGCACAGTTCCCGGAGATGTTCCCCACAGTCACACACCAGACTCAAACACAGGAACCAGAGTACACAACAGCAGGACCCCTGGCCACAATCTAGAGGTTCCTGAGTGACCAGAGGCAGCAAAGAAGCACTTACTGTGGCCAAGGCCATGGTGGAAGGACCCGGGGGCAGGGCCTGTGACGATGGCATCCTTGGAGACCCCTGCTTTGGCAGAGGAGTCAGCGCTGAAGGAGAGCACATGGACAGGAATAGGGACAGGGGTTATAATTCCCAAGGAGTTCGAGCTCATGGCCCCAGACAGCTTTGGGCTGCTGGATTTGTAGGGTGAAGCCATCAAAGAGGAGCCGGCCAGCAGCACAGTCCCACTCGCTCCTTTCTAGGGAAGAAACACAGCAAGCGGTAAGAACTCCAGTCCTGTTCGTGGCTCACTCACACCAAACCTGGCAACACAAAGGATCCTCCTTGTGTGTCCACAAAGGAGGACATACACATCCATGTCAGATGGCCCTGGGAGGCACCCTCCGACCCTGCAGCCCCAAAGACAGGATCCAGGACAGTCTTTATGAACCAACATGGAATGGATTCCAGGGAACATAATTTTTTTAAAAGCAGGATATTAAATATGTCTCCTACAGAGGTTGCAGTGAGCTGTGATCGCGCTACTGCAGTCCAGCCTAGGTGACAGAGCCAGACTCTGTCTCAAAAAAAAAAAGCCTCCTTTGTGAAGGGAAAAATGTAATATAGATATCCATAAATGTTCATGGATATTTATATGTGTATATATATTTATATACATACATACACACACATACATATATACCTTTATTTATATTTATTAATCTTTTGTTTAAAAAGAGGAAAATAAACCAGAAACTAAAGAGCTTAGTTACCTTACAGAGGTGGTGGGTGCAGGAAAGGAGGTGAGACCTCCAACAGACCTTTCTATGGTTTTGTCTTTGCAACCACTTCATTTATATATTAGAAAAAGAGGCCGGGTGCAGTGGCTCACACCTGCAATCCCAGCACTTTGGGAGGCCGAGGCGGGCAGATCACGAGGTCAGGAGATCGAGACTATCCTGGCTAACATGGTGAAACTCCATCTCTACTAAAAACACAAAAAATTAGCTGGGCGTGGTGGCGGACGCCTGTAGTCCCAGCTACTCAAGAAGCTGAGGCAGGAGAATGGCGTGAACCCGGGAGGTGGAGCTTGCGCTGAGCCGAGATAGCGCCACTGCACTCCAGCCTTGGTGAAAGAGCAAGACTTCGTCTCAAAAAAAAAAAAAAGAAAAAAAGAAAAGAAAATGCTCACTCCCTCTTCCCGAACCTGCTGTGATTACACACAAGCGAGATGCATTAATTATTGGACTCTGTCCTTCAAAAACCAACAGAATCACTCTTAGAAGGTCCTGCTATTCCTGGTCCATGAACACCTCCACATGACTCAACTGATAGAAGACAGCATTTCCAGCCCCCTTTAGAGAGATGGAGAGGCAAGGGGTCACGGAAGGCAAGGGCTGTTGCTCATTCTGTGCCACACAGACAGCCTCCGAAGAGGCATGGTGCTTGGTGCTGGCCATCCTTTAGGTCCCTCTGCCCTCCTCAGAAGAAGCTTTAGGCCATCCTGGGCTTCCTGTCACCAGAAAAGTGAATACCTGAGAACAGGGAGCCCAGTCTCCCTTCCTACGTCTGAGCCCACTGTTCCTACCTGACCTGTGGTTTTAGATCTCACTCTCCACCCGGGGCAAGGCAAGCAACCTCATCCCCAAGGCCCCTGTGAGTGGGGCAGGGCAGGCTGCTATGACAGATACTCACTGACAAGGAGGTAGACGATGTCACACTACTAACTGCAGAGGGCTTTAGGGACGGCGAGGTCAGCAACTTTGCCACTCCCTGGGTCCCACCACTGGAATCTCCGTTTGGACCGCCTGGAGGGGCTACCAGAGTCAACTTCTGGGAAACAGGCATTTTTTTCCCTGCTGAACTTGGGACGGGTCGGCTGGTGGCCTGTCCCACGGAGGGAGGCTGTATGCCAGGGACCAGGCTCCCAGAAACAGAACTCTGGACTGGTGTTCCTCCCGAGGAAGAGCTGCCAGAAGAAACCCCATGTTTGGAGATTGAGCTGGCAAAGGGATTATTCTTGTAAGATGAGCCTGCAGAGCTGACTGAATGTGGCTTTGCTGGATGGCTCAGGGCAGAAGAGGACGAGGCTGGGGTCTTGTGAGAGCTGCTGCTGGAGGCTGACAGGCCTCCTGAGGTGGCTGGTGCAGAGGGATGGAAGCCCTGGCCTTTGGCCGCTGTCTTCACTAACTGCAGGAGGGAACGATGACACTGTGTGGGAGAAGCCTTTGGGCCTTGGAGCTTATTGGCAAATGGAGATGGGGGCGTGAAGTTTTTCTGCTGCTGAGTGCCGGCATGAAAGACTTTGACCTGGGGGCCAGGCACAGGAACTGCCACTTGGGGCCCGTGAGACGTCCGTGGCAAGCTGTGGTGCTTAGCTTTGGACTGATGTACTTCTGGCAGGCCCTTATTGAGGGGAGCCTGGCAGGACAGCTCTTTGTAGCCAGAACTCTCTGGTTTTTTCTCCTGAGAGGACTGCCCCAGTGCCAGAGCCTGTTCTGCCAGAAAATTGAGGGGTGACTGCAGAGAGCTAGCTGGTGGTGGAGCAGAAGGACTAGGCTTCGCAAAGTTCCTTTTTTCTTCTGTACATAAAACGCCTCCAACTTTTTCTGCAGGTGCTTTTGAGGGTGCAGGCAGTGTGAATTCAGAGTTCCCAGCTGCTCTGCTATTCAATGCAGCCAATTCCTTGGACACGGCTTCCACCGAGGAGGCTGGATTGCGGATCAAGTCTTCATCCAATGAGTCCTCCAGGTTGACAGGAGGAGGGTTAGCAAGGCCGCCCGATGCCTGGGATGGGAGCTCCCTGCTCGAGGCCCCAATACTCAGGCCTCCTGTTTGGTGATCTGAGGGCAAAGCAATGGGGCCACCAATCTGTCCTGATGGGACAGAAACCTTTTTATCAGGCTTCGTAGACGATTCCTAAAGGAAAACAGAAATGTTGATGTTTAGAAAGGTCCAAAGATGCCAACATTGGCCTGTTGTGAGGATACAAACATGTGAACTCGAGTCAAAAAAACTGGGCCTTCCTGTATAATTACAAGACAAGTGGTGGGACAGAGCAGGAGCTGTGCCCGCCTTGACTTTAGATGCCATGACTTCATCACCCCTGGTGAGTATCTGGTTGGCCAGGGCTGGGTTTACCCCGGCATGCTTCGTTGCTAAGTACAAACAAGCCGCCAGGAGAAACTTTCTTCTGTTTTGAAAAGCGTTAAGACTCTCGTGAAGAGATACTCTGCCTACTGGCATTCCCACTGTCTCAGCGCACTCCTAGCTGCAATCAGACCAAGGCATGGCATGAGAATTGCCTTAAAGCAGCTATTTTTCCCTTCTTGATTTTTCCCAGCACCCATCTCCTCAGACTGGGTTCAAAGAAGAGTGAGCTTTTCATGGGAACAGGAATGGGGTCTAATCCTTCACTCCTGCATCCCTGGTGCTTAATACAGTGTGTCTGGGACATTGTGGGAGCTCAACAGATACTTAGGAGTAAATGATTTGCACATCTCATTCTCACGGTCTGCTTAGGGATGGCTAAGGGCACCACACTAAGAACTGGGAAAAATGTTGATAAACAGCAATTTTTACTACATTGAGAGGTTTCTGCAACATCTAAGGTAATTTTCACAGTGTCTATTCTCCAGCCACTATATTGCCCTCCATTTCTGCCTGGTAGCTCAGTAAAGTCGCCTTTTCTTTCTGCTGTGGCTCCAAGCTAAACTGCACTTGGCTAGAGTGTATTTCTTCCATACAAAGATCACAGTGTAACACGTTCACACCTTCAGGGACTACTGACTCCTCAGAGGGCTGCCAAGAAGATCCCACTTAATCCCACATGAACCCCAGGAACTGGGCCAGCTGGGTACTGTTTGTAGAACCAAGGCTAGAGGGGGGTTAAGTGGCTTGGGTCTCTGTCCTGTTATGACTTCAAGAATGTCATCCTGAGCAGCTGTCCCCAGACGAGCAAAGATCAATGAGCTTCCACAGTCACTTGACTGTTTCCAGAGCATAGTTGTAGGGAGATGGGCATAGCTGACATGTGACCCGAGCAAACTGACTCACCTTCACCTTGATTTTAGAAGGGGCCATAACTTTCTTCTTGGCCCTGTTCAAAGGAATGAGCACAGAAAAGTTTAGAGAATATCCAGAGGAGACCAAAAACAACACTTGTCCCGAGATGTGAAAATACCAAGACACTCACAGGATTGAAGTCAGGTGCCCATGGCCTCGTCTGCTCTCCTTAAACAGAGTTCTGAAAGACACAGAACACCAGGCATCTGTACATGCCCCAGAAAGCTGGGACTCTGCTTCCAGAACTTTGCTAGTGTCCCTGGTCCTCAGTAGCTATCCCTCATTAAATGTCAACTGGCCAGGCGCAGTGGCTCACGCCTGTAATCCCAGCACTTTTGGAGGCCAAGGCAGGTGGATCACCTGAGGTCAGGAGTTCGAGACCAGCCTGGCCAACATGGTGAAACCCCGTCTCTACTAAAAATACTAAAATTAGCCAGGCGTGGTGGCGCACGCCTGTAATCCCAGCTACTCGGGAGGCTGAGGCAGGAGATTCGCTCAAACCGGGGAGGCGGAGGTTGCAGTGAGCCGAGATCGTGCCATTGCACTCCAGTCTGGGCAACAGAGTGAGACTTTGTCCCCGCCCCCCCACCATGCCCACCCACCCCCCACACACACAAAAAAAAAGGTCAATGGATTGGGGAGCCAAATTCCTGGTGAGAGGATCTCAATGGGACACACTGGCTGCCCAAAGGCTGAGTCTGGCCTTTACCAAGAAAATGTATGGCTCTGCCTCAAACCTCTCATGGTGATGCTTCCCTAAAGGGCACAGCACTTTCCTTATTGCCTAGTCCCTCCATTCCAGGAATAAAATGTGGAGTGACCCAGCATGTCTTTGTCCAGAGAAACTCAACAAAAACGTTCTTCGTATGAGTCCAGCCTACGTAGAGAGGACAGCAATTTCAAAGGTTCCAAGATCTATCCGCACAACAGATGATTCGAGTCCAATCAAGAAAATCACTCCAGCTAACTTTCTCTGTCCCATGTATGACACAAATACTTCATTCGCAGGAAGTGACTTCGTACAAGGTAGCCTCTGAGATGGAAGCCTGGCACTTAGTTCCAATAAGGAGTCAGCCCTGCTACCTGCAAATGACACTTCTTCAGGAACATCAGGAAAGACCCAAGATGAACCCATCTCTCAAATGCTCATAGCAGCCTGTATGTTAAAACAGGAAGTGTGGCCGGGTGTGGTGGCTCACGCCTGTAATCCCAGCACTTAGGGAGGCCAAGGTGGGCAGATCACAAGGTCAGGAGATTGAGACCATCCTGGCTAACACGGTGAAACCCCATTTCTACTAAAAATACAAAAAATTAGCCGGGCATGGTGGCAGGCACCTGTAGTCCCAGCTACTCGGGAGGTTGAGGCAGGAGAACGGCGTGAACCTGGGAGGTGGAGCTTGCAGTGAGCTGAGATCATACCACTGCACTCCAGCCCAGGCAACAGAGCGAGACTCCATCTCAAAAAAAAAAAAAAAAAAAAAAAAAAAAGGAAAGTGCATATTGAGATGGGAGGCCAAACATCAACTGAAGTGGGACAAAAAATGACAAAAACAAAACCCTGGAGGCAACTTCCCTTCCTCCAGGGAAGATCCAGAAGACCCTTTCCCAGCTACCTGCATGTCCCCCAGTTACTCAGGTGAGATCAGAGTTGAGGCAGCTAGACAGTGACTCCCTGTGAGCAAGGATCCTGTTGGCCTGGCACAAAAGCAGCGTTCAAACGTGTCTTGACTGCACAGATGCCCATCTCAGCACACGGCCCTCACCTGGCCTGCATCCAGCCTTTGGGCCAGAGGGGCTTGACTTCCGCATCCAGAAAGCCCTTCACACAGTCCTCCCAAGCCTGGGCTTTGTTGTTCCTCTCCAGGTCCTGGCTCTCCAGTTTGATCTTCACCACCTGGCACAGTAGCTCCCTGAGAAGGAGGCAGAAATCAGAAACTCCAAACTACTTCAGATGCTGCTCCAAGGTTCCAATCATGTGCTTTCAGCAGCCCTGATGAAAGTAAATGAGCCTAACCTTTGTCAGCAATAGGGGACGTGCTCAGACACTGCCCCACCAACCCTCCAAAGAGGCCAAGTCCCAGTGTGGGCACACCTGATCTCATCATTCCATTGGAACTTCTTCCGAGGTCCCATTATCCTCCTGCCCCCTTTTTCTTCATCTTCTTCCTCATCCGAACAAATCCGGTCCCTCTGCTCCTTGTCTTTCTCCTCTTCCAGCATCCTACGGGGTGAATAGAATTACATGGGGCCCCAAGGTGCTCCTGCCCACCGCCTCTCCCCTCACTCTGCACTACTGGGACTTCACAGAGAAGGAGAAAAGGCCAAAGAAGAGCCAAGAGGCTCCTTGGGAAACGGCAGTACACACCGAGAAACGGGAGGGGAAGAGGCAAGACGGGAGGGTTGCACCTGCAAGCGCCAGGACAAACTTACTTGGCAACCTTTGCCTGCGTGTGTGCCTGGCATTCGTCCTGGTACTTGGCCATCTGCTCTGGCATCGCCCTGCCAATGGCTTCCTTGAGCTTCTGGAGAGGCTCCTTCAGACGGCCCCCCTGCGAAGAGCGGGACACAATTCAAGGCAGGTTTACACATCGCTCTTACGCTCAGGACGCATGATGGGGTGATCACAAGGAGGCAGTGGGGCAGCAGACGCATCATTGCTTAAGACTCAGTCACCCCTCCGCCAGGACCCCAAAGCCAAAGGGCTTCACTCTAGAGTCACCCACCTGTTCATAGAGGTGAAGTTTCCGAGCACGCTTGAGCAGGGCATCCTTGCTGCAGGGCAGGAATGACGCAAGATAGGCATACACCCCAGAGCGGACCTGACTGCTCAGCTCCCGAGTCTGCGCCTCTATGCTGAAGAACAAAACACAGTCACCACCGGCTGCAGCTCACTGCAACTCCTGTCTTCATCAGCTCACCGTACGTGGAGAGGAAAGCTAGGAGCCAACGGCAGTCAAACCCTGTCTTGTTGGTCACACAATGTAACTGAATGCCCAAGGAAACACATCCTCAGCAATCAACAAACAACAACAACTCCCAAGCCTGATGAACATGGCTAGGTAATGTGGGCCAAGGCTCTTAGGTCACAATACCAGGAAAACAGAGCCCAGGAGAACAAGCTCTGAAGCACTAAATTTCATAGAGAAAACATGAAAGCTTTCAAAGTGGAAAGTCATGAGTTACTTGGGGTTCAAAGGAGACACTTCCCGGCAGCATTTCTTTTTTTTCCCCCAGTCCCCACGTTTATCAACCATTATGAGGTCAGGGAAAGCCTCACCCCTCCAGTTTCTCCATCTAGATAAGCAAAAAAATATTTCTCTTCAATGCCTTGAGCTGTCCACATTTGGCACGCTCAAGCAGGTTCCTTGTTGACACAATCCTATCGTCCGCACCAATGCTCAGGTGCTCTCTGCAGCTCACACTTCCTGACCCAAGGGGCCAATCCAGGTCCCGGCCAGGCGAGGCCATGTGGTAGAACACCCACATTTTGACAACTGTTCTTACACACACAAACTCCTCAGCTGTTGAGCAACAAGCTTCCCCTGCCACAAACTGCAACCAGGAGAAAAGCGGCAACACTGCAGGCCAGGCCACAAGGATTCACTTTTCCCAGTCTGGATTTACAAATGTTTGCTCATCTGTTTTTTAACCCGATTCACACAGCGTGGTGTCTCAGAGGCTCAGGCATGTGGGAACAGCATTAGGGATGATGCACGTGGCACTAGGAACAGGAGTGCCAGCGAGCGGAACAGCCAGGGACGCCAAGCAACACCCAAGGCAGAGCAGGCCCGAGGCCACCAGGCTGTCTCTCATTCTTCAGGATTCTCAGAGACAGTCAGGCAACACCTTCTCTCTCTCCTCATCTCATACCTGCCAAGAAATCCTCTTCTAACAGGCCATGATTATCACATGTTATTAATGCCTGCTGCCTAAGATCAAGGAGGTCTATCGCTTCTGGAGACAAGTACTTGGTGTCCCTGTTGTGTTTTGATTTTTAAAAGAAAAATAACAATGAAACCATGTTAATCCAATTCTTCTTTTATCTCCTTGGTGGTCACCTTTATGCAGTTCAATTGTACTCCCACTGTCCCCTAGCTGGCTTGCCCCAAGCTCAGTAATAGCAGAAACAGACAGACAGACAGACAGACAGACGATACTCACTCTAATAGGATTCCATTAATATCCTGGGTGAAGAACTTCTGTCTGCTCTCCCCCTCAGCAGCTCTGGCAGCCTGGTGCACAGCAGACAGTAACAGCCGTTAGTGCACTTTCCCCACATGTCCCTTACGCTCACCCACAGGCACAGGAGTCATCGCTCCATAAAGAGCACCTGTCAATACAGTCACACCGCCACCTTTCCAACTCCACCCTAGTCCCAGGTTAAGTTCGCCTGCGATCAATATTCTCTTTTCAAATGCTGCTGCAGCATCTGTGGGCTGCCAGTTCTTCCTGGGACTTAAAACAGTCACAGAAAAGAAAATCAGAGTCAAAGCCATCACAATGCACTTAGCCAGAGGCCAATAAGGCCAACTAACCCCTGCACCCATACACCATCAACTACACCATTAGTTGGGATTTCCATGTATCTACAGTACAAAAATATTCAAGAACTTCAACCAGTCTATAGGATTTAAAGGCCTTTTTATCTACAAAAATAATAATAATGTGTAGCTCTAACACTTAAGGACATTAAAACTCTTTGACAATTCCTAATCTACTTATGGTATACCACGAGCTCTCTATTAGCCAGACCATGTGAATAATTAACCCACCATATTACCTATTAACACCAGATTATAGGAGTTTCAGTACAGTCTTAGTTTGCTTTCGAAAAGAACACAGTTAACACACACCCTGGATGGCAAGCTCAGAGACCCCTGAAGCAACCACGGCAGGCAGCCACGACACAGCGGGAACACAAAAAAGCAGACCCTGTGGAAGTCTGCATCAGGGTTCTCACACTTGGTTGCATATTGGAATTCCCTGGGCAGCTTGGAGCAACTCAGGCCATTCAAATCACAGTCTCTGGAAAGGAGATTCAGGAATGCACACTCTCAAAAGTGGCCCAAGTACTCTTTCAAAGCAACCCTGGGAACACTGATGTGCAAAAAGGGCTGGGAACCATTCCTCTCAACCCAAGAGCTGCTGGTCTGAAGGCTTTGGGTGAAATAAAATTTCTGAAATCAGACATGATATACAGTAACGACAGCAAACAAGGGTGATAAGGTGACTATCTAGAATGAAGGGATCAACCCCTCTGAAATTGCAGACACTGCTAACCCCTCACCATCATCTCCCCCACTCACCTTCCTCTCACTGCATCCTCTGGGGCCCCTTCCAACCACTCTAACTGCTCCATCTGCCTCCTCCACCAGCTCCTTTCCATAGGCGGACCCCAGGATTCTCACTAGAACCCACTTCTCCCAATAACTTCTTTCCCCCTCAGGGCTTCAAAATAACACAGACAATTGTACACTCAAATCTAAACTAAGCCCTAAATCCTCTCATCTAAGCTCTGGACCAGAATTTCCAGTTATCTCTGAGAAATTTCCCAATTACAGTCAACGCCTGGTATAGGCAGGGGATTGGTTACAGGACCCCCGTATATACCAAAATCCAACTGCACAGTCAGCCCTGAGGAACCTGCCTATACAAAAAGTTAGCCCTCTATACACAGATTTAGCATCCCTCAAATCAACCCACATTTGGTTAGAAAACATCTGCGTGTAAGTGGATCCACGCAGTTAAACCCTGTGTTGTTCAAGGGTCAACTGCACTTCTGTGGATGGATGACCCTCTGGTTTGCAAACTCAACTTACACCAGACCCACTGGCTTCTGCTCTTCCCCTGTGTTCCCCACTTCTAATAATTGCACTCCAACCTTAAGACCGCCACTCCCTTCTTCAGAACCCTTCAGCAGCTCTTTCCAAGCCTGGTATCAAACCCAAACTCCTTCACATGGCATTTGGGGTCCTCCACGATCTGGCCCAGCCATCCACCAACTCGCCCATCTTCAGCTCTGCTCCCTGCCTTCTCTTAGGGCATCTTCCCCAGGAGGCCGGCGAAGCCTGTTGCCTCCAGTCTGCTTCCTATATGCCCCCCAAGAGCCTCTCTTTAACCCCTTAAGTCCGGCTATCTGGCCGTCCACACATCACAAAGCTTACTTCATTCTGCTCTGTACTACAGTCCATTGTCTGCGTATCTATCGGGTCCATTTATGTAACGAGCTCATGAAAGACAAGAATGGAACCTTGGCCCGGCGCGGTGGCTCACACCTGTAATCCTAACACATTGGGAGGCCAAGGTGGGCGGAACACGCGAGCTCAGGAGTTTCAGACCAGCTTGGGCACATGATGAGACCCTGTCTCTACTAAAAATACAAAAAAAAGCTGGGCATGGTGGTGCATGCCTGTGGTCCCAACTACTCTGGAGGCTGAGGTGGCAGGATCACTTGAGCCCTGGGCGTGGAGGTTGCAGTAAGGCAAGATCGTGCCACTGCACTCCAGCCTGGGTGACAGAGCAAGACCCTGTCTTAAAAAATAATAATAAAATAAAATATAGAACTGAGTCTTATTCATCAGTATATTTCCCATGGCTGCCTGTCACATAATATTTACTAAATGTTGACTGAGTGAATGAATCAACAAATGAAGATACTACTGTAAAACGGCACGCCACAGGAAGAAAAGCTTAACACCAAACAACCAAAACTAAGTCAGAAGAAAATGCGCAAAACTCAAGCTTCTACAGATCCCTTGGCTAGGTGAAAGCCCAGAGGGGTGAAATCCACAGACGAATAATGGAAAAAAAGGGCATGACTTTTCACCCAGCCATGTGCCAATTTCTTACACTCTTGGAAACATTCAGAATTCTACCTTAGCACTTGGAAGGTACTAGAATTATATTAGTCTGGGAAAAAATAAAACTGAACTTTTTTTGCTTAAGCTTACACTGCTAGTTTTAAGATCGAGAAGCACCCTTACATTAATTCAAACTAATTAACATGTATTTCACATGCCACACTTTCAGACCCATCTACAGCTTAAACTTCCAATCAAATTTTATCTTATTATTTTTTATTTTTTTATTTTAGTTTAGTTTTTGAGACGGAGTCTTGTTCTGTTGCCCAGGCTGGAGTGCAATGGCGTGATCTCAGCTCACTGCAACCTCCACCTCCCGGGTTCAAGTGATTCTCCTGCCTCAGCCTCCTGAGTAGCTGGGATTACAGGCACCCACCCCCATGTTCGGCTAATTTTTTGTATTTTTAGTAGAGATGGGGTTTCACCATGTTGGCCAGGCTGGTCTCAAACATCTGACCCCAAGTGATCCGCCCGCCTCAGCCACCCAAAATGCTGGGATTACAGGCTGAGCCACCATGCCCAGCATCTTATTTTATTGAGATGGTCTCACTCTGTCACCCATTCTGGAGTGCAGTGACGTGATCGCAGCTCATACAGCCTTGACCTCCCAGGCTCAAATAATCCTCCCGCCTCAGCTTCCCAAGCAGCTGGGACTACAGCTGCACGCAACCACGCCTGACTAATTTTTAGATTTTTTTTTCTCACTCTGTTACCCAGGCTGGTCTGGAACTCCTGGGCTCAGGTGATCCTCCCACCTCGGCCTCCCAAAGTACTGCGATTACAGGCATGAGCCACCGCGCCCTGCCAAATTTTCTGTTTAGATAGCCACTTGTACAATATTTCAGAAGCTTTCTATGTAATCTTTACGCAATCTTTAAAAATATTTTAAATAATATTATGTAATTTTAGAAAGTACTTTTCTGTAAACCTTTTGAATTGCATAGACAATATCTCTGAGGGTCTGGCTTTATACTGAAGAGTCGACTGCGGCATTTTAAAGTAAATCTAATTAAAAGAGCAATTGGATATATATCTGATAGTCTTCCAAAAATAAATGGGGTCCCTCACCCCTAAAAAGAGACACTCTTACCCCAGAAGTTGTGTGAATTAATCAATCCTAAGTTAACTAGTAAATGAGGTTAAACATCCCAATCATGCTGATTTATAAGAGTTCCAACAGCCTTTTAATGAGCTGTTTTATTTATTCTAAGAAAAGTCACCTGTAGCCTTTTAGCACCCAGCTCAAAATCTTATATACTGTATCTGTTTTTGCTGAGTAGGAGAAAATCGGGCATGATTTTTTTTAAAAAGATCAAACAAGTTGTTTTCGTTTTTTTTCCCCCTACGTTATTCTCTTTGGATCCATCTCTCCCTGCACTTCTTGTGATGAGGGGTTCTAATTCTATAGAGGGCAGAGCAGAATGGGTGACATGGGGTCTCTTTGATTCCTGCTCTTAGTATTGTCTCTATGTTATGCTTGACTAAAGAGAACCAAAATAGATCTGGGTTATTTGTCCAGCCCAAGGCTGAGTAGCTGTCAAACTACCTCAAGACAATAACCCAAAGGAGCATCAAACCTGAGCTTTGTCAGCACCTGTACCTGCCAACAACCAAGACAAAAGACACCATCAATGCATATTAACAGAGGGCAGGGTAAGGCCATCAAATCACTGGATTCCCTGGGGCCTATACAAATGTACAATACAAATCAGTAACAAAAAACAGGCTGATGTGAGAATGTAGTGAACGTGGCAGAGGCATCACCAAGGTTCCCTCTCAGAGGACCTCTTTAACATACACAAGTTTTCAAAGACATTTTTTAAAGTTTTAAGTACCATATTTAGTTAGAAGATATATCTAATTTTGCTTCCCAGAGTTTTTTCCCCTAAGGGATCAATACACATGGGATAAGAATCTGCTATGTACTGTGGCAGAATACAAAACAGGAACACAGGCCAGGCGCAGTGGCTCACGCCTGTAATCCCAGCTACTCGGGAGGCTGAGGCACAAGAATCACTTGAACCCAGAAGGCGGAGGTGGATGTTGCAGTGAGCTGAGATTGCACCACTGCACTCCAGCCTGGGTGATGGAGTCAGACTCTGTCTCAAAAAAAAAAAAAAAAAAAAAAAGGCAACAACAACAACAAACCAGGATCACAGATTCCTCCCACAAAGAAATTCTCCTCCCAAAGAGGTGCACCCTAGCTCCCTAATCCTTGGATCTGGGCGGCTCTTGTGATTTGCTCTGACCAAAAGTGTGCTGGAAGTCATGTGATACACATAGCCTCTAAGGCTAGCTCTCAAGGGCCCTGCAGCTTCCACCTTTCCCCTCTTGAGATGTTGCCCTGAGACCACCAAGCCCTGAAGAAGGCAGGATGAAAGGCCAGGAAAGAAAAGCCCTGCCAGCACCTGGCCAACTTGCCAGCTGAATGCAGCCATGAGCGTTGGCCCAGAGTCAGGAGAAACGAACTGCTATGACAAGGCAAATTTTGGGGGGTGTTTTGCAGACAGTGATAGAAACTGATTTGTGTGTCACCTAGGGCCAAGATGTAAAGTCTACCCAATCTTATAATAGAGGGAAAAGGGGGGGAAAATTAGGGGTATAAAAAATAAAGTGAGAAACACGTAACACTGCTAATGTCCCAGTTACATACATCAGGTTTACTTTAAATTTTAAAAATGCGATGTCCATTTCAAGATCTAGGATGGACCCCTTATTAAGGATCCAAATATCAAATATCCACATGTGGCTTTTGGAATCATAAGCAATTTGAGTATACCAGTGCATTCCTTCCCTGGGAAGACTATCTTTCCCAGCAGATTCTCAGTGGGATCAGGGGTCCTGAGCATTTGCACACACATGCAGGGACTCCAAGTGCCCCAAGTGCAGGGCCCTGGTCAGAAGAGCGCACCTGAGGACCCTTCGGAGTAGCATTAAGCATCTTTTTAAAATAAGCCACCTTTTTAATGCAACCATAAAAAGTCATGAGGGCTTTATAATATTACGTAAAAAGGCAGAAAACAGTTATTCACAACTATAATTACAGCTGCATAAAAACATATACACAGAGGCTAGAAAAGAATATCCAACTAGAAATTGTTTTTATATTGGCCGGATGGATAATTTCCATACACCTTCCACCCCATTTTTCAAAGTTTCTTAATGCTGTTATAGGAGAAGGGCAATGTGAAGACTCGAATATCAACTTCACACTTGAATACTGTATTTTCCAACCAGAACATCAGCCTCTCCTGGTCACCAGCTCCCCACTGGGACCCAGGCCCACCTTGACTATGGGATCCTGAACCCTGTGTTTGTTATGCCCAAGAGCTAACTGACACTTGGCAATCACTGAGGAGGGGCAGCTTGCCTAACAAGGTGTTTACTCAGCTCCGCTTTCTTGCACCACAGCCCAACATTGTTTCCGGTTATGTCATTCTGTTGCCACTAAATCTGTCCCCATCTTTCCCAAGAAAGTGAAACAGTAAGTTTTCACACTAGAACACAACCTATGGCACGAGTGGGGACACAGCCAAGAATCTGGTTTTGACTTTTCTCTAACGACCATCTATCGTCACATAGACCTTAAATGATTTAACAAGACTTTCAGAAGCTAAGAAACAATTTGATTACGAACCAGAGGATTAAAAAGAACAAGGAGTAATGTTTGGTTAACATGAATTCTGAGAGCAAATATAGGACAGCAGGCTCAAAAACACCAAGTTCAGATTCAGCTACTTCCACCTCAATGTCATACTAAGAGATACTCCAAACCCCAACATGGTACAATTCACTTAAATCATTACATTCAAATACAATACTTGAATTTCCAATGCTGGACACAAGCTGACAAAGATGAGGTAGAGCTTTGAATAGATACTTTATTTGCTTTGTATATGGTGTTCAAATATTTTTTGGAAGTGAGAAAATCATTTTAGCAGTAGCTGACAATTTACCCTGCCCTAAAACACAAAGGATATTATAGGTAACAATGCTTCTGAAATACTGTAAGAATCACTGATTTAAAACCTACAGCTGTAGATTATGACTGCCACTAGAGCTGCATCACAAGTCCTGATGCTTAAGGTAAAATGTTATTTTAACTTAAAGGTAAATGATATTACAACCAATGATCCATGCCTAGTTTACAGTTAGAAATGTGTTACTTGAACAGACAATTCTCAGTGCTTAATTCCCAATCACTGGAGTAAAACAGCAAGAGCTGCTAGATCCTAAAGGTGGTAATGGTGGTTGGTTTGTTTTTTAATGGAATCTTGCTCTGTGGCCCAGGCTAGAGTGCACTGGCGCAATCTCCACTCACCACAACCTCCGCCTCCTGGGTTCAAGCGATTCTGCTGCCTCAGCCTCCCAAGTAGCCGGGATTACGGCGAGCGCCACCAGGCCCAGCTAATTTTTTGTATTTTTAGTAGAAACAGGGTTTCACCATGTTGGCCAGGCTGGTCTCGAACTCCTGACCTCAGGTGATCCGCCCACCTCGGCCTCCCAAAGTGCTGGGATTACAGGCGTGAGCCACTGCACCCTGCCGATGGTGGGTTTTAATGGGACATGGACAGCATTTAAAATTAAGCTGCTTTTCATTCATCACATTTGAGGCATTCCTGTAATCACTACCTAACACTGGATACACAACGCAAGGGAGCGACTGAAACCTAGTGGCAACGAAGCATCTACTCTACGTGTAACTTGTATGTTTACAAACTTTTGTGAATTTGCAAAACCTTCGTAAGAATTCTAAGATTAATCTCTGCCTCAGCTGCCTGCTGCCAACATCATCCGTCTATCACATGAAGGAAAAGATGCCGTGTGGAAAACAAACTGACAGAAAACAGAAAGAGAACAATCTCCCCAGAAGAAAGCAAATTTTCCAGAAATGAAGAAACCAAGAAAGGCCTAAAATGATGCCTGACGGGCAAGGCTTACACTGTTTTCTCCCTCAGGATGAGAATAGGGTTTGGAAAAAGCTGACACCTTAACTGCCAACTCACTAAGAGTTTCTCTGGGCAAGCTTCACGCAGTGCAGAACCAACAGCAATCTGCCCAAACTGCTTCCAGGAAAGCCCAGCCGCACTGTGCCACCATACCTGAGCCAGCTCCTTAACGCGCTTCTCCAGGGGTGCTGGCAGGCCTTCGGGGAGAGAAGAGGGCTGCCTGAATTCCTGGTCCAATCCCACCCCAAGGGAATCACTTCCATCATCCATATCTCGGAAGGGACTTCCTTCTGGAGACTCACTGAGCAGATGCTCCAAGTCCAAATCCGTCAGCGAGTCCATGGCAGTGGCCGCCTGGAGCAAGTCGTTGTCAGAAGTAGAGCCAAAGAGTGAGAGCAAGGGGTCAGAGGCACCCTCCAGTTCCCGCAGGCCCTGAGCTTCCGCTGATGGGACCGCAACAGGCTTATGCTCCTCCTCCCTTTTTTTCTGAGCCTCTTTCTCTTTCTGAAATTTCTTTAGCATCTCTTTAACGCTTAAAGCCCCAGAATATTTCTTCTTCTTCTTCTCCTTACTGGCATTGAGGGCTGTGAAGCTGCAAGCAAGAGGGAAACTGGTCACTCAGACTATAGGACACCTCCAAAGGGAACTCCAGAGGCCTTCACCCCTGCTCCCAGGGTCATGGTCTCCAGGAGAACCTGTCACAGTCCACCCTGTCATTCCTCCTCCCTCCTCTTGGCATATGGAGCTCGTTCTTGCTGAGACCAAAGCTTGAGAGTTAATACAGGTTAGCAACACAGTGTCACATATGCTAAATTTCCGACGGGTTTTTAGAAACCACTGCCAGGCTGAAATAAAAGGTTGCAAAAAGGGGCAGGGAGAGCAAGAAAAGTATTTAGAGGGAGAAAGCAGGAGCAGCAGAGAACAGCAGCAACTTGAAGAGAAGCTGGGGTGAGACCAAGTGAGGAGAAGGAAGCATGACCATAGACAACAAGGGAAAACAGCGGAGACAGAAGGAGAACTGGGGCAGAGAGGAGCACCCCAGAGGACGAGAAACATCAGCAGTCACACAGTGACAACAATAGCTGCCAACACTGACAGTGGAACTATCTGACACACTGAGAGGTGAGCGTCTATGCCCAGAATGGCACTGCGGGAGGCGTGCGGGAGGACAGGAAGGCCAGGCCCTGCTGCCTCTTCCGAAGCTGTGGGGAGGAGGTGAGTCAGCTCCCAGTCGTCCTGCCCTAACAGTTCAGGCTTTATCCTAGCAAAGAAGCTGCTGCCTCTCACCCGGCTTTGGAAAACTTGGACTTTTTCGATTTCTTCTCCTTGTCATAAGTGTCATCTTTTTTCTTCTTCTTTATCTTCTCACCACCTTCCTTCAACTTCCGCTTCTGAGAATTAAAGACAAGGCACAGTTACACGGCTCCCTAACTCAGGGAGCAAGTGCACTACACGGCACTGGCCTTGCTCCGCCCGGGGCACATCCTGAGACCTGTCTCATTTCCTTCATGAACAAAAGCTCTCAGATCAGTCCCTGGACCACAAACCCACAGCATTCCCACCGACGGTGTCTCCTGGAAACACCCAGGGCTGAGACAACAGTGACCATTCTGGAGCCTGAAACCTTTGTAGTTTGAAAGTTACAAGTGGGCCCTACCTCTCATCTTAAACACATAGGCAGTGGTAGACAGGTTTTTAAACACACTGATCCTAAGGCTGACTGGTTTTCAGTGGGATGGCAGCCCTGAAACTGAAGTCCTCTACATGTCCACAGAAGAGGGTCAGCAAGAGTGGTACACATTCCCTCATTCCACAGCCTTCCCACCCTGAGGCCACCTCCAGAAACGACCCCTGCTGAGCCTGCTGGGATGTCATGTGACATGGACATAATGACCAAGTGCTGAACAGAGCCCCCACGGGCACGTGTCCTCATTAGGGCACACGTGTAAGAGGCGAGCCATCAACCTGGCACGGCTCTGCCTTTCCACCATCCTCCTGAGCCGGCCAAGCGCCACGTATTCTGGCAAGTCACCTACTGATCTGATAGGGTCACGTCAAAAAGCATTTCTGAAATCCAAAAGCAAGCACATTCTAACCTTTGGAGATTTTTTCTTCTTTTCTTTAATGAAGTCATCTTCAGACTCTGATGCTTGTCTAAACTGCAGGGTTCCCGAGTTAATGTAAAATCCTCCATACTTCGTAGTCAAAGAAGCAGGAACAAGCTCATCATACTGAAGATGGGAAACAAACTGTCAGCTCCAAGTTCTGCTTCTGCAGTCCGAAGGTGCAAAGTGGGTCTCGAGAGAGATGTGACTGTGCTCCTCTGCCACTTCCAAGAGCATGCTAAAACATCCTCTGGTCAAACATGAATGTCTGAGCTACAAGGTGTTTTGGACAGATCTGGTCATCACTTTCTGAAGAGGGAACTAAGACCCGGATAAAGAATGTCATTTCGTCTCTCATCAGTGCTGCTACTGCCTCATGCTGGGAAGAGGGCACGACTGCTCTGACCCCACCCCCAGCTTCCTGGTCAGTATCAGGAGGAGCTACAGGTACAGTGGGTCTGACACGGCATTTTCAGTAACTACTTACCGCCTCAGAGTTATCGATGAAGGAGTCGGATTCATCATAACCATACCCCATATCGATCAAGTCCTGTATTCGGTCTTTTCTACGTTTCTTTCCACCCTAAAATGTGAAAGCAATAGATTACATGCTTTTTGAATAAACACACAGAATTAACTGTGGCCTTGAACTTCATCAGCTATGACTCAAAGAGGTAATGCACTAACTAAAACAGTCACTCTCTCACATACACACAAACCCCAAAACCTCCTTTCCTGAAAACCTTTTAACATAGAACATATTTGTACCTGTATAAAATGTCCTAGGACAGAAAAATGAACTAAATGGCTTCTTATGCTTTGTACCAAAATATTTCTTCTAAGGCGACCACAGGCCCTTCTCGGTTATTTGTCCAGTTAGCTCTTCACACTAGCTCTGCCATGCCCCTTTTCTGTACCTTAATGCGTTAGGTTTAATAACTGCTTCTCTTCTCTCCATGCTTAAGGCTTACTTCCAGATCAGTGTTTATTACATGATGATCCACTAAAGGAATACAGTGTGGAAACGTCTCCCACCCAATGAGGTTGTTTTGTTATTCAAGAGAGAAATCTTACGTATTTTTCTTCAAATTTTCGGGCAAGGGCCTCTACTTTATGCCTTTCCTTTTCTTCGTCATTGAAAGGATCTGACAGATCTTTCTTCTGTAAAGAGATCGTTCCACAAAAAATAAGTCAGAAAATATTCCCATGTTCTTATTCATAGAAACTTCACTGATTACTCAATACCTCTATAAAAACAATGTTTTCCAGAAAAGGGCAAGGTAGAAAACATGCTACCATCTCATCAATGTTTATCTTAATTAAGAAAGTAAAATTTCCCTTAATGTAGGTTAATAAAACTTGATTGAATGCCTACAATCATCCACCACAGCATGAGGGGCTGCAGGACTCAAAGACAGCAAAGGGCCTTTAGAAGGAGATGCCCAGTCGCTACACAACCACGTTCAATAAAGTGGACTTCCTTTGTAACTCTTAAAATTTTCTTCAGGCATTTAAAAACATTCTAAGAAAGAGTCCATTGACTTCCAAAATAGTCAAGGGCTCAAAAACGTGAAAATCCCACTGAATGTGGTGCAAGTTCTTGAGAGCCGTTCTGCCATACTGTTTAGAAAGGTCTGAATTTGCACTTCTCTCGGTGCTACCAAAGTTAAACTCAGGCTTCCAAGGCTTATTTCCATTTTATAAGCTTATTCTTTTCTCATCAAGCAAATTTTCCACAGATAAGCCTTAAGCTTTGTGAGCAAGGAATCCAAAAAAAAAAATTTTTTTTTTTTTTTTTTGAGATAAGAGTCTCACTCTGTCACTCAGGCTGCAGTGCAGTGGCACAATCATGACTCACTGTAGCCTCAACCTCCCCAGGCTCGGGTGATCCTCCTGCCTCAGCCTCCTGAATAGCTGGGACTATAGGCATACAACACTATGCCTAGCTAAATTTTTTTTTTTTAAGTTTTTTGTATAGATAGGGTTTCATCATGTTGCCCAGGCTGGTCTCAAGCTCCTGGGCTCAAATGATCTGCCCATCTCAGCCTCCCAAAGTGCTGGGATTACAGGCGAGAGCCACCACACCCAGCCAGGAGCCAGGAATCCTAATTTTAATAAGACTCCTGTACGAAGTATGTTTAAGACTTCAAGGTAGACAGAAAACACTAAAGACTGTATGCCTGTTTCAAACAAACTTTCTTATCTCACCCTCCCATCTCTGCCTACTGAAATACCACCTGCAAAGGATCAGTTAAATGATTTGTGGTGTACACATACAATGGGATATTATAGAGCATACATCTAACGATCATACCTCAAATGGGGAGTCTTTCAAACATGCTTATCTGGATCTTCTAATTTTTCTACAATGATCGCATATAACTTGAGTGGTTATGTAACTGTAAGAAATCCCACCAACCTTGAGCAGCACTGGATTCTATGTATACTACTGAACGCCTTGCCAACAGCAGTCTTCCAATAACTACCATTTCCTGACTGTATGACGGAAGGTCCAGCTCTGTCCCAACACTAATCAGGAAATAAGCTCTCTTCTTTCTAAGACCTCCAGGGCCTGTGTCGTACCAGACTTAAACAATGACCATATTGTAATTTCTGTTACCTGCGGTGGTACCATTCTCTCAAAACATCTATAGGATGTTTGTTTTGAGGCTGGTACAGTGTTTTCTCTAACTTTCTATAGTCCTCTGAGTCTAGCACAATGCCTTCATACTATTAAGGACTATACACTAAAAGAACTGCTGCACAAATGTGCCTGATTTTATTGTATTTTTAACACTGCAGAGTAGACCCACGACGATTTAGGAGTTCTGAACCCGAAGTCCAGGACTGAATCCTCTGAATTGGATCAAAATTCTCTGTGTATCCTCCATGCATTTTTCTGCAATGGTGAAGGGCATCTGTAGTCCCCAAAAAGGTGACATCAGAGCACTGGAGTTCTAATTTCAGTTGACCTGCTGATTTGGTTTGAACCCATGAATAAACACATTAACCAACTCCTGCTCCTGTCTCTTCCTCTAAAGGAAGAAGATACCATTTTCCTGAAACAGGAATTATAAAGGGATTTGAAATTACTTTCTGTCATTCTGCCCAGTGGTGCTCATGCAACAGGCTGACCCTTGGTACAGACTCACAGGCCTCCATTCTGGCAATCAGGCAATCAGATCTCAATCAAGGAAACACTTTTTCTTTTTTGGTTTGGTGTTTTTTGGTAGGGGGAGATGGAGTCGCCATCACCCAGGCTGGAGTACAGTGGCATGATCTCAGCTCACTGCAATCTCTGCCTCCTGGGTTCAAGCAATTATCCTGCCTCAGCCTACCGAGTAGCTGGGATTACATGCATGCACTACCACACCCGGCTAATTTTTGTATTTTTAGTAGAGATGGGTTTTTGCCATGTTGATCAGGCTGGTATCAAACTCCTGACATCAAGTGATCCGCCTGCCTCGGCCACCCAAAGTGTGGGGATTACAGGCATGAGTCACTGCGCCAGGCCTTCCAGCCTTTTTTTTTTTTTTTTTTTTTTGACACAGGGTCTTGCTTTCACCCAGTGCGGTGGTGTGATCACGGCTCACTGCAACCTTGACCTCCCAGGCTCAAGCAATCCTCCCACCTCAGCTTTCTGAGTAGCTGGAACTTCAGGCATGCACCATCATGCCCAGCTAATTTCTGTATTATTTTGCACAGATGGAGTTTCACTATGTTGCCCAGGCTAGTCTTGAACTCCTGTGGTCAAGTGATCCTCATGTCTCAGACTCCCAAAGTGCTGGGATTACAGGTGTGAGCCACTATGCCAGGCCAAGAAAACACATTTTTTTAATCTCAGGAAAAAAAGATTAATCCTTCTAACCAAAAATACCCTCCGAACAGCACACCTGTGAATAAGACCGACTGATCACTTGGCACTGAGGCATACTGCTAGAAAATTCACAACATGATTTCATTCTCGTTCCACACTCAGACAACTGTGAACCAATTACCAGCCTCATCCCCATTTCACTAAGAGACATGCTAGAGACCACAATGCTGCGAGTGTGGGGCCCACTTACCTTTTCCTCAGAGCCTAGCACAGTGCAAAGGCAGACACAGGTGCTTAAAAATGCTTTTCACGGGCCAGGCACGGTGGCTCACGCCTGTAATCCCAGCACTTTGGGAGGCAGAGACGGGCGGATCACGAGGTCAGGAGATCGAGACCATCCTGGCTAACACGGTGGAACCCTGTCTCTACTAAAAATACAAAAAATTAACCAGACGTGGTGGCGGGCGCCTGTAGTCCCAGCTACTCGAGAGGCTGAGACAGGAAAACGGCATGAACCGAGGAGGCGGAGCTTGCAGTGAGCCAAGATTGCACCACTGCATGCCAGCCTGGGCGACAGAGCGAGACTCTGTCTCAAAAAAAAAAACAGCTTTTCACCTAGGCGGTACTCAAATACCATACAATTCCATCTACATAAAATACAAAAACACGGCCAGGTGCGGTGACTCACGCCTATAATCCTAACACTTTGGGAGGCGGAGGTGGGTGGATCACTTGAGGTCAGGAGTTGGAGACCAGCATGGCCTACATGGTTAAAATGGTAAAACCCCATCTCTACTAAAAATACAAAAAAAAAAAAAAAAAATTAGCCAGGCGTGGTGGCTGGCACCCGTAATCCTAGCTACTCGGGAGGCTGAGGCAGGAGAAACATTTGAACCTGGGAGGCGGAAGTTGCAGTGAGCCAAGATTGCATCACCGCACTCCAGCCTGGGTGACAGAGTGAGACTTGGTCTCAAAAAACAACAACAACAACAAAAAAGAGAGGCCAGGTGCTGTGGCTCATGCCTGTAATCCCAGCACTTTGAGAGGCCAAGGTGGGTGGATCACAAGGTCAGGAGATCGAGACCACCCTGACTAACACATTGAAACGCTGTCTCTACTAAAAATACAAAAAATTTGCCGGGCGTGGTGGCGGACGCCTGCACTCCCAGCTACTCGGGAGGCTGAGGCAGGAGAATGGCGTGAACCCGGGAGGCAGAGGTTGCACTGAGACAAGATGGTGCCACTGCACTCCAGCCTGGGCGACAGAGTAAGACTCTGCCTCAAAAACAAAAAAACCCCACAAATCTAAGCAGATCTAAGCTGTTAGAAATCAGGGCAGTGGTTGCCCATAAGTATTGAGGTAGTCTTCTGGCAGGGCAGAAGGAGGGTTTCTGGGGTCCTGATAAATATATTTTGTGACCTACGTGCAGGTTACATGGGGGTACTGAGTTCATGAAAATCCATCAAGTTGTGGCTAGGTGCAGTGGCTCATGTTTGTAATCCCAGCACTTTGGGAAGCCAAGGCAGGCAGATCACTTGAGGCCAGGAGTTTGAGACCAGCCTGGCCAACACAGTGAAACGCCATCTCTACTAAAAACACAGAAATTAGCTGGGTGTGGTGGCGTGCACCTGTAGTCAGTCCCAGGTACTCGGGAGGTTGAGGCAGGAGAATCACTTGAACTCGGGAGGCGGAGGTTACAGTGAGCCGAGATCGCCCCATTGCATTCCAGCCTGGACGACAGGGCGAGACTCGGTCTCGAAAAAAAAAAAAAGAAAGAAAAAAAAAAAGGCAGTCTACGTGTTTTTTTGTCTGCCCCTATACTAGGTAGACAGCAAGATTCTGTTGGAAGAGGAAAATGTCCAGCATGAAATTCTAACACTGGAACTGTCAGGGACTGGTTTCATTTACACATAACGTTTATAACCTTGGCAGAGAAAAATGTATTGTTTTTAAAATTTATGTTAATTAGTCATAATTCAAATTGGCCTCTCCCTTTGCGCACAGAGGTAAGAGAAGCAAATCTTGTGCTTGCCTTGAGTGAGTGACAGGATCTTGGGGCAGCCAAAACCTCAGTTAAGTCTTGCTTCCCCGCTACGGAAGCCCCACATGCATGCACTGACCCCTGTGCGTTAAACCTGCAGCGCCTCTGGGAACAAAGGGGTGTACCTTATCTCCAGGCTGAAGGCCTTTTACCTTCCCTCGGATATTCTTCACCAGCTCTGGGTAGAAGAACTCTGGGCAGCGTTTGTGATCTGGTTCAAAGAGGGTGAGTGTAATCCGAACAGCTGCTGCAGCCGGCTCACAGTCCTGATGCTGTTCTCCTGCCCCAGCCTCCTCCTTCCGGGACTTCTTCAAAAACGCAGGATTCAGGGAACCTGGGAGAGAGGTGAACTGGACCCTGTGGGGCTCCGACATGGCTACCAACAAGTCTTAGCGGGTGTCACTGCATGGCTTCTGTTAACATTGAAAAGAAGGGCCAGGTCAAACGAAGATGATAAAATAGTTTACCTGCCTAATTAAAGAGATTTAAGTTTAAGAGAATTTCATTGTCAAGAAAACTCCATTGTTATATTTTGTCATTTATTGTTTTTTTCTGCTTATTCATCCTAAAATTTTTTCACAATCATTCAGAGATAGTCACTGCTTAGCATACTTCCAGTCTTTTTTCCTGTGCATGTGTATCCTAGATCCTTGACCTTAAAGAACCCATGCTGACAGAGCCTTAGACCTCCAAATTGTAAAGACTACTAAAATATTAATTATTTTCCATTTAATTTGTCTAACACTTATTTTTTCTGGCTGAGAATAATCTTTAAGACCCCTTTATTTTCATCACCAGCAGTTTCCTATCATTGGGAGCCAATCTTCACAATGACAAAGCTTTTATCAGCTGAACAAAAGATATTGCCTACCCCAGGATAGTAAAGAACCAGTGACTCAGGAGGGTGTGGCTAGGCTCACTTCCTAACAAAGTTACACACTCCTGCCCTGTGCACCACTCTCACACCCAAACACTGGCCTTGACAAAATAACAAATTATGACATGCCAAAGACCTTCAAAATCACTTGGGAATGGTCAAAATAGATTTTGAATACAGAATTCCAAATGTTCACAGAATATGAATATGCTAATACATGCCATACATGTTTTCTGCTTACTTCGTATACAATTTTGTGTCCTGCTTTTTAAAAGAGTTCATATTCTAGTGTGAACTTTCTACCATACCAATAAATAAAGATATTCATTGCAGCCTTGTTTATACAAGAAAAATGATGGAAGCAACCAAAATGACAATCAAATGACAATCAATCAGGGAATGGTTGAATAAATTGTGACTTTCTTATTGACTTGTAAGCGCTCTTGATATTATACATAAATTATTATACATTATAGATATACAAAATCTGTCATATCTCTTATAAGTACTTCTTCTTGTTTTGTTATTTGCTGTTTAGTGTTGCTTAGAGTGAGGTATGATGAAAGAAATGTTAACTTTTTTCTTTTTTTTTTGAGCTAGGGTCTCGCTGTTATATCCAGGCTAGAGAGCAGTGGCCCAATCACAGCCACTTCAGCCTCAACCTCCCAGGCTCAAGCAAACCTCTCACCACTTCAACCTCTCGAGGAGCTGAGACTACAGGTATATCCCACCATGCCTGGCTAATTTTTTCTATTTTTTGTAGAGATGCTGACCCACTATGTTGCCCAGGCTGGTCTTAAGCTCACAACCTCAAGCGACCCTCCTTCCAAGGAAATTATAACTTTGTATGCAGTTAAAACTAGGCTCTTTTCCTTTGAGACTCCTCCCATTTCTTTTATGCCTAGAATGTTCGTCTCCAACCAGATCTTATAGAAGAACTTGTGTATATAGGTTTTTTGTTTTTTGAGACAAGGTCTCACTCTGTTGCCCAGGCTGGAATAAAGTGACTCAATCTCAGCTCACTGAGGCCTCAACCTCCCAAGCTAAAGCGATCCTCCTACCTCAGCCTCCCTAGTAGTTGGAACTACAGGCGTGCTAATTTTTGTATTTTTTGTAGGGACGTTGTTTTGCCATGTTGCCCAGACTGGTTTTGAACTCCTGCTGGGATTACAGGTGTGAGCCACTGAGCCCAGCCTATATGGTCATTTATAGATATTTTTTCACATTTACTTCATTAACCCCAGATGAATTTGCTATGCTATAAAGTATGAGGAGAGGCTGTAACTTGGTTTCTTCCAGCATCAATCACTAAACAATCCTTCCTTCCTCTGCTGATTTGGCATATATTGCAAAGCAACATCACAGATATCTAAGGCCTGTTTCTGAAGTCCATGTGTCATATTAATACGGTATTTAGAGATTCTTTAATCAGTATTGCACTGTTTTGTAAAGTTTCATACTTTAATGTTGCAAAGTTAAAGCTCATGTTTATTATCCTTCTTTATAAATAATACTTTGCCATTCCAGCCTATGTATTATTTTGGCAGGTTTCAAAAAAACTCACTGTATTTTGGTTGTAAATCAATCACAAATGTGAGTTAATTCAGGAAAATTAGCATATATCGTATATATCCACATACATGTAGACGTATTTGTATATATCCAATATTCATTTGTCGAATTATGATCACAAAATCAACTTATAACATCACATAAGGGAACAAAATATCTACAAATGAAGAGTTAAAATAATTCTAATCAGGCGGCAAAACGATTAGCAGTGTAACAGGCTGGCGCTGCAAAAGACCATCTCCCAACACGTACTAAGATGTTAAAGGAGATTTCCCTAAAAGAAATCTCCAAGGCCCTCAGGATATTTGTGATGCGCTGGGTTGTGGAAATAAATCCCAGCTGAAGGCTTACAGATTCCCCCACTGATAGAACCGGAACAGTCTCACTATAAGAAGGGAATCAGCAAGTTAACCAATGGGATGCAGGAAGGTCATCCTTGAATTGGCAACCAGGTCCTACTCCCCCTGTCCAGGCAGTAAACACATAACCTTATCTCAGTCCAAGTCTGAGAGACTGCAGCTTCAATCCTAGATGGCAAAACTGCTCCTTTCAGTTGCTTAAGTGACTCTCCAGGCCCAAGAAGGTAAAAAATAGGACTACAGGATAAAGTGAGTCAAATCTGTACTCTATTACCACTTAGATTTGGGGTTGTTTTATAATCATTATAATGTTCTGCTGTTACTAAGCCATTTGAAACATTTAAGAGAATCCAATATATTTAACAATGGTACGTTAGACTTACAATCATAATTCAAAATGCTTAAGAAAATATAATTAAGTTCAAACATGTTTGAATGCTTAAAAAAAACTTACATTTATCTATTAGACTTACGAGAGTTGCCTAAGTCCTTGGAAAGATTTTAGCTTTTTTTGTGGTTTTTTTTTTTTTTTTTGTGAGACAGTTGCCTCACTCCTGTTGCCCAGGCTGGAGTGCAGTGGCACCATGAGAGCTCACTGCAGCCTCAACTTCCCGGACCCAGCACTTTGGGAGGCTAAGGCAGGATGATCGCTGGAGCCTAGGAGTTTAAGACCAGCCTGGACAACATGATGAGACTTCATCTGCACAAAAAAATTTTTTTTAAATTAGCCAGGTATGGTGGCACACCCCTGTAGTCTTGGCTACTAAGGAGGCTGAGGTGGGAGGATGGCTTTAGACTGGGAAGGTCCAGGCTGCAGTGAGCCGTGATCCTGCCACTGCACTCCAGCCTGGGCGACAAGAGTGAAACTCCGTCTCAAACAAAAAAAAGAAAAAAACAAAGATCCCCCTTTAAAAACCTCAGTTGGTGTTACTGAGAAAATACTAGCCTTCCTTGTCCCTTGGTTATCCTCAGCAATTTTTAATTTTTTCTTACTATATATATATATATCTCCTTCTAAACATTGTATTTTCAAACTGGTTATTGATGAAACAGAAAAACTAAATTGTGCATTCCAACTTATAATGAGTACCCTTCCTGAATTCTTATTTTAATGGGTTTTTTGGTTTTTGTTTTTGTTTTCAAAATAGGCAGACCTATCATCCACGGAAATGAGAATTCTGTCTTCCCTTTTCCAAAAATTGCATTTCTTATTTTTGTTTCCTGTCTTACTGCACTGGCTAGAACTTTCAGGTTTTAGGCAATATATTCTTATTATCTAATAGTGGTAGAAATGTACCATGTTTCTGATGTTAAGGGGAATGCCTCTAGGTTTTGGTGCAATGTTCATTTGAGATTTTTTTTTCTTTTTTCTTTTTGGCGGGGGGACGAGTCTCGCTCGCTCTGTCGCCTAGCTGGAGTGCAGTGACATAATCTCGGCTCACGGCAACCTCCGCTTCCCGGGTTAAGCGATTCTCCTGCCTCAGCCTCCCAAGTAGCTGGGACTACAGGCATGCGCCACCACGCCCGGCTAATTTTGTATTTTTAGTAGAGTACTGGGTTTGACCGTGTTGGCCAGGCTGGTCTCGAACTCCTGATCTCAGGTGGTCCACCCGCCTCGGCATCCCAAAATGCTGGGATTACAGGCTTATACCACCCTGCCCGGCCAAGATTCATGTTTTTATTTAAGTTATTAAAATCTCATTCAATTCCTCACAAATTCAGAATTTTTAAACAGGAACTTATGTTAAATTTTTATCAAATTATTCCCTGGAATCTTAAATACGCTTTAAAGATCACTTTGTCTTAAAAATACACACGCAGTAAATGACAGTCCGTGCAGCTAATTCTTGGTACTTCAGGGAAACTGATCTCCCAAGAAAAATCAGGCTGCGGGACGACCCAGTACGCTAAACACCGACTTGCAACCGAAATCTCTAACCACCACAATGCCTTGGGGAAATGCGTGTCGACTCGCCACCTTTGCCAGCTGGCAGTGACTCAACAAGAGCCCGACACCAAGTCTAAGTCAATCCTTAACACTGTGGAGTCTGTGATCGGGACTGGGATCTTTTGCAAAATTGTGATTCTACCTGGTCTGCTGAAGTTTGGGCCGACGCTGCGCTCAACTGCAGTTAACACTTCCCAGTTCATGGTTCAGTTTTAAAGTGTCCAAACTACGCCCGGCATCTGTCTTCCTGTTGTCACAACTTTTTCAAAAGTGCAAAACTAGGGCAAGGCTAACGAGAGAGCCCGGACCCGACAACGACACGCACCTTTGTCCCCAGCGCCGACGCGGGCCGCAGACGTCCCCCCGCGGCGGTCCTCATGCCGGTCCCCGGGCGGCGGCGCAGCTAGCGGTCGGCTGCTAAGCCGTGGCTCCCAGCGGGCGGGCGGCCCGCGCCTCGGCCCATGGCCGGGTCCCCGAGCCCAGGGGAGCCTGGTGTGCCGCGCCGCGCGCCGGCCCAGGAGGAAGCGAAGAAATGCCAACTCGACGTCCGCGCAGCCACTCCGGGGACACCAGGGGGTCGGGGGAGCAGCCTCCGGTCGCCCCAGGAGAACTTGCGGCGCGGGACCCCGCGCTCAGACGGCGCCTCCGAAAGCGGCCGTCGGGAGGAGCGCTCCAAAGAACACGGGCGGCGGGAGCGGACGGGCGCGGACACCGGGGCCTCCCGGCCTGCGGCCAAGCAGAGTTGCCGGGCGCGGGAGCCCAGACCCGGCGGAGGCTGAGTTCCAGGCCGCGCCGAGCTCCGTCAGGGTAGCTCACTGGCGCTGCGACGGGGCCGACCAGCGCCTCGGGCTCGGGAATGGCCCCGGGGCCCGCGCCGGACCAACGGGCGTAACGGAAGCGCCGAGAGGGGAGGGGCGCGGAGTCCAAGACCCGGGGGCGGGGCGAGCCGCGAGGCCGGCTCCCTCTCGCGCTCAGCCGGTCGCACCGTCGCCGCCGCCGCCGCCTCAGACCGCGGGCGCTTCGTTGTCACGAGCCGAAGGGAGGGGGAAGGAGCCGGGAGTCTCTGCGCTCCGGCGCGCGGAGACCGCGGCGCTCGCGTCACGTGCCCCTCGGTCGACCAATGATCCCCGGCGGGCGCGGTGACGTCAGAGTAGCGGCGTGGCCAGTGACAGCCGGCCCCCGTCACGTGGTCGGGCCCACTCCAATGGGCGGCGCCGGGGCGACTTGCTGTTCCCGGCGGCCCGTGCGTCGGCGGTGGTTGGGTGGTAAGATGGCGGCTGTGAGTCTGCGGCTCGGCGACTTGGTGTGGTGAGTCCGAGCGGCCGGGCCAACCGAGACGCGCCGGGGAGCTACCCGCCTGGGCGCGGGGTTCGCTGCCGGCCCTGGAGCTGCCTTTTTATGCGCTCCAGGTCGCGGAGAGAGGGGAAGAGAAGGTGCCGGCGCTTGCGAGCGGCGCCAGGCGGAAGGGGCAGTCCAGTCCCGGGGGACCGAGGCCGAGGGTGGCCACGTCGGGCACCGGCTTTGATCCCCGAGGCCGGCCGGGTGGGGTCTGCACTCGGGGCCCAGATACTGGCGGCCCCCGTGAAGGGAGCCGCCGGTGCCGCGAGGCTTCCCCGGACGACCGGTCCCCGGGGTCTTGTTGGGGCTTCCCAGAAAGCAGAAGCGCCGGGGACCGGACCTGCGAGATCTGGCCGGTGCCATTCGGTCAAAGCCCAGGTTGCGATGCAGCCGACCTGTGCGGCCGGCTCAGCCGGGGTTGTCTAAACCGGACTGCTGGCGTTGCCCCGCGAAGAAACGGCGGGGGGACTTCTCCTTTACAACCGATGGCTTGGCAGTGACCAGTGCACGCTTGGGTGCCTCCCGCGGTCTGCTTCTGTGTCCCAGACAACCGCCCGAACCAAGACTTTGTCGCCGCCTCCCTCGAGCTGCGTAGCTTGTTTCTCCACCCAGAGGAAGGCTTCCATTAGCATTTGTCAAAGCCAGGCAGGTCTCCTGTTGAATTAAACCAGACTTAGGGAGGGAAAGTCTGTGTTTACAGAGGAAGCTGTCCTCCCACCCCCGTCATTAAGAAGCTCTAGACAAGTGACTTTTGACAGTTGTGTTGTTCTGTATTCCTTGTCAACAGAAGAATGGATATGCGTTGTGCACATAAGTATACAATTTTGCATTTTACTTCTGAGGGTGTTGGGCCCAGCTATGAAAGCTTTTGTTTCGGCATTTGAGGATGCCAGCAGAGATTTAGGAAAATAAATTGCGTATTGAGTGGGTTGAAGGAGATGGACTGGCTTTTGCAGGGCAAGTGTTGACTCTTTGTGTTTTCTCTAGGGGGAAACTCGGCCGATATCCTCCTTGGCCAGGAAAGGTGAGTGTCTTGCTACTAAAGGAAGAGATCTGAAGTTGGGTTTGAAGAGGTGGAGAATGTAAGATGCATTCCTCTCAGTTTCTAGTATTGAGTTAAATTGGGCTCATTCAGATGGCACTTAGAATTTTTTTTCCCCTAGTATCGGTTATTTTTTAAAAGGCAATGCAGTATACACCAGATCATTAAATCTTCTCTAAACCCTTATTTCTGGATTTAGAGGAGGTTTATGAAGTTTCTTTTTTAACCCCGGAAATAATTCTAGTCTGAATTTAGCTTTATGCTTAAATGTAACAAAAGGAGAAGAAAATATAAATTATCCAGGAAGAAAGTCTAAATGTAGGTTAGTGAAAAGCCAAAGTATTTTTGTCCCAACTAAGTTTAAATCTTCTTTCCATGTTACCATATGTGCTACTCCAGTGCCTCTTTGCAGAAGTTGGCATTCCAGATTTTGCATGAGGTGATCCATCATTGCTTTCCAAATGTTGTGTTTTTATATTCTTGCTTGGAGCCCGGGAGGTGTCTTTAGATGGTCTCTTTGCAATATGGTGTTTTCTGTGCCTCGGTTGTCCTTTGTTTTCACTATGTCCTGTGTCAACCCTTCCTGCACAGGAAGTATTTCAAAGAGTGTCGTCTGCATTTTTTCAGTAATAATGGGGTCACATTGGAGCAGGGGTGGGGTGGTGGGGGGCAGGGGATGCTGTTGATCTTAGTTTTAACTGCTTGTAAAACAGGGCCACTGCAGTAAAAGGGATATTGTGTCTACTGAGCACTGTGCTACATGTTAAATATTGGGAACTTCTAGAATATCTACACATTTCCATACACCTCAATAGAAAAATGGGAGATTTAGACAAGTACTAGGCCTTGGGTTCTGTTTTGTATATAAATAAATTTATTTGTAAGTAAGTCCTTTTAATTTACTTTTTTCTTAGCAACGTAGAACTGTAGAGCAATGTGGAGCCACTAGAAAGTGGGCTGCTGTGTTGCCAGCCAACCTTTTTCCCCCCTTTTATCCTCCAGATTGTTAATCCACCAAAGGACTTGAAGAAACCTCGCGGAAAGAAATGCTTCTTTGTGAAATTTTTTGGAACAGAAGATCAGTGAGTAGTACTCACCAGGAGTCTCCCTTCGCCTTTCTTTCTGTGTTACCTGGAGTCTGAGCTGCTTTGAAAATATTCTAAGGATCCTTAGTTCAGTCTTCTTATAATGTGTAATACTGGCATCTCATTCTGCCTTCATACCTAAATAAAGGTGCAATTTCTTGCAGAAATTGCCCTAGACAACTGTCCTAGGTCTATAACTAAGTCAGGCAAGAACTAGGTTCATTTACCTTCTAACTATAACAATCACATTGAAACAGTTTCTCACATGTTTCTTTACCCAACTCCAAAGGCAGTTCCTTTTTGTTTGTTTTTGAGACAGAGACTTAGTCTGTCACCCAGCCTGGAGTGCAGAGGCAGTCTCAGTTCACCGCAACCTCTGCCTCACTGACTCAAGCGGTTCTCTCACCTCAGCCTCCCGAGTAGCTGGGACCACAGGTGTGCACCACCATGCCCAGCTAATTTTTTGTAGAGGGGGTTTTACCATGTTGCCCAGGATGTTCTTGAACTCCTGGACTCAAGCAATCCACCTGCCTTGGCCTCCCAAAGTGCTGGATTATAGGCGTGAGCCACTGCGCCCAGCTGGCAATTATTTTTATAAAAGCCATGTTCAGTTCTCTTTTAATGCCATATATCATTATGGTTCATGCTTGGGGTATACAGTGGAAACTTTTATTTATGTTAATAAAAGTAATTGTTCAATCATGTTCTCATGTGTAAAACTAAGTGATTTGCTTTGACATTGTTATAGTAAGTCTTTTTACCAGATCTGTCCTAAGTTGGGGAAACCAGGACCATTAATCTGAGACTCTGACCATATAACATGTTACAGTGACGGGAAGAACGTGAAGAACCTGTATTAACTTGAGTTGCTAGTGATTTGTTTAGCTTTTTATCACTATGTCAAGTGGCTTACCTGGGTCTAGCTAGATGGTTTGATTTTTTTTTTTTTTTTTTTTTGAGATGGAGTTTCACTCTGTCACCCAGGCTGGAGTGCAGTGGCATGATCTCAGCTCACTGCAACCTCCACCTCTCGGGTACAAGTGATTCTGGTGCCTGAGCCTCCCGAGTAGCTGGGACTACAGGCGCACACCACCACACCCGGCTAATTGTTTTATATTTTTTAGTAGAGACGGGGTTTCACCATGTTGGCCAGGCTGGTCTCAAACTCCTGACCTCAAGTCATCTGCCCCTCCCCCCCCCAACCCCCTCAGCCTCCCAAAGTGCTGGGATTACAGGCAAGAGCCACCATGCCCAGCCGGTTTGATTTCTTTAAGTAGTTGTATTTCTATTTATTATTCTTATAGGAAAATACAGCCTTAGATTTGAAAAAAATGTCTGTGGCTTCTCTGGTAAATCTAATTCTGACGGTTAAAGTATTTCTACTTAGAAAGCGATATATTATAAACAGTATTCTTCACTCATCCAGGAGTTTATATGTCAGATGCTCTTCCTGGTTTCATGTTTACAGATAGACCCAGCCCCATTTCTCTATCACAAGCCAGCTTAGCAGCCTGTGGTGGCAGTATTTCAAGGAGATCGCTGGCCTGGAGCTGTGGAGCCAGAGCTTCTGGAAGAGGGAATGTTCTTAGAACTCCATGGATTTAAAAAGAAGATTTGGCCGGGCATGGTGCCTCAGGCCTGCAATCCCAGTACTTTGGGAGGCCAAGGTGGGTGGATCACTGGAGGTCATGAGTTCGAGACCATCCTGGCCAACATGGCAAAACCCCGTCTCTACAAAAAATACAAAAATTAGCCAGGAGTGTTGGCGTCTACCTGTAATCCCAGCTACTTGGGAGGCTGAGGCTCGAGAATTGCCTGAACCCAGGAGGCAGAGATTGTTCGAGACCCTGCACTCCAGCATGGGTGACAGACTGAGACTATGTCTCAGAAAAGAAAAAGAAAAACAGGAAAGATTGTCCTCATGCATAACATCAGTGTTATGTGTCCACTTTCTGAATTGCTTGACACTGAGGGAATTTATAAGAAAGCAAGTATTATAGTTCCCACCTTCCAGATGCTCAGTCAAGTGACAAGTTGTAAACATTTCAGATAAGATGATGTGCACAATGATGGTCGGGCATGGTGGCTCATGCCTGTAACCCCAGCACTTTGGGAGGCCGGGGCAGGCAGATTGCTTAACGCCAGGAATTTGAGAACAGCCTGGCCAACATGGTGAAACCCTGTCTCTACTAAAAATACAAAAATTAGTCGGGTGTGGTGGTGCACACCTATAATCCCAGCTACTCAGGAAGCTGAGGCAGTAGAATTGGTTGAACCTGGGATGCGGAGGTTGCAGTGAGCTGAGATCGCGCCACTGCACTCCAGTCTGGGTGACAGAGCGAGACTCTGTCTCAAAAAATAAATAAAGATTATGTGCAGAATGAATGATGGCAGATAATTGTTAATTCTAGGCTGGGCACAGTGGCTCATGCCTGTAATCCCAGCACTTTGGGAGGCCAAGACAGGAGGATTGCTTGAGCCCAGGAGCCGGAGACCAGCCTGGACAACATAGCAAGACCTTGTCTCTACTTAAAAAAATAAATTTTTTTTTTCAATAGCCAGGCATGGTGGCACACAAGTGTAGTCCCAGGTATGCAGAAGGCTAAGGCAGGAGGATTGCTTGAGCCCAGGAGGTCAAAACTGCAGTGAGCCATGATCACAATATTGCACTCCAGTCTGGGTGACAGAGCTAGACCCTGTCTTAAAAAGAAAAAGAATTCTAGAAGAGGGAGAGCTCAGTGGAGAGCCATGAGAACCAAGAAGACTGACTGAAGAGATGGGATTTGTTTTTCTGTTTGTTTTTTTTTGTTGTTGTTTTTTTTTTTTTGAAACGGAGTCTCGCTCTGTCGCCCAGGCTGGAGTGCAGTGGCGCGATCTTGGCTCACTACAAGCTCCACCTCCCGGGTTCATGCCATTCTCCTGCCTCAGCCTCCCGAGTAGCTGGGACTACAGGCGCACACCACCATGCCCAGCTAATTTTTGTTGTATTTTTCAGTAGAGGCAGGGTTTCACCATGTTAGCCAAGATGGTCTTGATCTCCTGACCTCGTGATCTGCCCGCCTCGGCCTCCCAAAGTGCTGGGATTACAGGCGTGAGCCATCGCACTCAGCCAGAGATGGGATTTGAATCCAGCTCTGGAAGATACATAGAATCTGGATGGATGGGGACTATAGGGGCATTTCAGACAGTGGGGATACCATGAACAATTGGCATTAAGCTGGGTGTTATGGAAAGGAAGAGGCTCCCTGCCTGAGGTAACTTGTGCTTAGGAATAACAGAGGCAATATGGTTGGCCCAAACTTCATTAGCTAAATGAATAATTACACAAGTCTGAAACAAAAATGGGAACTCAGTCTCATAAGGAGCCTGAAAGCCATTGTTTCCTTATGTTTTTTGTTGTTGTTGTTGTTGTTGTTGTTCTTGTTTGGTTTCTTGATTTTTTTTTGAGAAAGGGTTGGAGTGCAGTATCACGGACATGGCTTACTGCATCCTTGACTTCCCAGGCTCAGGTAATCCTCCCACCTCAGCAGTCCGAGTAGCTGGGACCACAGTTGTGTGCCACCATGCCCTGCTAAATTTTTTACTTTTTTTTTTTTTTTTTTTTTTTTTTTTTGTAGAGACAAGTTCTCGCCATGTTTCCCAGGCTGGTCGCAAACTCCTGGGCTCAAGTGATCCTCCCACCTCGGCCTCCCGAAGTACTGGCATTATGGGCATGAGCCACAGCGCCGAGCCCCGATTTTTTTTTTAATGCTAAAAGACTAGATTAATAAACTGTGATCCTTGTTTATAACAAGTGCTAGAAATAGGACACAGAAAATTGGAGTTGAGTTAATTTCAGAGCTTAACCAGGCAAACAGGTGAAGCCAGTGGTGATGTGCTTGCTCAAGACAAAAATAGCCTGGATGGTGGTGGTGATGATATAATTTCTAACTGACGAAGGTTCTTTGGAGGGTTGTAAACAAGTGGGATACAAAGCAACTGCTAAATGCAATATTTTTAACTTTTTAAACTCCTTTGCTAGAGTTCTACATTTTAAACTATAAAAATGAAGTCACTGTGGTACTAATGTGTTATCTTTTTGTGGGTAGGCAGTTAACTTAGAGAAAGGAAATAAAGGGTAAAGATGTACAGTACTTCTCTAAAGAAGGAACACTTCCTTAGTGATCAGTGCTGGGGCAGATTTTATTTTGTGTTTTTCTATGAAGGTAAGATCTCCAGATTGGCTGGTGGCAGCAGATTACTTTGGGGAAAGAGCTCTGGATTGGTTACCAGCCTAATGTGCATTCAGGTACCGGTTCCACCTTGCTCCCTGATTTGGGCAAGCTATTTCACCTTTCTGAGCCTCTGTGTCCTCTACATAAGGGGATGATACCCCCTACCTCATAGTTAGGAAGGAAAAGTAGTATCTCTTGTGTAGAGTGTGGCTTGCCATACAGCAGGTATTAGCACACATTGGTCCAGGATGCCTTTAAGTATGGAAAACTGAGAGAGATGGAGACTCTCCCTATGGGAGAGAGAGAGAGTGTGTGTGTGTGTGTTTGTTTGAAAAGAAAGGAATATGAGAGTTGGAAGTTCCTAAAGGATGTCAGCCAGGTTTGCTCTTTTTACCAAAAAGGCTTTGAGTACAAAACCATGCATCATTCCACCTTTATGTAAAACTGTATGCGCCTCATCAGGAATACTCTATGGACTTCAGATCATGCTTTCAAAGGGATCTCTTAGAATTGGCCAAGATCCAGAAAAGGGAACTGAGTCAGACAAAAGAGCAGGACTCTTCAATGTGGAAAAGCAAAGACTGAAGGAATCACGGGATCAGGAGGTAGGAAACAGCGAATGGCCTAGAGGAGTTTGGCGATGGGCACTGCAAGTGGATTGTGGTATGACTGTGTTAGGACCAGGGTGAGGAGCACTGCATAAAAGGGGCGTTTAAGAGGTGGTGTAAACAGGTATTGCAAGGGGATTTTTTAGGGATGAGAACTAACTTGTGAAGACAAAGCCATAAGTGGCTCCTGTAGAAGCTGGACTGCACCTCGCCTTTAACACTTGACATCAGGGAGGGGGCATGTGGTCCAGGCACATCCTGGGTGGGGGCACCATTGGTTACTGGACCCTGGCCCAGGTGGATAGGGTCTGACCCAGTGGAGTGTCCTCCGTTCCTGAGAAATACAGGATTTGGTCAAAGATGTTCAGTTTCAAAATTGACACACTACTTAGGCAAAAAAAAGTGTAGTTATACTTTTTTAATATTTGCAAGGTCTTTTATTAAAGAGCAGAAAGAACGGCTCCTTATGACAAGATAATCAGTGATTACAATCTTTTAGAAACCTGATTTTTCTCTCTCCACATCTCTGCCAAAATATCTAACAAATTGTGTTGACATCCCACTGTTAGGAGAGGGCCAGACCTTCCTAATCAGGTGTCCTGGTGAGAGGAGGACTTCTTTATACGGATTCGGCTCCCTGAGCGAGATGGCCAAGACAAAACTGCCCACGTAATTTTTGTATTTTCATGGAAATACGAAGGGGATATAATTTCAGCAAAACCCTGCCAGCTTCACTTGGTGACTACAACCAAAGATTATGTGTCAAGTGCACGAGGGTCCCTCTCTGACAGGTCTGATTAGTGGTGACCCCCCCATCAGAGTAGAGACAGAGCTCACGGTTTAAAAGTTTCATCGGGGCCAGGCGTGATGGCTCACACCCGTAATCCCAACACTTCAAGAGGCAGAGGCAGAAGCATCACTCAAGCCTAAGAGTTCAAGGCCAGCCTGGGTAACATGGCAAGACCCATCTCTACAAAAAATTTAAAAATAAAAAATTTAAAGCTACCATGCCGGCTTGTTCTCACCTTTATACTCTATGCTTGTGTGTGTGTTTGTGTGTGTGTGTGTGCTTTTTCTCTGTCTGTCTCCCTCCCCCTGCCATCTTCTCCCCGCCCTTTCTCCTTTTCTCTTTCTCTTAGCTTCACGGCTTCAGCCCAGGTCACCTGTCTATCCGAAGGCTGAAACACAGGTGAGAGGGTTCATGCGTAGTAGCATGTACCTGTAGTCTCAGCTACTTGGGAGACTGAAGCAGAAGGATCGCTTGAGCCTGGGAGGTCAAGGCTACAGTGAACTGTGATTGAGGCACTGTATTCCAGCCTGGGTGACAGAGCAGGACCCTGTCTTTTAAAAAAGAAGAGTTTTGGCCAGGCACGGTGGCTCACATCTGTAATCCCAGAACTTTCAAAGGGCAAGTCAGGCGGATCACGAGGTCAGGAGATCAAGACCATGCTGGCTAACATGGTGAAACCCCGTCTCTCCTAAAAATACAAAAAAATTAGCTGGGCGTGGTGGCGGGCACCTGTAGTCCCAGCTACTCGGGTGGCTGAGGCAGGAGAATGGCGTGAACCCCAGAGGCAGAGCTTGCCGTAAGTCGAGATCGCGCCACTGCACTCCAGCCTGGGCAACAGAGTGAGACTCTGTCTCAAAAAAAAAAAAAGAAAAGTTTCATCAGTGGCTGTGGATGATGATGGAATGGAGGGAGTGTTCATTTAAATTACAGGTGCTTAGAAGCCACCAGAAACCAACCGGTTCAACAGATTGTGGACAAACAGTGGAGAAGCTGCAAGTGCCTACCTGCGAGTTTCCATAGCAGTCTTCCCCTCCAGTCCTCACAGCAGCCCTTTCAGGAAGTGCACAGGGTCATCTTTCTGGTTCTTATTTTTTCACAGATGAGGAAACTGAGAGACCAGTGGTCCTTTTCCACCAAGCCACATCTAAGGTGGACCGGTCTCGCTGGATGTGAGGTGTCTGAGTCAGTACTGAAAGTAGCTGCTCTAGAAGAATATGTGGTTAATAATTAGAAGCATAGCAGCTTGGAAGCATCCCTTTTTCGTTTCACCTGGCACCTGATTTGTGTGTGTTTTTTTCTGGTGCCTTTATTTCTGAAGAACTTGGCCTGTAACACCTCAGTAATCTTCAGCCCCTTTGGATGGATTTTTTTTAAAAAGGCACCCATAGAAATTGTTTACTAAGTATTCACCAAATCCAAATGGAGAAGCAAACCCACACCTTCTGGCCCCATCTTTGTTCTCACCTGTATTTTTATTCTTATCTTTATTTATTTATTTATTTATTTATTTATTTATTTATTTATTTTTTGAGATGGAGTCTCGCTCTGTCGCCAGGCTGGAATGCAGTGGCACGATCTTGGCTCACTGCAACCTCCGCCTCCTGGGTTCAAGCGATTATCCTGCCTCAGCCTCCGGAGTAGCTGGGATTACAGGCGCATGCCACCGCACCTAGCTAATTTTGTATTTTTAGTAGAGACAGGGTTTCACCGTGTTGGCCAGGGTGGTCTCAATCTCTTGACCTCGGCCTCCCAAAGTGCTAGGATTATAGGCGTGAGCTACCGTGCCGGCTTGTTCTCACCTTTATACTCTATGCTTGTGTGTGTGTGCTTTTTCTCTGTCTGTCTCCCTCCCCCTGCCATCTTCTCCCCGTCCTTTCTCCTTTTCTCTTTCTCTTAGCTTCACGGCTTCACCCCGGGTCACCTGTCTATGTGAAGGCTGAAACACATGTGACAGCGTTCAAGATTAGTCATAGGCTGACATCTTTAATATACAGTATCTACATGTATGATTTTCTTTTTTTTTTTTTAAAGACCAAGTCTTGCTCTGTCGCCCATGCTGGAGTGCAGTAGCACGATCTGCACTCACTACAACCTCCACCTCCCGGGTTCAAGCAGTTCCTGCCGCAGCCTCCTAAGTAGCTGGGATTACAGACGTGTGCTACCACAACTGGCTAATTTTTGTGTTTTCTGGTAGAGATGGGGTTTCGCCATGTTGGCCAGGCTGGTGTCGAATTCCTGGCCTCAATCCACCTGCCTCGGTCTCCCAAGGTGCTGGGATTCAGGCATGAGCCACCGCACCGGGCCCTACATGTATGATTTTCATTTAAGAGGAAAGCAAATCAGAAGTGTGCAAGTTTTTGAAAATACCAGATTTTAATTCATTTTGATTGGAGTAATCTGAGAGTGCCTTAGTGGCGGTTCTGTATTCATAGATGAAGAGACTTTTTATAGGAAGAGTGTCAGGTCACCAGGGTAAATTGGCTGTGTTACAGGTGCAGTTATGCCAGCAGCCAGGCAGCAGCAACCCACCAGAGCAAACCTGCAAACCAGGAAGTCATGGAGGAAACCCTCTGGGCAGTCGGCATAGCCTGTGTTCTAGGGCAGAGGCCTTTAGTATTGATTTGTTTTGTTTTTTTTTTTTTTTTCCAATATAATATGTGTTCACCATTCAAAAACAAAAACTTGTCAACATTGAAACAGTTGCATTCATCCCCATCCCACAGCCACCCAGTTAGACCAGTTTCTGATGATGTGTCCCTCCAGAGATATCAGTGCGTGGTCAGTCCATTTTCCTTGTCTTTGCACGAGTGGTAGCACATAACATGCATTGCTTTTTATCTTGCTCATCTCCACGTAGCCAGATATCTTACGAGACATCCGCTTTCCTTCTCTGTAATGACCTTGCCTGTTTTCAGCTATTTACTATCACAATGTGTCATTCATTCTACTGTACATAAAAAGCAAAGTCTCCTACTTTAAATACAGCTTGAATAAGCTTGATTTTTCTGACTTCCCAGCCACAATTGGGCTGAAAGATATAGCTCCATCTAAGTCTTGGGAGGATGATAGGAAAATCAAAAGTTACAGCTTCTATCAAGGAAAGAAACAGTCACTTAAAAAACCAACAGTAGCAACAACAAAAACACTAAAGCCTTACGCACTGGAGCATTGTAGCACCTTTTAACTCACTGGTGAGCAGTACATCCTCCTGAACATCTGGGAAGGAATCATTTACCCAGTGATTATTTATTGAGGACCAGTGGTGTGCCAGGCCCGGCTGATGTGCCTCCGTGAATTAGACAGTGGTGCATTGTTGAGGCGCCAACTGAAAAGCATATTCTCATTAAAAAGACAGAGGTAGGCCAGTTGCAGTGGCTCATACCTGTAATCCCAGCACTTTGGGTGGCTGAAGTGGGCAGATTACTTGAGTTCAGGAGTTCGAGACCAACCTGGGCAACATGGTGAACCCCATCTCTATAAAAAATAAATTTAAAAAAGATGAAAGAAGTGTAACCTTTAGAGAAAAAATTGTATTCAGATAGCCAAAGTGATTTAAGTTTGGTTTGCTTTCAAGAGGTAATCCCCATAGAGCTCTGGTAAGCTGGGTTTTTTTGTTGTTACTGTTTTTGAGGTGGAGTCTCACTCTGTTGCCCAGGCTGGAGTGCAGTGGCACAATACTGGCTCACTGCAACCTCCGCCTCCTGGGTTCAAGTGTTTCTCCTGTCTCAGCCTTCCGAGTAGCTGGGATTACAGCTGCGTGCCACTACACCCAGCTAATTTTTATATTTTCAGTAGAGACGAGATTTCACCATGTTGGCCAGGCTGGTCTCAAACTCCTAACCTCAGGTGATCTGCCTGCCTCGGCCTCCCAAAGTGCTAGGATTACAGGTGTGAGCCACCGTGCCCAGCCAAGCTGGTTTTTTATGGCTGTTTTTTGATGTAACAGGATGCTTCTCCAGCAATAAGTTGATTCCTTAAATAGATTAACATTTCTTGGATTTACCATCCTATTCATACTGTCAGTTCATTTAGCCATTTTAATGTTTCGAAGATGGTTGTAAAGAGGAAAATTTTAGTATCTCAAATGCTTTAAAGTGAGTGGAATTTTGACTGTACAGTTCCTTCTAGCAGAAATCAGTAAACCTTGTAAGATGCTTCAACAAAAAATGGGGTTGATTCCTTGGCACTTCACAGACATCCTCACCTTTCTGTTCCCTCAGAATCGGGTTCCTGTGAGGCTGGGTAGTGGGAGGCAGGGATGGAGGTAGCAGGATGGCGTGGGTGGGATTAGCAAGTCTCGGAGTCTGTTGTCCCATCTCAAGGGGTTCCATAAAAATCACCTTTTTGGTCCTATATTGGGAACTTGTGTGGTTCTCAGCTTCTGACCAGAAGCTCCTAGGAAGAACTGGCTGGTCACGACTCCTTAAGCTTCATCCTTGATACTGGTTGTGTCATCTCAGACCCACGGGTTAGTATGGTAGCTTCACTGGCTTTTGGGGCTGGGTCTGACTTTGCATCTGATTGCTCTGGCCTGTCATTAGCATCCCTGTAAGGAGAGGGAACGGAGTCAGTTCAGGGATATTCTTGCCAGAAAATCTGGGGTCGAAATCTCCTTCCACTTTTCCTCCCAGCAGATTGGACTCATTGGCGCTCTCATGTTGAATTTCAAACTTTAAGATGAGTTGGTCACTGGAAAGGAGTTTGCTGGCTCACACCTGTAATCCCAGCACTTTGGGAGGCCAAGGCAGGTGGATCACTGGAGGCCAGAAGTTCAAGACCAGCCTGGCCAACACAGGGAAACCCCGTCTCTACTAGAAACATAAAAATTAGCTGGGTGTGGTGGTGCATACCTGTAGTCCCAGCAACTCGGGAGATAGAGGCAGAATTGCTTGAACCTGGGAGGTGGAGGCGGAGGTCGCAGTTAGCTAAGATCGTGCCACTGCACTTCATCCTAGGTGACAAAATGAGACTCTGTCTCAAAAAGGAAAAAAAAAAGGCCAGGTGTGGTGGCTCACGCCTGTAATCCCAGCACTTGGGAGGCTGAGGCAGGAGAATCACTTGAACCTAGGAGGCGAGGTTGCCGTGAGCCAACATCGCCCCATTGCACTCCAGCCTGGGCAACAAGAGTGAAACTCCGTCTCAAAAAAAAAAAAAAAAAAAAAAGGAATTTGCCTAACTCCTCTAGTTGGAGCTGTGCCAGGGAGACCAGCTTCTGTATCTCCATTCATCATCTCACTTAGCCATGGTGGCATGCCTGATAGTGGTTCGCTGCCTGACATCTGCAGGCCGATGATCCCAGGTCTGTGTTTTTGCACAGACCCCATTATCACAACTACCAGCAGCACACTCAAAGTCCAGGTAGCTGGTGGAGGGTTAGTAACATTATTTTTATGTGCAAAGGTTAACACTTGCTGTTAGTGAATATTCTCTAGCTTTCTATGAAGAAAACAACCTGAAGCTTGTGAGATAGCTGGGTTTCTGTATCCTTAACCTGACCTACTTTTTCTGAAGGTTATGCTGTGAAACCTGTATCACAGGCTAAAACATGTAAACTAACTGATACCTTGTAAAGCCTATAAAATTATTTTGTGCTTGGATTCTATAAGCTGCATGCCATTCAGGGAAGCCATAGAAAGCCAGCTGCAGCAGATTTGTTCAGGTTAGTGTGACAGATCAGAAACCCCAGAATTGACAGCTGACTACTTTCACTTTCATGTGTTACACATTGATGGTTGAAATTAAAAATTACATATCGGAGGTGTATGTTCTTCTACCTTTAATCTCAAGCATCTTGTTTCTATTTTTTTTTTTTTTTGAGACATCATAAAACAGCATGCCATCTTGTTTTTAAATGCCTCCTTTTGTAACTGCTGCCCTTATTCCAAACCATGTGTTCCGTGTTTTGTGTGGTTTAGTAGCCATGGTTACCATCATTTATGAACAAATATAGGCTCAGTGGCTGTGAATATCCATAGGAACCACAAATTTTAGAAGATGTTGCATTTCTTCAGCTCTGTAACATCCCTGACTCTCTGTGGATCAACAGATCATAAATCTGGTTCCCATTGTTGACAGGCAGCAGGCATTTTCCTGCATAGTAATGCTGCTATCATCTATCACATTTCCAGGTACCCTGATTCCCAGGGATCTGTGTGTGGCCATTTGTGCTGCCTGGTGAGAATGGGAAAGGGTCTCCAGATTTCTTTCTGCCCTGAGCAAGTGGCAGCGTATATGTGGTTGGGCATTGGAGGCTGATAGACGATTGTGGAAATAAATAATCTGCAACACAGTGCTTTCACTGGAGGAACTTGATTTGTGGTTGCTGCAGTGGTGGTGATGGTTGTTCTGCTTGACTTGTTTCAAGAAAATATACTTTAGACATAAGACTCTGAGATGGTTGATAGCATGTTTTGAAAGAAATGGCAAGGCCTATTGCAAAGTCCAGTTAAACCAAATGGATATTTACACCGTGCCATAGTGAGGTTGTTGATACTTTAGGGCATATGCTATATGGTTCACACCCTTTTTGTGTTTGTTTTCTGCTAGTGCCTGGATCAAAGTGGAACAGCTGAAGCCATATCATGCTCATAAAGAGGAAATGATAAAAATTAACAAGGGTAAACGATTCCAGCAAGCGGTAGATGCTGTCGAAGAGTTCCTCAGGAGAGCCAAAGGGAAAGACCAGGTGAGAGACACAATGTTCACTTTCTACCAATGCCAGACTGGTGATTTTTGCATAGCAACTAACAGATTAAATGTCACCCAAACGCAAACCTTTGTTCTTCTGAAATGCTACTGGAGAAAGCTACTTCAGTTCTAAGGTGTCAGCGTTTTGCTTATCAGTTTGAAACTCCATGCAGCTAACCTTTCTGGAGTAGGTTGTTGCTTTTAGGAAAATTGCTTGGACCCAGGAGAAATATCTCAGCATTTGAGTCTAGCACAGGCCATTTCTTCCTTTCATAGCACACAGATTAGGAGCATAGCCTCTGAAATACATATACTGCCTAGATTTAAATCCTTTCTTCTAGTTTTGGGACATAGGGAAAGTGACTTTTGATATATATATTTTTTAAATCTGCTTCTCCCAATGTCTGGGACGACAGCAGAATCTATTTCTAGGGTCATTGTGAGGAGACCACACAGAGTGCCTGTAGCAGCACATGGCACCTGTAAATGATGGTGGCGATGGCGGCAGCAGCTGTGGTGGTAGTTATCATTATTATTATTAAACTTTCAGACGTCATCCCACAATTCTTCTGATGACAAGAATCGACGTAATTCCAGTGAGGAGAGAAGTAGGCCAAACTCAGGTGATGAGAAGCGCAAACTTAGCCTGTCTGAAGGGAAGGTGAAGAAGAACATGGGAGAAGGAAAGAAGAGGGTGTCTTCAGGCTCTTCAGAGAGAGGCTCCAAATCCCCTCTGAAAAGAGCCCAAGAGCAAAGTCCCCGGAAGCGGGGTCGGCCCCCAAAGGATGAGAAGGTTTGTTTTCTCTCTGCAGCTTCCGGGATTAGTGATGTCCTTTTAGTACAAGGTAGAGTTAAGCTCTACAGTATGCTTATGTAGTATGCTTATCTATACTCTGCTCATGGAGTGGGAGCAGAATTCTGTGCTCAAGAATCCTGCAGGGCAGGTGCGGTGGCTCATGCTTTATCCCAGCAACTCAGGAGGCTGAGTCAGGAAGATGGCTTGAGCCTTGGAGCTCAAAGTTGCATTGAGCCGATTGCACCACTGCATTCTAGCCTGGGTGATGGAGTGAGACCCCGAATCTTATTTAAAAAATTAAAAAATAAAGAATCCCATAGACCAGGTGAGAGACACGGCCTGGATGCAGGTGTAAAGTAGGAGCGCGAGGCAGGAGAGCAGTCCACTTGAGCCGGTGCACAAGGGCTGGCCCTGGGAGGGGCTTAGCAAGAAAGAAGGGTAGGCATTCCAAAGATGGAGGGCACAGCCCGTGTGAGGCTCGGTGCTGGTGGAGATACTCTCGAACAGGGAGAGGATAGTGAGGAAAGCCGAGAAAAAGGAAGCTTGTCCCTGGATCGTGGAGGGCCTGAAGGTCTACTGAAGCAGCGTGGTACTAAAGCGTCTTGGAGTCAGTGGGGGCCCGGGAAGGTGACTGAGCCAGTGGCAGTGTGTGCCTCCCGTGTGTGCACCAGTAGTCACCGAGTGCAGAGGGGAAAGTCTCAGAGCCAATTAGGAGGTAAGTCTAGGCGTGCATTCATAAGGGGGTAATTGCAAATGTTGCAAGCAAAGAGGTGAGAGGCACTTCAGAGGAAGAGTTCTTAAGATTCCATAATTGGTTATATAGAGGATGAATGAGAAAAAGGAAAAGAGGATTTCCATCTTCATTCCTGGGAAAGTGGTCATCACTTTCTTAAAAGTAGAGGACTGGGGATGTAGAGGTGGCTTGTGGAGAAAGAGTACCAGTTCTGTTTGGAATGTCAAGAACTTGAGGCAAGGCCTAGACAGCCTGGGAGCTTGGTGTGACCTCAGGACTAGAAATGTAGATTTGGGAGGTGAATTTGTAAAAGGGTAGTTGAGTCCGGGCAGTGGAATGGGTTTGTTTCAGGAAGAGAGGGAGAAGAGGGAAGCGCGGAGGCCTGCATTGCCACAAGAATGCCGTGCTTGGGGCAGGAAGGAGCAGGAGGAGCTAGCAAGATGAGATAAAGCAGTGAGAGTGCCTCTCTCGCCTTCTTGCTGACAAGATTTGGGGCCGGTCTTACAAGGCCACAGAGAAGAATTTCAAAGTGAAGGGGACTGTGTCAGGAACGCGGTAGGATTGTCAACAGCAGGATAAAGAGAACAGAAGCCAGATGGCTGGCAGCAACAGTTGGGTGACGAGGCCATGATGGAACATTAGACCTTGGATCAAGGCTCAAAAATTCAGACACCAGCGAGCCCAGGCAGGTAATGGAAGCAACTGTAGCTGACTGGACCTAAGAAGCAGTGGCACGGGTGCCAGGCACCCCAGCTGACCTGCCTTGGTGCTCAGAGCAGCAGGGCTGGCCATGGTCAGGGAGTCTGGGGAGGTCATGCTCTGTCCACAGGGTTCTAGCCAGCTTCTGCCAAATTGTCTGTTTTTTCTCAAGAGAAGCTGGGAAGGCCAGTTGTGGTGTCTCATACCTGCAATCATAGCACTTTGGGAGGCTGAGGCAGGAAGATCACATGAGCCCAGGAGTTCAAGACCAGGCTGAGAAGCATAGTAAGAGCCTTTCCCTTAAAAAAAAAAAAAAAAAAAAGACAAAGTTGGCCAGGTGCAGTGGCTTATGCCTGTAATCCCAGCATTTTCGGAGGCTGAGGTGAGCAGATTGCTTGAGCTTAGGAGTTGAAGACTAGCTCTACAAAAACTAAAAAATTGGCCAGGCATGGTAGCTCACACCTGTAATCCTAGCACTTTGGGAGGCCAGTGCAGGAGGATCCCCTGAGCCCAGGAGTTCTAGACCAGCCTGGGCAACATAGGGAAACCCCATCTCTATTAAAATTTTTTTTGCTGGGTGCAGTGGCTCACACCTGTAATCCCAGCACTTTGGGAGGCCGAGGCAGGTGGTTCACCTCAGGTCGGGAGTTCGAGACCAGCCTGACCAACATGGAGAAACCCCGTCTCTACTAAAAATACAAAAATTACCCGAGTGTGGTGGCACGCTCCTGTAATTCCAACTACTCGGGAGGATGAGGCAGGAGAATCACGTGAACCCAGGAGGCAGAGGTTGCAGTGAGCCGAGATTGCGCCACTGCACTCCAGCCTGGGCGACAGAGTGAGACTCCGTCTCAAAGAAAAAAAAAAATTTAATATAAATGAATTAAAAATTAGCTGGGGTTGGTGGTGTGTGCCTGTAGTCCCCCCTACTCAGAAAGCTGAGATGAGAAGATCACTTGAACCCAGGAGGTGGAGGTTACAGTGAGCCAAGATTATGCCACTGCACTTTAGTCTGGGTGACACAGCGAGACCCTGTCTCAAAAAAAACAACAAAAAAAGAAACAAAAAGTACTAGTTGGGCATAGTGGTACACACCTGTAGTCCCACCTACTTGGGAAGCTGGGGTGGGAGGATCACTTGAGCCCAGGAGGTCAAGGCTGTAGTGACCTACAATTCCACCACTGCACTCCAGCCTGGGCAACAGTGTGAGACCCTATCTCCAAAAAAAGAGAGAAGCTGGAAATACAGGTTTTTATGTGAAATATCCCAATTTTAAATGTGCTTAGTTCAAAAATATGTCTTGGGGCCATAGAAACATCTCTGTGGGCTGCCAGTGTGAGGCCTCTGGTGAGAGACAGCCCTTCTCACTGTTAGATGACCTCAGGCTGAGGGAGTGGTGAGAGCAAGGGTGGCAGTGCTGTCCCTGCATACCGTCAGCCCAAGGTTTGGAAAAGCTGCCAGCTGCAGTGCAGAGAGAACTTTATAGGGAACATGATCTAAATTGACCCACAAAAAATGTAATGTGACTTCTGAGTTTATTTCCTGGAATCCAAAAGGAATCTGGGCTGTCAGATTTTATGCTATTTCCCAAATTGATATTGTCTGGTATGTGAAGCCATGCATCTCACCGGTGCCTGTGCCACCCTGGAAAGAAATACCTTCTCGTTGGATAAAGGGAAGTACAAAGGAGAGGTTATGACGAGGGCCTGGAGTTTGAATCACGTATATAGGACCTTAGCAAAGCACCTTTGCCCCAGTTTCCTTGTCTCATCGTTAGGAATTACAACAGTACGTGCCTCCTAGGTTCACTGTGTTAGTTAAATGAGTGACATGGACACAGCACTTAGAACAGTGCCTGTGTACAAGGCATTTGATCAGTTCTTTAGGTTTGTTTCGCAGACACTGGCCGTTTGTACAGTGAGAACCCCAGAGGCCACTGCCCAGGCTTACAGGAACTCGTCTCACGAGCTCCCAATAAACTGCAGACAGCCCTTGGGTCTGAATTATTAATCTGGGGAGTAGTGTAGCATACGTTGGAGATACTGCAGGTTCGATTCCAGATCATTGCAGGTCACACAAACGTCTTGGTTTCCCATTGCATGTTAAAGTTAGGTTTATACTGTAGTCTATTAAGTGGTACAATAGCAATATGTCTTTTTAAAATGTACATACCTTTGCCGGGCGCGGTGGCTCACGCCTGTAATCCCAGCGCTTTGGGAGGCCGAGGCGGGCGGATCATGAGGTCAGGAGATGGAGACCATCCTGGCTAACACGGTGAAACCCCGTCTCTACTAAAAATACGAAAAATTAGCCGGGCATGGTGGTGGGCGCCTATAGTCCCAGCTACTCAGGAGGCTGAGGTAGGAGAATGGCGTGAACCCGGGAGGCGGAGCTTGAAGTGAGCCGAGATCACGCCACTGCACCCCAGCCTGGGTGACAGAGCGAGACTCCATCTCAAAAAAATATATATATATACATGCCTTAAGTTAAAAATACTTCATTGCTTAAAAAAAAAAATGCTGACAGAGACACAAAGTGAACACATGCTGTTGGGAAAATGTCCCCCATAGATTTGATTGATACTGGGTTGCCACAAACCTTCAATTCGTTTTTTGGTTTTTTGGTTTTTTGGTTTGTTTTTTTTGAGACGGAGTCTCGTGCTGTCGCCCAGGCTGCGGTGCAGTGGCGCAATCTCGGCTCACTGCAAGCTCCGCCTCCTGGGTTAATGCCATTCTCCTGCCTCAGCCTCTGGAGCAGCTGGGACTACAGGTGCCCGCCACCACGCCCGGCTAATTTTTTGTGTTTTTAGTAGAGACGGGGTTTCATCATGTTAGCCAGGATGGTGTCGATCTCCTGACCTCATGATCCACCTGCCTCGGCCTCCCAAAGTGCTGGGATGACAGGCGTGAGCCACCGTGCCTGGCCCGTTTTTTTTGTTTGTTTGTTTGTTTGTTTTTTTAAGTGCAACACCTACAAAGCACAATAAAACAACGCATAATAAAACGAGGTGTGTCTGTGGTCCAGGAGCTCTAGCTGCTATTGACCCTTCGAGGTGTCCTTCCTGCCTGTTCTTTGTGCTTCACCTGGCCCATAGTGAAAGGACGTATGAGCAGGAGAGGACAGAGCTGGCATGTGGTACAGGACAGATAGCCGTTTCAGTTCAGCACCTTCAGACAGGTAGGGAATCGGTGCCTGGGCTTTGGAATTTTGGTGTGTTTTAAATGCGATACATCCCGTAGTCTCAGAGGAGGGTGTTTGTGTGTGTGTTGCTATAGTAATTGTCATTTGGCTGGCGAGCTCCTCTCAGAAACACTGAGCAGTCACATAGGCTGATAACTGGGCAAAGCCCAGCTGAGTGCCATTCCGGGACATAATCTCCTGCCCCGTGAGGATTAATGGAAAAAGCTGACCTTGATGGCGGAGGCAGGCAGGGAAAGGCTGGGTTTGCGTCTGGACCTGCATGTAAGAGCTGCACCCCAGCAGCGCCCACCTACCCTCTTTCTGGGGATGAACTCTGGGCACAGCCCACCCAGATCAAAGTAGCGCTGTTAGTTCTGTGACTCTCCCAAAATCCCATACTCACACGAGGAGCAGAAGTTTAGGAGTTGGGGCCCTTCCTTAGTGCCAAACTGAGAGTTACAAGCTGCCTCCTCCTTGTTTCCATTGGGTCATTGTGGCCTTAGGTGAGTCCTAGGGCTGCACCACCCAAGACAGCTGTGCTGCCCCAGCCACAATTGGCCATTTAAATTGAAATTAAATGCACATTAAAATGCAGCTTCTCCATCACCCTATTGTGTGAGATGCTCCACAGTGACGCTTGACTGGCGCCTGCTCTATCACACAGTGCAGATGGAGTACACGCCCATCATTGCAGAATATTCTTTTGGGCAGCTCTGGGCTGGGCCTTTTCTTTTCCCCCAAAAACCTCTGCATTCAACAAATGTTTATTGAGTAATTCTCCTATAGGCCAAATGCCTGGAGAGAAAGCAGCATAAAAGTCAGACGAGGCTCCTTCAGTAAGAATTGAACCTGGACTGTATGGCAGCATGGGTTGTAGAGTAGGCCAGACTGGCAGAGTTCTTGCTTTTCTAGGATGTGCTTCTAATATGACAGACCCTGGAGCCAAATTCTGTCAGTCTGCTAGGCACAGTGGCTCACTCCCATAATCCCAGCACTTTGGAAGGCCGAGGTAGGAGGACCACTTGAGGCCAGAAGTTAGAGACCAGTCTGGCCAACATAGCAAGACCCTATAAAAACAAAAAATTAGAAATTACAGAAAACAAATAATTGCAAATAAATAATACATCTACAAAAAATAAAAATAAAAAATTAGCTGGGCGTAGTGGCACACACCTGTAGTCCCAGCTACCCAGGAGGCTGAGGTGGGAAGATCACTTGAGCTCAAGTGGTTGAGGCTGCAGTGAGCCATAATTGAGTCACTGCACTCCAGCCTGGGTGACAGCTAGACTATGCCTCCAAATAAATAAATAAGTTGTGTCTACCACACCAGTGACTGACTCGGTGACCTTAAGCAAGGTTACTTAAGCTCTGTGTGCCTTAGTTTTCTATTCTGTAAAAGAAGATTATAATAGGGCTGGGTGCAGTGGCTCACGCCTGTAATCCCAGCACTTTGGGAGGCCGAGGCGGGCGGATCACGAGGTCAGGAGATCGAGACCATCCTGGCTAACATGGTGAAACCCCGTCTCTACTAAAAATACAAAAAATTAGCTGGGCATGGTGGCCGCGCGCCTGTGGTCCCAGCTACTCAGGAGGCTGAGGCAGGAGAATCGCTGGAACCCAGGAGACAGAGGTTGCAGTGAGCCAAGATTGTGCCACTGCACTGCAGCCTGGGCTACAGAGCAAGACTCCGTCTCAAAAAAAAAAAAAGAAGATGATAATAATTCTGTTTCATGAAGGGGCAAGAATTACATGAGAATGTATGTATAAAATAGGACTTATTGTGATGTCTAGCACATAGTAAGCCCTATGAAGGCATTTGTTCTCATTATAATCCACATCAGCATCATGTTCTATGGGCAAACATAAAAAGAGGTCAGGTGAAGCCACTCTGATAAGGTGACATTTCAGCAGAGTCCCAAAGCGAGCCTGAGCCAAGGAGATAACTGTCAGAAGAACGTTCCAAGTAGCACAAGGGTGCCAGGGCAGGCACATGCTTGGTGTGTTTGGTGCGGGGGGGAAAGCCAGCAGGGTGCTAACGAGCTAGAGAGCAGTGACGGGGGAAGAAATAGGACTTGAGGTTGGAGATTGGCGTGGGATGGGTGGGAGACGGCAGAACTTGCAAGACCCTCCCTGTAGACCATGCTCATGAAGCCCGTAGCTTTACTATGTGAGACTGGAAGGCAGTTTAAGGCAAAGAAGCATCATAATCTGATTGGCCCTTTTGGTAGCTGACTCTGGCTGCTGTGTAGAGACTAGACTGTGAGTGGAAGCAGGGAGATTTATTTTTGCAATTGTCCAGGTGGCCTGAGCTTAGGTATTAGTAGCAGGGATGGTGAGAAGAAGGGGTTGGGCAGATCGCCAACTGTAAAGCCCCATTCATTGTCAGTGGATTAGAGAAGAGAGGGGTCAAGAAGGGCTCTAAAGATATCGGCCTAGTAGAATGGAGCAGGCGTTTTCTAAGACTGAGAAAACCTCAGGAGTAGTTTAGGCAGGGGGTGTCAAGAGGGCCACTGTGGCTGGAAGGGAGTGACTGGGGAAAGGGAGTGCAAGGTAACATCAGAGCAGTCGAGAGGGACCAGACCAGTGTTAAAACTGGAAAGAGGACCCTTTGCCCAGGAAGAAGGTGAGCCGGGCCATCGATGAAGAGGAGCTTCTCATCTCACCATGTCCTCCTGTGTCCGTCTCAGGAGAACTCAGGCTCTTGGGCTCTGGCCACCCTGGAGTTTAATTCTGCCTTTGTCATGATAGCTGTAAAATGTGGGCAGATCTCATCAGCCCCATGTGGTTTTATTCGTTTCTTTGAAATATGGCGGATTCCTTCTGAAGCCACTACTGTTTCTTTTTTTTCTTTTTTTTTTTTTTTTTGAGATGGAGTCTTGCTCTGTCTCCAGGCTGGAGTGCGGTGGTGCAATCTCGGCTCACTGCAACTTCCACCTCCCCGGTTCAAGCGATTCTTCTGCCTCAACCTCTGGAGTAGCTGGGAGTACAGGTGCAGCTAATTTTTGTATTTTTTAGTAGAGACGGGGTTTCACCGTGTTGGCCAGGCTGGTCTCGATCTCTTGACCTCATGATCTGCCTGCCTCGGCCTCCCAAAGTGCTGGGATTACAGACATGAGCCACCACGCCCAGCCACCACAACTGTTTCTTAATGTTTGGTATTCACCATAAGGCATTTACTCTGAAACTTTGCAGACAGTACTGCAGATCGTACTTGGGCTTTCTAATTACCTCCATCTTTGTGAAATTTAGACATAAGTACACATTTTATTATTTCCAGAATTGAGAAGAAAGACTCACTTTGTGTTAATGGGAAGAACTGGCTTGTTTCTCCCGAGGGACGGTCATCAGAACAGTGGTTGGGGATTGGCTTGAACTTTCCCTTAGACTGTGGAGCTTGCAAGGGGTTTTGTTGGGGTTTGAATGTGATTTTAAAATGCCCTGCCCCTCCCTCTATAGGATCTCACCATCCCGGAGTCTAGTACCGTGAAGGGGATGATGGCCGGACCGATGGCCGCGTTTAAATGGCAGCCAACCGCAAGCGAGGTAAGGAGCTCTCCTGCAGGCAGGACAAGCTGTGGCTTAGGGCGAGGTTCCTGTGTGATCCTTTTTTTTTTTTTTTTTGTCCCTTTCTTGTGTGTGAGGCTTAATTTATTATTACAAAACAGTACAGAAGTCTATGAAATAAAAAATTAAAAATTTCCCTCTAGGGTGAGCACTGTGAGGCTCGAGGTGACGGATTTCAGTCCTTTGGGATGCCCACTTAGCATTCATTTACATGATTATAGACCTATGTCTAGTTTTTTTTATTTTGGGCAGGGTTCTTTTTCACAAAAGTGGGATGATTCCACAAGTTTTTTTCCCCTAATATTTTATAAACACCCTCTTATTGTCCATAAATACAACTTTTATGTTTAGTTTTATTATCCTTGGTGCGGCTACACCTGTTGCTGGGCATAATTATGGAAAGCCCATGAAGGTCCACTGTCGTGGCTACTCTGTTTCTGTTAATATGCTCAGTAAGATGAGATCGCCAAGGGCTTGGTACCAGACACAAGTAGGCCAAAACCCTGAAATTCCAGAATAGATGTGACTTAGTTTGCTGGGTTATCTGCTGTGCCTGATGAGTACCGAATTTATAAAGCACAGGTATGCTTGTTAATATTTTCCCACAGGCTCATTGGAATAATTTGTGTACCAACCTAGCAGAATCATCTATTCTTTTACACTTTAAAGCCAGTTTTCCTCTAGCTGGAATGGGGCTTGTTTTTATAAAAAGGCTTAGGCCAAAATGGGAAAAGAGTTTCCAGACAATTGTGAAAAAGAGACCAGAATCCAGAGGTGTTGCAGCCAGAGGAGAGTCCAGTTACCAGGGAGAAGGAAGTGACCTTTGGTGGCAGATAACTGGTTTTATTTCACTGTTTTCTGGTTTCAGCCTGTTAAAGATGCAGATCCTCATTTCCATCATTTCCTGCTAAGCCAAACAGAGAAGGTGAGTTGCCTTTGAGGCTCTTGGCCCTTGGTCAGGGGCTGGCCAAGGAGTGCTCCTCCACTGGGTCCTGGCCTGGCCATCTGAAAAGTTAGGCTCTGCCGGTGTATTGCCCAGAGCAACTAGCCCAGAAGCCCCCATATGGGCCCGCTAATGAGCCAAGCATTGTTAAGATTAAAAGTAAATCCAGGCCGGGCGCGGTGGCTCACACCTGTCATCCCAGTACTTTGGGAGGCTGAGGCAGGTGGATCATGAGGTTAGGGATTCAAGACCAGTCTGACCAACATGGTGAAACCTCATCTCTACTAAAAATAGAAAAATTAGCTGGGCATGGTGGCGCGTGCCTGTAATCCCAGCTACTCAGGAGGCTGAGGCAGGAGAATTGCTTGAACCCGGGAGGCAGAGGTTGCAGTGAGCCAAGATTGCGTCGCTGCACTCCAGACTGGGCAACAGCGTAAGACTCTGTCTCAAAAAAGATAAATAAACCCAAAGGCCGGGCATGGTGGCTCATGCCTATAATCCCAGCACTTTGGGAGGCCAAGGCGGGTGGATCACCTGAGGTCAGGAGTTCAAGACCAGCCTGGCCAACATGGTGAAACCCCATCTCTACTGAAAATACAAAAATTAGCTGGGCATGGTGGTGCATTCCTGTAATCCCAGCTACTTGGGAGTCTGAGGCAGTAGAATCGCTTGAACCCAGGAGGTAAAGGTTGCAGCAAGCCGAGATGGTGCCACTGCACTCCAGCCTGGGCGACAGAGCGAGACTCTATCTCAGAAGAGCATTTAAAACTCAGCCAGCTGTGTAGTTGAGACTGTCACAGTGACCTTTAGAGTTTAGGGCAGAAACCAAACATCGTAAGCTGTCAGCACCCCATGAAATTGCATGGCAGACACATCTTCAAGCTCACTCCAAGAGGTAGTCTCCAAGTCCTGCGGATGCAGAGGGAGGTCCTCCCAAGGTCTGCAAGGTTATGGGGTGGCCTGAGCCGTGCTAGGATCTCATGAGAGTTTGTGGCTTTGGAGTTGGATAGATGTGGGTTCCAAGCTTATGACTCTTATTCTCAACACCATGGTCAGCAAAAAGACCTGGTAGAATTGCATGGGGACTTGAATGAGGTAATGTGTATGAACTTTCTAGTGTAAAATTTGGAGTTCACTAAAGTATAAAACAAATAGTTGATGTTAACTTCCCACTTTGGGTCTAACCTTTGAGGGGATTATTATGAAGACTGGTTAAGCCTGCAGTAGCACAAGTAGTCTCTTTCCTCCTCCTTCATTAGCCAGCTGTCTGTTACCAGGCAATCACGAAGAAGTTGAAAATATGTGAAGAGGTATGTAGGCTCCATGCCTCCCCATTTTAATTTTCACCTGGGGCCTTAAACTGCAGGCAGACTGACTTGATGATGTGTGCTTCCTGTCCGTAGGAAACTGGCTCCACCTCCATCCAGGCAGCTGACAGCACAGCCGTGAATGGCAGCATCACACCCACAGACAAAAAGTAGGACCTTTGATGAAAAGGCCTCCAGTGGCTCTGGTTCTGCTGAGGGTGGGGAGAAGGTGACCCCAGGGGGGTTCTTTAAGGGTTGTGTCCCAGCCATTGCTGGCATTGAATGGAAAAGGTGGGGGGATGTTGTAACTCTTATCGATAAAGACAGGAGTCAAAAGCTGTGTAAATCTGTGGTCGGGTCTCCCTTGGGCATAAGCTGAGGGATTTTTTTGGCTCCAGAACTCAAGAGCAAGGAGCACTTGGCTCAGTGGTTCTCAGACTTTCCTGTGCCTGACAGTCACCTGGAAGGTGGCTTCTCAGTCAATATGTCCGGGTGGGGCCCAAGAATTTGTATTTTTAACCAGTTCCCAGGTATACTGCTGCTGCTGGTCAGAGCTACGCTGTGAGAACCACTGGCTGAGTAGAATCATGATGAGGCCCCAAAATTGGCCATGGTGGGGCAGGTGGGGGAAGGGAGATGAAAGTGCTTGGGGATCCTCACTGAGCACTTGCTGGCTGTCCTGCACCCTGCCCGGTGTGGGTGGGGCGATCCTGGACATGCTCCCAGACCCAACTTGCGCCCAGCCTTGCCTCTGTGCCTGCTCTGTAGGCATGTCTCCTCCGCAGAGTCTTGTTGGCAAAAAGATACCTTTTCTAGGAAAACACGTTCTCTGGAGCAAGTTAGCTAAAGTCAGTTTCCAGTTTGTACCTTTCACATGGTCTTCCCCAGACTAAAAACAGTGCATCTTTTACATGATATTTTTGTACTGTTTAAATCACTAATGCTACCAGTTATTTTTGGTGAACTTGTCTCTGTAGAGTGGAGGAGATAAGGGCATATTAGGTGCAAACAAAGGGGAGGAGGATTGTGTTAAAAAAATAAAAATAAAAAAATGATCAGGATAGGGTGAGGACAGAGTCCTGATGTTTTTACCCAACACATTTATTGGCCCATTAGTCAAACTTTTAATAAAAGAGTATGAAGCCAGCATCAAAACCAACCAGTTTTGTTGTTGCCCAACCCACCTTAATCCACATTTCCATTTTGTCTGAGACACAGTGTGAAGGACTCTCAGTTGCCATATTAAAAATCCAGAACCTTGACCTGGGCATGGTGGCTCATGGCTGTTATCCCAGCACTTTGGGAGGCCAAGGTGGGCGGATTACCTGAGGTCAGGAGTTCAAGACCAGCCTGGCCAACATGGTGAAACCCTGTCTCTACAAAAATTAGCCAGGCATGATGGTGGGTGCCTTTAATCCCAGCTACTTGGGAGGCTGAGGTGGGAGAATCGCTTGAACCCGGGAGGTGGAGGTTGCAGTGAGCCAAGATCGCACCACTGCACTCCAGCCTGGGCAACAGAACGAGACTGTGTCTCAAAAAAATCCAGAAGCTTTATCCCAGGTCTACTGGACTTCCTAGAACACCAAGAAAGGAAAGGGAATTCGCCTGTCATGATTTAGAATCATGGGGGAATATTGTACTACCCAAATAATGAGTGACAAAAAGGTACCTCCTTGTTTTTAAGCCACAACTTGAAGCAGTTAGCAAGGAGGTCTATTTTGGTGAGAAAGTTGGTGGGTTCCATTTTCAACATGTGATTCAAATTACTTAATACAGGCTGGGACAGGGAGAATGTGAGCAGCTGATATTCCAGCTGAGATTAGGGGTCCATTTGTAGAGATGGTTCCAGAAGACCAAAACTATGGAAAGAATGACAGGGTCAAAGTGGAGGAGCTGCCGGGGACATCCAGCAGTCAGAGAATTTCTGAATTGAAAACATGGCCAAGCGCAGTAGCTCATCCTTGTAATCCCCACACTTTGGGAGACCAAAGCAGAAGGATCCCTTGAGGCCAGGAGTTCATGACCAGCCTAGGAAATACAGCAAGACCCCGTCTCTACAAAAAAATTTTAAAACTTAGCCAGACATGGTGGCATGCACCTATAGTCCTAGCTGCTCAGGTGGACTGAGGTGGAAGGATCACTTGAGCCCAGGAGTTTGAGGCTGCGGTGAGCTATGATCACCCCCCTGCACTCCAGCCTGGGAGACAGCATAATGCTGTCACTAAAAAAAGAAAAAAGGCTGGGTGCAGTGGCTCACGCCCATAATCCTAACACTTTGGGAGGCTGAGGTGAGAGGATTGCCTGATACCAAAAGTTCGAGACCAGCCTAGCCAACATAGCAAGACCCCCCCATCTCTCTTTTTAAATAAATAAATAAATAAAAATTAAAAACTATAAAAACAAGAACATGATATGATCAGAAATGAGGAAAGGCATTCTTTTGCACCATTGTCACTTGCAAAGAGAGGTGAAGAAGTACAAGAATCAAGAAAAGACACTTTGGCAAGCTAAAAGTCATCCGTAAAAGCATGTTGAAATAGCAGCAGTGGCATCCAGCCCCCAGCTCTCAGGGTTGCAGGAAGGAGCAGGCGGAGTATGTGAATGTGTGTGGAGGAGACTGGCCAATGAGTGCTTCTGTCACAAGGATTGGGAAGGACCTGTGGAAGGAAGGGCTGGGGGAACAGTGAGAGGTTTGGGGGAAGGCAGGCATGGGGAGAAGGATTTGTGGACTGGGAAAGATTGGGTTCCAAGCTCAGGTGAAGGACTTAGCTTTGGAGAGGAGAGGCAAGGCCCATTCTGTTGATAACGGGAAGACGGGAAAGGTAGGGTGTGGGTAGAGAATTGAAGTTGGGAAAGAGAGGTGAAAATTGCCGTCCTGGTTCATGCAGTCAAGGAAGTTGCCTGGCTCTAAACACAGTGCTTCAGTGACTTGTGGTGGATTCTGTTGGGCTTTAAAGTAGTATCCAGAGCCGGGTGCAGTGGTTCACACCTGCAACCCCAGCACTTTGGGAGGCTGAGGTGGGCGGATCCCTTAAGCCCAGGAGTCCAAGACCAGCCTGGGTAACATGGCAAAAGCCCATCTCCACAAAAAATTAGGTGTGCTGACAGATGCCTGTAGTCTCAGCTACCCAGGAGGCTGAGGGGGAAGGATTACTTGAGCCCAGGAGGTCGAGGCTGCAGTGAGCCATGATTGCACCACTACACTGCAGCCTGGGCAACAGAACAAGACACTATCTCAAAAAATAAGTAAAGTGTGAGGCCGGGCATGGTGGCTCACGCCTGTAATCCGAGCACTTTGGGAGGCCGAGGTGGGCAGATCACGAGGTCAGGAGTTTGAGACCAGCCTGGCCAACATGGTGAAACCCTGTCTCTACTAAAAATACAAAAATTAGCTGGGCATGGTGGCGTGCGCCTGTAATCCCAGCTACTCAGAAAGCTGAGGCAGGAGAATCGCTTGAACCCAGGATGCAGAGGTTGCAGTGAGCTGAGCTCGCGCCATTGCACTCCAGCCTGGAACAGAGCAAGACTGTCTCAAAAAAAAAAAAAAGGGCAGCAAGGGGACTTTGCCCTGGGAGACTGGCCCTGAACCATACACATCATACTTTTTTCTGTGACAGTCAGGGGTTTCAAAATGCCTGTTTACATCCTGGGACAGCTTTAGACCATGGCATAAGAGAAGACCCATGTGCATGACGCCCCTGGCTCTGCAGGTAGATTGGCCACTGCTGTTTCTGGCAGTCTGAATTCCCCTACCCCAAGCTGTATAAGGGAGCGAGCCTTGTGCTGCATGGAATCATCATCACCGTGACCCTCCCTTTCCACCCTGAACTCATCAGTCTCTCTCTGTTTCAGGATAGGATTTTTGGGCCTTGGTCTCATGGGAAGTGGAATCGTCTCCAACTTGCTAAAAATGGGTCACACAGTGACTGTCTGGAACCGCACTGCAGAGAAAGTAAGCATTCAGGGGTGGTGCCTGTTGGATCGGTGGAGTCTGGGGTAACCCTAAGAGTGGACATCTCCCCCTGTTGTCTCAGCGTTCTGCGTGCAATAGAATAGAAGCCAAGCTTTTAGTCCAGGCAGGTAGAGATGTAGATGCCTAAACTTAGGATGTTATTATAAAACCTAAACATTTGCCTGGCGCGGTGGCTCACTCCTGTAATCCCAGCACTTTGGGAGGCTGAGGCGGGCGGATCATGAGGTCAGGAGATCGAGACCATCCTGGCTAACACGGTGAAACCCCGTCTCTACTTAAAATACAAAAAATTAGCCGGGCGTGGTGGCGGGCACCTGTAGTCCCAGCTGCTCCAGAGGCTGAGGCAGGAGAATGGCATGAACCCGGGAGGCAGAGCTTGCAGTGAGCCGAGATCGCGCCACTGCACTCCAGCCTGGGCGACAGAGCAAGACTCCGTCTCAAAAAAAAAAAATAGAAAATACAAAAATTAGCTGGGTATGGTGGCGTTCACCTGTAGTCTCAGTTACTCAGGAGGCTGAGGCAGGAGAATAACTTGAATGTGGGAGGCAGAGGTTGCAGTGAGCTGAGATCGTGTCACTGCACTCCAGCCTGGCAACAGAACAAGACTCCGTCTCAAAAAAAAAAAAAAATGGCACAATCTCGGCTCACTGCAACCTCCACCTCCCAGGTTCAAGTGATTCTCCTGCCTCAGACTCCCAAGTAGCTGGGATTACAGGCGCGCGCCACCACACCTGGCTAATTTTTTGTATTTTTAGTAGAGAAGGGGTTTCACCATGTTAGCCAGGCTGGTCTCGAACTTCTGACCTCAGGTGATCCACCCGCCTTGGCCTCCCAAAATACTGGGATTACGGGTGTGAGCCACTGTGCCTGGCCCACAAGTAATTTTTTAAAAGAAAACCAGAAGAAAATAAATACTAACATAGATCTTTGTAAATCTAGAACTAATAAAAATCACACAAGAAGATCAGTTGATTTTTTTTGATAATACTCCCCAACAACAAAAAAATAAAATTCAAAGGAATACCAACTAGAAGTACTTGTAGCAAATACGTAAGAAGGGTAATATGTTGCTTTTATTAAACATAGTTTGATAATTAAGACAAAAAAATTAGTAGGGTGCTAATTAATAATTTTAGATCTAAGAATAGGCTCACACCTATAATCCTAGCACCTTGGGAGGCTGAGGGAAGAGGATTGCTTGAGTCCAGGAATTTGAGACCAGCCTGGACAACATGAGACTCCATCTCTACAAAAAATAAAATATTAGCTGAGTGAGGTGGCACCTGCCTACTATAGTCCCAGCTACTTGGGAGGCTGAGGCCAGAAGATCTCTTGGGCCCAGGAGGTAGAGGCTGCAGTGAGCTGTGATCATACCACTGCATTCCCACCTAGGCAGCAGCAAGACCCTGTCTCAGAAAAGAAAAAGGACAAAAAAATGGCTCACAAAAGAGGAAACAAAGGCATAAAAAATATTCGGTAATCAGGAGTAATTAAAATATATCAAACAAGGCCGGGTGCGGTGGCTCATGCCTATAATCCCAGCACTTTGGAAGGCAGAGACTGGGGGATAACGAGGTCAGGAGATCGAGACCTCGGTGAAACCCCGTCTCTACTAAAAATACGAAAAATTAGCCGGGCACAGTGGCGGGCGCCTGTAGTCCCAGCTACTCGGGAGGCTGAGGCAGGAGAATGGCGTGAACCTGGGAGGCAGAGCTTGCAGTGAGCTGAGATCGTGCCACTGCACTCCATCCTGGGCGACAGCGAGACTCTGTCTCAAAAAAAAAAAATGAAACAGTTGCCTTTTTTGACTGGTTAAATGATCAGGTAGGAAGAATTTTACATGTATTTATGGGCACTTATTTGTAGTTTTTAAATTACATACTTGGTACTGGCATAATAGGAGAGCTTGCTGGTGATCTTTATGAAGTGACATAGTCTCATTGGGAAGTCATCTGTCTACATTTGTTGAGAGCCTTAAAACTTTTAGAACCTGTTTTATTCTATTTGTGGAGACCTGAATTTAAAACATAGAGAAGTTTTGTACGTAAAGATGTTTGGTGATGTGATTTTACAATTGAAAGTGGGCTAAGTGTCAAACTACAGGTCAGCCATTAGGTAAATCACAGTATATCTCTCAGTGAAGTTTTCCATAGTCAACCACTATAAACCATAATTATGCCAGAATTATGAAAGACAACAATATAGATAAATGTGAATCATAAACAACATTAAAAGTCTGATAGAAAATAGTAGGCCCATCCAGCCTGGGCAACATGGTGAAACCCTGTCTCTACAGAAAAAAAAAAAAATCACACATGGGGCATGCACCTATAGTCCCAGCTATTCAGGAGGCTGAGGCAGGAGGATCACTTGAGTCCAGGAGGTTGAGGCTGCAGTGAGCCATGATTGCACCACTGTGCTCCAGCCTGGGTGACAGAGCAAAACCTTGTCTCAAAAAAAAAAAGCCAAAATGGTAGTGTTTTTAGGCACTTCCAGAAGTCTTATTAACCTGACAACAGTGTTGAGAAACAACCCAAAAACGAATGGCCACCAGGTGGAAGGCTTCCAGCGACATCCCCACATTCCCAGCAGAGTGTTGATAGCTCAGGGCCACAGCCAGGACAGCACAGCGGGGGCTGGGGAGAGGTGCTACTGTTCATACCCCATTCTTGAAACAGCATACCTTCAGCAGACACTTGTGAAGCAGTTCATCATCCTAGGCACTCGTCATGCAAAAACTGAAGATGGCCAGTAAAAGGCCCCGTGCACTTCCCCAAAAGTTGGGCTCCTATCTCCATGACCCAGGCTCCCGGCCTCAGCCTCCTGCCTTGGTAGGCCGCCAGGAGGCCTGGTCAGCAATTCTCTGGCCTGGCTGGCATGTTTGTTGTGCACTGCCTGCAGCTCACGTTAGGATCTGTGACTTTTGCAGTGTGATTTGTTCATCCAGGAGGGGGCCCGTCTGGGAAGAACCCCCGCTGAAGTCGTCTCAACCTGCGACATCACTTTCGCCTGCGTGTCGGATCCCAAGGCGGCCAAGGACGTAAGGACCCCCTCCCTCCCCTCAGCAACTCCGGGTCACAGCCAGGATTGCTGGCTGGCCTCTTCCCCTCCTCCCCTGCACACCAAGTGAGTGTCCACATGTGGGGGGCTGAATTTCCCATCAGGGGCCATCTCCCATTGTGAAGGGTGTTTGCATTAATTGAATACAGACTTCCTTTAATTCAGATCAAAGAATGAACACTACTAGGGCCCTTGAAGTCTGTGCTGAAATGTGTCTTGAACAGGCTTCATGTGTTCTTGTTGAACTAGAAGCTTTGGAACTGAATGTGCCTTTGGTCCAGGTGCCAAGCTTCTATGTTTAGCTGTCACTGTATTTGTATATTTTAGAAGTTCAAGTGTGGTAGTCATCTTATTAAACTGGTGACTAGCCTAATCCAAGTAAATCCAAAGAAGTCCCCAAAGTAAATGCTGAGGTTTATTCTTTTAAATGGGGTTTGTTTTTTTTTTTTTTTAAATAAAAAGAAATGCACACACTCACATAGATTCTTTTTAAAGATAAATGGGAGCATGCGGGAAGTACTTTTCTATCCCTTGCTTATTTCATTGTTCTTCCCTTTTCAGCTGATAGAAATCAGGAAATGAGCCAAAACAGCAGCAGGATTCTGATCTGAGGTCTGTAGGGCTCCTGAGCATCTGCCCGGGAGCCTGGGCTATTGCTTCTCCCTTGTGTCCCCACAGCTGGTGCTGGGCCCCAGTGGTGTGCTGCAAGGGATCCGCCCTGGGAAGTGCTACGTGGACATGTCAACAGTGGACGCTGACACCGTCACTGAGCTGGCCCAGGTAGCAGCCTTCCTTGGGCTGGCTCTCCAGCATCTTTTCTATCAGAGCCCAAGACCCAGGCTTACAAGAGTGGGCAGTTAAGTTACTCTAGAGCCAAAGCCAGAGAGGGAAGAGGAGAGGCGAGTAGCCTTGGGACTAGCCTATCCCGTGCTCCACCTTCAAACCGCAGCTAGTCTGAACAGCCATGGGCAGTCGCTGCATGGCTGGGATGGGCATCAAGTCCTGGAGCTGCCAGCCTTATGATGAGAAGCAACCCAGGCCGCCCGCCTGGCATTGGGGTTTGAGCAGCTGTCTGCATTTGACACTGGCAAAGCATCCCTCCTCCCCGAGCATCTGGCCCAAATAAGGGAGTGGGGACTTTGGGACCCACATATGTTCTGAGGGGAGGGCAGCATCCACAGGGGAGGTGTGTGTTCAGCCGAGCCATTGACATGGTCACATCTGGTTCTAGTTGTTGGTCTCTAAGAAATTCCAGTCCGGGCGCGGTGGCTCACGCCTGTAATCCCAGCACTTTGGGAGGCCGAGGTGGGCGGATCACGAGGTCAGGAGATCGAGACCATCCTGGCTAACACGGTGAAACCCCATCTCTACTAAAAATACAAAAAAATTAGCCGGACGCGGTGGCGGGCACCTGTAGTCCCAGCTACTTGGGAGGCTGAGGCAGGAGAGCGGCATGAACCCAGGAGGCGGAGCTTGCAGTGAGCTGTGATCGTGCCACTGCACTCCAGCCTGGGCAACAGAGCAAGACTCCGTCTCAAAAAAAAAAAAAAAAATTAGCCAGGCATGGTGGCGGTTGCCTGTAGTCCCAGCTACTGAGGAGGCTGATGCAGGAGAATGGCATGAACCCGGGAGGCAGAGTTTGCAGTGAGCTGAGATTGCGCCACTGCACTCCAGCCTGGGCAACAGAGCAAGACTCTGTCTCAAAAAAACAAAACAAAAAAATTCCGGCCAGGCGTGGTGGCTCACTCCTGTAATCCAAGCACTTTGGGAGGCCGAGGCGGGCGGATCACAAGGTCAGGAGATCAAGACAATCCTGGCTAATATGGTGAAACCTGTCTCTACTAAAAATACAAAAAATTAGCCAGGCGTGGTGGTGGACGCCTGTAGTCCCAGTTACTCGGGAGGCTGAGGCAGGAGAATGGCATGAACCCGCGAGGCGGAGCTTGCAGTGATCCGAGATCGCTCCACTGCACTCCAGCCTGGGCGACAGCGAGACTCCACCTCAAAAAAAAAAAAAAAATTCCAAGTCAGTTGGGTTCCTGTGTGGAGACCCCAGCGTCTCATCACTGCTGTGATTCGGCCTGTGTGACCTGCACATGGTTAGCTCCTGAGTTTAGGTGTCAGCTAAAGGACCTTGGTATGGGTGGCCGTCCCCTCCAGCTCTGGAAGGTGATGAGCAGCCGTGGCCACTCAGCAACACTCCTTGAGTCCTGCCCAGAGAGCGCTGGGAGAGGGGAGGCCTCCAGAAGCTGTGACTTTTCTTTCCAGGTGATTGTGTCCAGGGGGGGGCGCTTTCTGGAAGCCCCCGTCTCAGGGAATCAGCAGCTGTCTAATGACGGGATGTTGGTGATCTTAGCGGCTGGAGACAGGGGCTTATATGAGGACTGCAGCAGCTGCTTCCAGGCGATGGGGAAGACCTCCTTCTTCCTAGGTAACACGCCTGCACCTGTCAGGCCTGGAGCCTGGGGCCACATCTCCTCTGTTTCACACTGATGACAGCGTCAGTCCCACACGGCCTTTCTGCCGGGGACCCTGGGGAAGGTTTCCTTTCACCTGCATAGTCAGTGCGTGGAAGGAGGAAGAGCCAGTCTGTCGGGGGCAGGTGAAGGGGGCCTCCCCTGGAGAGAGGTGGGTCTGAGCAGAGGTGAGGGTGGACAGAGAAGCCCTGTCTGTGGCATTCTTGGGCTGTGACCGTGAGTCTTTACCCTGGGCAGGTGAAGTGGGCAATGCAGCCAAGATGATGCTGATCGTGAACATGGTCCAAGGGAGCTTCATGGCCACTATTGCCGAGGGGCTGACCCTGGCCCAGGTGACAGGCCAGTCCCAGCAGACACTCTTGGACATCCTCAATCAGGGACAGTTGGCCAGCATCTTCCTGGACCAGAAGTGCCAAAGTGAGTTGTTTTTGGCCCCTCTTCTTGCATTTGGTGTTTGATTAGAGCAGGGTACTAGGTCAGGGATTTAGTGAGCGTGAAAGATGCCCCTCCCCAGTCAGTCCCTGACCCTGGCCAGAGGAGGTTCAGAAACACAGTGGGCGGGATTTGGGGATATAGGCTGGGAGCTGCAGCCCTCAGGTGTCTAAGGGTGAGTGAGGAGCCAAGAGGCCTAGGCTATGTGGAACTGAGCCCTGAGTATGTTTTAGGTACTGACACCTGGTGGACCGTAAGTAGTTTTTAGTTTCAGGTCCTTGGCTTTTGTCTGATACTGGCTTTTTCTCCTCAGATATCCTGCAAGGAAACTTTAAGCCTGATTTCTACCTGAAATACATTCAGAAGGATCTCCGCTTAGCCATTGCGCTGGGTGATGCGGTCAACCATCCGACTCCCATGGCAGCTGCAGCAAATGAGGTAGGGTAGATGTGGCCCAAGCCCCAAGGCCCTTCAGTTTCTTTTTCTTTCTTTTTTTTTTTTTTTTAACGGAGTCTCACTCTGTCACCCAGGCTAGAGTGCACTGGTGCGATCTCAGCTCAATGCAACCTCCGCCTCCTGGTTTCAAGCAATTCTCCTGCCTCAGCCTCCTGAGTAGTTGGGATTATAGGTGCCCACCACCATGCCTAGCTAATTTTTGTATTTTTAGCAGAGATGGGGTTTCTCCTTGTTGTTCAGGCTGGTCTCGAACTCCTGACCTCAGGTGATCCACCCGCCTCTGCCTCCCAGAGTGCTGGGATTACAGGCATGAGCTACCACGCCCAGCCATTCAGTTTCTTTTTCTTTTTCTTTTTCTTTTATTTTGAGACAGAGTCTTGCTCTGTCGCCTCAGGCTCTTGCCACCACGCCCGGCTAATTTTTTTTTTTTTTTTTTTTTTTTTTTTTTTTTTAGTAGAGACAGGGTTTCACCATGTTAGCCAGGATGGTCTCGATCTCCTGACCTCGTGATCTGCCCGCCTCGGCCTCCCAAAGTGCTGGGATTACAGGTGTGAGCCACTACACCTGGCCAAGTTTCTTTTTCTTTTATCGTTTCCTTCCCTCTACTTAGTTTAGCTTTTCTTTGTTCTTTTTCTTTTTTTTGAGACAGAGTCTCACTCTGTCGCCCAGGCTGGAGTGCAGTGGTGTGATCTCAGCTCACTGCAGCCTCTGCCTCCTGGGTTCAATAGATTTTTGTGCCTCTGCCTCCCAAGTAGCCTCCCAAGTAGCCTGGGATTACAGGCGTGCCCCAACCCGCCCTGCTAATTTTTGTATTTTTAGTAGAGATGGGGTTTTGCCATGTTGGCTAGGCTGTTCTCCAACTCCTGACCTCAGGAGAGCCACCTGCCTCAGCCTCTCAAAGTGCTGGGATTACAGGTGTGAGCCACTGTGTCTGGCCTCTTTGTTCTTTTTCAAACCCTTTAAAGTGGAATCTTAAATCATTTATTTTAATCCTGCTTTCTTTATAACATGAGTATATAAATCTTTAAATGTCCACTAATCCGTGTTAATTTGTTTTCTGATTTCTTCTTTGATCCATGAATTACTTAAAAGTTTATCTAGTGTTTGGGTTTTCCTAGATATCTAATGATTATTGATTTTTAACTTACTGCTCTATGATCAAAGAACATGCCCTGCCCTGTATTGGGTTTTTTTTGTTTTTTTGTTTTTTGTTTTTTTGTTTTTTTTGGAGACAGAGTTTTGCTCTTTCGCCCAGGCTGGAGTGCAGTGTCGCGATCTCGGCTCACCGCAACCTCTGCCTCCCAAGTTCAAGCGATTCTCATGCCTCAGCCTCTTGAGTAGCTGGGATTACAGGCACACACCACCATACACAACTGATTTTTGTATTTTTAGTAGAGATGAGGTTTCACCATGTTGGCCAGGCTGGGCTTGAACTGCTGACCTCAGGTGATCCGTCCACCTCAGCCTCCCAAAGTGCTGGGATGACAGGCATGAACCACCACAACCAGCTGCCTGTATGATTTTTTTTTTTTTTTTTTTTGAGACGGAGTTTCGCTCTGTCACCCAAGCTGGAGTACAGTGGCACGATCTCGGCTCACTGCAAGCTTCGTCTCCCGGGTTCACTCCATTCTCCTGCCTCACCCTCCTGAGTAGCTGGGACTGCAGGCGCCTGCCACCATGCCTGGCTAATTTTTTGTATTTTTAGTAAAGACGGGGTTCCACTGTGTTAGCCAGGATGGTCTCATTCTCCTGACCAAGATGTTGAAACCCCTATCTCTACTAAAAATACAAAAAATTAGCTGGGCATGGTGGCAGGCACCTTTAATCTCAGCTACTCAGGAGGCTGAGGCAGAGAATTGCTTGAACCTGGGAGGCGGGAGGTTGCAGTGAGCCTAGATCGCACCACTGCACTCCAGCCTGGGCAACAGAGTGAGACTCCATCGCAAAAAAAAAAAAAAAAAAACGAAAGCTGCTACAGCCTTCTCAGGCTTATTGTTTTCATGGTATGTATATTTTTCCATCCATTTCCTCTCTTATTTATGTCTAAATTATGGCTTTGATAGACAGTATGTAATTGGGGTTTGGATTTTTATCCATTTTGACAGTATCTGCCTTTTAATTAGCATGTCTATTAGCATTTTTCAAATGATGTTTTAAGCACTTAACACGTGCACTTTTTTTATATTTGAGACACAGTCTCACTCTCTTGCCCAGGTAAAGTGCAGTGGCACAATTATAGCTCACTGCAGCCTTGACTTCCTAGGCTCAAGCAATCCTCCCACCTCAGCCTCCCGAGTAGCTGGGACTATAGGCGTGCACAACTGTATCCAACTTCACATACACTTTCGAAAAGCTTTTTAGGGTAGAAGTTCCGCTTTCTTAGCTCATCTTCATAGAATTTGAATCTAAAAAAAAAACAACTGAAAAACATTTGTCTTTACCATATTATTATAATAAAAATGACACTTTGTGAAACAGCAGCTGTATTTTTAAAGTACTATCAGCTGATACACTTTTATTTTATGTTATTTTATTTTATTTTATTTTATTTTAGAGACCGAGTTTCACCCTTGTTGCCCAAGCTGGAGTGCAATGGTGTAATCTCGGCTCACTGCAACCTCTGCCTCCTGGGTTCAAGTGATTCTCCTGCCTCAGCCTCCACAGTAGCTGGGATTACAGGTGCCTGCCAGTACTCCTGGCTAACTTTTTGTATTTTTAGTAGAGATACGGTTTCACCATGTTGGCCAGGTTGGTCTCAAACTCCTGACCTCAGGTGATCCACCCACCTCAGCCTACCTAAGTGCTGGGATTACAGGCGTGAGCCATGGCACCCAGCCAGTACTGTTCTTTTGACACCTGGCTTTTCATAGTATAATTCTCTGTTCCTGAATTGTATTTTTTTTTTTTTTTTTTTTTGAGACAGAGTCTCACTCTGTTGCCCAGGCTGGAGTGCAGTGACATGATCTCAGTTCACTGCAGCCCCCACCTCTTGGGTTAAAGTGATTCTCCTGCCTCAGCCTCCCAAGTAGCTGGAACCGCAGGCATGCACCGCCACACTTGGCTAATTTTTGTATTTGTAGTAGAGACAGGGTTTTACCATTTTGACCAGGCTGGACTCGAACTCCTGGCCTCAAGTAATCCGCCTGCCTTGGCCTCCCAAAGTGCTGGGATTACAGGCATGAGCCACCGCATGCAGCCTTGTTCCTAAATTCTGTCTTCTGTCTCTTGTCTGTTTCAACATTTCAGAGTACTTATTTCATGACTCTTTCAGATTACATTACTATTTCAAGTCCCCCCTGTTCATTCTACCAGTGGATTCTCTCTGGATAGTAGAATTCGTTGTGTATTTTATAAGTCTTTTTTGATGAAAGCTCATTTCTGACTATAGTTATTTCCCAAGGGTTTCATGTGGCTTGGGCTGGGAAAGCTTCTCTTTGAAGTGACTTCCAAGTTGCCTCCACCCTGACTACAGGATTCATTGGCTTGGAAGCAGAGTTTTTAGGTTAATTTCTCAATGCAGCTCGCTGCTTTCAGGTCGTTTGGATGGTATGAGCTTAGACTCTATACTGTTAGGAGTTCAGAGGTTAGGTTCTGAAGGTTAACTGGTGCATTGACCTTTAGTAGTTGTATTGATATGTGGTTCAATTTGGGGCTGCCATTTTATCATTTGATTTCTGTTCGTTGTCTTTGTCTTTTGTTTGTTCCTCCTTTCTTACTTTCTTTTTAGAATTCCAGTTTCAGCTGGGCACGGTGGCTGACACCTATAATCTCAACACTTTGGGAGGCTGAGGCGGGCAGATCACCTGAGGTCAGGAGTTCGAGATCAGCCTGGCCAATATAGTGAAGCCCAGTCTCTACTAAAAATACCAAAAATTAGCCGGGCATAGTGGCGGGCACTATTAATGCCAGCTACTCCGGAGGCTGGGACAGGAGAATCACTTGAACCCAGGAGGCGGAGGTTGCAGTGAGCCGAGATCGTGCCATTGCACTCCAGCCTGGGCGACAGACCAAGACTCCGTCTCAAAAAAAAAAAAAAAAAAAAAAGGGGCCAGGCGCAGTGGCTCACGCCTGTAATCCCAGCACTTTGGGAGGCCGAGGCGGGTGGATCACGAGGTCAGGAGATCAAGACCATCCTGGCTAACAGGGTGAAACCCTGTCTCTACTAAAAATACAAAAAATTAGCCAGGCGTGGTGGCGGGCGCCTGTAGTCCCAGCTACTCGGGAGGCTGAAGCAGGAGAATGGCGTGAACCCGGGAGGCAGAGCAGAGCTGGCAGTGAGCCGAGATCACACCACTGCACTCCAGTCTGGGCGACAGAGCAAGACTCCATCTCAAAAAAAAAAAAAAGAAAAAAGAATTCCAGTTTCATTTATCTATTTTCTTTTTTACTTTGCCTCTGCATTCTTTTTTTAGTGGTTACTCTACAGATTGCGGTATAAATCCTTAAGATAGAGTTAATCTTGCCAGGCACAGTGGCTTATACTTGTGATCCTTGTAATCCTAGCACTTTGGGAGGTCGAGGCAGGGTCGAGGCAGGGTCGAGGCTTAAGCAAGCCCAGGAGTTTGAGACCAGCCTGGGCAACATAGCAAGACCCCCATCTGTACAAAAAAAAATAAAAAACTAGCTGGGCGTGGTGGCGAGCACCCTATTCCTAGCTACTTGGGAGGCTGAGGCAGGTGAGGCAGGAGGATTGCTTGAGCCCAGGAGTTCGAGGCTGCAATGAGCCATGATCCTACCACTGCACTCCAGCCTGGGCAACAGAGCAAGACCCTGTCTCAAGAAAAAAAAAAAAGACAGTTAATCTTGTACCATTTCCCATTAAATGTAAAAACTTTGCAACCACACAGAAGCATTTCTTTCCCCCTTCCTCTCCCTCATCCTTTAAGGCAGGGTTTCTCAACCTCGGCACTGCTGCCATTCTGTGTGGGGGGGCTATCCAAGCACTGCAGGATGTTGGGTAGCCCACCCACCAGACGCCAGTGACATAGCTCCTCCTCAGGTGACAGAAAATGTCTCCAGATATTACCAGATGTCCCCTGGGGGCAGAAGCACCACAGGTGTGAGAACTCTCACTCTGAGGTATAGGTGTCCTGGGTGTTTCATCTGCCCTTGTTTTATTTTTTATTCATTTATTTATTTATTTGAGACAGTTTTGCTCTTTTTTTGTTTTTGAGACAGAGTCTCGCTCTGTCACCCAGACTGGAGTGCAGTGGTGTGATCTCAGCTCACTGCAACCTCCGCCTCCCAGGTTCAAGCTATTCTCCTGCCTCAACCTCCTGAGTAGCTGGGATTACAGGCACCTGCCACCATGCCCGGCTAATTTTTTGTATTTTTTTTTTTTAAAGAAGGGGTTTCACGACGGTCACCAGGCTGGTCTTGATCTCCTGACCTCGTGATTCACCCACCTTGGCCTCCTAAAGTGCTGGGATTACAGGCATGAGCCACTGCGCCTGGCCCTAATTTTTGTATTTTTAGTAGAGATGAGGTTTCACCTTTTTGGCCTGGCTGGTCTCGAACTCCTGACTTCAGGTGATCCACCCACCTCGGCCTTACAGGCATGAGCCGCAGTGCCCGGCCAATGCTGAATGTTTTATATCCCATAGTGTATTTCATTCTCACAAGATCCCCCGGGTACTGTTCCTTCTCCCAGAGCAAGAAGCACAGTGGCTGAGGTCCAGAGAAACGGAGGTGCTTCATGCAAGGTCAACACAGGATTCCTAACCGGACAGCCTGGGCTCCAGCACTGCCTGCTGGCCACATCCACCACTGCCTCCAGGAATCAGGTCTAGGTCTTGAAGGCAGCTCTGGGGCCAGAGACTGAGCCATCTCTTTTTTTTCCAGGTGTACAAAAGAGCCAAGGCGCTGGACCAGTCTGACAACGATATGTCCGCCGTGTACCGAGCCTACATACACTAAGCTGTCGACACCCCGCCCTCACCCCTCCAATCCCCCCTCTGACCCCCTCTTCCTCACATGGGGTCGGGGGCCTGGGAGTTCATTCTGGACCAGCCCACCTATCTCCATTTCCTTTTATACAGACTTTGAGACTTGCCATCAGCACAGCACACAGCAGCACCCTTCCCCTGAGGCCGGTGGGGAGGGGACAAGTGTCAGCAGGATTGGCGTGTGGGAAAGCTCTTGAGCTGGGCACTGGCCCCCCGGACGAGGTGGCTGTGTGTTCACACACACACACACACACACACACACACACACACACAGGCTCTCGCCCCAGGATAGAAGCTGCCCAGAAACTGCTGCCTGGCTTTTTTTCTTCCGAGCTTGTCTTATCTCAAACCCCTTCCAGTCAAGGAACTAGAATCAGCAACGAGAGTTGGAAGCCTTCCCACAGCTTCCCCCAGAGCGAAGAGGCTGTAGTCATGTCCCCATCCCCCACTGGATTCCCTACAAGGAGAGGCCTTGGGCCCAGATGAGCCAGTACAGACTCCAGACAGAGGGGCCCTTGGGGCCCTCCAACCTCAGGTGATGAGCTGAGAAAGATGTTCACGTCTAAGCGTCCAGTGTGCACCCAGCGCTCCATAGACGCCTTTGTGAACTGAAAAGAGACTGGCAGAGTCCCGAGAAGATGGGGCCCTGGCTTTCCAGGGAGTGCAGCAAGCAGCCGGCCTGCAGGTGAGCATGGAGGCCCGGCCCTCACCGCCTCGAAGCCATGCCCCAGATGCCACTGCCACAGCGGGCGCTCGCTCCTCCCTAGGCTGTTTTAGTATTTGGATTTGCATTCCATCCCTTGGGAGGGAGTCCTCAGGGCCACTAGTGATGAGCCAAGAGGAGTGGGGGTTGGGGGCGCTCCTTTCTGTTTCCGTTAGGCCACAGACTCTTCACCTGGCTCTGAAGAGCCACTCTTACCTCGGTCCCCTCCCAGTGGTCCCACCTTCTCCACCCTGCCCTGCCAAGTCCCCTGCATGCCCACCGCTCTCCATCCTCCCTCCTCTCCCTCTTCCTCCCGTGGAGACAGTATTTCTTTCTGTCTGTCCCTTTGGCCCAGACCCAGCCTGACCAACGATGAGCATTTCTTAGGCTCAGCTCTTGATACGGAAACGAGTGTCTTCACTCCAGCCAGCATCATGGTCTTCGGTGCTTCCCGGGCCCGGGGTCTGTCGGGAGGGAAGAGAACTGGGCCTGACCTACCTGAACTGACTGGCCCTCCGAGGTGGGTCTGGGACATCCTAGAGGCCCTACATTTGTCCTTGGATAGGGGACCGGGGGGGGCTTGGAATGTTGCAAAAAAAAAAGTTACCCAAGGGATGTCAGTTTTTTATCCCTCTGCATGGGTTGGATTTTCCAAAATCATAATTTGCAGAAGGAAGGCCAGCATTTACGATGCAATATGTAATTATATATAGGGTGGCCACACTAGGGCGGGGTCCTTCCCCCCTCACAGCTTTGGCCCCTTTCAGAGATTAGAAACTGGGTTAGAGGATTGCAGAAGACGAGTGGGGGGAGGGCAGGGAAGATGCCTGTCGGGTTTTTAGCACAGTTCATTTCACTGGGATTTTGAAGCATTTCTGTCTGAACACAAAGCCTGTTCTAGTCCTGGCGGAACACACTGGGGGTGGGGGCGGGGGAAGATGCGGTAATGAAACCGGTTAGTCAATTTTGTCTTAATATTGTTGACAATTCTGTAAAGTTCCTTTTTATGAATATTTCTGTTTAAGCTATTTCACCTTTCTTTTGAAATCCTTCCCTTTTAAGGAGAAAATGTGACACTTGTGAAAAAGCTTGTAAGAAAGCCCCTCCCTTTTTTCTTTAAACCTTTAAATGACAAATCTAGGTAATTAAGGTTGTGAATTTTTATTTTTGCTTTGTTTTTAATGAACATTTGTCTTTCAGAATAGGATTGTGTGATAATGTTTAAATGGCAAAAACAAAACATGATTTTGTGCAATTAACAAAGCTACTGCAAGAAAAATAAAACACTTCTTGGTAACACAGCTGTGCCGCAGGAGTCCTGCTTCCCTCGTCCTCGGCGAGATGGGTGGGAGGAGAAGGCAGCGGCGGGGCCGGGGTGGGTTTTCGGGACCTCCGCGTCCGGGGTGAGACGGACTTGGGAGTGGCGGCGAGGTCCGCGGCAGGGTTGGAACCACGACCAATGGAGCCAAGCGGGCCAATAGGGAGGAGGAGCGGGGACAGACTGTCCTGCCGGCCAATGAGTGAGCGCGAGTGGAGCAGAGCGCCCTATCATATCCTGGGGGCGCCCCGGGAGCTCCGCCCCCAAGCGGGCGCCCCAGGCTGGTGCCGGCCGCGTCCCTGGCCAGCCGGAGCAAGCCTGACTCGTGCAGCCGCCGGCCGCGTCCCTGGCCAGGCGGAGCGAGCCTCACTCCCGCAGCCGCCAGTCTGGTTCCAGGGCTCCCGCAGGTTTCGGGGGCCGAGGCGGACCGACAGGCGCCAGCCAATCGCGAGCACGGAGCCGGCCTGGGGGCGGGGTGGTACCCGCTCCGCCAATCGGGTGGGGGCGGAGCCAGACGCCGGGGGCGGACGGGAGGACCGGAGGACCGAGGACAGAAAGATTGGTGGACAGGAGCAGCGGCCGGTGGGGAGGGCGCTCGGCGGCGGCCTGCGGCCATGGCCACCGTGATGGCAGCGACGGCGGCGGAGCGGGCGGTGCTGGTAAGGCGCGCGGGCCAGCGGGCGGGCCGGCGGGGCGGCGGGGCCGGGCGCGACCGCCGGGTCTGTCCCGCAGGAGGAGGAGTTCCGCTGGCTGCTGCACGACGAGGTGCACGCTGTGTTGAAGCAGCTGCAGGACATCCTCAAGGTAACGACCCGCGCCCTGCCCCGCCGGGCGTGGCGGCCCTCCCTCCTCATTTCCCTGGCTCCACCTGGGGCCGCGCGGCTGCGTCCTGAGCGCCTACAGTGTGCGGCTGCCGCGGCTTTCAGGCAGGGCCCCGCCTCCGCGAACTCGAGCCGACCTCATTATATAAGTACCTGTGTGCGGGCAGGGGCGGGTCCCGACGAGGGTGCTAGCAAGGGCCTGAGTCCCGCCCGGCCTCGGGTCGGGGAAGGCCGCCTTGGGAGCAGCGGCATCCAATCTGGGAGCCGAAGAATTCTGCCTCTGCCTGGCAGTGTGACTTCAGCCAAGTCACTGAACCTCCCTGGGCCTCCCTTTTCTCATTGGCAAAAGGGAGATAACAGTACCCGCTTCGCGAGGCTGGGGTGTAGATAAATGAGCCAGGCAGCTCACAGAAGTAACCGGCGTAGTGCTTGCTGTGGCCCAGGACCGCGGGTTACCATAACTACTGCCTTGTTCCCTGACTCTGCCCCTTGCCCCTTTCCCCCTCAACCAAGCTGGGAGGCTGCCCCTGTCTGTTTTGTATTCCCCGAGGCGGGCACACAGGAGGTGTTCAGGGAATGTGGTATAAGCAGAGATCGGGCTCACGGTTAGGTGCCCTGGGGGCTTGGGCAGGGTCTTCCCACCCCAGCTGAACCCAGGTGAGGCCAGGCCACGTTGTTCCTTCCCCCCGCTGACTTGGAGGGAGGGGGGCTTCTGGAAGGAGCACTGGGCCGGGCCTGAGTGGGCGCTACCAGCTCCCCTCCTTCCCTCTGTTCCACAGGAGGCCTCTCTGCGCTTCACTCTGCCGGGCTCCGGCACTGAGGGGCCCGCCAAGCAAGAGAACTTCATCCTAGGCAGCTGTGGGTGAGCCTGGGCTAGGCGGAAACCGGGGAAATGGGTACCTTGGGGGGTAGGAGGCATGGCCATAGCCCTGTCCTGCAGACCAGCTGGTTGTGCGATGGGACAGGAGGGGCAGCCCGCCGGGAGGGAGGGCTGGGTGGTGGGGGGGTGACCACAGGCACCGCTCTGACGCCACATGTTACAGCACAGACCAGGTGAAGGGTGTGCTGACTCTGCAGGGGGATGCCCTCAGCCAGGCGGTGAGTCCCCCGGCCCTGTCCCCTCCCATCCTGCCAATGGGGAAGAGCATGGGAGCTCCCACTTTCTCTCTGTACAAGCCCTGCGACTCTGGGCGGGACCCTTGATCTCTCTGGCCTCAGTTTTCTCCTTTGGAAAATGACAGCAACCCTCACACCTTCTCCCGGGATCGGTGTGCAGATTCAGTAAGAGGTGCAGGAGAGGGGTTCTTTGCACACGGCCTGGCCTGGCGTCCGGACCAGTGAAACATGGGCATTGGTGGATTAGGCTGGCCACACATCACAGTTGAATCAGCCAATGCCTGAACTCCAGTCTGCACCCGACTCTGTGCCAGGCACCAAGGCGTGGGGGGAGGCCCCCCTCCTGGGCTCCATCTGTTGCCCTTTGTAGACACTAGATGCACCCCGTTCGCACAGAGCCTCACAGAGGCTGCCTTTCCTCTTCCCCTTCCCCTTTCTTCACCTCTTTCCATTTCACTTCTTTGTGGCTCTTCTTGGGCCTGGTTTCCTGTTTCCTGACCTCCCTGTTCAACCCCCAAACGGCCAAGGCATTGGGAGACCCTCTGCCCTATACAGCGGCCAAGGCCTGAACCACCACACACCCCATTTCTGCCCTGGGCTTAAGGGCTCAGAGTGGCTGTGGCAGGAGGTGCCCCCCCACTGCCCAGCTCACCCCACTCTTGCCTGTCAGGATGTGAACCTGAAGATGCCCCGGAACAACCAGCTGCTGCACTTCGCCTTCCGGGAGGACAAGCAGTGGAAGCTGCAGCAGGTGACCCCGCCCCTCCTGGCTAGTGCTCAGCCACAAGGACAGGCGGCAGCAGGCCTGCCGCGGGGCCTCCCTGGAGAGGGACTAGCCCTGGGGATCTGTGGCCACAGCAAGCCTGGGAGGGTGTTTCCTAACAGCAAAGCTGGGGGCAGGCGTTTCCTGAAGCCCTGGAGGCTGCGCCATGTGGGGAGGTAGAGAACCTGGCCTGAGAGCCCCGAGGGCCACATCGGGACTGTGGAGTCCCCACAGCAGCTGGCTGGATGAGATGGTTCAGAAGCCCTCTGAAAAGTCACTCCCTTGCCCAGAGCCTCCAGGGACTTGCCATGGCTCTGGGGATGAGGCCCATGCTCCCTGGCAGCTCCTGTACCAATGGGCCCCAGCCTCCTCCCCTGCCCCCTCCACCCCGACTGTCTCCATCTCAGCACCCTTGCCCCTGCCTTGTCGCCCTGTTTGCTTCCCTCCGCAACTCGCACAGACTCTTGTCTTGGGCATTACTGTGTGTCCATCCCTTAGAAAGGAGGGGGCAGTCAGCTTGGGCAGAGACCAGGCCTGCCCCAGGTGATGCCAGATGCCCATCACCTGGCGTGGACCTGGCCCTCTGGGGCACAGGGATGACAGTGTGGAGAGTGGAATGACGTGGGGCAGGCAGGCAGCACCCACTCTCCCCTCCTGGCCGCATGGAAGCTGGCGTGACCCCTCTGGATGACCCCTGCTTCCAGATCCAGGATGCCAGAAACCATGTGAGCCAAGCCATTTACCTGCTTACCAGCCGGGACCAGAGCTACCAGTTCAAGACGGGCGCTGAGGTCCTCAAGGTGAGCTGCCCCCGGGCCTGACTCCTGGGCCTAGTCCCACGTTCTTGATCCGGAATCACACCTGGGTTCCAATCCCAGGGCCTCCACGTTGAGCTGTGCAACCTGTAAGCACTTACCTGCCGACTCTGTGTCTCCATTTCTACCTGTGGGGTCAGGGGCAAGCTGGAGTGACTGTTCACCATAATAATTCAGGTCACGGGGCCCCCAGTAAGCACTCGGCACACACCACTGCCGGTAGCAGCAGTGAAAGCCTTCACATTAACCGCGTGGCACATGTGAAGAGCTGACCTGGGCACCTGACCTCATGCTTGAGTTCTGCCCCTGACTTGCTGTGTGTCCTCCGGTGGTTCACCTGCCCTCTCTGGACCTCTGTTTCCTCACACTTAGAACCAGATAGACTAAGATCCCTTCGAGAACTGTAACCACCCTAGGGTGCTACAGGCCCTATACCCCCAGTCAGCTCTTACGTGTTTCCTGGGAGCCACATCACCCTGGTACTCATGGCCACGGCTGAATGGCACGAAAGCTGGGGCTCTGAGGAGTCTGCCAGGGCTCTGCTCCACGGCAAAGGGAAGGAATGGGCTCCAGGTGGTCCCACCATCCATCAGCCGTGACCCTGGCTTACCCCCCTGAAAACCTCAACCCAGTCATCCATCGCCTCTTCCAGGAAGCCCTCTCTGGCCCTTTACAACCAACCTTTGTTGCCTGTACCCCTGTCCACAAAGCCTGTGCCCCTGGGACTGACCTCCCAGGACCTTCCATTCCCCATTGATCCAGCACCCAGGATCCCCGTGCAGTGAATCAGCCCCATCCCGACTGACATTAGTGCAGACATCCTGCCCTCCTCCATACCCAGCTGGAGCCCAACTACCTGTCTTTAACAGGTCCCTGCTGCCGGGTTTCGGGACCTGGGAACAGTAGCCACTGGGCTGGGTGGGAGTGGGAGCTACCATGTCTGTTGTTCCTTAATGCATGGGGACACGGGAGGACGCAGAGCCAACCCCGCCTCTCCCTGCAGCTGATGGACGCAGTGATGCTGCAGCTGACCAGAGCCCGAAACCGGCTCACCACCCCCGCCACCCTCACCCTCCCCGAGATCGCCGCCAGCGGCCTCACGGTCAGTGCCCCTGCCAGCCCCTGCTGCAGGAGAGGGGTCCCACAGTGGGTCCCAGCTTGCCCTCAGGATGGACGCGGAGGGGTGCCACTCCCAGATTATAGGTGGAATATTCTGTCTAGGCAGGTTTCTGGGATGGGGTCCTTGGCTTCCGTCCTGTGCCCCTAAAATACGTTAACCCTGTTTCGGGTTAGTGGTTCCCAAACCTGACAGCACAGGAGATACTTGGGGCACCTGGGAAAAGTCTGGAAGCCCCCATTGATGAGAAGAGCATCTCTGGGGTGGGGACTGGGATCCCCTGCAGACTCCATGAGTGACTGCAGAGCCCCGCTCCATCCAGCCTGGGCTGGGGGCTTGCGAGGGCCTCATCCCACCTGCCTCCCGCAGCGGATGTTCGCCCCTGCCCTGCCGTCCGACCTGCTGGTCAACGTCTACATCAACCTCAACAAGCTCTGCCTCACGGTGTACCAGCTGCATGCCCTGCAGCCCAACTCCACCAAGGTGAGGAGGGACCCCTGCCCGGCCCACTGCCCGCCATGCACACGCCCTGCAAGGCCTGACGGGTCTGGTGCTGTTCTCCCTAGAACTTCCGCCCAGCTGGGGGCGCGGTGCTGCATAGCCCTGGGGCCATGTTGTAAGTAGGCAGGGGCGGGGGGTCCAGGCACGCCCACCCCATCCCTCCACACCTGGAGGGCCGGGACCCTCCTCAGGGACCCTCTCACTGCCCACAGCGAGTGGGGCTCTCAGCGCCTGGAGGTGAGCCACGTGCACAAAGTGGAGTGCGTGATCCCCTGGCTCAACGACGCCCTGGTCTACTTCACCGTCTCCCTGCAGCTCTGCCAGCAGCTCAAGGACAAGGTGGGCCCGGGCCGAGCGCCTTCATTAGGGGAAGGACTTCTAAGGGTCCTTGCCACACCCTCAGAGCGCCCCAACCTTGGGGTCTGGTGTACCCCACAGCACTGCGAGGCAGCAATGCCCTGTCCTGACATATTGTCCTTGGGTGACCTTGACATCTCCCCTGGGCTACCCCATCCCCCTTCAGCAACCTACAGCACCCTCTCCCCTTGCAGATCTCCGTGTTCTCCAGCTACTGGAGCTACAGACCCTTCTGATCACAGCACCCAGGAGCTTGTCTCCAGGAAGGCGGCCCCGTCCCCTACTCATACCCACCACAGAGCACCAGCCAGTGCCAACGCCAGGCTGCTATTTATCTCCCTATCCCACCCCCTACCCCACCTAACACATTTGCACTGCCGGGAATGGACACTGGAAGTGCCAGGAGGAAGGAAGGCTGGTTTGGTGGGGTAGTGGGGAGGTCAGGGAGGCGGGGCCAAGGGTGTCCCACATTCCCAACACCGCCCTCTGATCACCATGGGAATCTTTGGACTCAGGACAGGGCCAGGCGCAGGGCTCTCCCTCCTCTCCCCTTCGCTGTCCCCTCCCCCTGGAGGGCATGGTGTCGGGGGGTGGCACTGAGCTATGAGTCCCGGGGATGGTGAGGAACGCCACAGACAGAGCCACCCTAGGAGTGAGTATAGTGCTGGTGACTGTGTTTCATAGCCCCAGTCCAGGGCTGTCTAAGAAATAAAGATCATCAGACTCCACCTGGAGCCCCTGTCTGTCTGTCTGAGTGGGAACCCAGGCAGGGGGTCTCTGGTAGTCAGTGGCCATGAGCTTCAGGAGCCAGCCGTCTCCCCTATTCCCGGAGCCTGGCTTCCGCGTTCCCTGTGCCATGCCAGGGCAGGGCACAGAACCTACTGTCGAGAGGGGACCCTCGGGCTGCCAAGAAGCCCATGGGGTGGCGACAAGAGCTCTACCTGGGACTTTGGGCCACCGAGTCTTTTTTTTTTTTTTTGAGACGGAGTCTCGCTCTATCGCCCAAGCTGGAGTGCAGTGGCGCGATCTCGGCTCACTGCAGGCTCCGCCTCCCGGGTTCAAGTGATTCTCCTGCCTCAGCCTCCCGAGTAGCTGGGACTACAGGTGCCCGCCACCACGCCCGGCTAATTTTTTGTATTTTTAGTAGAGACGGGGATTCACCACGTTAACCAGGATGTTCTCGATCTCCTGACCTCGTGATCCGCCCACCTCGGCCTCCCAAAGTGCTGGGATTATAGGTGTGAGCCACCGCGCCCGGCCTGAGACCAGCTCCCCTCCCAGCTAGGTGACTGAGGATGACCTGGCACAGTCGTGCTGACTGAAGGCTTGGAGAGGCCAGGTGGCCACCTGAGTGGGGCGGCGAGTCCCGCGTCACCCACCCAGACGGGGACTGGAAGACACTGCAGACTCAGGCTCTGGGCAGACAGAAGGCTTTGTTACTGCCACCGGGCAGGAGACACAGGGTCAGGGTTCCAGGGCCAAGTTATCCACTCCCTTGGGTCTTTCCTGCACGAGAAGCACAGCGGGACCAAGCAGGTTCGCTCGTTGTTCCCTAGGGGGATGAGCACCCTTCCCGCCACTCCCCTCACCTTCCGCCTCCACCCCCAGTACAGTTCCGTGCAGGTCCCAGAGGCCGGCAGGGCTCACCTTCCAGGGGCTCACCTTCCTGGGGCTTTCCCTGCGGGGCCCGGGGGAGCTGCAGCAGCAGCAGTGGGCGACGACCAGCAGCAGCAGGAGCAGCACGGTGCCTGGGGACAGGACAGGCGTCCAGGTGTGGCCCCAACCTGGAGCCCAGGGCAGGGGGCTGGGAGGACCCAGAGGCCACAGCCACACTTACCCATGAAGGTGAGGAAAACAATGAAGGCAACAGTGTCCCATGTGGACTGGAAAAACTGGTGGCTCTTCAGTCTCCCCAGGACTTCCTGAACCGTGGCCTCCAGCTCCTCTGTGGACACAGCCATCTTGGCGTGCACCGTGCCACCTGCCCCGGTCCCCCAGAGGCTGCATCAGGATCCTGGGCTCAGCTCAGCGGGGACCACATCCAGGCTTCCCACAGCCCAGCCACTGCCCGCTCCTGGCCCAGCGCCAGCTTCCCCACCCCCTCCCACTCCACTTCTCCCTCGGCCCCAGGCCCAGCTTCTCTCCTTGCCCAGCCCTGTGGTCCTTACCCTGACAACCTTCTCCCCAGCCACTGTCATCTCCCCTCTCTCTCCCCCTGGCAGCCCAGCCCCCAGGCCCCCACCTACCTCCTAGAAGCCTCCAATTCCCCCAACCAGGCAGGTCCTGGGGAGCACAGGCTGCTTCCTGCTTCCGGCTCCACACCACCTGAGGCCTTGGCAACCAGCCCCGCCCTCCCCAGGGCCAGCAGAGGCCGCCCAGCCCAGGGGAGAGGGCCCAGGCCCAGCAGGTGCGCTCCCTGGCTCCCCACTGCTGGAGGCCCAGGGAGGAAGACGCCGGCCTGTGGCTTCTTCACTCCTGAGACTTCTTACCTTTCCTCAGTATCCCAGATATGCAGCTGGGAACACCTGTGTGCTTGGCCACTGCTGACTTCGTGAATGAAAGAGAGAGAGATGGGAGAGAAGGTGGGTGGGAGGGAGGGGGAAGGGGGAGAAAACCTACCTGCATCCCACGACCCTTGAGCAGCTAGGACAGGTGTGCCTGCATCATAGAGTTGTCCTTGGAATCCTCAACGATTGGTTCCAGCACCTCCGTGGGTACCAAAATCCACAGATGCTATAAACTCCCTGATATAAAATGAGGCAGTATTTGCATATAACCTGTGCATATACTCTATACTTTAAATCATCTCTGGATTACTTATAATACTTAATATATTTGGCCTGGCCTGGTGGCTCACACCTGTAATCCCACCACTTTGGAAGGCCAAGTTGGGCAGATCACTTACTTAGATCAGGAGCTTGAGACCGTCCTGGCCAACATGGCGAAACCCCACCTCTACTAAAAATACAAAAATTGGGCCGGGCGCAGTGGCTCACGCCTGTAATCCCAGCACTTTGGGAGGCAGAGGCGGGTCAGCTGAGGCCAGAAGTTTGAGACCAGCCTGACTGACCAACGTGGAGAAACCATGTCTCTACTAAAAATACAAAATTAGCCAGGCGTGGTGGCACATTCCTGTAATCCCAGCTACTAGGGAGGCTGAGGCAGGAGAATCACTTGAACCCGGGAGGCAGAGGTTGTGGTGAGCCGAGATCACGCCATTGCACTCCAGCCTGGGCAACAAGAGCAAAACTCCATCTCAAAAAAAAAAAAAGATAAAAATACAAAAATTGGTCGGGTGTGGTGGCTCATGCCTGTAATCCCAGCACTTTGGGAGGCCGAGGCAGGCGGATCACAAGGTCAGGAGATCAAGACCATCCTGGGTAACACGGTAAAACCCCATCTCTACTAAAAATACAAAAAATTAGCCGGCCATGGTGGCACGCGCCTATAGTCCCAACTACTCAGGAGGCTGAGGCAGGAGAATTGCTTGAACCCTGGAGGCAGAGATTGCAGTGAGCCGAGATCTCGCCACTGCACTCCAGCCTGGGTGACAGAGCAAGACTCCATCTCAAAAAATAATAATAATACAAAAATTACCCCGCTGTGGTGGCGGGCACCTGTAATCCCAGCTACTTGGGAGGCTGAGGCAGGAGAATCGCTTGAACCCAGGAGGCGGAGCCTGTAGTGAGCCAAGATCATGTCACCGCACACCCGCCTGGGTGACAGAGCAAGACTATCTCAAAAAAAATAAATTGGCTGGGTGCGGTGGCATACTCCTGTAATCCCAGCTAATCGGGAGGCCAAGGCAGGAGAATCGCTTGAACCCAGGAGGCAGAGGCTGCAGTGAGCCAAGATGGCACCACTGCACTCTAGCGTGGGTGACAGAGCAAGACTCCATCTCAAGAAAAAATTGTATACATATATTTATTTAATATAATGTATGCTAGGTAAATAATTGTTACATTGTATAGGGAACAGTAAGCAAAAAAGTCTGTACATGTCCAATAGAGATGTGATTTGTTTCCAAATATTTTCTGTCTGTGGTTGGCTGAAGCCACAGATGTGGAACCTGTGGATACGGAAGGCCAGCTGTACTAGGACTCTTCACTGTCCTTATTTTCTCTATTTTACTACTTGAAAATATCAGCTAATGTGGGGCTCTGCATCGAGCACTGTGCTGTGTCACCTGGTTTATTCCTCATAGCAATCCTAAAGTGGGTATTATTGCTTTTTCCATTTTACAGATGAGGAAACGGAGGCCTAGAGAAGTTTAGCCATTAGCCCGTCACACACCTAATGTATCCATGTCCCAATGCTGCCGTAACACTACCACAAACTCTGTGGCTTCAAACAACACAAATGTATTGCCCTATGGTTCTGAAGGTCAGAGTCTAAAATGGGTCGACCAGGCTGTGTTCATCCTGAAGGTTCTAGGGCAGAGTCCATCTTTTGCCTTGTCCAGCTTCTAGAGGGTGGTGGCATTCCTGGGCTTGTGGTCTCCCATCCCTCCACCCTCTGCTTCCAGGCTCACGTCTCCTCCTCTGACTCTAATCCTCCTCCCTCCCTTTTTTTTTTTTTTTTTTTTTGAGACAGAGTTTCGCTCTTTTTGCTGAGGCTAGAGTGCAGTGGCGCCATCTCGGCTCACTGCAATCTCCGCCTCCCGGGTTCGAGCGATTCTCCTGCCTCAGCCTCCTGAGTAGCTGGGATTACAGGCACCTGCCACCACGCCCAGCTAACTTTTGTATTTTAGTAGAGACTGGGTTTCACCATGTTGGCCAGGCTGGTCTCAAACTCCTGACCTCAGGTGATTCACCCACCTTGGCCTCCCAAAGTGCTAGGATTACAGGTGTGAGCCACGATGCTTGGCCTTTTTTTTTTTTTTTTTTTTGAGACGGAGTCTTGCTGTCACCCAGGCTGGCAGGCTGGAGTGCAATGGCACGATGTCGGCTCACTGCAACCTCCGCTTCCTGGGTTCAAGAGATTCTCCTGCCTCGGCCTCCCGAATCACTGGGATTTCAAGCGTGCACCACCACACCCAGCTGATTTTTGTGTTTTCAGTAGAGACGGGGTTTCACCATGTTGGTCAGGCTGGTCTTGAACTCCTGAGCTCTAGCAATCCGCCCCCCTCAGCCTCCCAAAGTGCTGGGATTACAGGCATGATCCACCGCGCCCAGCAGACATACTTCTATTTAAAAAGTGCAGGGGAGGCTAGGCGCGGTGGCTCATGCCTGTAATCCCAGCACTTTGGGAGGCCGAGGGGGGCAGATCACGAGGTCAGGAGATCGAGACCATCCTGGCTAACACGGTGAAACCCCGTCTCTACTAAAAATACAAAAAATTAGCCGGGCGTGGTGGCGGGCACCTGTAGTCCCAGCTACTCGGGAGGCTGAGGCAGGAGAATGGCATGAACCCGGGAGGCGGAGCTTGCAGTGAGCCGAGATCACGCCACTGCACTCCAGCCTGGGCGACAGAGCGAGACTCTGTCTCAAAAAAAAAGAAAAGTGCAGGGGAACAACTGTGGCCCCTGCTCCAGCTCTTGGCCTGGCTGGGTGGGCAGGAGGCCCACTGTCCCCTCCTCTCCCCTCTGGCCCTCAGTCTTCCTGTCTCTCTGGGTACCTTGTTTCTAATGTTTGTTGTTACTATTATGAAAGTCGTATCTATCTCTTAAAGAAGATCTGGAAACCACCAAGTTGTTAAAAGACAAAGTCAGGCCAGGCGCGGTGGCTCACACCAGTAATCCAAGCACTTTGGGAGGCCGAGGTGGGCAGATCACCTGAGGTTAGAAATTCGAGACCATCCTGGCCAACATGGCGAAACCCGTCTCTACTAAAAATACAAAAATTAGCCGGGCGTGGTGGTTGGTGCCAGTAATCCCAGCTACTCGGGAAGCTGAGGCAGGAGAATCACTTGAACCCGGGAGGCAGAGGTTGCAGGGAGCCAAGATCTCGCCACTGCACTCCAGCCTGGGTGACAGAGTGAGACTGTGTCTCAGAAAACAAAAAAGACAAAAGTCACAGAGCCCCGCCCAGTCCCAGGCAGGACAGTAACAGGAGGAGGAGGCTGTGGCAGGGAGTGGTTCCGGTGAGTCAGACTTCTGGACCCAGGTTCGATTGCATGCCATAAGACCCACCAATGTGTGAGCTTGAGTAACGTTCCCTGAGCCCTTCTGCCTCAGTATACTCATCTGTAAAATGGGTATGTTAATAGTATCCACCTCCTCCCAGTGTCGTGAGGATGAAATGAACTGATCATCGATGTCAGAGCCGTCGAAGCATGATGGAAGGCTCACAGAAACGTGCACTGAATGCCCTGTGCTATTATCGCCGTGTTGACGTGTGATTCCATCCAGGCTTTTGTCCTCTTCCACCATAGTCACGCTGCATAGATCGTTTTTTCCCTGGCTTTTGCCAGTCAACACCACCGGGAGCACCTTCCAGATGACAGCATGCTTTCTGCAAACTACTCCTTTGACGGCACTTACATGGTGCAGTCCCTACTGGCACCCAGTGAGGCTCCTCCCCTCACCGCCACGATTTTCAGAATTAGACCATCGCTCACATGGGAGGATTTTCCTGGAGAAAGTGTTTTCTCTGCACAGAGGCGCATTTCCTTAGGGGACATCCCCAGAGGTACGTCTACTGCTCAAACGCAGTCCACACGTCACCATCACCAGAGCCATTTGTTCATCCACTAACCACATCCTCAGCTGCTTATGGGAGAGGCCCCCGTGCTGAATCCCTCAAGGGCTGTGGAATTGTGGTTTTCAAGATTTCACCTTGGACAACAAACTGTGGTCCAGGACAGGCTGTGCCCCATCGTCCCTGCCACCCTGGGCCCTGCCTGGCCCACCCTTAACCTCTAAGCCTTTATTTATTTACTTACTTATTTATTTATTTATTTATTTACTGAGCTAGGGTCTTACTCTGTCGCCCAGGCTGGAGTGCAATGGCACGATCTCGGCTCACTGCAACCTCCACCTCCTCGGTTCAAGCTATTCTCCCTGCCTCAGCCTCCCAAGTAGCTGCGACTACAGGTGCCCGCCACCAAGCCCAGCTAATTCTTGTATTTTTAGTAGAGATGGGGTTTCGCCATGTTGGCCAGGCTGGTCTCAAACCGGACCTCAAGTGATCTGCCCACCTTGGCCTCCTGAAGTGCTGGGATTACAAGCATGAGTCAACGCACCTGGCTGACCCCTAGCCTCTAAGCCTTTAAGGTTAAGCCTCCAGGAAGGAGCGGGAGTTCCCCAGAAGGAAGAACTGGCAGAAGGTAGTGGACAGCAAAGGGCAGAAGTCGGCCTGGGGCTCAGGAAAGCTGGAACCACGGCCACCTTTCTTCTGTGAATACGGTTTTACTTAGACACAGCCACGCCCATCTGTTTACCTATTGTCTGTGGCGACTTTCTCACTGCAATGAAAAGTTGCATAGTAGTTGCAACAGAGAACTTAGGACCAGCAAAGCCTAAAATAGGGACCATCTGGCCCTTTACAGAAAACACTTGCCAGCCTGAGTGTGGTGGCGCTTTGGGAGGCTGAGGCAGCTGGACCCCTTGACCCCAGGAGTTCAAGACAATCTTGGGCAACATAGGGAGACCTCATCTCTACAAAAAGTAAAAAAATTAGCCCAGCATGGTCTACGTACCTGAAGTCCCAGCTACTAGGGAGGCTGGGGCAGGAGGATCACTTGAACCCAGGAAGTCGAGGCTGCAGTGAGCTGTCATTGTGCCTCTGCACTCCAACTTGGGTGACAAAGTGAGACCCTGTCCCAAAAAAGAAAAAAAAAAAAGAAAGAAAAGAAAGGAGAAAAGAAAGAAAAAAGAAAGAGAAAACATTTGCCAATAGCAAGGACACAGGAATGCCTAAGCCTTGTGAAGTCAAGTACCAGGAAACAAGAAAGAATTAACTGTGTGAGATGGACTTGGTATAAGAAACAGCTTATCAGGCTGGGCATGGTGGTTCACGTCTGTAATCTCAGCATTTAGGGAGGCTGAGGTGAGAGGATCACTAGAACCCAGGAGTTTGAGACCAGCATGGGCAACATAGTGAGACCGTGTCTCAAAAAAATTTTAAAAAGGGCTGGGCGCAGGGGCTAACGCCTGTAATCCCAGCACTTTGGGAGGCCGAGGAGGGCAGATCACGAGATCAGGAGATCGAGACCATCCTGGCTAACACAGGGAAAACCAGTCTCTACTAAAAATAGGAAAAAATTAGCCGGGCGTGGTGGCAGGCGCCTGTAGTCCCAGCTACTCGGGAGGCTGAGGCAGGAGAGCGGCGTGAACCCGGGAGGCAGAGCTTACAGTGAGCCGAGATCATGCCACTAAACTCCAGCCTGGGTGACAGAGCGAGACTCCGTCTCAAAAAAAAAAAGAAAAAAAGGAAAAAAGAAAAAAAAAGGCCAGGCATGGTGGCTCACTAATCCCAACACTTTGGGAGACCAGGGTTGGTGGATCACTTGAGGTCAGAAGCTTGTGACTAGCCTGACCAATGTGGTGAAACCCCTTCTCTACTAAAAATACAAAATTAGCGTGGTGGTGCACACCGGTAATCCAGCTACTTGGGAGGCTGAGGCAAGAGAATTGCTTGAACCCAGGAGGCGGAGGTTGCAGTGAGCCGAGATCGCGCCACTGCATTCCAGCAAGGGCAACAGAGCGAGGCTGTCTCAAAAACAAACAACAAAAAAAGAAACAGCTTATCAGAGAGACAGTAAGGCAGGGGTGAGGACCACAGTCTGGAAAGCACATGGCCTATTTAAAGAGGGCATCTCAAGTCAGGGTGATAACCTCTAAGATACACCGGAAATCTAGATGTTTCTGTAAACCAGAAAAAGGCAGTAGAGGGTGAGCACACAGACTCAGAGCGGCAGAGACTCTGCCACCTCCTCACCTGACCCTCTCTTATCTATCAGCTTGGGGTAGTAACAGCACTTACTTCACAGGGCTTGATTATTAAACAAGTTAACATCTTTGGGCTCCTAGAACGATGCCATGTGCAGAGTCAGGACTGGGTAAATATTTGCTAAAGCAATCTCTTCATGTTTTTGACGCTGCAACTTAAAACACATGGCGCCAATCGTGGACACGGATATCCCGCTAGCCAGCTGTGGGGCCTGGGTTTGCTCACCCCAGCAGAGTGGTTGAGGGCGTCAGCTTGGAGGTGGGAGCCCAGCTGACGAGGGGGCCTTGGGCCCCTGGTTCTACTTGGGGATTATTGTATTATTAGGCTGGGGTCATTGTGGGGATTAGAAGGGTAACAGCTCCTGCTCCTGCTGCAGAGAAGCCTCCAGGTGGGGGTCACAGCAAGTGCAGATGGAGCTCAGATTCTTCGGTTAACTGTCACCCTCTCCCCTCCCCCATCACACACACCAGGCCCTGCCAGGACAAGGCAGCTCCTGGAAGCTCCACCAGGACCCACGTCCACCAGGTGTCACAGCAGGCTGCTTCTCTCTCTCTCTGCCCCCCGTGGGCTCTTCGCACCGCTCCCTCCCAGCCATCTTCCCTGCCTGACCTTGGTCTCTCTCTCTCTGTCTCCGTCACCTTCATGCCTGTGCCGTCTTTCTCGCTCTCTATCAACTCTGCTGTGTGTCCCCCTGGGGAAAGTGGGGGCACCTCCTCCTGAGCCCCCTGCCCAAGTTTCCTGCTGGGACGGGAGCCACTTCACCCCATACACACTCCCTGAAGCCCCTCCAGGACTCCAGCCTGGCTGCAAACACCCATCCTGGACTTTGCCTGGCCCTCCAGGCTCTGCTGGGGGAAGCGACCTGAGAGGCCCCTGCCTGGGCTGTAGGTGGGGACAGGGCAGACCCTTGGGCAGCGGAGCCTCTCTGGATGGGTGTTGAGGCACCCTGCAGAAACAGCTCCCCACAGGCACCCTTGCCACACCCCTGGGACTACAGGCACTTAGGGTACACCAGAGGCATGAAGTGTGGAGGGGGTTGGCCAACGGCCAAGCTCAAATAGGGGTTCAGATAGGAGAGGTCAATGTGGGCTCCTCTGAGCCCCAGTGACCCCCTTCTCCCCACCCACCTGGTGACAGGCATCTCGAACCCTTGGCCCCCATGGACCCCCTGAGGCGCTCCCCCTCTCCCTGCCTGTCCTCGCAGCCCTCCAGCCCCAGCACCCCACCCTGCGAGATGCTTGGTCCTGTGGGCATTGAGGCTGTGCTGGACCAGCTGAAGATCAAGGCTATGAAGATGGGGTTTGAGTTCAACATCATGGTGGTGGGTGAGTGAGAGGTAGGGCCCACGGCAGGACAGACCCACAGTGCTACGCGTGCCTGGGCGTGTGGCCTCACCTTTGGCAGCCTGTCGCCCCTCCCCATCTCTTAGGTGGGCCTGATAATAGCACCTCACAGGGATGTTGTCATTGAAAATTTGAGAAATGCTGAGTCATTAAAAGACAAAAATGTGCCTGGAGCGGTGGCTCACACCTATAATCCAGGGTTTTGGGAGACTGAGGTGGGTGGATCACTTGAGCTCAGGAGTTTGAGACTAGCAAAACCTAATGTCTACAAAAAGTACAAAAATGAGGCCGGGCATGGTGGCTCAAGCCTGTAATTCCAGCACTTTGAAAGGCCAAGGCAGGAGGGTCACTTGAGGTCAGGAGTTCGAAAACAGCCTGGCCAACATGGGGAAACTCCGTCTCTACTAAAAATACAAAAATTTGCCAGGCGTGGTGGTGGGCGCCTGTACTTAGGAGCTACTTAGGAGGCTAAGGCAGGAGAATTGCTTGAACCTGGGAGGCAGATGTTGTAGTGAGCCGAGATTGCGCCACTGTACTCCAGCCTGGGTGACAGAGCAAGACTGAAGCAGAAGGATCCCTGGAGGCCAGGAGTTCATGACCAGCCTAGGCAACACAGCAAGACCCCATCTCTACAAAAAAAATTTAAAAATTAGCCAGGCATGGTGACATGCACCTGAATCCCAGCTACTTGGGGGGCTGAGGTGGGAGGATCGTTTGAACCTGAGGGTGGAGGTTGCAGTGAGCTGCGATCACTTGAGTCTGGGTGACAGATTGAGACCCTGTCTTAAAAATTAAAAAACAGTGCAAGGCCGGGTGTGGTGGCTCACGCCTGTAATCCCAGCACTTTGGGAGGCTGAGGCAGGCGGATCATGAGGTCAGGAAATCAAGACCATCCTGGCTAACATGGTGAAACCCCGTCTCTACTAAAAATACAAAAAAATTAGCCAGGCGTGGTGGCGGGCGCCTGTAGTCCCAGCTACTTGGGAGGCTGAGACAGGGGAATGGCGTGAATCTGGGAGGCGGAGCTTGCAGTGAACCGAGATCCCACCATCGCGCTCCAGCCTGGGTGACAGAGCGAGACTGCGTCTCAAAAAAAAAAAAAAAAAAAGCAGTGCAAAAATCAGCTGGGTATGGTGGCGTGTGCCTACAGTCCCAGCTACTAGGGAGGCCGAGGTGCGAGAATCACTAGAGTCTGGGAAGGTCGAGGCTGCAGTGAACGGGGATTGCATCATTGCACTCCAGCCTGGGTGACAGAGTGAGAACCTGTCTCCAAAAATAAAATAGAAAAGTAAAGAGTTAGAGAAAAACTGCCTAAAACGCCCACCCTAACTGCTGTCATCCGGTTGCCACTCCCAGGGCAAAGCGGGCTGGGCAAGTCCACGATGGTGAACACGCTGTTCAAGTCCAAAGTGTGGAAGTCAAACCCACCGGGCTTGGGGGTGCCCACACCCCAGACGCTGCAGCTGCATTCACTGACCCATGGTGAGTGAGCCCCTGCCCACACCTCACCCCACCCTGCCCCACCCCATCCCACCTGGGTCCAGTCTCTCCCGACTCTGCTCTCCCTCCACAGTCATAGAGGAGAAGGGTGTGAAGCTGAAGCTGACGGTGACGGACACGCCCGGCTTCGGGGACCAGATCAACAATGACAACTGGTAGGTTCTCTCTCTTTTTTTTTTTTTTTAGGCAGAGTTTCACTCTTGTCACCCAGGCTGGAGTGCAATGGCATGATCTCGGCTCACTGCAACCTCCACCTCCCAGGTTCAAGTGATTCTCCTGCCTCAGCCTCCCGAAGTAGCTGGGATTACAGGCGCCCGCCACCACGCCCAGCTAATTTTTTTTGTATTTTTAGTTGAGATGGGGTTTCACCATGTTGGCCAGGCTGGTCTTGAACTCCTGACCTCAGATGATCCACCCGCCTCGGCCTCCCAAAGTGCTGGGATTACAGGCATGAGCCACTGTGCCCGCAACAAGTGGTGGGTTCTCAAAGGTGGGGGCCAAGCCATGGCTGTCCCCTCCTGTCCGTGCCCCTCCCCCTTCAACCTTTGGGAAACACCCCAGACCTGGAACAGCCAGGCTGTGTGATCTTTTTTTTTTTTGAGACAGAATCTAGCTCTTGTCGCCCAGGCCAGAGTGCAGTGACACAATCTCGGCTCACTGCAACCTCTGCCTCCTGGGTTCAAGCAATTTCCGGCTAATTTTTTTTTTTTTTAAGACAGACTCGCTCTTGTCACCCAGGCCAGAGTGCAGTGGCACAATCTCTGCTCACTGCAACCTCCGCCTCCCGGGGTTCAAGCAATTCTCCTGCCTCAGCCTCCCAAGTAGCTGGGATTACAGACATCCGCCAACACGCTCGGCTACTTTTTTGAATTTATTTAGTAGAGACGGGGTTTCACCACGTTGGCCAGGCTGGTCTCAAACTCCTGACCTCGGGTGGTCCGCCCACCTCAGTCTCCCAAAGTGCTGGGATTACAGGTGTGAGCCACTGCACCCGGCCCAATTTTTGTATTTTTAGTAGAGACGGGGATTTCCCCATGTTGGCCAGGCTGGTCTCGAACTACTGACCTCAGGTGATCCACTTGCTTCAGCCTCCCAAAGCACTGGGATTACACGCATAAGCCACCGCACCTGGCCCTGGTTTCATTTTATTTATTTATTTATTTATTTATTTATTTATTTATTTATTTATTTAGAGACAGTGTCTCAGTCTGTTTCCCAGGCTGGAGTGCAGTGGCGAGATCATGGCTCACTGCAGCCTTGACCTCCCCAAGCTCAAGGACCCTCCTGCCTCAGCCTCCTGAGTAGCTGTGACCACAGGCACGTGCCACCCCACCGAGCTAATTTGTGTATTTTTTGTAGAGTTGGCGTTTCCCCATGTTGCCCAGGCTAGCCTCGAATTCCTGGGCTCGAGCGATCCTCCTGCCTCCGCCTCCCAAAGTGCTGGGATTACAGGCATGAGCCATCGGGCCTGGCCTGACACCTGTTTTTAAAAGGATCTGTTTGGCTACTTACAGTGTTGACAATACCCAAGAGGGGAAGGGACTCGAAGAGGAGGAGGGAGACCCCTGCAACCATCAGGCGCGATTCCTTGGTGGTTTGGGCCCAGCTGTGGCCCTTTAATACAGTTAATGCTCACCCCTCCCTTACTTGCAACGTAGGTGCTACTATTGTCTCCATTTTACAGACAGTGAAGCCGAGAATGGCAGGAGGTCTCCCTGTGTGTCTCTGATGATGCAGGGAAGTGGGGGAAAGTACCGGGGTGACCCACAGGTCCCGGGCCAACCGGGACGATTCGTCGTCCCAAGGGAGGACCGCCCAGAGGACACAGAGGAGAGGGGTGGGGCTCTCTGGGCACAGCACAGTTCTGAGGGGAGGGTCCACCTCCCGCCTCAGCTGGGACCCCATCCTGGGCTACATCAACGAGCAATACGAGCAGTACCTGCAGGAGGAGATCCTCATCACCCGCCAGCGCCACATCCCAGACACCCGGGTGCACTGCTGCGTGTACTTTGTACCACCCACTGGGCACTGGTGAGGGGGCTGCACCTGCAAGGCGAGGACCACCTGCACGGGGCAGGGAGGAGGAGAAGGGGTCCCCACCATGGGCTGCCGGCTGCCCCCACCCCCGTGCCCTGCTGCTGTCGTTTATACACTCACCACCACCGCCACCCCCATCACTGCCCTGCCTCCGGCAGCCTGCGGCCCCTGGACATTGAGTTCCTGCAGCGGCTGTGCCGGACTGTGAATGTGGTGCCCGTGATTGCCAGGGCCGACAGCCTGACCATGGAGGAGCGAGAGGCCTTCAGGCGCAGGGTGATCTGGATGCCCGGGCAGGGCTGGGGTCAGCGGGGGCAGAGGGCAGAGTGGGCAGGGTGGGCTGAGGTCACCTGTGTGGGATCTCCAGATCCAGCAGAACCTGAGGACCCACTGCATCGACGTCTACCCCCAGATGTGCTTTGACGAGGACATCAATGACAAAATCCTCAACAGCAAGTTACGGGTGAGAGGCTGTGGGGCGGGAGGCGGGCGAGGTGATTTCCTTCCCACACATCCTTTCCATCCAAAGACTCATCTTTCTCTACATCTCAGGGAAATGTGCACATATTCCTAGCAGATATGATTCTCTACTCATCCACAAGCTCAAGGTGAGCAAGAAATAACAGCTCACACTAACAACCCACAGAATCGGAGAAAATGTCTGCGAATCACATACCCAATAAGGGGCTTGTATCCTGAATATATAGAGAACATTGGGCCGGGCACAGTGGCTCACGCCTGTAATCCCAGCAGTTTGGGAGGCCGAGGCAGGCAGATCGCTTGAGGTCAGGAGTTGGAGACCAGCCTGGCCAACATGGTGAAACCTTGTCTCTGCCAAAAATGCAAAAAATTGGCTGGGTGTGGTGGTGCACGCCTTTAGTCCCAGCTACTCAGGAGGCTGAAGCGGGAGAATTTTGAAACTGGGAGGCAGAGGTTGCAGTGAGTGAGCTGAGATGGCGCCATTGCACTCCAGCCTGGGCAAGAAGAGTGAAACTCCATCTCAGAAAAAAAAAATGTGTTGGCCGGGCGCAGTGGCTCAGCCCTGTAATCCCTGCACTTTGGGAGGCCGAGGTGGGTGGATCACCTGAGGTCAGGAGTTCGAGACCAGCCTGGCCAACATGACGAAACCCCGTCTCTACTAAAAATACAAGAAATCAGCTGGGCGTGGTGGTGGGTGCCTGTAAGCCCAGCTACTCAGGAGGCTGAGGCAGGAGAATCGGTTGAATCTTGGAGGTGGAGGTTACGGTGAGCCGAGATTGCGCCACTGCACCCCAGCCTGGGCAACAAGAGCAAAACTCCAGCTTAAAAAAAAAAGTGCTGTGGAAGATGTGGAGGAACTGAAACCCTCACCTACTGCTGGAGGGAAAGTAAAATGGCTCAGCCACTTTGGAAAACAGTCTGGTGGTTCCTCAAATGCTTAAACATGCAGTTACTCTATGACCCAGCAACTGAACTCCTACGTGTATACCCAAAAGAAACAAAAATGTACATTCACAGAAAAATGTGTACGTGAATGTTCACAGCAGCATTATTTATTTTAGCCCCGAAAGTGGAAGCAACCCAAATATGCATCAACAGATGAGTGGGGAAACACAGTGCGGCCTATTCCCTACCATGGACTATCCCTTAACCATGAAAAGCAATGAAGTTCACCCTTTAAAAGTGTACAGTTCAAGGCTGGGCTCAGTGGCTCATGCCTGTAATCCCAGCACTTTGGGAAGCTGAGGTGGGCAGATCACTTGCGGCCAGGGGTTCGAGACCAGCCTGGCTAACATGGTGAAACTCTGTCTCTACTAAAAATACAAAATTAGCTGCGTGTGGTGGCACGCACCTGTAATCCCAGCTACTGGGGAGACTGAGGCAGGAGAATTGCTTGAACCTGGAAGGTGAAGGTTGCAGTGAGCAGAGATTGTGACACTGCACTCCAGCCTGGGCAAGGGAGTGAGACCCTGTCTCAAAAAAAAAAAAAAAAAAAAAAAAAGGCCGGGCACGGTGGCTCACACCTGTAATCCCAGCACTTTGGGCGGCTGAGGTGGGCAGATTACCTGAGGTCGGGAGTTCGAGACCAGCCTGACCGACATGGAGAAATCCCGTCTCTCCTAAAAATACAAAATTAGCCGGGTGTGGTGGTGCATGCCTGTAATCCCAGCTACTTAGGAGGCTGAGGCAGGAGAATCACTTGAACCCAGGAGATGGAGATTGCAGTGAGCTGAGATCACACCGTTGCACCCCAGCCTGGGCAAGGGAGTGAGACCCTGTCTCAAAAAAAAAAAAAAAAATGAAGCACTGTCACCCTGTCACCTGCCTGCTACAGCGTGGGGGAACCTTGTAAACATGTTTCTCAGACAAAAATCAGTCAGACACAAAAGGTCACGTATTATGGGATTCCATTTATATGAAATGTCCCAAATAGGCATAGGCAAATCTATAGAGACAGAAAGTAGATTGGTGGTAGTCAGGGGCTGTGGGGAAGGGAGAAATGGGGAGTGATTGCTAAAAGGTATGGGGTTTTTTTGGGGGGACGTGATGAAAACGTTGTGAAATTAGATTGCGATGATGGTTGCATAACCCTGGTCAAATACTAAAAACCCCCGTACCGTACAATGTTTTGTTTGTTTTGTTTTTAATGTTGTTTTTTTTATGAGATAGGGTCTTTTTTTTTTTTTTAGATGGAGTCTCCCTCTGTCACCCAAGCTGGAGTATAGTGGCGTGATCTCCGCTCACTGCAACCCCTGCCTCCTGGGTTCAAGCGATTCTCCTGCCTCAGCCTCCTGAGTAGCTGGGACTATAGGTGCACAATACCACGCCTGGCTAATTATTGTCTTTTTGGTAGAGATGGGGTTTCACTATTTCAGCCAGGGTGATCTCGATCTCCTGACCTTGTGATCCACCCATCTCAGCCTCCCAAAGTGCTGGGATTATAGGCGTGAGCCACCGTGCCCAGCAGAGACAGGGTCTTGTTCTGTGGCCCAGGCTGGGGTGCAGTGGCAGGATCTCCGTTCACAGCAACCTCCAACCTCCTGGGTTCAGGTGATTCTCCCACCTCAGCCTCCTGAGTAGCTGGGATTACAGGCATGCGCCACCACACCCAGCTAATTTTTTATTTTTCCTAGAGACAGGGTTTCACCATGTTGACCAGGCTGGTCTTGAAGTCCTGACCTCAGGTGATCTGCCTGCCTTCACCTCCCAAAATGCTAGGATTACAGGTGTGAGCCACCACGCCCAATATTATCAACATCCACATTACTCCCCATCACAGATGAATTCAGAAGTAAAAACCCATATATGTCACTTCGGAGTTTGCAAGTTTGAATTTCTGCTTCTGGCCATGAGCAAGTAAACAACTGGAGTTTACGGTAGGGTTCAACAACCTTTTCTGCAAAGGGCCAGGTAGTAAATGTTTTAGACTTTCTGGGCCGTAGGGTCTCTGTTGTGATGATTCAACTCTGATGTCATGGTTCAAGAGCAGCCATAGACAAAAATGACTCATAGGCTCAACTATGTGCCAATAAAACTTTATATATAGGAAGACAGGCAGGCTGGGTGTGGTAGCTCACTCCTATAATCCCACCACTTTGGAAGGCAGAGGCGGGAGGATCACTTGAGCCCAGGAGTTAGAGACCAGCCTGGGCAACACAGAGAACTCATCTCTACTAAAAATGTTTAAAAAGTAGCCAGGCATGGTGGTGCACACCTATGGTCCTCACTCCTCAGGGGACTGAGGCGGGGATATCACTTGAGCCCAGGAGGTCAAGGCTGCAGTGAGCTATGGGATTATAGGTGTGAGCTATATAATACGCTATATAATATAATGGGATTATAAGCTCAGCTAATTTTTTAGTTTTTGCAGAGATGGCCTTTCACCATGTTGCCCAGGCTGGTCTCAAACTCCTAGGGCTCAAGTGATCCTCCCACCTCGGCCTCCTAAAGTGCTGAAATTACAGGCAAGAGCTACCTCACTCAGCCAGAGGCACCAATTAGACTTTATGTCTTTGAACTTGGGAATTCTGTGCACTTTCTACCATGTTCCCTCCTCGAAAAGGATAGGACTCCCCTCTCCTGCCTGGGTGCCTTGACTTTTCTTCTCTTCTCCCCAGCGAAGTCAATCCTCCCATCTCTGTGTCTTCTCCTTTCCCAGGACCGAATCCCTTTTGCCGTGGTAGGGGCTGACCAAGAGCACCTGGTGAACGGGAGGTGTGTCCTGGGCCGGAAGACCAAGTGGGGCATCATTGAAGGTCAGTGCGGGGCCCCTGGGTAGGATGCAGGTGGGGTCAGTTTGGAAACCAGAGCAGCCTTGGGCAACCTTCGCACCCATCACAGGGCACAGAAAGGTGAAGCCCACTAGACAAAGAGCCCTGGGGAATGGTCCCTCTTTCCAGCTGGGAGGCTGTGGCAAGTTTCCGGACCCTCTGGGCCTCAGTTTCCTCACAGTAAAGTGGGCATCACAGTGCATCAACTTCCTAGGGTGTTGGAGCGGGGAGAACCACCATTTTGCACAATGCCCAATACCCAAGGCTGCCCTAGTGGCTGGCCGGAAATTACGATGGGCCTACTGTGTATCAGGCACCGCTATGTGCAGTTACTGCAGTGCACGGTAAAGGGAGGACTGACAGGGTCCCTGTCCCCATAGAGCTGACAGGACAAGGACAGGTCGGGGAGGCACAGTGAAGGCGATTGTGGCGGGAGGGAGAGGAGACTGCCTTAGGGAGCTAGGGAAAGTGACACAGGAGGGGCAGCGAGGATGTAGCCCCTGATGTATTATTATTATTTTTTATTTTTATTTTTTTGAGATGGAGTCTCGCAGTGTCACCCGAGCTGGAGTGCGGTGGCGTGATCTCGGCTCACTGCAACCTCCGCCTCCTGGGTTCAAGTGATTCTCCTGTCTCAGCCTCCCAAAGAGCTGGGATTACAGGCACCTGCCACCACGCCCAGCTAATTTTTTGTATGTTTATGAGAGACGGGGTTTCACTATGTTGCCAGGCTGGTCTCAAACTCCTGACCTCGTGATCTGCCCGCCTCGGCCTCCCAAAGTGCTGGGATTACAGGCGTGTGCCACCGCGCCCGGTCAGGTGATGTATTATTATAATTATTAGAAATATTCTATACTATATATATATATTTTTTTGAGACAGAGTCTTGCTTTGTCACTCAGGCTGGAGTGCAGTGGAGCGATCTTGGCTCACTGCAACTTCCGCCTCTCAGGTTCAAGCGATTCTCCTGCCTCAGCCTCCCAAATAGCTGGGACTACAGATTATACCACCACACCCGGCTAATTTTTGTATTTTTAGTAGAGACGGGGCTTCACTATGTCGTCCAGGCTGGTCTCAAACTCCTGACCTCAGGTGATCCACCCAACTCAGCCTCCCAAACTGCTGGGATTATAGGCGTGAGCCACCGCGCCCAGCCAGAAATATACTATACTATTGCCTATGATATAGCACCCATGCTATCCGCAGAGGGTGGTTCCAGGACCCCCAGGGATACCAAAATCGGCAGATGCTCAAGTCCTACAGTGGGCACCCATGGATACAGAGGCCGAGTGTACATATAATACAATAATGATTGGTGGATTCATTCATTCTACAGCTATTTGTAGGAGCCGCCTGTACCAGGCACTGGGAACACAACAGTGGGTGAATGAATGAATGAACCAACAAAGGGAAGGCAGGATAGGGTAAAGAGAAATGTGGGAAAAGGGCTAAGGGAAATGGTGTCAGGTGGTGCATACAGTAGGCACTTACTCAGTGCTCACTAAGCAGCGCCCATACTGAGTCCCATGTCTTGCAGTGGAGAACATGGCGCACTGTGAATTTCCTCTCCTGAGAGACCTGCTTATCCGGTGAGGGTGTGGGGAGCCTGGGGCTAGGGGGCTGGCGAGGGGCCCTGGGGACACCACCATCGGGGCTGACCGTCTCCGGTCCCCCAGCTCCCACCTCCAAGACCTGAAGGACATAACCCACAACATCCACTATGAGAACTACCGCGTCATCAGACTCAATGAAAGCCACCTGCTGCCCCGCGGGCCCGGCTGGGTGAACCTGGCCCCGGCCTCCCCAGGACAGCTGACCACCCCCCGGACCTTCAAGGTCTGCAGGGGGGCCCATGACGATTCTGATGATGAGTTCTGACCACCGGCGGATCCCGGGGCTGCTGGGCTTCCTGAGTCCCCAGCGGCTCTCAACACACACCTATGTACCAGAGCATCTATTAAATGTGAGCCTTGCTTTTTATGAAAAGCTGTGCTTTGAAAACAAAAGGCATTTTGTAAATGACTTCTTTGAGCTATCCACAAATAAAAAGGCTGGGTGTCACTCTGTTACCCAGGCTGGAGTACAGTGGCGCAATCATGACTCACTGCAGCCTCAAATTTCTGGGCTCAAGTGATCCTCCTGCCTCAGCCTCTCAAGTAGCCAAGACTATGGGCATGACACCACCTTGATGGGCTGATTTTTACCATTTTTTTTTGTAGAGATAAGGCCTCACTAGGTTGCTCAGGCTGGTCTTTAGCTGACCTCAGGTGATCCTTCCGCCTCAGCCTTCCAAAACACTGGGATTACCACTGCTGCCAACCAAGTATGTTTTTGTGGTGGTTGTTGGTTGTTGTTTCTGAGATGGAGTTTTCTGGGGTTTTTTTTTTTTTGTTTTGTCTTGTTTTTTGAGATGGAGTTTCGCTCTTGTTGCCCAGGCTGGAGTGCGATGGCGTGATCTCGGCTCGCTACAACCTCTGCCTCCCGGGTTCAAGTCATTCTCCTGCCTCAGCATCCCAGGTAGCTGGGGACTACAGGCATACACCATCATGCCTGGCTAATTTTTGTATTTTTAGTAGAGATGGGGTTTCACCATGCTGGCCAGGCTGGTCTTGAACTGACCTCAAGTGATCCACCGGCCTCGGCCTCCCAAAGTGCTGGGATTACAGGCATGAGCCACTGCACTCAGCCTCTGAGATGGAGTTTCACTCTGTCGCACTGGCTGAAATGCAGTGGCATGATCTGGGCTCATTGCAACCTCTGCTTCCCGGGTTTAAGAAATTCTCCTGCCTCAGCCTCCCGCGTAGCTGGGATTACAGGTGCCCACCACCACGCCCAGCTAATTTTGTGTTTTTAGTGGAGACGGGGTTTCACCACGTTGGCCAGGCTAGTCTCAAATTCCTGACCTCAAGTGATCCATCTGCCTCAGCCTCCCAAAGTGCTGGGATTACAGGCATGAGCCACAGCACCCAGGTTTCTTTTTGAATAATGTGAGACCCAAGGCCCTAGGAATCTTGAAGGCCTGGGAAGGCATGCCTTGGACAACCAGCCCCCTCTGCCCCAGAGCCAGACCCAAGTGACAAAATCAGCTCTCCCATCTGTCCCAGCCCCTTACTCCTGGCCCGGGGCTAGGCCCACAGGCCAAGAACACTTTCAAAATCCCCATCTTTGTGGCCTGATCTCTGGCTGTCTTACCTGATCTCTGTGTTCCACCATCCCCCACCTTCCTCATTCCCCTGCCCCAGGGGCCAGCATGGCCAGCAAACAGCTCCCACTGTGGAGCCTGGCAATGCCAGTGTGAAAATCCCAGCAGGCAAGTCAGTTACTTATGCTCCCCTTGCCTCACTTTCCTCATCTGTAAAATGGGGATCATGGTACCAAGCACATAGCACTGTTGTTCAGACAAAATAAAATACTCCCTAGGATGTGCCGACCACAACCTGGAGAAATGGCATGAAGACAGAGGCTACATGATCAAGATGGAGCAGCAGTCCAGGGTGGAGGACCTGCTGCAGAATGTGTGAGCTCCACAGCCCAGGGACTCTCCAGAAAGCTAGAAAATAGGCCGGGCACGGTGCTCACGCCTGAAATCCCAGCACTTTGGGAGGCCGAGGCGGGCAGATCACCTGAGGTTAGGAGTTCGAGACCATCCCGGCTAAAACGGTGAAACCCCATCTCTACTAAAAATACAAAAAATTAGCCGGGCGTAGTGGCGGGCGCCTGTAGTCCCAGCTACTTGGGAGGCTGAGGCAGGAGAATGGCATGAACCCGGGAGGCGGAGCTTGCAGTGAGCCGAGATCCCGCCACTGCATTCCAGCCTGGGCGACAGAGCGAGACTCCATCTCAAAAAAAAAAAAAAAAAAAAAAAAAAATTAGCCGGGCATGGTGGTACGCACCTGTAATCCCAGCTACTCAGGAGGCCGAGGCAGAAGAATCACTTGAACCCAGCAGGTAGAGGTTGCAGTGAGCCGAGATCACACCGTTGCACTTCAGCCTGGGCAACAGAGCGAGACTCCATCTCAAAAACAAAACAAAACAAAACAAAAAAGCTAGAAAATAAATGGATTTCACAGAATCCCACACCATGGGGGCCAAAGCTACATTAGTCATTAGTTTGGTAATAAAAGAAAGGGCTACCCCTCTAATCTAGGAAGCTGGGTGCAAGGTGAGCCTTCAACAAATGACAACAATGAGTAGCAGTTTTGTTCCAACTAAAAGTCACCTTCTCCCTGAAGCCCTCCTTGCCTTCCCCAGGCAACCCACTCACTGCCCCCTCTGAGTGTGTGTCACCTAGTTTGTTTCCTGGTCAGTCTCCCCCATTAGGCTGGAAACATAGTGAGGGCAGAGATATGTCAGTTTCATCCCTGCATCCAGTGCATGGCAGGTGGTAAGAACAGGGCTGCTGACTGAACAGAACGGACCCTGCATTGCCTGCCCTACAGCGATCTGCTGGTTGAATTCACAAACCAGCTTCTCCACCCACACCGCAGGCTGACTCCAGGACTGGGGAGCTTCCAGAGCCCGTGGGCACTCAAACCACCCACGACCAACATCTGAGTTGGCTGAGACACTGGCCCACGTCACAGCACATCCCAAGGTTTAAGATTAGCCCTGGGCCCGTCCGGGAGGGAGGTGGGGGTGTCAGCCCCCCGCCCGGCCAGCCGCCCCGTCCGGGAGGGAGGTGGGGGGGTCAGCCCCCCGCCCGGCCAGCCGCCCCGTCCGGGAGGTGAGGGGCGCCTCTGCCCGGCCGCCCCTACTGGGAAGTGAGGAGCCCCTCTGCCTGGCCACCACCCCGTCTGGGAGGTGTACCCAACAGCTCATTGAGAATGGGCCATGATGACAATGGCGGTTTTGTGGAATAGAAAGGGGGGGAAGGTGGGGAAAAGATTGAGAAATCGGATGGTTGCCGTGTCTGTGTAGAAAGGGGTAGACATGGGAGACTTTTCATTTTGTTCTGTACTAAGAAAAATTCTTCTGCCTTGGGATCCTGTTGATCTGTGACCTTACCCCCAACCCTGTGCTCTCTGAAACATGTGCTGTGTCCACTCAGGGTTAAATGGATTAAGGGCGGTGCAAGATGTGCTTTGTTAAACAGATGCTTGAAGGCAGCATGCTCGTTAAGAGTCATCACCAATCCCTAATCTCAAGTAATCAGGGACACAAACACTGCGGAAGGCCGCAGGGTCCTCTGCCTAGGAAAACCAGAGACCTTTGTTCACTTGTTTATCTGCTGACCTTCCCTCCACTATTGTCCCATGACCCTGCCAAATCCCCCTCTGCGAGAAACACCCAAGAATGATCAATAAAAAAATAAAATAAAATAATAAAAATAAATAAAAAAAAAAGATTAGCCCTGGGCAATATGGAAACATCTACAGCATTTCAAAAGCACACACCCTTTGGCTCAGCCGTTGCATTTCTAGGAATACATCTCACAGACCAGGTTTCTCAACCTCTGCACCACCAGCACTTGTGCTAGATCATTCTATTTCTTCTCCTTCTTCTTCCTCTTCTTCCTCTTCTTCTTCTTCTTTTTGAGACAGGGTCTTGCTCTACTGCCCAGGTTGGAATGCGGTGGCTCAATCATAGTTCACTGCAGCCTCAACGTCTCAGGCCCAAGTGATCCTCCCACCTCAGCCTCCTGAGTAGCTGGGACTACAGGCACATGCCACCACACCCAGCTAATTTTTTTTTTTTTTTTAAGATGGAGTTTCGCTCTTGTCACCCAGGCTGGAATGCAATGGCACAATATTGGCTCACTGCAACTCTGCCTCCCGGGTTCAAGAGATTCTCCCGCCTCAGCCTCCCTACTAGCTGGGATCATGGGTGCGTACCACCATGCCCGGCTAATTTTTGTATTTTTAGTAGAGACAGGGTTTCACCATGTTGGCCAGGCTGGTCTTGAACTCCCGGCTTCAGGTGATCTGCCCACCTCAGCCTCCCGAATAGCTGGGATTACAGGCTCCCGCCACCACACCCGGCTAATTTTTGTATTTTTAGTAGAGACGGGGTTTCACCATGTTGAGTAGGCTGGTCTCAAACTCCTGACCTCATGATCCGCCCGTCCCGGCCTCCCAAAGTGCTGGGATTACAGGCATGAGCCACAGTGCCAGGCTTTTTTTTTTTTTTTTTTTGAAAGTTAATCAAGAAGGCTGGGTCATGCCTGTGTAATCCCAGTACTTTGGGAGGCTGAGGTGGGCAGATCACCTGAAGCCGGGAGTTCAAGACCAGCCTGGCCAACAAGGTGAAACCCTGTCTCTACTAAAAATACAAAAATTAGCCGGGCATGGTGGCACGCACCCATGATCCTAGCTACTAGGGAGGCTGAGGCGGGAGAATCGCTTGAACCTGGGAGATGGAGGTTACAGTGAGCCAAGATCGCACCACTGCACTCCAGCCTGGCCAATAGAGTGAGACTCTGCCTCAAAAAAAGTTTATTAAGAAAGCAAAGGGGCCGGGTGCTGTGGCTTATGCCTGTCATCCTAGCACTTTGGGAGGCCAAGGTGGGTGGATCACGAGGTCAGGAGATCGAGACCATCCTGGCTAACATGGTGAAACCCCGTCTCTACTAAAAATACAAAAAATTAGCCAGGCATGGTGGCGGGCGCCTGTAGTCCCAGCTACTCAGGAGGCTGAGGCAGGAGAATGGCGTGAACCTGGGAGGCGGAGCTTGCAGTGAGTGGAGATCACGCCACTGCGCTCCAGCCTGGGCGAGAGAACGAAACTCTGTCTCAAAAAAAAAAAAACAAAAAAAAAAACGAAAGCAAAGGAATAAAAGAATGACTACTCCACAGGCAAAGCAGCCAAAGATTTTTTTTTCTTCTTTTGAGATGGGTTCTAGCTGTCACTGAACCTGGAATTCCGTGGGCATGATCTCAGCTCACTGCAACCTCTGCCTCCTGGGCTCAAGCGATCCTCCCACCTCAGCCTCCCAAGTAGCTAGGACCACAGGTGCATGCCACCATGCCCAGCTAATTTTTTTTTTTTGGATTTTTGGTAGAAACAGGGTTTTACAATGTTGCCCAGGCTGGTCTCGACCTCCTGAGCTCAAGCCATCTGCCCGCCTCAGCCTCTGAAAGTGCTGGGATTACAGGCTTGAGCCACCGCACTGGGCCCCTCAGCTAATTTTTATCTAGTGTTGTAGAGATAGAATCTCACTATGATGCCGATGCTGGTCATGAACTCCTGGGCTCAAGAGATCCTCCTGCTGCAGCTTCCCAAAGTGCTGGGATTACAGGCACGAGCCACCTCACCCAGTCTAGATCATTCTTTGTGGTGGGGACTGTCCTGTACACTGTAGGATGTTTAGTAGCATCCCTGGCCTCCACCCACCAGACACCAGTAGCAACTCTCACTTTGTTGCTAATTAAAAATTATCCTGGGGCCAGGCACAGTGGCTCAAGTCTGTAATCCTGGCACTTTGGGAGGCCGAGGCAGGTGGATCACCTGAGGTCAGGAATTTGAGACTGGCCTGGCCAAAACGGTGAAACCCCGTCTCTACTAAAAATACAAAAATTAGCCAGACGTGGTGGCAGGCGCCTGTAATCCCAGCTACTCGGGAGGCTGAGGCAGGAGAATTGCTTGAACCCGGGAGGCAGAGGTGGCAGTGAGCCAAGATCGTGCCATTGCACTCCAGCCTGGGTGACAGAACAAGACTCTGTCTCAAAAAAAAAAAAAAAAAAAAATTATCCAGGACAAGTCACGTGTCCCCTGGGGGAAGCATAGCACCCCCACATTGTGCACCACTAACTGTTATGCGCATGTGTTAGGGGATCCCCCAAGGCTGTCCAGTGTTGTAAAGGAGGGGAAACAGCCTCCCTGGCCACCCAGAGCACTACATTCCATATGTTTTCACTTCTTGTGGCTGCTGTAACAAATTAGCACAAATGCAGAGGCTTAAAACAACACACGTGTATCCTCCTATAGCTCCAGAGGTCAGGAGTATGAGATCAATATCACTGGGCCAGAATCAAGGTGTCTACAGAGCCCTGCAGCCTCTGGAGGCTCTTTTTGAAGATTTAATTATTTTATTTTTGAGACAGGGTCTCTCTTTGTCACCCAGGCTGGAGTGCAGTGGCACAATCTCAGCTCATCACAACCTCCGCCTCCCAGGCTCAAGAAATCCTCCTGCCTCAGCCCCCCGAGTAGCTGGGATTAGAGGCGTGTACTACCCTGCCTGTCTAATTTTCGCATTTTTAGTAGAGATGGGGTTTCGCCCAGCCCCAGGCTGGTCTTGAACTCCTGGACTCAAGCAATCTGCCCTCCTCGGCCTCCTAAAGTGGTAGGATTACAAGTGTGAGCCACCATACCTGGCCTTCTAATTTTTCTTTTTTCTTTTTTCTTTTTTTTGAGACGGAGTCTCGCTTTGTCACCCAGGCTGGAGTGCAGTGGCGCGATCTTGGCTCGCTGCAACCTCCGTCTCCCGGGTTCACACCATTCTCCTGTCTCAGCCTCCCGAGTAGCTGGGACTACAGGCGCCTGCCACCACGCCCGGCTAATTTTTTGTATTTTTAGTAGAGACGGGGTTTCACCGTGTTAGCCACGATGGCCTCGATCTCCTGACCTCATGACCCACCTGCTTCAGCCTCCCAAAGTGCTGGGATTACAGGTGTGAGCCACCGTGCCCGGCTTTTTTTTTTTTTTTTTTTTTAAGACGGAATCTGGCTCTGTCGCCCAGGCTGGAGTGCAGTGGTGCAATCTTGGCTCACTGCAACCTCCGCCTCCCTGGTTCAAGCTGTTCTTCTACCTCAGCCTCCCTAGTAGCTGGGATTACAGGTGTGTGCCACTATGCCTGGCTAATTTTTTGTATTTTTAATAGAGACGGGGTTTTGCCATGTTGGCCAGGCTGGTCTTGAACTCCTGACCTCAAGTGATCTGCCTGCTTCGGCCTCCCAAAGTGCTGTGATTACAGGCGTGAGCCACCGCACCTGGCCTATTTAAGATTATTTATTAAAACATTTGGTAGGTTTTAATACTTCATGAATACAAATTCAAAATAATGGCTTTTGTTGTTGTTTTTAAAAAGCACATTAATGGCCAGGCGCGGTGGCTCACACCTGATAATTCCAGCACTTTGGGAGGCCAAGGAGGGTGGATCACCTGAGATCAGGAGTTCAAGACCAGCCTGGCCAACATGGTGAAGACCCGTCTCTACTGAAAATACGAAAATTAGCTGGGTGTGGTGGTGCATGCCTGTAATCCCAGGTACTTGGGAGGCTGAGGCAGGAGAATCGCTTGAACTCAGGAGGCGGAGGTCTCAGTGAGCCCAGATTGCGCCACTGCACTCCAGCCTGGGCAACAGTGAGAGTCTGTCTCAAAAAAAAATAAAATAAGTAAAAATAAATAAAAAAATATAAATAAATATAAAAATATAAATATATAAATTAAAAATAAATAAAAAGCACATTAAAACTTGCAGTTTTTGCCCCCTGAACCTTCCCCCCATCACATCCCTCTTCAACGTTTGCCCCATCACCATCCTGAATTTGGTGTTCATCCAAGTCCCAAACATTTCTTTGAACCGCATACATGTCTCTAAATCATATGTAGAATTGTTTTGCATTTTCAAAATTTATGAAAATTGTATCATATTGCCACTTGCCTTTTTTTGTTTGGCATAGCCTCCGTGAGATTTATCCATCATTCTCCTGTTGACTAACATTTAGACTGTTTTCGGTTTTGCCATTACAAACAACACTGCCCTGAACACAGAGGTAGTCTTTATTACTAACAGAATTAGGACATATTAAGCCTATATGTGTCTGACGTTCTGTTCTGTCTCTTTACCATAATGGTGCCTACTGCAGGTGATGTTACCATCCCCATTGTACAAAGGAGTTATCCTTGTCTCCCTCCTCCACCCCAAGCTAATCAACCACCAAGCACTGTTGAATGTGCTCCAGGAATCTTGGCCAGATCCTTGTCAGTGACTACCACCATCACTAGTTACCCCAACTCTGGACCACTCCAGGAGCTTCCAGCTAGTCTCACTGCTCCTCTCCAGTCTTTCTGAGATCTGTACTCCACAAAGCTTCTTATCTGATCACGATGCTATCCTACTTAAAACCCCAAACTCTATTGACTCCAAGGATAAAATCCTTAATCCTCACCAGAGTCTCCAAGTATGGTCAGGCCTTGCCCATCCCTCCAGCCACATCTCCCAATCTCTGGTCTCCATTCTGTTCCTCAAACGCACCGTGTTCTCTCCGGCCCCAGGACCTTTGCACTTTTCACTCCTGCTGTCTGGAATCCTCCCCACCGGTTCCCCAGGTTAACCCTAGGCTGCTCAACTGTCACTTCCACCCTGAAGGTATCAGGTTCCCTCTTTTACGCCGCTTGCTAACATTTGCCAAAGAAGTGATTAAACAATTCTTCGTGCAATTTTGTCCACTGTATGCCTCTCATGGTAATTTTGTCCACTGTATGCCTCTCATGGCAAGCTCCATGAAAGCAGGCACCTGCCACCACTCCATCACCCGAGCGCCTAGTTAAGGGGGCAGTTGGGAGGACTCAACGTGCAGCGTTTATGCATTTATTATGCCTGGATGAATGGTCTTGAATGAGTTACAACCTTGAGGGTTAATGTCCCCCATTAACAGATATGGAAACTGAGGTTCAGGGCGCGCAAGGGAACCGCCCGCAGTCTCGACGACAAGGACGCTGCCACCGGGAGACTGCAGCCCCTTCCTCCGAGCCCCTGGCAGTGCCGCCACTTGAGGAGACCCTCCAGGCCGCCAACCCACCCCCTCTAGAGCGCCCAGGAATCTGCCTCCGGGGAGGGCGCGGGGCGCTCTGGGAAATGTAGTCCTGCCAGCTTCCTGAATCCGGCGTCCCCAAATTTGTTTCCGGCGGGCTGAGTCCTAGCCGATGCTTTGGGAAAGACGCGCGAGATTCCGGGGGTAGATCCGGGATGCGAGGCGGGGCGCGCATGCGGGGCGGAGCTTGTGCGGGGCGGGGCGTACGTTGAGTGTACGCCTGCTGTGTATGCTGCGTTGCTGCTCACCCGAACTCGGTGCTGGGACTCTTTCCTGGGCACCCCAGGCAGAGGGAAACTCCGGATCATGTTCAACCAAAGAGGAAAAGCAGCGAGAATCCAGCATAGGAGACGGGCCTTAGGATGCCCAAGTTAGGATTAGGGGCAAACTACGTTAACCTGGTAGTTAGGAGCTGAAGTTCTGGAATCAAAGATTTGGGTTCCAATCCCATTTCTGTACTTCCTGTTTGACCTTCTCTGGGGGGTTCAATACTTAAAACTCTCAGAGCTTCAGGGTTTTGTTTTGTTTTGTTGAACCGGTAGGTCTAGTTATAGTACCTCTATTACTAAATGAGGAAGAAACGAAGTACAAATGTGTTTTGCTTGCTTGATGCTCAAGAATTGATGCGACCGGGAGCGGTGGCTTACTCCTGTAATCTCAGCACTTTGGGAGGCTGACGTGGGTGGATTGCTTGAGGCCGTTGGAGACCAGCCTGGGCAACATGGGGAAACCCCATCTCTACTAAAAATACAAAAATTAGCCGGACCTGGTGGTTCGTGCCTGTAATCCCAACTATTCGGGAGGTTAGGTAGGAGAATTGCTTAAAACCGGGCGGCGGAGGTTGCTGTGAGCCAAGGTCGAGCCACTGCACTCTAGCCTGGGCGACAGAGTGAGACCCTGTCTCTAAATAAATAAATACATACATACAAGAATTGATACCTGGCTGGGCACACCTGTAATCCTGACACTTTGGGAAGCTGAGGCGGGAAGATTGCTTGGGCCCAGGAGTTTGAGACCAGCCTAGGCACCATGGTGGGACTTCATCTCTAACAACAACAACAAAGATTGATGCCCATTATTATGTTGTCAGAAAGAAGCAGGCAGGACAAGGGATATTTGGGGTTGGACGTTGTTGGGGGCCCTCTTGGGGGAGGGTGGGCGCAAGCACTTGGCATCTCTTCCAGTTTTATCTTGAACAACTTCTGCCTTTATTTATTTTATTTATTTATTATTTATTTATTTATTTTTTGAGATGGAGTTTCGCTCTTGTTGCCCAGGCTGGAGGACAATGGCAGGATGTCGGCTCACTGCAACCTGCGCCTTAGCCTCCTGAGTAGCTAGGATTACAGGCATGAACCACCACGCCCAGGTTTCTCCACGTTAGTCAGGCTGGTCTCGAACTCCCGACCTCAGGTGATCCGCCCGCGTCGGCCTCCCAAAGTGCTAGGATTACAGGTGTGAGCCACCGTGCCCGGACGACTTTGCTGGCTTTAAAGATGGAGGAGGCGGCCAGAGGAGAGCGGAGCGGGTGTGGAACAGTGACTGGGAAAGTAGCCCAGAGGCTGCAGAGTCGCCGCACGCTCGCGCGGTCACCGAGGTGCTGGACTACGTTACCCACAATGCGTGCCTTTGAGGACCACATTAACCACAGTGCACGTCGCGGACCCGCCCACTCGGCCGTGTTGCCACGCCCCCAACGGCCGGCTTAGCCAATGGTGCCACGGCTACGTTACCCACAATGCCGCCTGCGGGCCCACCCGCACGGCCTGGTTTGCACCCCTGGTTTAGGGTCTTCGGCCCCGGCTCTGGCGTCCCTGGCTGCCAAGCCTGAGGCCCGCAGTCCTACTCCCGCCGAGACCCGCCGCTCCGGTCCTGCCCCGAACTGCCCACGGCCGGCAGCGCTTCCAGTGAGTGCGGGGGGCGCGGGGACGCGGGTCCCGGCCGAAGCTTCGATTTCGCGGCCCGCGCCAGCACCCGGGTCTGTGCCGCGGCCTCGGGTACCGCTCACCCTCCACCTGAGGGATGAGACGGGAAAGCAGCCCGGCCTGGGGGTCCCAGCTCTCCCAGGACCCTGGAATTGGGGGGCTGTCGTGACCACCCACGCGGGGGTGCCTGACGGGGCCGCGTAGGGGCTTCAGGGTTCGCCAGACCTGGACACCGGGGATCAAGTTGAGGCAGAGTCTGCAGAAAGGCCCTACTTTTCATCAGATTTCCAAAGGAACCCCTTCCATATAGGACCCACTCTAATCATGGAAAATAACGATTCTCGAGCTCTGACCGCAAACATCCCTTTTAGATTGTTTTTGTTTGAGTCTCTCTCTGTCGCCCAGGCTGGAGTGCAGTGGCGCTATCTCAGTTCACTGCAACCTCCATCTCCCGGGTTCAAGCGATTCTCCTGTCTCAGCCTCCCGAGTTGCTGGGATTACAGATGTGCTACCACCATGTCGGGCTAATTTTTGTATTTTTTGTAGAGACAGGGTTCCACCACGTTGACCAGGTGGTCAACTCCTGAACTCACGTGATCTGCCCTCCTCTGCCTCCCAAAGTGCGGGGATTACAGGCGTCAGCTACTGCCCCCAGCCATCCCTTTTAGTTCTGTCAGCAACCTGTGTGTGTAGGTCCTGTTATCATCTCTGTTTGCCCAGTGAGGAAGCAAAGCCCAGAGCCCTTCAGTAAATTACCCGGGAATTAACAGGGGGTTAATAACAAAGATGACATTCATCCACTTCCTTTTCCTTTTCCATGGTGGGGTGAGCTGGCCTTGGAACCAGGGCAGGGGCTTCCCAGGCCAAAGGGCTTATCCAGCCCCAGGGCTGCCCTTCAGATGGTTTTATCGTCTCTCCACAGGGCCCTGAAAAAAACTCTCTTCCTGTGTCTGGCCAGAGGTATAGAGAGAGACAGGTTCAACTCTAAGGCCTGAAAAGGAACAAGGCCCACCGGAAGCAATGGCCACTGTCCCTGGCCTCCAGCCCCTGCCAACCTTGGAGCAGGACCTGGAACAGGAAGAGATCCTGATTGTGAAGGTGGAGGAGGACTTCTGCTTGGAAGAGGAGCCCTCCGTGGAGACGGAGGACCCCAGCCCTGAGACTTTCCGCCAGCTCTTCCGGCTCTTCTGCTACCAGGAGGTGGCTGGGCCCCGGGAGGCCCTGAGCCGCCTCTGGGAGCTGTGCTGCCGCTGGCTGCGGCCGGAGCTGCGCACCAAGGAGCAGATCCTGGAGCTGCTGGTGCTGGAGCAGTTCCTGACTGTGCTGCCGGGGGAGATCCAGGCTCGGGTACGCGAGCAGCAGCCGGAGAGCGGTGAGGAGGCCGTGGTCCTTGTGGAAGGGCTGCAGCGGAAGCCCAGGAAACACAGGCAGCGGGTGAGTGGGGGCATTTTGACCCTCAGGTGAGGAAATGGGGCCCTGCTGCTGGGGTCTGCAGCTGCAGATTCCTTGGTCATTGGGTGACCAAGTGTGGCTGCCTGGCCCCTGAGCCCTTTTGAGGAAAGCAACTGCAAAAGATTTCTCAGCCTTGGCTAATGGGTGTCCACCCTTTGATTAACCTCATCCTACCCCAATAGCCCTTTATTAGCTAGTGCAGATGGTTTGTGAACACTGTCCTAGGGTAGGCCAAACATGTTTTTTTTTTTGAGACATAGTCTCGCTCTGTTGCCCAGGCTATGGTGGTGTGATCACCGCTCATTGCAGCCTCTACCTCCAGGCTTCAAGCAATCCTCCCACCTCAGCCTATTGAGTAGCTGGGACTACAGGCATGCACCACTACACCTGCTAATTTTGTGTATTTTTTGTAGAGACAGGGTTTCGTTATGTTGCCCAGACTGGTCTTGAACTCCTGGCCTCAAGTGATCCTCCCATCTTGGCCTCCCGAAGTGCTGGGATTACAGGCATGAGCCACTACGCCAGCCCCAAACATAGGTTTTGGTGGGAGAGAGGTCCGGCACCTTCCAAGGCAGGGAGTTGAAACTACCCCCAAAGTGGGAGAACACTGGGAAGAAAGACCAGGGGCATGGGGGGCACTTTGGTTAGAGCCCCCAGAGGTTCTAGAGCTGTGCCATGCAAAACAGTAGCTGCCAGCCACATGTAGCTTTTTAAATTATAGCTATGTACATTTATTTTACTTTTTTTTTTTTTTTCTTTTTTTTTGAGATGGAGTCTCGCCCTGTCGCCCAGGCTGGAGAGCAGTGGCGCAATCTCGGCTCACTGCAAGCTCCGCCTCCCGGATTCACGCCATTCTCCTGCCTCAGCCTCCTCAGCAGCTGGGACTACAGGCGCCCACCACCACGCCCGGCTAATTTTTTTGTATTTTTAGTAGAGACAGGGTTTCACCGTGTTAGCCAGGGTGGTCTGGATCTCCTGACCTCGTGATTCACCTGCCTTGGCCTCCCAAAGTGCTGGGATTACAGGCGTGAGCCACCGCACCTAGCCCATTTATTTTACTTTTATTTTTGTGAGACAGAGTCTCTCTCTGTCGCCCAGGCTGGAGTGATTCTCGTGCCTCAGCCTCCCAAGTAGCTGGCATTACAGGGATCTGCCACCACGCCAGGCTGATTTTTGTATTTTTAGTAGAGACAGGGTTTTGCAATGTTGGCTAGGCTGGTCTCAAACTCCTGGCCTCAAGTGATCTGCCTGCCTTGGCCTCCCAAAGTGCTGGGATTACAGGCATGAGCCACTGTGCCCGGCCACTGTGTAGAATGTTAAATTAGTTCCTCAGTCACACTGACCACCTCTCAAGGGCTCAGTCGTCACACATGGCCAGTGGCTACTGTACTGGATGGCACAGACAGGACCCTTCTGACACACCGAAATCTCTATAGACAGTGCCTCTCCACCTCCTTCCAGCCCCATTTGAAGGAGTAGAGGAAGCCTCTTACTCATTCCTGCTGCTTCAGTTTCAGTTGTGGAACTCCTTGAGATTAGAAAGAAGTCCTGCCACCTGCTGTTTCAGTTCATTTTTCAGGGCCTTGCGTGGATGGGGCACATGGGCAGTGCTGACCAGCTGCCTTTCTTCCTGTGGCAGTGCTGCTGGCTGCACACTGCTGGCCTTTTGCAGCCAACAGAGGAGGCACATCCCCTAATGCTTGACCACGGCGTGAGCTGACCGCAGTCAGAAAATCCTGCCATCGGGGTGGCCAAGAAATCGGGGTTTCTTCCCAGCCGGCCAGCCTCTTTCCTGGCCACCACAGCTTCAGTGTTTGGGGTTCCCGGCATGGCTTCCTTCTGTCACTGCACCGACACCTCTGCACACATGCCTCATGGCCATCACTGAGCTGAGAGGGGCAGGCTGTGCTCCCCAAGGGGACTACGCTCCCTTAGAGGTGTGGAATGTTGAATAAGAGGAAGCCTGAGATGGGTCCCTGACGCTGGGTTTGTAGTTGCCTAGGGATGTCTCTTGTCCAAGTGCTATTGCAGAGCTCAATTCTAAGACCCAATTTCATTCAACTCACCTTTCCTGGAATTAGGAAATAGATCATCTCAGAGCACCTGTTGATAATTTCTTTTTTTTTTCTTTTTTTTTTTTTCTTCCCTGAGATGGAGTCTCGCTCTTTTGCCCAGGCTGGAGTGCAGTGGCACGATCTCGGCTCACTGCAACCTGTACTTCCCGAGTTCAAGCGATTCTCCTGCCTCAGCCTCCCAAGTACCTGGGATTACAAGCGTGCTGCCACCATGCCTGGCTAATTTTTGTATTTTTAGTAGAGATGGGGTTTCACCATGTTGGTTAGGCTGGTCTCGAACTCCTGGCCTCAGGTGATCCACCCACCTCGGCCTCCCAAAGTGCTGGAATTACAGGTGTGAGCCATTGCAGCTGGCCAGATAATTTCAAAAAATCTAGCAAATGCAGTTCTGTGAACTTCTGAAATTAGTCCAGCGCTGACTCAGGGCTCTTCTGGCCCAGGGTCTATCCCAGGGTCTATCAGGAGGACCAAGGAATAGAGGGTAAGAATGTGATGGGGAAACGATTGTGGTGACAGGGAGAGACCATGGAGTAGAGCAGGCTGGGAGCTGGCTGCAGGGAACACTGCCACACGGCTGGGCAGAGGGAGGGAGGCTGCAGACAGCCCGGGGGTGGGCAGCCGGCTGGGGTGCCTGAGATGAGGGGTGTGGGGCCCTGCGGGGATTTTTCCTTCTGGCCTTCTGGGAGCTGGTGGGGAGATCACTGTCTGTGTGCAGGGCTCAGAGCTGCTTTCTGATGACGAGGTGCCCCTCGGGATAGGGGGACAGTTCTTAAAACACCAGGCAGAGGCTCAGCCAGAGGATCTGTCCCTGGAGGAAGAGGCTCGATTCTCCAGCCAGCAGCCCCCAGCCCAGCTGAGCCACAGGCCACAGAGGGGCCCGCTGTTGTGGCCAGAGAGAGGTGAGTAGCACCCCTTTGGAGGAATGAGAAGTGGTGCAGGGGAGGGAGGTGAAGGTGACTGGGGTGTGGACTGTGGCCAGGGCAGAGGCCTGCCTGGATGCAGGGTGCACAGGCTCTCCAGCAAGGAGTGGATCTTGGGTGGGCAGCCGCCGGGCTGTTGGGGCCTTGGTGTGCAGGGGACGGCAGGGGCAGTACTGGGTGAGCTGTGTGACTGGTGGTGACTCTGCTCCTTCCCAGGCCCTCCAGCTCCCCGGCATCAGGAGATGGCGTCAGCCTCGCCCTTCCTTTCGGCCTGGTCCCAGGTGAGTGGGATGCTCCTGGTCTGCAGCATCCTGGGGTCTGGCCCGACCTCCTGTGTGTCACACTTCCTTGTTAAGGGGACACCTCTCCTGGGGGCCAAGGTTTTGGATGTCAGAGGAGCTCTTCCCTGGAGTTTTCTCCCTTTGCCCCAACCCTGGAGTCACTTCCCCTGGCCTCCTGGGAAGTCTTTTCTTCTCTCCAGAGGCCATTTAAGTACTCGGCTGTGCCCGGAAGATTCTGCGGTCCACCAGTGAGACAGGGTGGTGACTCCTACTCTGCTGGGCACAGGAATCTCTTGGGACTCTGGGGGAAAACACAGCTTCCTCCCACACCGCTGGGCTGGAATGGGAGTCTCCTTTGTTTGCTTGCTGGTTTTTTTGGGGTTTTTGTTTGTTTGTTTGTTTGTTTGTTTGTTTTGAGCCAAAGTCTGGCTCTGTGCTCACGCTGGAGTGCAGTAGTGTGATTACAGCTCACTGCAGCCTTGACCTCCCAGGCTCAAGGGATCCTCCTGCCTCAGCCTCCTCAGTTAGTTGGGACTACAGGCATGCACCACCACACCCGGCTAGTTGTTTTTTTTTTGTTTTTTTTTTAATGGGACACAGTCTCGCTGTGCTGCCTAGGCTGGTCTTGAACTCCTGGGCTCAAGTGATCCTCTTGCCTAAGTCTCCCAAAGCACTGGGATTACAGGCATAAGCCACCATGCCTGGCCTGTTTTATTTTTATTTATTTATTTATAATTTTTATATGTGTGTGTGTGTGTGTGTGTGTGTGTGTGTGTGTGTGTGTGTGTGTGTATGTATGTGTATTTGTTTTGTTTTGTTTTTGTTTTTTTGAGACAGAGTTTTGCTCTTGTTGCCCAGGCTGGAGTGCAATGGTGCGATCTCGGCTCACTGCAACCTCCGGCTCCCGGGTTCAAGCGATTTTCCTGCGTCAGCCTCCTGAGTAGCTGGGATTACAGGCACCCACCACCATGCCTGGCTAATTTTTTTTGTATTTTTAGTACAGATGGGGTTTCACCATGTTGGCCAGGCTGGTCTGGAGCTCCTGACCTCAGATGATCCACCTGCCTTGGCCTCCCAATGTGCTGGGATTACGGGTGTGAGCCACCGCGCCCGGCCGAACATTTCCTTTAGACCCTCCCCGAAAACCCCCTAGACTCATTACCAGAGTCTCTACCTGTTTTTCCCTCAGCCTCTGGCAACCACAAAGCTCCTTCTTGTCTCTGTGAATTTGCCTGTTCTGGAAAGAGTTTGCTTGTTTTTTTAATCATGCTTCCGGGTCAATCTGGTGCTACATCTGGGAGCCACTGGCCCAGAGGCATCCTGAAGTCCCCCGTCTGCCGCAATGGGGTCCTGGGGCTGGCTAGCCACGGAGCCAGGGGATGCTCTTGTCTCCCTGTGGAGCATGGGCCTCGGTGGCTGAGTGTGCAGTGGGTCCACCACTCCTCGTGGCGAATCTGTCCCTTCTCCGGTGGTGTCCCAGCTCTGCAGCAGTGGCACATGGGAGCAGTGGGCGGAGACACCAGGACTCACCACTGCAACGAGAGTGGAGAAGACCAGCTGCACCACCAGGCTTGGCGCCAGCCTCGAGGGGCAGTGGCGGTGCAGCTCCCTGGGCCAGTGGCCTTAGTTGGGGAGGAGGCAGCTTGCTTGGGGCCAGGACTGAGTGGGGTGCGTTCTGGCAGGTGCCCGTGAACTTGGAGGACGTGGCTGTATACCTTTCTGGGGAGGAGCCAAGATGCATGGACCCAGCTCAGCGGGACGCGCCGCTGGAGAATGAAGGTAACTTGCAAGTGATTGTGTCCTCTAGGGGGCTTGCCAAAAATAGGAACTGTCAGGCACCAGCTCCGGGGCTTGGTTCTGTTGGTCCAGTTGGCCTGGGGCGATCCTCCGTGGACAGGGCTACCCGTATCCCTGCAGAGTCCCACCTGCAGGGCCTGCACAGCCACTCGGCCGTGACTCAGGCAGATGCCCAGCACTGCCTTGCCATCCTGTTCTTCTGCCTCTGCCCCCTACATGCTGGTCCTACTTCACTTCAGCTTCCCTGTGCCCTCCTCTCAAGGGCAGAGCTGCTCCCACAGGACCTGGTTCTCCAGCCTCTCCCCATCACACTGAGCACTGCCCTGCCTGTTACCCAGCACCGTCCCCTAAGCTCTTTCTCTGTCCGTTTGTCTCTTCCTGCCTTTCCTGATGCTGCTGAAGCCTTTTCTGGTTTTTTGTTTGCTTGTTTGTTTTGAGATGGATTTTTGCTCTGTTGCCCAGGCTGGAGTGCAGTGGCACAACCTTGGCTCACTGCAACCTCCACCTCCTGGGTTCAAGCGATGCTCCCACCTCAGCCTCCCAAGTAGCTGGGATTACAGGTACTCGCCATCATGCCTGGCTAATTTTTGTTTTATTAGTAGAGATGGGTTTCATCACCATGTTGGCCAGGCTGGTCTCGAAGTCCTGACTTCAGGTGATCCGCTGGCCTAGGCCTCCCAAAGTGCTGGGATGACAGGTGTGAGCCACCGTGCGTGGCCATGCTGAAGCCTTTTCTAATGACAGTGAGATATCGCTTTGTATTAGGGTTCTTCTCCAGAGAAACAGAACCAACAGAAGATACACACACACACAGATTTATTTTAAGGAATGGGTACTTAGACAGCTCCCTTGGTTGCTTACAGAAGTTGACAAGTCTGAAATCTGCAGGCCAGGCCAGCAGACTGGAAGCTTAGGATTTCTGTGCCACGGTCTTGAGGCAGACTTCCTTCTTTGGGAAACCTCCAGAATTTTTTTCCTTTTTAAGGCTGAAGAATATTCCATTGTAAATAATGCTGCAGTGAACGTGGGTGTACAAGTGTATCTCTGATCAACTCTGCTTTCCGTTCCTGGGTGGATGTATCCAGCAGTGGGATGGCTGGAGCATATGTGGTCATTCTGTGTTGAATTTTTTGAGGAGCCGCCATGCTGTTTTCCACAGCATCTGCACCATCTCATGCACCCAGCAAGAGTGCACAAGGGTTCCAGTTTCTCCACATCCATACCAATGGTTGTTATTTTCAGGGTTTTTTTTTTTTTTTGAGATGAAGTCTTGCTCTGTTGCCCAGGCTGGAGTGGAGTGGCACGATCTCAGCTCAGCTCACTGCAACCTCCGCCTTCCAGGTTCAAGCGATTCTCCTGCCTCAGCCTCCCAAAGTAGCTGGGATTACAGGTGTGTGCCACCATACCCGGCTAATTTTTCTATTTTTAGTAGAGCTGGGTTTTGCCATGTTGGCCAAGCTGGTCTCGAATTCCTGATCTCAAGTGATCTGCCTGCCTCAGCCTCCCTAAGTGCTGGGATTACAGGCGTGAGCTACCGCACCTGGCCTGATTTGGAAATATTTTCTCCTATTTTGTGTGTTGCATTTTCATTTTGTTGGTAGCGTCCTTTCATGCACAAAAGTTTTTGGTTCTAGTGTCCAGTTGATCGTTTTTTTCTTTTGTTGCCTATGAAGAGTTTTAGATGATGTTGTATGGGGCTCTGGTTGGTCATCAGTAGCTTTAGTGACAGGCATCCAGAGCAGGGGTTCTCCACCTGGGGCAATCTTGTCCCCCAGAGGACATCTGTCCATGAGTTGGAGACATTTTTGGTTGTCACGACCCTGGGGTTGTCACTGATGAAAGTGATTATTTGTTGAGCAGAAGGTGGGGATGCTGCCCAACCTCCTGCGGTGCACAGGGCGGCCGCATCAGAGACAGCCCGGGCCAGGTCCCATGGACACCACCTGCACCGTGATTGAGGAACCCTGATCTGAAGATCTCTGAGCGCACATTACCTGTGGTCCAGTTCATTCCCTGTGCAAAAGGCAGAAGTCAAAAGGGAAAGAATTTGCCAGCCCTCCCGGCTCCCAAGTGGTTACGTGGAATCCTCAGAAGGGAAGGAATGAGATTCTGCCCAGCTCTGTCCACCAGCTCCTGGAGCCCAGACACAGCTTCCCTCTCAGGGTCACAGGCATGTGTTTGGGTTTTACTTACCCGGCGCCAGAGCCTATGGTAAAAAAGGTCTGTGGGGCCGAGGAAAATTGGATCTATTTGATCTTGCTTAAAAAAAAAAATGGCCAGGCACGGTGACTCACACCTGTGATCCCAGCACTTTGGGAAGCCGAGGCGAGTGTTTATCACCTGAGGTCAGGAGTTCGAGTCCAGCCTGGCCAACATGGTGAAACCCTGTCTCTATTAAAAATACAAAAATTAGGCGTGATGGCGGGTGCCTATAATCCCAGCTACTTGGGAGGCTGAGGCAGGAGAATAGCTTGAACCCAGGAGGCGGAGATTGCAGTAAGCCAAGATCACGCCATTGCACTCCAGCCTGGGCAACAAGAGCGAAACTCTGTGTCAAAAAAAAAAAAAAAATTGGCTGGCGCGGTGGCTCACACCTGTAATCCCAGCACTTCCAGAGGCTGAGGCGGGTGGATCATGAGGTCAGGAGATCGAGTCCATCCTGGCCAACATGATGAAACCCTGTCTCTCCTAAAAAATACAAAAATTAGCTGGGTGTGGTGGTACTCATCTGTAGTCCCAGGTACTCGGGAGGCTGAGGCAGGAGAATCGCTTGAACCCGGGAGGCGGAGGTTGCAGTGAGCCGAGATCACACCACTGCACTCCAGTCTGGGCAACAGAGCAAGACTCCGTTTCCAAAAAACAAAAACAAAAACGGGCCGGGCATGGTGGCTCATGCCTGTAATCCCAGCACCTTGAGAGGTCAAGGCGGGTGGATTGCTCGAGTCCAGGAGTTCAAGACCAGCCTGAGCAATATGGAGAAGCCTTGTCTCTACAAAAAAATACAAAAGTGGTGCATGCCTGTAGTCCCAGCTGCTTGAGAGGCTGAGGTGGGAGGAACACTTGAGCTTGGGGGGTCAAGGCTGCAGTAAGCTGTGATCATACCACTGCACTCCAGCCTGGGCAACAGAGTGAGACTCTGTCTCAAAAAAACAAATTAGGTTGGTACCTGGCCTCAAAGTTTTTACATTTTTTAATGAGATGAAATTCACGGGCAACCCGTTCGGGTCCCCTTCCACACTGTGGAAACTTGTTCTTTCACTCTTCGTAATAAATCTTGCTGCTGCTCAAAGAAAAAGAAATTCACATAACATAAAATTAGCCATATTTCAGTAAACGGTTCAGTGGCGTTTCGTATCTTCACAGTGTTGTACAATCATCACCTTCATCTAGTTCCAAAACTTTTTTCTTCCCTTTTTTGAGACAGGGTCTCACTCTGTCACCCAGGTTGGGTGCAGTAACACATAGTTCCAAAACTTTTTTTTTCTTTTTTTGAGACAGGATCTCACTCTGTCACCCAGGTTGGAGTGCAGTAGCACAATTTTGACTCACTGCAGCTTCAACCTCCCCAGGCTCAGGTGATTCTACCACCTCAGCCTCCCGAGTAGCTGGTACCACAGGTCAATGCCACCATGCCCAGCTAATTTTGAAAAAATTTTTGGGCCGGGCACGGTGTCTCACGTCTGTAATCCCAGCACTTTGGGAGGCCAAGGCGGGTGGATCACGAGGTCAAGAGATCGAGACCATCCTGGCCGGCATGGTGAAACCCCATCTCTACTAAAAATACAAAAAAATTAGCCGGGTGTGGTGGCATGCACCTATAGTCCCAGCTACTCAGAGGCTGAGGCAGGAGAATCGCTTGAACCCAGGAGGCAGAGGTTGCAGTGAGCTGAGATCGCGCCATTACACACCAGCCTGGGCGACAAAAATTTTTTGATAGAGATGGAGTCTCACTGTGTTACCCGGGCTCAAAAACATTTTTTTTTCTTAATTGAGATGGAGTTTCACTCTGTCACCCAGGTTGGATTGCAGTGGCATGATCTCGGCTCACTGCAACCTCCATCTCCTGGGTTCAAGCAATTCTCGTGCCTTAGCCTCCCAAGCAGCTGGGATTACAGGTGTGCATCACCACACCTGGCTAATTTTTGTATTTTTAGTAGAGACAGCATTTTACCATGTTGGTCAGGCTGGTCTTGAACTCCTGATCTTGTGATCTGCCCGCCTCGGCCTCCCAATATTTTTTCTATTTTTAGTAGAGACAGTGTTTTGCCATGTTGGCGAGAACTCCTGACGTCAAATGATCAGCCCGCATCGGCATTTCAGAGTGCTGGTATTACAGGCGTGAGCTATCAGGCCTGGCCCTCAAAAACATTCTTTATCATGCTAAATGGAAACCTCGTACCCAACAAGCAGTTTCTCCCCATTTCCCCTCCCCTAGCCTCTGGCAGCCACCTGTCTGCTCTGTCTCTGGGTGTGCCTATTCTGGTTGTCTTCTGTAAAGGGAATCGTGCAGGGACTGTCCCTTGGTGACTGGCTTCTTTTGCTCAGTGTCATGTGTTCCTGGGTCATCCGTGGTATAGCATGTGTCAGTGCTTCCTTTTCATGGCTGAATAGTATTCCACTGTATGGATAGACCACGTTTTGTTGATCCATTTTCGTTGATGGACATTTGGGTGATTTCCATTTTTTGGCTACTGTGAAGAGTGCTGTCGTGAACATTTATGTACACATTTCTGTTTGAGGACATGTTTTCAGTTTTCTTGGGTGTGTACCTAGGAGTAAAGTCATTGGCTCATATAATGACTCTTGTTTACCTTTTGATGAGCTGCCAGACTCAGTCTCTTTTAAAAATATTTGTACGGCCAGGCATGGTGGCTCACCCCTGTGATCTCAGCACTTTGGGAGGCCAAGGCGGTTGGGTCACCTGAGGTCAGGAGTTCGAGACCAGCCTGGCCAACATGGTGAAACTCTTTCTCTACTAAAAATACAAAAATTGGCTGGGTGTGGTGGCTCACTCCTGTAATCCCAGCTACTCGGGAGCCTGAGGTAGGAGAATCGCTTGAACCTGGGAGGCAGAGGTTACAGTGAGCGGAGATCACACCACTGCACTCCAGCCTGGAAGACAGAGCGAGACTCCATCTCAAAAATAAATAAATAAATAAGTAAAAATATTTTTACAACAAGGCTGGGTGCTGTGGCTCACGCCTATATCTCAGCACTTTGGGAGGCTGAGGTGGGAGGATCACTTGAGGTCAGGAGTTTGAGGCCAGCCTGGGCAATATAGTGAGGCCCTGTGTATTAGGTCATTCTCGCATTGCTGTAAAGAAATACCTGAGACCTGGTAATTTATAAAGAAAAAAGGTTTAATTGGCTGTACAGAAAGCATGATGCTGGTGTCTGCTCAGCTTTTGGGGAGGCCTCAGGAAGCTTCCAGTCATGGTGGAAAGCAGAGAGGGAGCAGGCATGTCTCACATGGCTGGAGCAGGAGCAAAGGAGCGAGGGGAGGTGCCGCTCACTTTTAATCGACCACATCTCATGGGAACTCACTCACCATTGTCAGGACAGTACCAAGAGGATGGTGCCAAACCATTCATGAGAAATCTGCCTCCATGACCCACTCACCTCCCACCAGGCCCCACCTCCACATTGGGGATTACAGTCTGACATGAGATTTGGGTGAGGACATAGATCGAAACCATATCACCCTGTCTTTAAAATAAATAAATAAAATATTATTATAGCAGGCCAATGAGGTGGTTCCAATCCTCCTCTCAGTTTTATTTATTTTCTATTTTTTTTTTTTTTATTTTTTTGAGACAGAGTCTCGCTCTGTCGCCCAGGCTGGAGTGCAGTGGCACGATCTTGGCTCATTGCAACTTCTGCCTCCCGAGTTCAAGCGATTCTCCTGCCTCAGCCTCCCAAGTAGCTGGGATTACAGGCACCCACCACTACCCCCAACTAATTTTTTTATTTTTAATAAAATAAAATGGGGTTTCACCATGTTGGCCAGGCTGGTCTCAAACTCCTGACCTCAAGTGATCCGCCTTCCTCGGCCTCCCAAAGTGCTTGGATTACAGGCATGAGCCACCATGCCCGGCCTCCTCTCAGTTTTTTAGATGTGGAATTTGAGGCTCAGTACGTGCCAAACCCACCTTCGGCTATCTGGAAGTTGGTCCTGGAGATGGGAGGGGAGGGCAAGAAGGATTCGCCCAGGAGGTCTGGGGCTGGGAGTGTCTTAAAGTGGACATTTCCAAGGGCAGTGGGTGGTTCTGTCCCTCCCCTGTGAGGTCAGCATGGCGTGTGCCTACCATGCGCAGAGCCTCTTGCGGGACTGCTATGAAGACGGCTGCTCCCCCAGCCCCCCAGGCACCCCAGTGCACTTTGTGCTACCAGGTCCCCAGCTGCAGTCACCCTCATGCTGCAAAGGAAGAGCAGAGAAGTCAAGGGCTTTTTCCTGAAAGGGGCAAAGCCTGGATCATTCCAGGCCCCTCTCCCTGTTCTCCTGTCCTGTTGGTGGTGGCTCTAGAACCTGGATCTGCAGAGGGGCCTCAGGGGCCACACCAAGTACGACAAGGGAGGTCCAGTGGCTGGGAGCCACGACTGCTCTGCTCAGCCAGAACAGCCCAGAGCAGGGCTTCTCCACCTTGGTGCTGCTGGCATTTGGGCCAGATGGCTCTCCACGTGGGGCTGCCTGTGCTGGGTGGGAGGTTTTCCAGCAGCCCTGGCCCCTGCCCACTAGAGGCCATTTACAACCCCCTCCCCAGACACAACAAAAATGTCTCCAGACCTTGCCACTGGGTGGGAACCCCTGGCTTAGAGGATACAGCAGAGTGCAGAGCTTGATGGCCCTCACTCTGTAACTTAGCAGCCCGGTGATTCTGGGTAAGTTTCTTAACACTTGTGTGCCTCGGTTTCCCCATCTGCAGGATGGAGATGGTAACAGCACTGACCCACTGGGTTATTGTGATGGTCAAGTGCGTTCCTCTTTGTTTGTTTTATTGATTGTTTAGTTTTTGAAACAGGGTCTCATGCCGTCACCCGGGCTGGAATGTAGTGGCGCGATCACAGCTCACTGCAGCCTTGACCTCCTAGACTCAAGTGATCCTCCGACCTCAGCCTCCTGAGTAGCTAGGACTACAGGCACACGCCACCATGCCCAGCTAGTTTTGTTTATTTTCTGTAGAGACGAGATCTCACTGCGTTGCCCAAGCTGGTCTTGAACTCCTGGGCTCAAGCAATCCTCCCACTTCAGCCTTCCAAAGTGCTGGGATTATAGGCGTGAGCCACAGTGCCCAGCCCCTGCTAAATGTTTTGTAGGGGAACCTTAGGAGCCCTGTGAGGCCTTCATTTTCCTATTAGAAGGATTTCCCTTGCCCTCTTGCTGTGAGTTCCTAGAGATCGTGCTTTCTCTGTCTCAGGACCTGGGATCCAGTTGGAGGACGGCGGTGATGGCAGGGAGGATGCCCCGTTGAGAATGGAGTGGTACCGAGTGCTCTCGGCACGATGCCAGGGGCCTGGCCACCCGCTCCCAGGTCAGAGGCCAGCCCCAGTCAGGGGCTTGGTCAGGCCTGATCAGCCAAGAGGCGGCCCCCCACCAGGAAGACGGGCTTCCCATGGGGCTGACAAGCCGTACACCTGCCCCGAATGTGGCAAAGGCTTCAGCAAGACGTCCCACTTGACCAAGCACCAGCGCACACACACGGGCGAGCGGCCTTACAAGTGCCTAGTCTGTGGGAAGGGCTTTAGCGACCGCTCCAACTTCAGCACGCACCAGAGGGTGCACACAGGCGAGAAGCCCTACCCGTGCCCCGAGTGTGGGAAGCGCTTCAGCCAGAGCTCCAGCCTGGTCATCCACCGCAGGACACACAGCGGGGAGCGGCCCTATGCCTGCACCCAGTGCGGGAAGCGCTTCAACAACAGCTCGCACTTCAGCGCCCACCGCCGGACGCACACAGGTGAGAAGCCCTACACCTGCCCGGCCTGTGGCCGGGGCTTCCGCCGGGGCACCGACCTGCACAAGCACCAGCGGACCCACATGGGGGCAGGCTCCTTGCCGACGCTCCAGCCGGTGGCTCCTGGAGGCCCCGGTGCCAAAGCCTGATCACCAGGCCTGAAACTCCCTTTCCAGGACTCTCATCCCTGGGCACAGAATTCAGGAAACTGCTAGACAGCCTGGTCCGAAAGCATTGCCAGCTGCCCGTTTCCTCCCATGGCCCAGTATGAGGCCAGCAGGGGACATTTGGGATGCCCAGGCCGCAGAGGAAGCTGGGCACTGGGTGCAGAACAAGGGCAAGGACAGGCTCTGAGTGTCCAGTGGCAGCCAGAACAGGTGACACAGAGCAGGGGCTTCAGCCACAGAGACACACTCAGGAGGCCAGAAGCCGACACTCAAGGTGTTCGTGGGGCTGGCTCCTGAAGGGCCTGGGAGGGTCCATCAGCTGCCTCCAGCATCCAGTGGCTGCTGGCATACAGCCTCATCCCCACGTCCCAACCCCTCTCCTGTGTGTCTGTGACCCTGTGCGCTGTCTCTGTGTGTACCCCCCACCTGCTCCCCCCCCCTTTTTTTTTTGAGACGGGGCCTTGCTGTGTCCCCCAGGCGGGAATACAGTGCCATGATCATAGCTCACTGCAGCCTCGAATCCCTGGGCTCAAGTGTTCCTCCTGCCTCATCCTCCTGAGTAGCTGGGGTTACAGGTGTGTGCCGCCATGCCCAGTCTCTTTTTTGGTAGGGCCACCACTCACTGGGTTTAGGGTCCCCCAATACACTGTGACCTCATCTTAACTAATTATATCATCAAAACCCGTGTTTCCAAATAAGGTCACATTCTGAGGTCTGGGTGCACATGAATTTGAGGGACCCCTCGTCTGCTGCAGGGAGCCCTGCTGTACCCCAGCCTTCCCAGGACGTGGTCTCCAGCTTCTTCATCCTGCCAGAGTTTCCAAATGGAGCCCGGGGCTCTGCAGCATTCCAGTCCCCTTTGCAGATCCATAGCTGCTCTGCAGGGCGGAAGACACCTGGGGCGGGAAAGCACCCCTGAGTTCCATCTTCCTGACATGTTGCCTGGGATGTGACGGGCCTGACATCTCCCCAGGGCCGGGGCCCAGGGCTGCGTTTGCTCCTGGCCCCTTAGTGTCTGGAATGTGGCCTTCCACGGTTGCCCCACTTTGTCTTTCTAAGGTAAGAAGCCTTCACCTTCCAGCTTTTGTCTGGCCTGTGCTGCGTGGGAGCCACTGGTCTGTGCACATCCACGGTGGGTGAGTGGCCAAGACAAGCAGTGTGATAGAGTCCTTGGTGGGTTTAGTCATCTCGGAAGTCGTAGGGCAGCTATGGAAACCACTGGGTTCTGGAACGTTCCAGCCAGGCAGTGGTTGTTCCTCATAGGTAGGTGGCCTTGGCCTTCATCCCAGCCTGGGATGCTCCATTGCATTTGTCACCTAGTCACTGTATATACGTGCACATTTGACCTTTTGGCACAGCCCAGGTTCCAGGTGCGTGACCTGCCCTTTTTCTCATTCCCTTAACTGACATTATTTAGTGTCAGAGGCCGAGCACAGTGGCTCCCACCTATAATCCTAGCACTTTGGGAGGCCAACGCGGGTGGATTGCTTGAGCCCAGGAGTTCAAGAGCAGCCTGGGCAATATAGAAAGACCTCTTCCCTACCAAAAAAAAAAAAAAAAAAAAAAAGCCAGGTGCAGTGGCTCACGCTTGTAATCCCAGCACTTTGGGAGGCCGAGGCAGGTGGATCACAAGGTCAGGAGATCGAGACCATCCTGGCCAACATGGTGAAACCCCATCTCTACTAAAAACACAAAAATTAGCTAGGCATGGTGGCGTGGCACGTGCCTGTAGTCCCAGCTACTCGGGAAGCTGAGGCAAGAGAATCACTTGAACCAGGGAGGCGGAGGTTGCAGTGAGCCGAGGTCGCACCGTTGTACTCCAGCCTGGTGATAGAACGAGACTCCACACAAAAAAAAAAAAAATTAGCCAGGCATGATGGGGTGTGCCTGTAGTCCCAGCTACTTGAGAGGCTGAGGCTGGAGGATCACTTGAGCCCAGGAAGTTGAGGCTGCAGTGAGCTGTGATTGTGCCACTGCACTCATCCTGGAAGACAGAGTGAGATCCTGTCTCAGATAAAATAAACAATTTTTTTTTTAAGTCATTGCTTCTGGCCCCTGTGTGCTCTGTCCTGTGTCTGCAGAATGGGGCTGCCTGGTTGAGGGACGGCTTTTACCTTCTAGACTAGCTCTGGGATCTCTCATGGGGCATGAGGTACCCAGCTAGATGTGGCCAGGCCACACTCCAGGAGCTAGCAAAGCACCCAGCGTTGCTGACACCCATCTCCCCAGCGCAGCCTGAGCCCCCAGGCCCCTCTCTCATATCCAGGCCTGTGCTGGAGGTGGCGGCCTCTGGGGGAGTGTGGTTGGGGTCTGCCCACTTCCCTCCCCCTGCCGAGGCTGTGGCCTCCCACTGGCTGCTGCTTGGCCCCATCTCATGGTCGCTGCCTGCTGCTTGGCCCCATCTCATGGGCGTCATCCTCAGCACTCACGTGATGGGAGAGTTTTGTAGGAGCTGTGAGTCCCAGGTGCCTGCGTGTGCTGTGATGTTATCTCATGCAGTCCAGTGAGGGGGGACTCCCATTAGTCTCCTTTTTTTGTTTTGTTTTGAGACACAGTCTCACTTCATTACCCAGGCTGGAGTGCAAGGCACGATCTTGGCTCACCACAACCTCCACCTCCCAGGTTCAAGTGATTCTCCTGCCTCAGCCTCCTGAGTAGCTGGGATTACAGGTGCGCACCACTACGCCTGGCTAATTTTTGTATTTTTAGTAGAGATGGGGTTTCTCCATGTTGGTCAGGCTGGTCTTGAACTCCCGACCTTGTGATCCACCCACCTCGGCCTCCCAAAGTGCTGGGATTACAGGCGTGAGCCACCGCGCCCGGCCATGATTCTCCTTCTGTGGGTGGAGGAACTGGGCACTGGGAGCGTGAAAACCTTGCCCAGGTGGCAGAGCCAGCTTTGGACGCAGGTCTGACTTCCTACCTCACTCCCCTTGCCTTGACAGACACAGTAATTCAGAGTTGAACTTGGAACAGAGTTTATTTTCCATCACTGTAAAACATTCTCAGTGAGGTTACTGGCATTAAAAAGGTGGGAGAAATGGAAGAAAATGGGGTTGAAGAAAAAAAAAGCCTTTGCTCTTGACAGCTAGGCAGCCACAGCGGAGGCCGCCAGGCTGCGAGGGCAGCGTATGGGGGCAGAGCCCGGTTCTGGCGGCACAGGCCCCGGAGTGGAGGGGGCAGGGGAGGGTCTCTGTAGGTGGGAGAGGGCCTGGGGGCTGGGAGGCAGCCTGGCCTTGTGCCCTACAGGAGGGACCTCCTGGGACTTTATGGAAGCCTGTCTTGCCTTTGACTTGCAATGAAAATGCCCCTCATCATTGGGAGTGGGGTCGGGTGGGGGTCCCCAGTGGCCAGATCACGTGGGGTCCAGAGAGCAGACATCTGTAGCCCTGATCTTGGCGGCCAGTGACCACGGCCAAGCAGGGCCTGTCTTTTGCCTGGTACAAGGCTTGATGAGAAGAGACCCCTGCCCATCCTCAGTGGCCTGGCAGCCAGGGGTGAACCCCAGGGGAAGCTGGGACACTGTCCCAAAGGCCCGGCGCCCTACTGTGCTGCCTGAGCCCGTGGCACCGTGGGGCCCAAGGTGGTGATGATTTCTCTGCTCTTCCCACGGGGCAGACAGCAGGACACATCCTGGAGACAAGGTTGGGGAGACAAACAGGTGCCCAGGTCAGGGCTGATCACAGCAGTTACAAAAGCATCCCGTGAAGACGGGGCTGCAAGACGGTGCTGGCAAAGGAACAGGACCCAGGAAGACCAGGCTTGTCCTGTGGAGGGGCCGGGTCTTGGCAGGGGGCAAGCAGATGTCCCCAGTTTTTGCTGGTGATCAACAAGTGAGGCCGCTGCTCCATTCTACACAGGACAGCATTTCCAGGGGTTTCCAGTATTCTGTCTAGATTCATAAAGGTCAAAGGCCTTGAGAATCTATGTGTGCCTTTCTATCTTAGGTAAAGAAGAGAAAGAGAAAGCAAATTCTCGTTACTCCTCTTTCAAAAAGTTCATTAAAAGCCAGGCTGGCAGCTCACAGTGCTATAATCCCAGCACTGTGGAAGGCCTAGGCAGGAGGATTGAGAGGAGTTCCAGACCAACCTGGGCAACACCGTGAGACCCCATCTCTACAAAAAAAAAAAAAAAAAAAATTAGCTGGACATGGTGGTGTGCACCTGTAGTCCCAGCTGCTGCGTCTCGAAAAGAGAAAAAACCACGTGTATTAGATCTGTGTGGGTAGGCATGTGTGTGTCGTGTGTTAATTTAGGTGCCCAAAATAGCAAGTATGCAGGAAGCCAGAAAATAAGGCTTAGGTCTCTTTCAACCCTAAAATCCTCTAAATACGTTTTACTTGGTTTTTAAAAAGACCTTATTGATGGAAATAATAGATGCCTGTTTAAAAAAATGCAGAACTGGAGAAAGATGAAGAGCCTCAGAGTCCCGCAGAGAGCAGCACCCCGTCCTCCTGCTGTCCCTGCCCATCTCCCTCAGAGGACCAGGCCCCTTTATCCCAAAGCTGTTGTCACAGGTTACATACAGATTTGTATCTGCATCCTTCCTCTAAGTTCATGCACCTGTGACTGAGCTCTAACAGGGTGGGCAACAGTCCAAAGTCTGAGGGTCCCTGCCTCTGGAATGCCCCTGCTAGTGGAAATGCAGGAACAACAAGGGGACACCGGGGCCCAGGGTCCATGGCAAGTCAGCCCGCCCCTGCCCACTCCTGGGATCCCACTACCTGAGGCAGCTATAGTTGCTCCAGAGGAGGCATCAGGGCCTCCCTGGCTGCCCCTGGCTCAGGAACATCCCCCAGGGCTCTGGGCCTGCCTCTTGGGAGTCGAGCCTGGGCGCTCTGCCCCTTGGCACAGAGCTTCATGTGTTGCTTCCTCCCAGTTCGTGATCCAGCTGTGTCTTCAGGGGCCTGAGCCCTCCCACCCGCGGGCCCCTTGCTGGCAGGCAGCTCGGGCTGGGCTGTCCCCTTCTGAAAGGCCCTGAGCTGCTGGAGAAGCTGGCTTTTCCCGGTACAGGTCCTGTGACACAATGAGACCAAATTCACTCAACCCCGTGGGGGCCGCCCCTCCCAGCCCTCCTTACTGAAACAGGAGAAAAGCAGATGAGCCCAGCTCCCATTTCAGAGCAAGAATGCAATTCAGGCAGCCCATCACTGCTGCCACTGCTGGGACCCAGTGGACGTGGGCAGGATGATGAAAGCTGTGCCGTCCCCCTCACCCTGTGCGGTGGGTGCAGCAAGACCTCACCACAGGCGGTAAATGTGCCAGGTGGAGGGCTTGCTGCAGAAAGCAGAGGTGGGACATCTGCAGGTGGCGAGAGGCCCCTGGGTGGTTACCGTAGCCCCAGGGAGGAAGGAGATGCCCCCTCTGCGTCTCCCAGAGCTGCCATCTCTTCCTCCTCCTCCTCCTCACTGTCAGAGGAGCTGTGGCTGGAGCTGCAGGGAGAGAAATGGGTTTCTGGATGTGCCCACTCCACCTGGTGTTCCAACTCTTGTTGGGGCTTGAAGCACTCGGGCTTTGCTGGTGACCCAATGCAAGAGGTCAGCAGCCACACTGGAGGCCGGTGGACGTCCTGCCAGGAGGTGAGGACAGGTGTGGGTGATGCCCTCCAGCCTAGACGTGTTGGGCTCTATTGCATAGAGCCCAGCCCGAGGAGGTGTGCCTCATGCCCCTCTTCCCTCCCTGCAGGGACCCAGGGGGACTGTAGGCCAGCACTTTTCAATTGAGAATTGATCCAAGCCTTTTGAAGTCCCTGTTCCTCCCCATCAGGATCCACCAGAGGCTCTGTGCGGTCAACAGGCAACTCTGCAAAGTAGAGGCTGGTATGGGGTAGTCACTGCCCTCCGGACCTTTCTGGGGACAGGTGGTCTGGTAGCTCCATCTGCCGCAGGTCAATAAAGATGGTGGGGGACTCTGCGTTAAGCCTCATGCCCTGGGCCAGCTGCGGGCCTGGCCCAGCCTGGGAGCCCTGCTTCCTTGAGGCACATCTGAAATGAGAAAAGCAGGTGTTGTGGAGTCAGTTCTCTGTGATAACTCTGTGACCTGCGCTGGGTTTGTCCAGTCACAGTGCTCGTGGCTGCCACCCAGTGAGTGCCCACTCTCTACAGACGGGCACATTAAACACATTTGCTCTTTTACTCTTCAGAACAGCATGCGAGATTTAGGCCACCACTGGCCAACAGAACGTCCCTCATGATGGACATGCTCTCTATCTGTGGTAAGTGTAGCCACTTGGCACAAGTGGCTAAGTTTACATTTAAGCCAGTTTAAATCCAATGCATAAAACATTCAGTTCCTCAGTCACATTCACCACGTTAGGTGTTTAGTAGCCACACACGGCTAATGGCTGCCATGGTTAACACTGCAGTTCTCTCCATTTCTTTTTCTTTTTCTTTTTTTTTTTTTTTTTGAGACAGAGTCTTGCTCTGTCGCCCAGGCTGGACTGCAGTGGCATGATCTTGGTCACTGCAACCTCCGCCTCCTGGGTTCAAGAGATTTCTCCTGCCTCAGCCTCCCAAGTAGCTGGGATTACAGGCATGCACCAACATGCCTGGAAAATTTTTTTGTGTTTTTAGTAGAGATGGGGTTTCACCATGTTGGCCAGGCTGGTCTCGAACTCCTGACATCAGGTGATCTGCCTGCCTCGGCCTTCCAAAGTGCCGGGATTATAGGCATGAGCCACCGCGCCCAGCCAGGTGTAGCCACTTCTGTTAGGTACTTTTGGTTTCCAGACACAGAAACCCACTGCTGGTCAGGTGAAAAGGGATTCACTGGTTCTCAGATTCCTCAAGTGCGGAGCAACCAAAGTGTGGGGAGGGCAGGCATATAGAGGGGCCTTACGGGACCCTGGGGCCCTGCCTCCACCTCTGCCTCTCCCAGCTTCACTGCAGCTTGCCTTTCTCCCTGTGGCAGGACAGGTGGCTGTTGCCCTTCCACCCCTACACAGAGACACAGAGATTGAAAAATCCCGCAGCTGGGGTCACATGCCCAGAGCTGGACCAATCAGCTGTGGCCAGAGGGGCAGGGTCACATGATAACCTTCCTACTCTCAGGGAGGCCTCATGGCCTCCCATTGAAAGGAGGGTTCCCGTTGGGTTTGGGGAAAGAGCAGGTACTTGAGGGCTTGAGTCCCAGCCCTGCCATTTATGGCCAGAGAGAGTCAACCTCTCTGAGCCTTGGTTTCCCCATCTCTAAAATGGGGATGACTGGAGCGACTGCCTGATCAGATGCTTGAGAGTGACTGAGAAAATGCACATGGAGTGCCCCGCCCTTGGTAGGCCCAGTCAGTGCTACAAAACCATGGGGCCATTCTAAAGGACCACAGGAGCCGGGCCTGGCTACAAGTCCCACCTGCTTCCTGAATCTGCCTCTTTGGTGTCCTGGGGAGTGTCGGCAGGCACCTTCCGGGCACAAGCAGAGGCCTTGGACTGCGTGGTGCACAGGAGGGCCAGCTGTTCCATGAGCCTGTTGTGGGCGCTCGGCACCATGCGGTCTGAGGATGGCCAAAGGAGAGGCTGATTAGTGGGGACTTGGCCCACTTGTGACTTACAGCAGCTGGAGCCTCAGGACCCCTGGGGTCTCCACATGTGAATGGACCTCAGGCTCCTCCACTGCCCCCGCCCAGCCCTCTCCCTACTCAGCCCTCTGAGGACTCCACCTCTAGCTCAGCAGGGCTGAGGGGGGCAGAATCTTTATGAGCAGGGCCTGTGGCACAAGGGCTTGGTGAAGTAGGAGTGACGTATTTTTAAGTTTATCCCACTTCCTCACACCCCGGTCCCACTTGTCACAGGTGATCATAATGAACAGTTCTGTGTGTTGACTTAAAAAAAAAATAGGGTCATCCTCTATAGGTTTTTTTTCAACTTCACTTTTTTCACTTTGTATATTACATGCTTCCACGTTAACCTACGGAGATCCCCTCATCGAGCCGCAGTGTATTCTGTGCTAAAACGATCTAGCTGGACTCCTCCTGAATATGGGTTGTTTCCAGCTTTTCAGATTTTTAAACAACACTGCAGCAAACAGCTCTGAACACACATCTTTACCTACTAGAGTCAGAGTGTAAGACAGATTTTCTAATTGCAATAGCTTGATTAAAGGGTTATGTGCCTTTAAAACAGAGAATACATTCGGCCAAGCGCGGTGGCTCACGCCTGTAATCCCAGCACTTTGGGAGGCTGAGGCAGGCGGATCCTGAGGTCAGGAGTTCGAGACCAGCCTGGCTAACATGGTGAAATCCCGTTTCTACTAAAAATACAAAAAAAATTAGCCAGGCGTGGTGGCACGTGCCTGTAATCCCAGCAACTCAGGAGGCTGAGGCAGGAGAATCGCTTGAACCCGGGAGGTGGAGGTTGCAGTGAACCGAGATCGTGCCATTGCACTCCAGTTTGGGCAACAAGAGTGAAACTCTGTCTCAAAAAAAAAAAAAAAAAAAAAAAAGAATACATTCTGCCCTACTCCCCTCCACAAAGGGAGTGCCAGTTACACACACACATACACATGCACACACATGTCCTCCAGAATGGTTGGCTCTCTACCTCCTGCTTTATGGGATTTGAATTACAAACCAACAAAATGTATTTAACATAACACGGGCTGTCAGTCACAGGGGAGTCTTTGCTTTGGGACCAGAGGCGGAAGCGCCGCACCTGCCCTGGCTCCTCTGCCTCAGACCTGCCTCCCCTCGCCTTTGTGGCCCGAGTGGATAGGGAGGGGTTGGAGAACTTTCATTTTATTTGCAGGACTTCCCAGAGCAAAGCCATGAGTGTAGTGACAGTGGTGACATCCTTTGCCTCCCTTTTTAAATGGGGAGGCCAGGGGAAGCGGGAGCGTGCTTAGGAGCTGACTGCGCACAGAAGGTGGGGCTTCCTTCCCCCAGGAAGGAGGAGGAGGGAGAAGGAAGGCAGGCTGGCCCAGGGAGGTGGGGAAGAGGAGGTATGGGTCATGGGGTGGGGTGCGGAGGCCTCTCCTTTGTCCCTAGGACCTGGCCCACGCCTGGCACGTAGCAGGCGGTCACATATATGTTGAATGAATGAAGTCTTTTGGGGACTGGCAGCATGAGTGTTTAGGGCGGGGCCAGCAGGGAAGACTTGTGTGGGCTGCAGGACTGTCTGTGACCAGCCTGCAGCCCTCTGTGTCTGAGGGGCCCAGGAAGGTGCTGCTTGTGGGGATTCACGTGGGCTCCAGTGTTCAAGGTCAGACCTTGAACTTGGCGGTGGTCAGCTGCCCACCACACAGTTCCAGGTGCACGATTTCCCTGGTTGTCTTCTTGTCCCGCCAGACTCTGAAGGATGTCATCCAAATCCCACGCTTCAAGTTGCTGAAATCATTAAAACCAGTGATTATGAGGATGCTGAGGGGTCCCAGAGGCACAAGTACCTGCTTCACAGCTGCTGTGACCCATGGAGATGGTCACAGGATGTTGGGGGTAGAAATCAGGAATTCAGTGCATGACAGAGTTTGCAAATAGGCTGACCCCGCCTTTCCATTACAGATTGAACGCCTCCGTTAAGGTGGGCCTGCACTTTGCCACCTCCTTCCTATGCTTTCTTGGGGATCAGTACTTCACTTTTGTTTTTGGCACAAAGACGTTGTCTGACCCGAAGGAAACCCTGTATTGTTGTTTCATTTTGTTTTGTTTTTGAGACCGAGTCTCACTCTGTCGCTCAGGCTGGAGTGTAGTGGTGCGAGCTCAGCTCACTGCAACCTCCACCTCCCAGGTTCAAGTGATTCTCCTGCCTCAGCCTCCCAAGTAGCTGGAATTACAGGCATGCGCCACCACACCCTTCATTTTTTTTTTTTTTTTTTTTGTATTTTTAGTAGAGATGGGGTTTCACCATGTTGGCCAGGCTGGTCTCGAACAAACACCTGACCTCAGGTGATCCACCTGCCTCCACCTCCGCCTTCACCTCCCAAAGTGCTGAGACTACAGGTGTGAGCCACCACGCCCAGCCTAATTTTTGTGTTTTTAGTAGAGATGGGGTTTCACCATGTTGGCGAGGCTGGTCTTGAATGCCTGACCTCAAGCAATCCATCTGCCTGGGTCTCCCAAAATGTTGTGATTACAGGCATAAGCCACCGAGCCCAGCCAAACCCTGTGTTGTTTTCAGAAACACTATTTAGGTTCATACAGGTTCACAATGTTTGGAGGTTAAAAAATTTTGTTCTTTTAAGAATCAAGCTGTTCCAGGCAGGAGCTAAAACTGGAAGGCTTGGCAGTGAGTGCTTAGGGGCAGAGTGAGTCTGAGGAGGAGGGAGGAAATTAATCAAGAATTCATGTTTATCATATGACCTTTCAACTCTTTGCAGCCCTCTAAGTGGAGAAAAATAAGTTTTTAGGTGAGCAGAAAGAACGGTTGATTTAAACAGTAGTAAAGATGACTTCTGTGTATACCTGGTGCCAGTTTTCTCTAACCTGTTAAGAAAAATTATCCAAAATGTGTAAAACCGAGACGGTGTGATGGTTACTTTTCTGTCCAGTAGACAAGATAACTCCTCTAGGACATGAATGTGACAAGCGTATCTCTGCATTCCTCTCTTTTTCCCCAGTGTTTTACAAAATCCCAATTTCTTTTTTTTTGAGATGGAGTCTCGCTCTGTCACCCAAACTGGAGTGCAGGGGCGTGATCCCCATCTCCTGGGTTCAAGCGATTCTCCTGCCTCAGCCTCCCAAATAGTGGGACTACAGGCGCGCACCACCACACTTGGCTAATTTTTGTATTGTTAATAGAGTCACGGTTTCACCATGTTGGCCAGGCTGCTCTCGAACTCCTGACCTCAGATTTTCCTCCTGCCTTGGCTTCCCAAAGTGCTGGGATTACAAGCGTGAGCCATCACACCTGGCCAAAATCCCAGTTTCTTATGATCTCATTAAACCGGCACTGTCATCCTGCTGGTTCCCTCATTAATGCACTAAATACAACTTTTTAACAGGTGCTCACTAGTTTATGAGAATGAGGGCTTTCATATTTTGAGATCAGGCTTTGACAGAACCAGGTTCTATATTTTAGATATGGCTATATGTATTTATGAACATCCTCGGGAGTGGAATTCCTTTTTTCTCTCTCTTTTTAAATTTATACATTCTTTCTTTCTTTGTTTCTTTCTTTCTTTCTTTTTTTTTTTTTTTGAGATGGAGTCTCGCTCTGTCACCCAGGCTGGAGTGTAGTGGTGCGATATCGGCTCACTGCAAGCTCCGCCTCCCAGGTTCACGCCATTCTCCTGCCTCAGCCTCCTGAGTAGCTGGGACTACAGGCGCCCGCCACCACACCCAGCTAATTATTTTTTTTTTTTTTGTATTTTTAGTAGAGATGGGGTTTCACCGTGTTAGCCAGGATGATTTCTTTTTTTTTTAGAGATGAGGGTCTCACTGTGTTGACCAGGATGGTCTTGAACTCCGGGGCTCCCGCCTCGGCCTCCCAAAGTGCTGGGATTACAGGTGCGAGCCGCTGTGCCTGGCCTCCTTTTCTCTCTTTAAGGAAGGCAGGCCCTGCTTGTTCTTTGTTCTTGTTAACCCTCCCCCAGGATGTGCTCTGCTGGGACCCTCCACCCCTCTACTGAGACAGGTACACAGAATGGTGGATAATGGGCCTAAGGTCCTAGTGGGCCAGCCCTCAAGCTGCTTCTAGCTCCAGTGCATGGGAACAGCAGCCATGCCACAGGTAACAGGCCTGAGAAACAGCCAGGCACGGGGAGGCGCCTACCTGGAGCGAGAGCACTGGTGGTCCCTCCGGAGGCTCCACGAGGGGCATTTTGGATCTGGGAGCTGACTCCGCAGCGTGGCAGGGCGCCTCCTTCACCCCACCTTTGTCACTGCTGGTCGGGCCGCAGGCATCCCGGGTGACTTTCTGGAGGATGTCCGTCTCTATCATCTTCCTTCTCTCCTGTCGGAGGGCCCGGCGGTTCACAGATTCTTGTGAGGCAGTGCTGAGGGGCTCTGCCTTTGGGTCTCCTTCATGGCAGGAGAGAGTGGCTTCGGCCTGTGGGTCCCAGGGAGGACCCTGGGATCCTTTGGTGTTGAAAGACAGGCTTCCAAGGTCGCCTTCCAGCCACCTGGGGGGCTCCTCGGCCATCCCAAGAAGAGCGCTGACCTCACCAGAGCTTTCAAAAGGCCTGCCAGGGTCTCTTCCTTCCTGAGAGGATGCATCCTTTGTCCTTGTGTTCTGTCTGCACCCAGGTTCTGTGGCCAATTCTGCAGGCACCAGAACTGGCTGTCAAGAAAACAGGTATGTTCAGTTAGCATCCTCAAAAACATGCTTCAGGGAATGTTTTTCATAGAAAAATATGTACTTTTTTTTTTTTTTTGAGGTGAAGTCTCGCTTTGTTGCCCAGGCTGCAGTGCAGTGGTGCGATCATAGCTCACTGCAGCCTCGACTTCCCTGGCCCAGGCGATCCTCCCACTTCAGCCTCCCAAGTAGCTAGGATGACAGGCACATACTACTAGGCCCAGTTAATTTTTTTTAATATTATTTTGTAGTGACAGAGTCTCTACAACATAGTTGGTCTTCCAGGCTTGTCTCAAGTTCCTGGCCTCAAGCTATCTTTCCTGCCTCAGCCTCCCAAAGTGGTGGGATTACAGGCACAAGCCACTGTGCCTGACCTCTTTTAACCATTTTTAACTGCACACTTCATTCTACTAAAAATACAAAAATGAGCCAGCACAGTGGCGTGCGTGTAATCCCAGCTACTTGGGAGGCTGAAGTGGGAGGATCGCTTCAGCCCGGGAGGTGGAGGCTGCAGTGAGCAGTGAGGGCACCATTGTATTCCAGCCTGGGTGACACAGCAAGATCCTGTCCCAAAAAAAAAAAAAAAAAAGTTGGAAAGCTACTGTTGAATATGGGCTGGCTAAAGACAGCACCACTGAGGCATCCTGCTATTTAAATACAAGGCTAGAGTGGAATGCACTGTTACAGCAATGAAACAATATTTAAATTATCAATCATGATAATGTTGGGGCTCAGAAATTCATACCCCAAGCTAGAGTACAAGTCATCCTTCCACCTCAGCATCCTGAGTAGCTGGGACCACAGGCACACCATCACACCCAGCTAATTTTTTAGTAGAGATCCCACATTACAAAAAAAAAAAAAAAAAAAAACAAGAAAAAATCATCCAGAAGAGTTTCTGAAGTAATTGATTGTAAAAATGAAGCAGCAAAATAAAATCACATGCAAATTGTTCCACCTGAACCCACCAGAGTTCTTAGCTGCCCTGGGGATCTCTCTTGTGTGGGGTTATTTCAAACCTAGGTCTAGGAATGGCTGGGCTGATGGGAGATTTCCTTCAAGGTGATGGGTGGGTGCATGTCCTGGTTCTGGGAGATGATCTGGTTCGGTGCCCATGCCCTCCCATTCAGTAGGTTAATTGTTCTCAGCAGAACACCTGAGAGAAGTTACGCTGGAGCTAGGCCCCGTCTCCATTTTGGAAGTGGGTTAGTGCCTCTACACTGTTTTCTTTTCTTTATTATTATTTTTTTTTTAGATGGAGTCTCACTCTGTTGCCCAGGCTGGAGTGTGCAGTGGTGTGATCTTGGCTCACTGCCATCTCTGCTCCCCCGGGTCCAAGCGATTCTCCTGTCTCAGCCTCTGGAGTAGCTGCGATTACAGGCACCTGCCACCATGCCCAGCTAATTTTTTTATTTTTAGTAGAGATAGGGTTTCACCATGTTGGCCAGGCTGGTCTCAAACTCCTGACTTCAAGTGATCCACCCATACTGGCCTCCTAAAATGCTGGGATTACAGGCGTGAGCCACTGTGCTCAGCCAGAAATGGGGTCTTGCTGTATTGCCCAGGCTGGTCTCAAACTCCTGGCCTCATGGGAACCTCTGTCTCAGCCTCCAGCACTGGCAACACAGGCCTGCGTTGGCACGCTTAGTCCACATTTGCTCATTGTCTCCTGGGTTGTCCCTCCCACGAGGTCCAGCTTGTGTGCTTGCTCAGGCACTGATGGGCCATCTTCCTCCCTCCCACTCCCCACTGTAGCCTGTAGCAGTGTAGTTTAGCAGTTTAGTAAACCAGAGTTCCTGTGTACTCGCCAGGTGCTGGGATGAGCCAGGTAGCCATGAAGCCAGCTGGGTTAAGGGAGAGACAATTAGGACAAGCAGTTGTGACAATGGCCAGAAGCTATTCAGGATGCCATGGTAGAGAACAGGATAGGAGCGATCAAGAAGAAGAGAAGGGTCAAAATCGGATGGAAAATCAAGCGTGCATGCCAGCCCTAAGGTGCCGGGCTCCCCAGGAGAGGGAGGTGCGTGGAGGTTAGATGTTGGGCATCTGAATACCTTGGGTTGTACATGGGGGAAAAAAAAAAGGACCATGTTCTAGCATATCGTGGAAATGCTAGAACAGTGGTTTAGACCAGTCAGTTTAGACTAACATCGCACACACACAGGCGTATACTCTTCTGTGTCCCACAGACCTCGGGAAGGGACTCTTCAGCTGCAGCGACCCAGGCCCTGGACTTGTCGCCATCGGCAGGATCTTCAGCCAGCTCCTCCGACAGGTCTGGAATCAGGGAGGTTTGGTTTCGCTGGAAGATGAACAGCTCCTCTTCCCCATAGTCCGACTGTGGACAAATGAGAGGGCTTTTGGAGGACAAGGCAGCAGGCAGAGCCCTGAGGGCCTAGCCACCCCCGCTCTCCACTCTCCACTCTCACTTCCAGCCCAGCCCGCCCAGCCCATCCAGCCCGTCCAGCCCTGCTGCTCAGGAGCCTGGGGGAGATCCGGTTCTCTCCCAGTCAGCCTTGCTGTGCGCGGCTTCTTGCCACCGTTTAGAAATGGGCTTGGCAGCACAACCTCGTGGAGGTGAGACTGGGGCTCCTGGTTCTGCAAGTACCTCGCATACAGCAGGTGCTTCATTAATGCCTCGTGACATGAACAGGGCAGTGAGGTGGTAGCTGAAAGAGCAGGGTCCAGCCCTCCCCATCCCCTGTGACCCTGAGCCATCACTTACACAGCTTAGTTTGTCTTCTTGAAGGGGTTGGGGCTCATACTCTCAAATGAGACTGAAGGTGTGAAAACACCCTGAGCACTGAGGCGTGGGGTCCCCTTAGGTTCTCCTTAGCCTCGTCATGCACTGGATGACGTCTGAGGTCCCTGAAGCTCTGTTGCTGGTGCCCAGGTAGGACCCAAACCCTGCCCGTTCCTTTTAAAACCCTCATACTGTCTCTTAACGCCCAGTGCCAACCTGTGCACTGAGCAGCCCCCGCCAGGAGCATCTTTAGCAGGGTCTTATGCCTGCACCTAGGGCTATTGGTCTGAGCGTCTTTGAGAGCCATTTCAGGGACCCCAAACCACAAATGCAGAATCCCTCGAAGGCTTATCACAATGCACTGGAATTGTGCATTCTCAGTGGGTGTTCTGGCCCTGTCCTGGCACGAGAGAGTGGAGAATAGCAGAATGGAAAGGACAGAGCTTCTGCATCAAATTGACCTGGGTTCCAAGTCAGCACCAAAAACTCCACTGAAAGGGTCTCCCAAGATGCTGAGCACCAATACCCATGCTCAGAGATGACAATCAAGGCAGAAGAAAGAGTAAAGAAGGAAATAGGCACCCAGAAAACACAACTTTGAGTCTGGCCATGCGATTTAAAGTAAAATGACAACAAACTGCACAGGTCAGCAGGAAAAGTCTTCAGAGAAGTGCTCCAAAGCTGTCCTGGCCAGCGTCATGCCTGCTCTGGTAGGAAGGACAAGGCATCCAGGGAGAGAGTTCTTGCTTACCAAAGGGGAGTCTGAGTCCAGAGACGGGAGCTGGTCTTTGACAGCCTTGAGGATGGCATCCCAGGGCCCCATCTGGGAGGCCCAGGGAGAGCCCAGCGAGGGTGCCATGCCTTTATCGTTGGATGCCATGAGGGCCCAGGCTTCCAGATGCCTTCTCAGTGCACCATAATCCGGGGAGCTCTGTGGGGTACACAGGGTGATGGAAGAGGGTCCGGGCCACTGAAGGTCAGGAGAGCAGGGGCTGCTCTACCAGCTGTAGGAGACCAAACAGGCTGGCAGGCCTCACCACCTGCCTCAGTTTCCTTCTAGTTATGCAAGCTCCTGTTAGTGCCAGGCACTGTGTGTGTACGTGTGTGTGTGTGTTCCCACTCATGCACACATGTGGAGCCTGCAGGTATATAATGTATATAGTGATATATACATAATAATATACAAATATATGTATTGATATAAATATACCTATGTAGATATATGTACATGTTATATAGAATGCCATATGTACGATATATAATGATATATAGGTATATTTTATATATACCCCATATAGCATAACTATTCTCTTCATTTCATAGGCTCAGGGTGTTTAGTAAATAGCAACAGTGGACTCTGAATCAGGGGGAATTTCAAGTCCTACTACCCTTTACTGCCCTTTACCAAGGAACAGAAGACACCTTGCTTTTTTGTTTTGGAGACAGGGTCTGGCTTTGTCGCCCAGGCTAGAGTGCAGTGGTACAATGATAGCTCACTGAAGCCTCGGCCTCCTGAGCTCAAGTGATCCTCCCACCTCAGCCTCCTGAATAACTGGGACTACAGGTGTGTACCACCACATCTGGCTAACATTTTTATTTTTTGTAGAGATGGAGTCTCCCTGTTGCCCAGGCTGGTCTCAAACTCCTGGCCTCAAGTGATCCTCTTGCCTCAGCCTCCCAAAGTGCTGGGATTACAGGCATGTGCCATCGCGCCTGGCTGACAGTTTGGAGTCACTAAGTGATTTTTTTTTTTTTTTGGAGTCACTACTCTGACCAGCCCCTGCATTTATATCTTAGAGTCTTAAAGGAGATGGTCCTGTTATTCAGGGGGCTGGGGAGCTTGAGCTTGAGAGCTGGGGGGTGAGGGTCCTCTAGAGCCAGTGTCAGGAGAACTCTGCAGCTCGAGAGGCCGCTGTGGCTTTGGCCCTGCAGTCAGTGCCCGTTCATCCCCAATCAGGGCAGCGGCAGGAGATGTGAATTGGGGGCTGCTTGCTTCCTCTGTACTTCTGGGAATAGGGCAGGTGCTTGGTGCACTCTGAACTGGGAGCAGCGGGTTGGGGACGCATCTGGTGCACACAGCCAGCGGGTGTTTTTTGTAACTAGAGCTCTGTTCCGCAATTCAGGGCACAGTATTTCTTAGGGCAACAGAATCGTCGGGATGAAGAGGGCCTCCAGAGACTCTGATAAACCCTTCAGGCGGACAAGACAATAGGGGAGGGAACGGCATTACCGGCAGAAGGAAGAGCATGTACAGTAGCTCAAAGGAATGAACCGCCCAACAGGTTTAAGGGAAGAAAGTGTCAGTTGCTGGACTCTCCGGTGAAAACGGACCAGACAATGCAGGGCCCTGAACGCCAAGTTGAGGAGCTCAGAGCATCCAGAAGGCGAAGGGGAGGCTCGGAGCCGCCTCTGAATAACGGCCTTCCGGCTCCGTCTCGGGGTGGGTTTCTCAGCTGCAGCCTGTTAGCCCCGCCACAGCCCCGCCCCGGTTCTCAGAGCCCCGCCCCCAGCCGGCCTGCCACGAGGCTGCCGGTTGTTATGGCAACCAGACGCCAACAGCCTCCCGGGTCGAGCTTTTAAATTTTAAAGCTGTGGAAGTGGAAAGCCCATCGCTCCTCCTCTCACCCACCCCCAGCCCGTATTTCCCCGCGTTTTGTTCAACTCCCTGCAGGCGCAGCAGGCCCGAGGCCCCTCACCTCAGGCCTCTGCCTCCACTCCCCGCGCTGTCCTGACAGCGCTATAAACAGCCTCCAGCGCGTCACTCCGCTCGCGTCCGCCCCTCGGGCCGCGCCGCAGGTACAGAGGCTGTCCCCTTCTTCAGCACTCTCCCTCTCAGCGGAGCTTTACATTACTAGACTGCCTCCGCCTTCCCCCCACCCCGCCCAGCTCCTCTTTCGGGCCTTTGCGCGTCCTGCCTCTCCTGCAATGGGATTGGTTCCCCTGGAGGGCGGGGACGGAGCAGGACAAACACCACTAGCTCATTGGCTACCGCGGGCATCAGACAGCGAGCCGGGAAGCTGACCGGAAGGTCCGGGTGCGGGACGTGTGCATTCCACGGCGCCCGGGAGCTGTCCCGGTGCCGACCCGCGAGCTTCCCGGCGTGCTCCGCGCCCTCCCGCAACTACTTCCGGGGCGGGTGCCGGGGGCGGTGCCCCGGCGAGGGAGCGTGGCGGCGAGCTGTTTGGGGGGGGTTGGCGACGGCAGCCCGAGGGCGGCGCAAGGCCTGAGGCCCAGCACAGGTGGGTTCCGCGGCGGCCCGGCCCCAGCACTTGCCGGCACCTGCAGCCCGCCTAGACCCGGCGCTCGGGCGTCCCGCGCTGCACTTGCTCGCCGCGTGACTGGAGGACCGAGCCCCCACATTTTCTTTATGTGGTTGTGGTGGGGGCACAGTAATGCCCTGTGCGCCGTAGCGTTCCTGTGGGGATGTGGCCGGGGGGCGTCGGGAAGCGTCACTGCTGTGAGTTACGGGTTTGTCGGCCAGGGACCCGCCCCGGGGCCAGTGAGCTACCTTTGCGATGCGGTTCCACGGGGCGAGAGGGGGTGCCTGGGTGCTTTCACAGACCTCCTCTGTGGGCGTGACAGTTACCACCAGCATCACATTTGTTAAGATTTTTAAAAATTTTTTAATTTTTGTGGGTACGTAGTAGGTGTATATATTTATGGCGTATATGAGAGATTTTGATACAGGCATGCAGTTCGTAATAATCACATGTAAAATGGGGGTCTCCATCCCTTCAAGCATTTATCCTTTGTGTTACAAACAATATGATTATACTCTTTGAATTATTTTTAAATGTGCAGCCGGGCGCGGTGGCTCACTCACGCCTGTAATCCTAGCACTTTGGGAGGCAAAGGCGGGCGGATCACCTGAAGTCAAGGATTTGAGACCAGCCTGGCCAACATGGGGACACTTCGTCTCTACTAAACATACGAAAACTAGGCTGGCATGGTGGCTCATACCTGTAATCTCAGCTACTCGGGAAGCTGAGGCAGGAGAATCGCTTGAACCCAGGAGGCGGAGGTTGCATTGAGCCGAGATCACGCCGCTGCACTCTAGCCTGGGTAACAGAGTGAGATTATGTCTCAAAAAAAATAATAATAAATAAATAAAATGTGCAATTAGATTATATTGACTATAGTCACCCTGTTGTGCGGTCAAATACTAGATCTTTTTTTTTTTTTTTTTTTTTTTGAGACGGAGTCTCGCTTTGTCGCCCAGGCTGGAGTGCAGTGGCTTGATCAAATACTAGATCTTATTCATTCTGTTTTTTTTGTATCCATTAAGCATCCCCACCCTCCACTACCCTTCCCAGCCTTGGTTACACTAGAAGTAACCATCCTTCTACTTTCTATGTCCATGAGTTCAGTTGTTTTGATTTTTAGATAACCACAAATAATTGAGAACATGCAATATTTATCTTTCTGTGCCTGGCTTATTTCACTAAACATAACGATCTCCGCTTCCATCCATGTTTTTGCAAATGATAGGATCTCATTCTTTTTTTATGGCTGAATAGTACTCCATTGTGTCTAAGTACCACATTTTCTTTAGGATTCACTGTAAAGGTAACAGATACTTAGCATTTTCAGAATGGACAGAACCAAAAAGTTGAATGAAAACTAAAACGTCTTATCTCTAATGCTACTTTACACCACACCACTCGGGATGGGACATTTTAGTTTTCACTTTAGTGTTTTTTTTTTGTTTTTTTTTTTGAGACAGAATTTCGCTCTGTTGCCCAGGCTGGAGTGCAGTGGCTTGAGCTCGGCTCACTGCAATCGCCTCCCAGGCTCAAGCGATTCTCTTGCCTCAGCCTCCTGAGTACTGAGACTACAGGCGCCCACCACCACACCCAGCTAATTTTTGTAATTTTAGTAAAGATGGGAGTTCACCATTTTGGCCAGGGTGGTCTCGAACTCCTGGCCTCAAGTGGTCCGTCACGCTTGGTCTGGTTCTCATTGTCCTTCAGACCTCTGGGGATGTCAGATATGCAAGTCTCCAGTAAATAGAGAACACGGCCTCACCCTGCAGGAGGCCTTTGGCGTGGAAGAGACATGCCCAGTGAAGGCTTGAGGGAGGTATGGAAGGGACTCTGAACTGACCCTCAGCTCGTTTGGTTTCTTATCCAGGCTTCGTTGGCCAGGGCTGTTAGGGTGGGATTCTCACCTGCAAAGTGAGGGAAGGGCACTGCACGATCTTGGGCTCTGCTAGCTGAAGAGGTGGTGGCTCCAGGAAGGAGGGCTTTGCTTGCCCCACCGCACCTACACACACTCTTCACCAAGGGTCTGTGAAGTGTTCGTCTCCCACATTGGTGGCTTGTTTCTTTAGCCATCTTGGCTGTCACCTGGGGCTTGGAAGCATTCTTTAATAGAAACTGAGGTCCTCATCGCATCTATTAACTACCATAGCACCTGTAGGTCATCACAACCTGACAAGGCCTTTGTTTTCGCCTTTGCTCCCTTTCCTACCCTTGTTTCCTGGCACTCTTGTACCTAAGGATTCTACTAGGAAGCTGATGACCTTGCCTTGATTTGGGGATTCCTGGTGTGCCGTTACCCATGTAGGCCCATCTCGGGGAAAGTGTTACCTCACCAGTTCACCGGCCTGTTATATTTCCCCCCATAGCTCTCTCTTCAAAGGATGCCTAAGTGGATTCCTATTCAGTTGACGGTTGCTGCGTGCCACCAGTCACATCCTGGTTTGTCTGTTGGGGAATTGCTTTCTATTTTTTTCAGAAAAATTTATTTTTACTTTTTTGAAATTTTCAATTTCATAACCATTCCAGAAAAATTAATTTATATTTAAAATTTACAGGCCAGGTGCAGTGGCTCACGCCTATATTTCCAGGACTTTGAGAGGCTGAGGCGGGCGGATCACCTGAGGTGAGGAGTTCGAGACCAGCCTGGCCAACATGGTGAAACCCCCGTCTCTACTAAAAATACAAAAATTAGCCTAACATGATGGCGCACACCTGTAATCTCAGCTATTCAGGTGGCTGAGGCTCAAGAAGCCCTTAAACCCAGGAGGCAGAGGTTCCAGTGAGCTGAAATCATGCCACTGCACTCCAGCCTGGGCAACAGAGCGAGACTGTCTCAAAAAAATAAATAAAATTTACATACAGTAAAATTCATTTTGGTGTTCAGTTCTGTGGTTTCATAAAGGCATGGAGTCACAGATCCACCGTCACAGTCATACAGGTCTATCGTCCCCCAAATTCCCTCTCTGCCCCAACCTCCAACCCTTTAATTTTGCCTTTTCCAGAATGTCATGTAAGTGAAATTATACTGTAGGCAGGCTTCTTCCATTTAGCGTAAATCATTTGAAATTCATTCACGTGTTGCATGTCAACTGTTGGATCCTTGTGTTTAATGCTGAGTAGCATCCATTATATGGATGTGCCACCGTTTGTTTATCCATTCTTTTATGTATCATAATAGCAGCCTTTTTAGATATGTCCCCGTTAGACAGTGAGGCACTAGGGATTGGAGTTGCTAAGTAGCAGAGCTGCTTTTTTGTTGTTTTTTTTTTTTGTTTTGTTTTTGGAGACAAAGTCTTGCTCTGTTTCCCAGGCTGGAGTGCAATGGCGTGATCTTGGCTCACCGCAACCTCCGCCTCCTCAGTTCAAGTGATGCTCCTACCTCAGCCTCCCGAGTAGCTGGCCTTCATGCCCAGCTAATTTTTGTATTTTTAGTAGAGACAGGATTTCACCATGTTGGCCAGGCTGGTCTTGAACTCTTGACCTCAAGTGATCTGCCCACCTTGGCCTCCCAAAGTGCTGGGATTACAGGTGTGAGCCACCGCACCGGGTCCAAGCTGAATTTTGATCAAACCCCAAATCCAGGGTTCTTCCCCACCACATCAAGGAACTGATTGGGTTAAACAACCCAATTAGCATTTCTTCACTGCCCATCCAAGAGGTTGTCAGGTTCCTAGAGTTGGTGGAGAATTCTCTTTTACCTGGTGCCTGCGGTTGGAAGGAGGAGCAGGTACTCCACAGTTAATGCCTCACCATATGTGCTCCTCTTTACTGGTGTGATAGCAGGCTCACCAGATTTAGCATGGTTGGGACTGCCCAAAGCATACATTATTTCAGCAAATAAATTTGTCTGAGTTACTCCCGGGGTTGACTGCACTGGGTTATCAGTCTGCTAGTGCAGTGGTGTAGCAGGGGCAGGACCAGCCTGTTTCATGCCCTGGAACAACCAGCCAGGAAAGATCTAACCCTTGGGCCTTCCTCCTCAGTGATGTCCGAGCTCAGCGATGAAGCCAGCGAGCCGGAACTCCTGAACCGCAGCTTGTCCATGTGGCACGGGCTCGGGACACAGGTCAGCGGGGAGGAGCTGGATGTCCCCCTGGATCTTCACACAGCTGCTTCCATTGGCCAGTATGAAGTGGTGAAGGAGTGTGTGCAGCGGTAAGAGATCTCGGGGAACTTCCTCTCACATTTTGAGCAGCGCAGTGATGGCTTCGATCCCACGTGATGGGGCTTTGCACACAGTTGTGGATGTTTAATGCGTGTAGAATAGGTTAACCTGCTTATCTCAGGCAGCTGTCAGTAAGTATTGATGCTGAGCCCTGACAAAGAGGCCGTTTTTATTCCTAGGAAGAAAAAGAGGGAGTAAACTTTGATCAGAAGCTTATAAACAGTCATTCTTTAACCAGACTAATTTTATTCACTAATTGCAGAAATGCCCAAACAAACAAGCAAAATAAAAATAAAGACAGAAAGTGATGGCCTGGTGCGGTGGCTCACACTTGTAATTCCAGCACTTTGGGAGGCTGAGATGGGCGGGTCACTTGAGGTCAGGAGTTTGAGACCATTCTGGATAACATGATGAAACCCCATCTCTACTAAAAATATAAAAGTTAGCTGGGTGTGGTGGCATGTACCTGTAATCCCAGCTACTCAGGAGGCTGAGGCAGGAGAATCGCTTGAACCCGGGAGGTGGAGGTTACAGTGAGCTGAGATTGCGCCACTGCACTCTAGCCTGGGCAACAGAGTGAGACTCTGTCTCAAAAACAAAAAAAAGAAAAAAGAAAGTGATCCCTGGCCTTCTTTTCCCGGAGGGTTCATTCGATCCCTGTGATCCCTGTTCCCCTCTAGCTTCTGCCATGGAGGAGGAGAGAGGCTGGGCTTTCAGTGCCTCTGGGGAATGACCTCCCGACGTCACTGCCCACCTGCCCTTTGCTAATCTGTGTACAATAGTTAGAGACAATATAAAGCCCCTGGCAGGGTCCATGGCTGCGTCTTGCCCATAGTAGGATGTGATCATCTTGTTTTTGGAAAAGGGTCGTCTCCTCACTTCCACCCCCTTATGTTCCACACACAGCCTAACTCTGTCTCCTGGTTCTCATTTGATATTGTGGTGCAGCGACCTCTCTTCCTCTCTCTGCGTGCCTCTTCCAGTTCCCAGTGAGCCAAAGCAAAGCATTGCTGAAGCCCCAGGTCTCCGGTTCCCAAGTTGTGGCCCTCACTTAGACATACCCAGCCCATGGAGTGCTGGTGCACCTTGGTACAGGGTGGTCTGTTGCGCTCCCTCCACAGGAGGCTCTAGGCATAGGCAGCTGGGTATGCAGTCAGTACGGCCCCTCAAAGGGTCACGTTTGGAATTCTCAGGCTCTTAAGTCTTTGGGTGTCCTGTTAAGATGCAGAGTCCATAACCGCTCCATAGAGGAGCAGGGGGAGGCGTTTGTGTTGTGATGGGATTTTGACACTAGCTGAGGTGGAGGCTTGCTGATAGTAAGCACAGGATGGGGCCTGAGGGGAGCTGGGGGCATCAGAAGGAAGGGGTGGGGCTGAACGAGGAGTGGTAAGAGAGCCCCAGGGAGATGCTCTGCTGTTGTGTAAAGGAAGATAGTGTTAGGACGAGCTGGGTGCATTCGAGCCCTGCTGCAGAGGCATCTCCATGCAGCCCCCCTGGCCAGGGGCTGCCACTGAACCCTGGTATCAGGACCTTCTGGAATGGCTGCCCAGGTGTGCATCCCAGAGTCACTGAGGGCTGCCAGGCAATGGAAGGTAGTTGCCTGCTGTGGTCTAATATGTGAATCCCGGCTGGGCGCGGTGGCTCACGCCTGTAATCCAGCACTTTGGGAGGCTAAGGCGGGTGGATCACGAGGTCAGGAGATCGAGACCATCCTGGCTAACACGGTGAAACCCCATCTCTACTAAAAATACAAAAAACTAGCTGGGCGTAGTGGCGGGCGCCTGTAGTCCCAGCTACTTGGGAGGCTGAGGCAGGAGAATGGCGTGAACTTGGGAGGCGGAGCTTGCAGTGAGCCGAGATCGCGCCACTGCACTCCAGCCTGGGCGACAGAGCGAGACTCTGTCTCAAAAAAACAACAAAAAAGTGAATCCCGTAAAAGGGACAGATCCTGGGGTTCAGTCACCAGTTGTTATCCCCTCTGCAGGCAAGAACTGGGGAAGGGAAAGAAGGCCTGTGGGCGTTAACCATGTAGGATCCCAGGTAACCATGCAAGTGGGTATTATTTTAAATGTGACTCCCTTGTCCCAACCCCAGAGTCGCAGCTAGGAAGCCCACAGTTTTTTCCCATGGGAAAATGCATTGCCAGAATTTTAACAGCAATCAGTGAGAAAGATGGGATTCTTTGGTCACAGATTTTTCAAGAATGTTTCTTTAAGGTGAGGTGACAAAGGATGAATCAGTGGCGGTGGGACTTGTCCACGGTGGAGTCCCTTCTTTCCTCACTGCTCCTCTCCACCCAGCAGTGGGCTAGTAGATGCCAGGCCTGTGGTGGTCAGGGTTTTTCAACTGTGGCTGTGTTGACAATCCAGGCTGGATCATTCTTTGCTGTGGGGGCTGTCCTGGACACTGTGGGATGTTTAGCGGCAGCCTTGGCCTCCAGCAGCCCTTCCCTGCCCAGTTGTGAGAACCAAAAATGCCTTCACACATTGCCACATATTCCCTGGTTGAGTGCCATCTGCCTATCTGGTGGTGTGAAAGAGCATAGCTGGCCTTGGGCTAGGAGGATGCGAAATCAGAGCAAGGAGACGAAGGCTCAGGGCCTCACAAGGCAGTGTACGAGCAACTGTCAGCATTTTTCTGCCTGCCTGCCTCCAATCCCCACAACGTCCAGGGTGGCAGATAACTTCTGCTTCCTGTCAACTCATCCCGCCTGGCCTAGCCTCGCCACCAGCTTTGGTGAACCCCACATGCGAGGCGGCTGGCCATGTCTAGCATATCTTGCGTTTGTTTAGGAGAGAGTTAGATTTGAATAAGAAGAATGGTGGTGGCTGGACCCCGCTGATGTATGCCTCCTACATTGGCCACGACACAATCGTGCACCTGCTGCTTGAGGCGGGGGTGAGTGTGAATGTGCCGACCCCAGAAGGGCAGACTCCACTGATGCTGGCCTCCAGCTGTGGCAACGAGAGCATCGCCTACTTTCTTCTCCAGGTGAGCTACGAGGGAACTCAGGCCCAGAAACCTGAGGGGCTCCGTGGCCACCCTGACAGAGATGCGAACCACTGCAGGCCACGGTGTTCGTGTGTGCTCGTGTAATCACTTCTGATTCTTGCAGCATGGCCGCCTGGAGGGCGCCCGCCCCACGCAGAGGAGATGAGGCCGTAACGCACGTTCTGTGTTCTCTTGAAGCAAGGTGCAGAGCTAGAAATGAAAGACATCCAGGGCTGGACAGCCCTCTTCCACTGTACCAGCGCCGGGCACCAGCACATGGTCAGGTTCCTCTTGGACAGTGGAGCCAATGCCAACGTGAGGTGATTGCCACATCTTTAGTGGCCACAGGAGTGGCCTAGGTGTCATCTGACTCTAAGGAGGGTGGCTCTGGAGGCAGCTAACCAGAGTTTAGGGCCACCCTGCTTCGGCACGAGAGGCTCAAGATGAGGGGTAGGACCAGAGTCCTTCCAGGCACAGGCCTTTTCGTACATCTGTGAGATGCATCTCTTCAAGCCCTCTCAGCTTCCTTTTCTTTATCTGAAACCCACCTGGGTCATACAGTTGTAAGAATTACATGTTTTATTGTATGCCAGGGGCCTAACATACTGAATGGCATTTAAATGTCATACATTACATGCAAATTCCTTCCATTTTCTTGCTTTTTGTATGGATGAGGTGAGGTGATGCTTTGAAACAGTCATGAGGCCGGGCGTGGTGGCTCACGCCTGTGATCCCAGCTCTTTGGGAGGCCGAGGTAGGCAGATCACGAGGTCAGGAGATCGAGACCATCCTGGCTAACATGGTGAAACCCCATCTCTACTAAAAATACGAAAAAATTAGCTGGGCATGGTGACGGGCGCCTGTAGTCCCAGCTACTCGGGAGGCTGAGGCAAGAGAATGGTGTGAACCCGGGAGGTGGAGCTTGCAGTGAGCCGAGATTGCACCACTGCACTCCAGCCTGGGTGACAGAGCAAGACTCCATCTCAAAAAAAAAAAAACAAAAACAACAGTCATGAGTTTTGGCCGGGCTCAGTGGCTCACACCTGTAATCCTAGCACTCTGGGAGGCCAAGGCGGGCAGATCATGAGGTCAGGAGTTCGAGACCAGTCTGGCCAACATGGTGAAACCCCGTCTCTACTAAAAATACAAAAATTAGCTGGGCGTGGTGGCAGGTGCCTGTAATCCCAGCTACTCGGGAGTCTGAGGCGGGAGAATCACTTGAAACCAGAAGGCAGAGGTTGCAGTGAACTGAGAGATCGTGCCACTGCACTCCAGCCTGAGCAACAAGAGCAAAACTCTGTCTCAAAAACAAACAAAAAACCAGTCATGAGTTTTATAAGTTGGAAGTGGGATTGTTGTCTAAAGCTTGTCATGATAATAATCACCTTTGAACAAACGCAGCGGGTACCAATGCAGCACCCACCCTGGCTGTCATTCATTCTAAGACACCTGATAATTTTGTATGCCACTAAGAAAGAAAAAATATGCTACTAATTAACATTCAACTCGCCTGTTGATTTAAAGATGTTTTCTGACTTGAGAGATGTTAAAATATGAACACTGTGTGTCTTAAGATGGATGAAAACCAGCATTTCCCATGCATGGTTCCTGACTTCCAAACCAGCATGAGACAAGGAGGGATTTGGAAGCCCTCTGAAGACAGTGCCGAGTTAGCATAACCAAGCATGAAAAGCAAGCTTCAGGAGCTAAGCGTGGCAAAGATAGCTTAGATCATTAGTACTTGAACTTTTCAGAGTGGGTTCATGGAGGACGTTGAACTTGAAGCCAGGATTTGGATGAATGGATGGGAGATGCTGGCTTTCTGTGAGGAATTAGAACAGCTTTTTGAATATGATTGAGGTGGAGATTTCAGAGGTAGCCAGTGGGAATAGCCAACAGGTGGGACGACAGGCAGACATCTGTCTTTAGGACAAAGACCAGCCCTGGGGACAGACACCAGAAGAGTAAATGGAGCTGATGTGTTATATTCACTGTTCTCATGTCACCTGTTAATTCTGGAAAGGGACAGTGTTCTACGCTTAGGGATCGGTGACTCGTGCACTGCTCAGGGTTTATCTTCAGCAGGGAGTTTTTGCCTGGCGGAACTTGTCTCTTCCAATCATCTGACTGTGGCCCACATCTTGCAGGGAGCCGATATGTGGATTTACTCCCTTGATGGAAGCAGCTGCTGCTGGCCATGAGATAATCGTGCAGTATTTTCTGAATCACGTAAGTGACCCTGATTATTAGCATGTAATGTAGTCACGGCAAATGAGGAATCATATTACTGAAGTATAAGCTATTACAGAATTTTCCTTTGCACAGAAATAACTTTCATTCATTTATTCAACACATTTTCATTATCTATTGACGCCCGGTGTTGAGTGGTGCTTAGGCATTAAGGATACAGTGGTGAGTAGAAATAGACACCTATTCCTGTAATAATTTTGAAAATACTATCTGAAAATTATGGAAAAATATTTTAAAAGTAAATAGCACTCATAATCCTGTCACTTAGAAAAATTATATAGAATAAGAAGGCAGAGATCCTCCTCTCTTTTTCAACCTCCCTGATGCCCACTTGGTTTGAGAAAGAGCTGCCCTAGGACTTTTCCTCTGCTGTGGAAAGATGTGTCTGTAGGCAAGTGTGTGCACATTGCTTTGTGTTTTGAACAAAGTGGGATTCTACGTATAGTCTGTAACTTAGAGACATCTTATAGACATCTTATCTTTGTACAGTATTCCGTGTACAATCTGCCTCAGTTAATTTAATGAGTTTCTTATTAGTAGAAACTTAGTTTTTAACATTTTGCAATTATAAACAGTGTTCCGGGAATATCCTTTTACACATAGCTTTAATACATTTGCAGTTATTTCTGTATGTTGTATTTCTGTTTTATTTTATTAATTTATTTTTTTGAGACATGGTGTTGCCCTGTATCCCAGGCTGGAGTTCAGTGGCGAGATCGTGGCTCACTGCAGCTTCAGCCTCCTGGGCTCAAGCGATCCTCCTGCCTCAGCCCCCAAGTAGCTGGGACTACAGGTGCATGCTACCATGCCCCGGCTAATTATTTAATTTTTTTTTTTTGGTAGAGTTGGGGGTCTCAGTATGTTGTGCAGGCTAGTCTTGAATTCCTGAGCTCAAGCGATCACCTCAGCCTCCCAAAGTGCTGGGATCACAGGTGCAAGCCTGTCCACACAGAACCTTGTACATAAATATTCATAGCAGTATTATTCATAATTGCCAAAAAGTAGAAAAACCCACAAGTCCATCTACTGAGGAATTGATAAACAAAATATATATCTGTATAGCAGGATATTATTCGGCCCTACAAAGTAATGCAGTACTGCTGCATGCTGCGGCAGGGGTGAACCCTGATGCGTTAGGCTGGGCTGGGTGCGGTGGCGCACGCCGGTAATCCCAACACTTTGGGAGGCTGAGGCCAGAGGGTCGCTTCAGCCCTGGAGTTGGAGGTTGCAGTGAGCTATGATTGCGCCGCCACACTCCATTCTGGGTCACAGAGTGGATCCTGCCTCAAAAAGAAAAAGAAAAGGAAAACATTCGGCTCAGTGAAAGAAGCCAGACACAACAGGCCACACACTAGGTGATTTCACTCATAGGAAATGTCCAGAATAAGCAAATACATAGACAGAAAATAGATGAGTGGTTTCCTGGGTCTTGGGGAATGGGAAGATTGGGGTGATAAAAATGTGCTAAAATTGTTTGTGGTGATGGTTGAACAACTGTGAATATACGAGAAGCCGTTGAATTGTACATTGTAAGTGGGTGACTTGTTGGTATGTGGATTATATCTTTATAAGGCTGTTAAACCCAATGGGGGGAAGTGCAGGCGGTCCTGATGAATTCCCACTACCAAGGTTGTCTGTTGTCCTGCCCACCAGTCATAGACAAAGGTGTCCATTTTCTCTTGTCCTCACCAGTCCTGATGTCAGTCAACCTTTTGTCAATCTGGCGGGTGAATTGTAGCGTCTCATTTTAGTTTGTCCTTGTTAGAGTAGTTGAAATTTTTTTCTTTTTTTTTTTTTTTGGAGACAGAAGTCTTGTGCTGTGTCGCCCAGGCTGGAAGGCTGGAGTGCAGTGGCGTGATCTCGGCTCACTGCAACCTCTACCTCCCAAGTTCAAGCAGTTCTTCTGCCTCAGCCTCCCGAGTAGCTGGGACTGCAGGCACCCGCCCGCACACCTGGCTAATTTTTTGTATTTTAGTAGAGATGAGGTTTCACCATGTTGCCCAGGCTGCTCTTGAACTCCTGAACTCAGGCAATCCACCCACCTTAGCCTCCCAAAGTGCTAGGATTACAGGCATAAGCCACTGCGCCCAGCCAGTTGAACATTTTTAAATTGATTTCTTAGCCATTTGTATTTCTTTTTTTTTTTTTTTTTTGAGACTGAGTCTCACTCAGTCGCCCAGGCTGGAGTACAGTGGCATGATCTCAGCTCACTGCAACCTCCACCTCCCAGGTTTAAGAGATTGTCCTGCCTCAGCCTCCCGAGTAGCTGGGACTAAAAATACAAAAAATCCCGGCTAATTTTTTGTATTTTTAGTAGAGACAAGGTTTCACCGTGTTAGCCAGGATGGTCTCGATCTCCTGACCTCATGATCTGCCCGCCCTGGCCTCCCAAAGTGCTGGGATTACAGGTGTGAGCCACTGTGCCCGGCTGGCCATTTGTATTTCTCTTACGAGCTGTCTATGTTTATTGCCCAATTTTCTATTGGATAGTTTGTTTTTTTCTCACTTATTGGTGGGAATTTCTTAAATAGTGAAAAATTCACATGGTATCTCTTTTTAACAAAGAATTTTGGGACACAACATGCACATGGTACACATGCAGACCAGAAGGTGGGTGCACCGCAGGCCTGTCCCCCACCCTGCCTGCGTCTCCTTGGCACCCTCCCCACGGGCGACTCTGGGAATACACCCACACATGCTCATGGTCCTGCCCCATGTGCAGCTGCTCCCATCTTGCATTTTTTAAAAAACTTAATCATGAAGATTTTTCTATATTGGTGTATAAAGAGACGGGGCCAGGTGCATTGTCTCGCTCCTGTAATCCCAGCACTTTGAGAGGCCAAGGCAGACAGATCACTTGAGGTCAGGAGTTTGAGACCAGCTTGGCCAAGGTGGTGAAACCCGCCTCTACCAAAAATACAAAAATACAAAATACAGGTGGCTGACGCTGTAATCCCAGCTACTTGGGAGGCTGAGACAGGAGAATCACTTGAACCTGGGAGGCAGAGGTTGCGATGAGCCAAGATGTTGCCACTGCACTCCAGCCTGGGTGACAGAGTGAGACTATCTCTAAATAAATAAATAAATAAATAAATAAATAAATCAATAAATCAATAAAGAGATGGGGTCTTGCTCTGTCCCTCAGGCTGGAGTGGAGTGGTGCAGTCTCAGCTCACTGCAGCCTTGACCTCCTGGTCTCAAGTGATCCTCCTGCCTCAGCCTCCCAAGTAGCTGGGATTACAGGTGCGTGCCACCACGCCCAGCCAATTTTTGTATTTTTTTTGTAGAGATGGGGTTTTGCCACGTTGCCCAGGCTGGTCTTGAACTCCTGAGCTCAGGCAGTTCGCCTGCCTCGGTCTCCCAAAGTGCTGGGATTACAGGCACGAGCCAACGCACCCAGCCCCTCTCTTTTTTTTTTTTTTTTGAGATGGCGTCTTGCTCTGTTGCCCAGGCTAGAGTGCAGTGGCACGATCTCGGCTCACTGCAACCTCAGACTTCCGGGTTCACACCATTCTCCTGCCTCAGCCTCCCGAGTAGCTGGGACCACAGGCGCCCGCCACCATGCCCAGCTAATTTTTCATATTTTTAGTAGAGACGGGGTTTCACCGCGTTAGCCAGGATGGTCTCGATCTCCTGACCTCGTGATCCGCCCACCTTGGCCTCCCAAAGTGCTGGGATTACAGGCGTGAGCCACCGTGCCTGGCCTCTCTTTTTTTTTTTTTTTTTTATGGTGGCATGGTATTCCCTGTAGGGATGAATCAGAGTTTTTTTGTTTGTTTGTTTGTTTGTTTTGAGATGGAGTCTCGCTCTGTAGCCCTGGCTGGAGTGCAGTGGCGCAATCTCGGCTCATTGCAACCTCTGCCTCCCAGGTTCAAGCGATTCTCCTGCCTCAGCCTCCTGAGTAGCTGGGATTACAGGCGTGTGCCACCACGCCCAGCTAATTTTGTATTTTTAGTAGACAGGGTTTCGGCATGTTGGTCAGGATGGTCTTGAACTCCTGACCTCAAGTGATCTACCACTTTGGCCTCCCAAAGTGCTGAGATTACAGGCATGAGCCACTGCGCCTGGCCTACCGTTGACATTTCTTACACGTCTTTTTAAGCACATATGGGAATTTCTTCAGGAGCTTAGGATGTGTTCTTCAAAGTAGAGTCTTTGTTGTGTGAGGTGGGTTCAGTCGGTAGTGGGTAGTGTAAACTTGCTTTGTTCCATAGTGGTCCTGGTTCACACCCCTCCCCTTAGGGTGTTAGACTTCTTTTTTTTTTTTGAGATGGAGTCTCTCTCTGTCACCCAGGCTGGAGTGCAGTGGCGCGATCTCGGCTCACTGCAACCTCTGCCTCCCAGGTTCAAGCGATTTTCCTGCCTCAGCCTCCCGAGTAGCTGGGACTGTAGGCACTCGCCACCATGCCCAGCTAATTTTTGTATTTTTAGTAGAGACAGGGTTTCACCATGTTGGCCAGGATGGTCTCAATCTCTTGACCTTGTGACCCGCCCGCCTTGGTCTTCCAAAGTGCTGGGATTACAGGCGTGAGCCACCGTGCCTGGCCTTTTTTTTTTTTTTTTTTTTGGGGTGGGGTCTTGCTCTGTCCCCAAGGCTGGAGTACAGTGGTGTGATCTCAGCTCAGTGCAACTTCTGACTCCCAGGCTCAAGCAATTCGCCTGGCTCAGCCTCCCGAGTAGCTGGGATTCCAGGTGTGTGCCACCATATCCAGCTAATTTTTGTATTTTTAGTGGAGACAGGGTTTCACCATGTTGGCCAGGCTGGTCTCGAACTCCTGACCTCATGATCTGTCTGCCTCAGCCTCCCAAAGTGCTGGGATTACAGGCGTGAGCCACTGTGCCTGGCCAGGATGTTAGACTTTTTGGCTCCCTGGCCATTTGGGTTTCTTTTTCTGCAAATAATTATTTTTGTATTTTTTATTTATTTTTTTTATATAGGGTCTTGCTTTGTCACCACACTAGAGTGCAGTGGCCTGATCATGGGTCATTGTAGTCTCAACCTCCTGGGCTGAAGTAATCCTTCTGCCTCAGCCTCCTCAGTAGCTGGGACTACAGGCACGCACTACCACGCCTGGCTGTTTTTTTTTTGTAGAGACAAAAATCTCACTATGTTGCCCAGGCTGGTCTTGAACTCCTGGCCTCAAGCAATCTTCCCACCTTGGCCTCCCAAAGTGCTGGAGTTACAGACCTGAGCCACCATGCCCGGCCAGATAATTCTTTGACAGATAATCCTGCTGACATGAACTAGACTTCCTTAAGACACATCATAGAATCAATAGCCCAGAACCATAAAGAGCCTCTACTTGTAAGTTTAGAGTCATTTTAAGTAAGGTAGAACTGGAGATCATAAGAGATATGTACTCTTATAATTTTTGATTGTATGTTTGTTTCTTTTTGAGACAGAGTCTCACTCTGTTTGCCCATGCTGGAGCACAGTGGCGCGATCATAGTTTGTTGCAGCCTCAACCTCCCAGGTTCAAGGGATCCTTGCAACTCAGCCTCCTGAGTAGCTGAGACCACAAGCGCATGCTATCACACTAGCTGATTTGATTTTTTTGTAGAGTTGGGGTCTCACTAAGTTGCTTAGGCTGGTCTCAAACTCCTGGCTGCAAGTGGTCCTCCCACCTTGGCCTCCCAAAGCGCTGGGATTACAGGCAGGAACCACGGTGCTTGGCCAACAATTTGCATGCCTTTACCACATTCCCCAAATGTTAACATTTCACCTCATTTTCTTATCAGTCTCTTTATGTATAACATGCATATGTTTTCTGAATCATTTAAATGTAAATTGTGACATAATGCCCCTTTTCCCCTAAATATGTATTTCCTGAGAGTAAGAATTTCATTATGTATTTCCTAAAAGCAAAAATGTTCTCTTTCCCAGTCACACAAAATTATCAGACTCAGGAACTCAACACTGAGTTCTTCCTCCAGCACTTGACAAGAATCAAAGTGTTGGTTAGTGACTGCTTTGGGGGATGGGGCAGGACTGGCAGCAGGTGGCCCGATGGCCTGGGTGGTTTGCCTGCCAGCGATGCTGGTGGGCAAGCCCTGCCTGGAAGCTCCTCTCTCCCACGTTTTTCCTGCCGCCCAGTAGTTAGACCACCTGGAGCCAGAGGAGGGGGCCCACCCGGTTTCCCAGCCTGTCCCTCCAGAGCTGGGCTCCATTTCTGGAGGTAGAGAATGGGGCAAGTCTGGGCATCTTGTGCTCTTTGCTAGGGGAGGAAAGGGCTGTGGCTGCTTTCCTTGTCCCCCATTTCCCTTCTGCCAGTGGGGCCAAGCCCCAGCAGCTCAGTCAGGAGAAGAGGATATGGATCTGTCTGGGCCTCTCTCTTTAAGAGAAAGTTGATTCGTGCCTTCCGGATAGTCTTGTTCCAGGGTTTCTAAACTTTCTGATCCCACCTTCATGTTAAAATGAGTTTTGATCATGTGTCTCTTTAGTAATATGGACATTATAAAATAGGAAAAAAAAGTCTCTTAAAGCCTAAGTAGTTAAAAATTTATTTTCACATCAGGCATAGTGGCTCATGCCAGTAATCCCAGCACTTTTAGAGGCCAAAGTGGGAAGATCGCTTGAGGCTGGAGTTGGAGACCAGTCTGGGCAATACAGTGAGACCTTGTCTCTAAATTAAAAAAAAAAAAAAAAAAAAAATTGGCCAGGCATGGTGGCTCATGCCTGTAATCCCAGCACTTTGGGATGCCAAGGCAGGTGGATCACCTGAGGTCAGGAGTTCAAGACCAGCCTGGCCAACATGGTGAAACCCCATTAGCGGGGCGTGGTGGCGTGCCCCTGTAGTCCCAGCTACTTGGGAGGCTGAGGCGGGAGAATCACTTGAACCCGGAAGGCAGAGGTTGCAGTGAGCCGAGATTGCGCCATTGCACTCCAGCCTGGGTGACAGAGTGAGACTCCGTCTCAAAAAAAAAAAGCCAGTTGTGGTGTGTGTTTGTAATCCCAGGGAGGCTGAGAAGGGAGGATCACTTGAGCTGGGGAGGTCAGGGTTGCAATGAGCCAGTGTAATCCAGCGTGGGCCACAGAGTGAGATTCTGCCTCAAAAACAAAACCAAAAATATATAACGAGTTAAAATCCTACAGTAAAGAGGCTACTGTTTTATTCTGGTTAAACCTTAGGGTTCCTTCTATCAAACTTAAACTAGAATTTTTTTTTTTTCTTGAGATGGAGTCGCCCTCTGTCGCCCAGGCTGGAGTGCAGCAGCTTACTGCAATCTCTGCCTCCCGTGTTGAAGCGATTCTCCTGCCTCAGCCTCCCGAGTAGCTGGGATTACAGGTGTGTGCCACCACTCCCAGCTAACTTTTGTGTTTTTAGTAGATACAGGCTGGTCTCAAACTCCTGACCAGGCTGGTTGTTGGCCAGGCTGGTCTCAAACTCCTGACCTCAAGTGATCCGCCCACCTCAGCCTCCAAAAGTGCTGGGATTACAGGTGTGAGCCTCTGTGCCCAGCCAAGAAATTATTTTTTATTTTTGAGATAGAGTCTTGCTTCGTCTGTTGCCCAGGCTGGTGTGCAGTGGCGTGATCTTGGCTCATTGCAACTTCCACCTCCTGGACTCAGGCAATTCTCCTTCCTCAGCTTCCTGAGTAGCTGGGAGTACAGACGTGTGCCACCACGCCCGGCTAATTTTTGTATTTTTAGTAGAGATGGGGTTTTACCACGTTTTCCCACATTGGCCAGGCTGGTCTTGAACTCCTGACCTCAGGTGATCCACCCGTCTCGGCCTACCAAAGTGCTGGGATTACAGGCTTGAGCCACCGTGCCCAGCTTATAAATTATTGTTATTATTTATTATTATTTTTTTGAGATGGAATCTCAGTCTGTCGTCGAGGCTGTAGTGCAGTGGCGCGATCTCAGCTCACTGCAACCTCCGCCTCCTGGATTCAAGGATTTCTCCTCCCTCAGCCTCCTGAGTAGCTGGGATACAGGCACGCACCACCACACCTGGCTAATTTTTGTATTTTTTAGTAGAGACGGGGTTTCACCACATTGCCCAGGCTGGTCTCGAACTCATGACCTATGATCCACCCACCTTGGTCCCCCAAAGTGCTGGGATTACAGGCGTGAGCCACTGTGCCCGGCCTATAAATTATTTTTTAAGGCACAAAGTCTCATAGGTAATTTTTAATCAGAGTCAAAAGTAGGATGGGGGGCACTCTAGAAAGTAAAACTCCTTATACTTTGTGAAAACACAGTTTTTTGTCCTGTATCCCTGCCCAGAGACCACCTCTGCCTCCCCCACCAACTACATATGGGGGTCAAGGTTGAGGCCCCCTGGTCTAACGGGAGAGACAGTTGCCGTATGGGTGGTAGCAAAACTCCTTAAGGGTTGTGATTTTTTTTTTTTTTTTTTTTTTTGAGTTGGAGTCTCCGTGTGTCGCCCAGGCTGGAGTCCAGTGGTGCGATCTTGGCTCACTGCAACCTCCACCTCCTGGGTTCAAGCGATTCTCCTGCCTCAGCCCCCCGGAGTAGCTGGGACTGCAGGTGCCCACCACCACGCCCGGCTAATTTCTTTTTGTATTTGTAGTAGAGATGAGGATTCACCCTGTTGGCCAGGCTGGTATGGAACTCCTGACCTTGTGCTCCGTCCACCTCGGCCTCCCAAAGTGCTGGGATTACAGGCATGAGCCACGGCGCCTGGCTGTGCCTTTTTTCTCTTAATGATGTTTTGTGCACCCTAGTCCGTGTCACCGCAGGTACTCCCACCCACCACGTAAATGGGCGGGAGGCGCTCTGTTTTCTGGATATGCTCTCACGTAGCTCATTAATCTCTTATTTTAAGTTCCTTCTGATTCTCACTATGCTGAATGCCACAGTGAAAATTCTAAATTGTAGTGTATGTCCTGCATTATTTCCTTAGGCGCCGCTGCACTTCAGCCTGGGTAACAGAGCAAGATCCTATTAAAAAAAAAAAAGCAAACATGCTTATGGTAGTACATTTTAAAAACATAGAAGATTGGAAAATTGGAAAAATCCCCATCAAAAATAGTAAATAACTTAAAAATAGCAACATTTTGGGTATGTTACCTTCCAATATTGTTTTCTGTGTAATTTTTTTGGTCTCATTTTGCCGGAGTTGTAATGTATATGTAGTTTTGTATCATGATCCTTTTTTATTTTTTTGAGACAAGGTCTCGCTCTATTGCCCAGGCTGGAGTACAGTGGTGCGATCTCAGCTCGCTGCAGCGTCAAGCTCTGGGACTTAAGTGATCCTCCTGCCTCAGCCTCCTGAGTAGCTGGGACTACAGGCATGTGCCGCCACACCCTGCTAATTTTTTATTAAAGATGCTCCCCCTTTCCGGGGTCCCGCCTCCTCCTCTGAGCTTTGGCTCTGGCTTCCCTGCCTCCCCCAGCTGCCTGGTCTGACAGGAGAGAAGGACAGTTACAGTGTACAGTGACACCAAAAACATGCTGTATTGATTATAGTTTATTTTTTTTTCTTGTAGAGGTGGGTTCATGCTGTGTTGCCCAGGTTGTTGTCCAACTCCTGAGCCGAGCGATCCACCTGCCTTGGCCTGTCAAATGCTGGGATTACAGGCATGAGCCACCTCACTTGGCCATGATCCTTTTTCAACTTGATCATACAGCTGTTTGTAAATATCACCATCTATGGCAATAACAGAACTGACTGCTTATCCCCCTGAGCATTCAAGTTTTCTCTAGGTAGGTTTTCATTATTGTGAATATGCTGTGCCAAACATCCTTTTTTTTTTTTTTTTTTTTTTTTTGAGACAGAGTCTCACTCTGTCTTCAGGCTGGAGTGCAGTGGCATGATCTCAGCTCACTGCAGCCTCCGCTTCCCGGGTTCAAGCAATTCTCCTGCCTCAGCCTCCCGAGTAGCTGAGACTATAGGCGTTCACCACCACGCCCGGCTAATTTTTGTATTTTTAGTAGAGACGGGGTTTCACCATGTTGGCCAGGATGGTCTCAATCTCCTGACCTCGTGATCTGCCCACCTCGGCCTCCCAAAGTGCTGGGATTACAGGCATGAGCCACCGCACCCGGCCTGTGCCAAACATCTTTGTGCACTAAAGCCTTTTCTGTATTTAGGGTTATTTCCTTAGGGTCATGGAAGTGGAATTGTTGCGCTGCAAGACCTGTAAATACATTATAGAGCTTTGGATCAAAGTTACGAATTCTGCTTCAGAGGATGGTGCTTTCATTCTGACTGGTTTAAAAGGCTGCTTTCTTTGAAGACAAGCGAAGTGAGTGGGACACAGCCCAGGCGCAGAAGGTGAAGGCTGGGATCTCCGCATGGTGGCTGCCAGCCCCCTGCAAGGGAGGTCATGAGCGTGGGAGATGACTCCCCAGCCCCCAGCCCTCCTCATCCTTGTCCCTAAGAAGAGAGTGAGAGCAAAACTTGTGGCTGCGGTGCAGACAAGCCTGCCTCTTTCTCATGCAGATGTGATGTTTCCCACACAGGGAGGCAGTCAGAAACCAGCATATGCCCTTCTGTCTTCCCAGCCAGCAGCCCAGGAAGGGCAGGTGCTTTGAAGGAGAGGCCCCTAACCCCCTTTCACGGACATTCACAGGGAGTCAAGGTGGACGCGAGAGACCACAGTGGAGCCACAGCCCGGATGCTGGCCAAGCAGTACGGACACATGAAGATCGTGGCCTTGATGGACACTTACTCGCCCTCTCTGCCCAAGAGCCTCTATCGGAGCCCAGGTACCCACACCTGCCAGCCGCGCCCTGCTGGGGTCTCTGGTTGCCTTGAGCTTTAGGTGACCTGGCAGAGAAAGATGTCCCCCGCTTCCCCGGCTCCCACCTTCTCTGAGATTTGGCTCTGCCTCCCCCAGCTGCTTACATGTCAAGGTTGAGGCCCCTGCTCTAACAGGAGATAAGGATGGTTACGATGGAGAGTGGTACAAAACCAGGCTGTTGTGAATGTAGAGGCTTTCTGTAGTATGCTTGACTACCGAGTAGGGGCAGGCCCCTCTTAGTTTTCTGTTTTCACTGTTTCCTGAGCTATGGCTTGTTCATTCTTCTATATGAACTTGAATATCAACTTGTCTAGCTCCTTAAAAACAGTATTGATATTTTTACTGAGATTGTGACAATGTATAAATTAACTATATCTTTGTGTTGTTGTCTTATCCAAGAACAAGGGATGACTTCTTGTTCCAATGTACTTTTGGGTCTTGCAGGAGGGTTTTAAATTTTTCTTCATCTACATTTTGCATGTGACTTAAGTTTATTCCTAAGTGTTTGATCATCTTTGTCGCTATTGTAAATGGGGTTTTCCCTATCATTATATCCTTTTTTTCCCCCCAACTCTCAGGGTATTAATTATTCAGTGCTATTTATTTTTTATTTCAGTAGGTTTTTGGAGAACAGGTGGTGGTTGGATACGTGAATAAGTCCTTTAGTGGTGTCATTATATCGTTTCACTGCATATTGTCAGTGCATTTGAAGGCAGTGGATTTCTGCAAACTTTTGTTTTTTTTTTGATACGGGAGTTTCGCTCTTGTTGCTCAGGCTGGAGTGCAATGAAGCGATCTTGCCTCACCGCAACCTCTTCCTCCCAGGTTCAAGCAATTTTGCCTCAGCCTCCCAGGTAGCTGGGATTACAGGCGTGCACCACCATGCCCGGCTAATTTTTTGTATTTTCAGTAGAGATGGGGTTTCTCCATGTTGGTCAGGCTGGTCTAGAACTCGCAACCTCAGGTGATCCACCCATCTCAGCCTCCCAAAGTGCTGGGATTACAGGTGTGAGCCACTGCACTCAGCCCTGCAAACTAATTTTATATTCTGCTACCTTACAGAATTCTTACATTGTTCAGGTTAGTTTTGTTATTGATTCTTTAGGGCTTTACAGGTGTACTAACATATAATCTTTAAGTATCGATGGATACACTGCTTCCTGCTGATTCTCATGACTCTGACTTTGTTGAATTGCACCGTTCTTTTGTTTAGTTGCTAACACCTCTAGCTCATTGTTCAACATAGTGGAGATAGTGAGCCTCCTTACCTTGGTCCTGATCTTAGTGGAAATGCCACGTTACATGAGAGGCTGACTGTAAAAGGGAAGGCATATGTTATTTTAGCTTATTAACAAAGTATTCCTCAGTTCTTCTATTCCTGAGTGGTGTTTTACAGGAGTAACTATTGAATTGTGTTCCCATATCTTTGGAGACGATGGTGAATTTTCATATGGTAGATTGTCTTCATGAACCTCCTAATAATGAATCAACCTTACATTCTTGGCATAAATCCCACATGTTGTACTATTTTAATGTGTTTTTGAATTCTGTTTATTAATATTTAGTATTTTTCTATGGATATTCAGTCATAAGTGATACTGGTCTATAGTTTTCTTTCTTCTTTTTTTTTGTTTTTGAAATGGAGTCTTGCTCTGTTGCCCAGGCTGGACTGGAGTGGCGAGATCTCAGCTCACTGCAACCTCCGCAACCTCCGCCTCCTGAGTTCAAGCAATTCTTCTGCCTCAGCCTCCCGAGTAGCTGGGATCACAGGCGTGCACCACTACACCCAGCTAATTTTTGTATTTTTAGTAGAGACGGGGTTTCACCATGTTGGCCAGGCTGGTCTCGAACTCCTGATCTCCAGTGATCCGCCTGCCTCAGCCTCCCAAAGTGCTGGGATTACAGGCGTGAGCCACCGCTCCCGGCGTGGTCTATACTTTTCTATTTTTGTTCTGTCTATCAGGTATGGGTATCAGTGTTTACTTCATAAAAATAATTTGGAAGTTTTCCTTCCTTTTTTGTGTTCTAGGACAATACACGTAGCATTAGTGCTACCTGGTCTTAGAAGTTTTGATAGAATCCTCCCATGAAACCATCTGGTCTCTTTCTGTGAGGTGGTTCCTCGATAACAGTTTTTCTATTTCTTCTATAGAGATTGGCCTCCTCATACTTTCTTTTCTTATGGGGTCAGTTTTGGTAAATTATATTTTCCTGAGAGATCACTTCATCTAGGATTTCAGACTTATCTGCAGAGGTCTACAAGATAATATTTTCTCCCTTTTTTTTTTTTTTTTTTTGAGACAGAGTTTCACTCTTGTTCCCCAGGCTGGAGTGCAGTGGCTCGATCTTGACTCACCGCAACCTCTGCCTCCCGGGTTCAAGTGATTCTCCTGCCTCAGCGTCCCAAGTAGATGGGATTACAGGCATGCGCTACCATGCCTGGATAATTTTATGTTTTTAGTAGAGACAGGGTTTCTCCATGTTGGCCGGGCTGGTCTCAAACTCCCGACCTCAGGTGGTCTGCCCACCTGGGCCTCCCAAAGTACTGGGATTATAGGTGTGAGCCACCGCACCCGGCCAATTTTTTTCTCCTTTTAAAATATTCTGTTTCAGGGCCAGGCGCGGTGGCTTATGCCTATAATCTCAGCACTTTGGAAGGCCGAGTTGGGCGGATCACCTGAGGTCGGGAGTTCGAGACCAGCCTGATCAGTATGGAGAAACCCCATCTCTACTAAAAATATAAAATTAGCTGGGCGTAGTGGTGCATGCCTGTAATCCCAGCTACTCGGGAGGCTGAGGTGGGAGAATCCCTTGAACCCGGGAGGCAGAGGTTGAGGTGAGCCGAGATCGTGCCATTGCAGTCCAGCCTAGGCAACAAGAGCGAAACTCTGTCTCAAAAAAAAAAAAAAAAAAAAAATTCTGTTTCAGGCTGGGTGCAGTGGCTCATGCCTGTAATCTCAGCACTTTGGGAGGCTGAGGCGTGTGGATCACTTGAGGTCAGGAGTTCAAGACCAGCCTGGCCAACATGGTGAAACCCCGTCTCCACTAAAAATACAAAAATAAGCCAATGTGGTGGTGTGCGCCAGCTACTCTGGAGGCTGAGGCAGGAGAATCACTTGAACCCGGGAGGGGGAGATTGCAGTAAGCCAAAATCACGCCACTGCACTCCAGCTTGGCGACAGAGCGAGACTCCATCTCAAAGAAAAGTAAATAGATAAAATAAAACAAAATAAAATACTCTGTTTCAGTGGTTATTTTCTCCTGTTATTATCTTTTTTTGGCATGGAAAATATTGATTTATTTTTTGTGACAGGGTCTTGCTTTGTCACCCAGGCTGGAGTCCAGTGACCCAATCTCGACTCAATGCAACCTCCGCCTCCCAGGCTCAAAACGATCCTTCTACCTCAGCTCTACGAGTAGCTAGGACTGTAGGTGCACCCTACCACGCCCAGCTTACGTTTGTATTTTTTGTAGAGAGGTGGTTTTGCCATGTTGACCAGGCTGGTCTCAAGAGTCCTGAGCTCAAGCAATCCACCCGCCTCAGCCTCCCAAAGTGCTGGGACTACAGGCATGAGCTACTGCACCTGACCTGGAAAATATTTATCTCATTTTTAATTGACACAAAATAACTACATATTTATGGGGTACAGTGTGTGATGTTTTGATACATGTATACACTGTGTAATGATCAAATTAAGGTGATTAGCTTATCCATCACCTCAAACATTTATCATTTCGAGGTGAGAACATTTAAAATCATGTCTTCTAGTAGCTATTTTGAGGTATAAGCTGTTGTTCCGTATAGTCACTCTACTGTGAACACCAGAACTTCTTTCTTCGATCTGTAATTTTACACCTATTGACCAATCTCTCCCACTACCTCCCCACCCCCAACCTCTGATAATCACTATTCTACTCTACATGTTTGACATGAGCTTTTAAAAATCCTGTAAATGGGTGACATCATGTAGTCATGTAGTCTTTTTTGTTGTTTGTTTGGTTTTTGAGACAGGTTCTCGCTTTGTCACCCAGGCTGGAGTGTGGTGGCATAATCTTGGCTCACTGCAGCCTCCAATTCCTGGGCTCAAGTGATCCTCCTATCTCAGCCTCCCGAGTAGCTGGCACTACAGGCACCTACCACCACACCTGGCTAATGTTTTATTTTTTTGTAGAGACGGGGTCTTGCTATACTGACCAGGTTGGTTTTGAACTCCTGGGCTCAAGTGATCCTCTCGCCTTGGCCTCCCAGAGTGTTGGGATTACAAGTGTGAGTCACCACAACAGCTGGCATTTGTCTTTCTTTTCTATGTCTGGCTTATTTTACTGAACATAGTCTCTTCCAGGCTTATTCATGTTGCCACAAATGATCAGATTTCATTCTTTATGTCTGAATAATATTCAATTGTGTATATAAACTCATTTTCTGTCTTCGTTCATCCACTGATGGACACAGGTTGATTCTCTATCTAGGCTACTGTGAATACTGCGGCAGTAAACATGAGGGTGTAGACATCTCTTTGGTATACTGATTTCCTTTCTTTTGGATAAATACCCAGTAGTGGAATTGCTGGATCTCATTTCTTATATTTTTTAATTTTTTTTTTTTTTTGAGATGGAGTTTCGCTCTTGTTTCCTAGGCTGGAGTGCAATGGCACGATCTTGGCTCACTGCAACCTCCACCTCCCGGGTTCAAGCGATTCTCCTGCCTCAGCCTCCCTAGTAGCTGGGATTACAGGCATGTGCCACCACGTCTGGCTAATTTTGCATTTTTGGGAGAGACAGGGTTTCTCCATGTTGGTCAGGGTGGTCTCGAACTCCCGACATAAGGTGGTCCACCCGACTCGGCCTCCCAAAGTGCTGGGATTACAGGCATGAACCGCTGCACCCGGCAAAAATTTCTTCTATTAAAAAAAATAGAGACAGTGTCTCAGTATGTTGCCCAGGCTGGTCTCAAACTCCTGGGCCCAAGCGATCCTCCCACCTCAGTCTCCCACAGTGCTGAGATTATAGGCATGAGCCACTGCGCCCGGCCTCACTTCTTATTTTGAATATTTGTGTTTGTTCTTTTTTTTTTTTTGAGACAGAGTCTCGCTCTGTTGCCCAGGCTGGAGTGCAGTGGCGCGATCTCGGCTCACTGCAACCCCCGCCTCCCAGGTTCAAGCGATTCTCCTGCCTCAGCCTTTTGAGTAGCTGGGACTACAGGGTGCCCACCACCACACCTGGCTAATTTTTTTTTTGTATTTTTAGTAGAGACAGGGTTTCACTGTGTTAGCCAGGATGGTCTCGATCTCCTCACCTCGTGATCTGCCCACCTCGGCCTCCCAAACTGCTAGAATTACAGGTGTGAGCCACCGTGCGCAGCCTCTTCCTTTTTTTCTTAAGTTAAATACTAGTACTTTGTCTGTTTAGTGGAAAAACAAGAAAAACCCATCGGATTTTGATTTATTAATGAGACCTACTGATTGTCTGTTTAATTTCTGCTTTTATTTTTATTTGGCTTACTTTGTTGTTCTAGTTTTTTGAGTTGGAAACTTCTTTCATTTTCATTGTTGCCCTTTTGTTGCTAAATGTTAGAGGCTGTGAATTTTTGCTGATTGCTGCTTTAAGTGTATTCTGGGGGTTCTGTATTTAATACTTTCCTTGTTATTTTTAGAAATTCTGTAATTTTTATTTATATTTTCTCCTTCACCCAGGAGTTGTCTAATAGAAGTATTATGATTGTTTTTGTTTGTTAATTTCTAGATGGAAGGGCCTTTTTGATCTTGCAATTAATTTCTCATGTTATTCTGATTAACTTTAATGTGTCTGATCAGAGAGTGTTTATAATTCTTACATTTACATAACTTCCTTGTCATCTTATTTATCATCTACTGATCTATCTATATATATATATATTTTTTTCAGATGTAGTCTCACTCTGTCACCCAGGCTGGAGTGCCCAAGTGCGATCTTGACTCACTGCAACCTCTGCCTCCCAGGTTCAAGCGACTCTCCTGCCTCAGCCTCCCGAGTAGTTGGGATTCCAGGCATCTGCCACCACGCCTGGCTCATTTTTTTTTGTATTTTTAGTAGGGACAGGGTTTCACCATGTTGGCCAGGTTGGTCTTGAAGTCCTGACCTCAAGTGATCCGCCCACCTCGGCCTCCCAAAGTGCTGGGATTACAGGCGTGAGCCACCGCGCCCGGCCCTGATCAATATTTTTTAGTGTTCCGTGTTTTGCTTGAGAAGTTGTATTCTCTATTATCTGTATACAGTTTAGCATATCTGTGAGTCTATCTTATTTAGGATTATGTACTCTTAGTTCATTTTCTACAAAATTACCTATTAGCGTGTTTCTGATTTATGAAGGAAGTTGGTGCATTTTTTGGTGACAGATTTTCATAACTTGTTATAGATTCACTGTGAATTATGGCTTTTAGTATTAGAAGTGTCCTTCTGGCTGGGCATGGCCCATACCTGTAATCCGAGCACTTTGGGAGGCCAAGGCGGGCAGATCCCCTGAGGTCAGGAGTTCGAGACCAGTCCAGCCTACATGGTGAAACCTTGTCTCTACTCAAAATACACAAATTAGCCAGGCATGGTGGCACATACTTACAATCCCAGCTACTCGGGAGGCTGAGGCAGGAGAATCACTTGAACCCGGGAGGCGGAGGTTACAATGAGCCGAGATTGTGCCACTGCACTCCAGCCTAGGTGACGGAGTGAAACTCTGTTTCAAAAAAAAAAAAAAAAAAGTGTCCTTCCGTGTCATATTTAATGTGTTTTGCCCTGAATTCCACGTTGATAGCAGGATTGCAGCCCTGGCTCTTTTGTGGTTTCCATCTGCCTGTTCTTTTTAAGCTGCTCTGAGGGTGTGTTGGGTGCTGAGATTCACGCAGCTGCCGTTCCCTTGCTTATTGCTGCCTCTTTGCATTTGTCTTACAGCTCCCTCCCCTTCAGCTTGGATGGAAGCACAGTCTCCCTGGAGTGCTATAGATCTTTGAGTGTGAGGAGGTGTGTGTCCATATGGCTAGCTCAGTCGCCAGAGCTTGAGCCTCGTCATGGGGAAGGACAGAGTGGCCCACGTTCAGGGCCTGAGCTCTCCCTCTTTGCTGGCCTGCCCTGAGTTGTCCTGTCAGTTTGCACCTGAGCGAGCAGCTCCTTTCTCAGTGTCAGGCTCAGCCCAGCCTCTTCCCTGGCATTGGGATTGTTTCATAATAAACACAGCTCAGGTGGTAATGCAAAGGACCTTTCCCTTCATTTCTGCCCCAGCTTACCCACTCCACAAGGAGATCTCATCATTTCCTCCTGTATACAACTCACGTATCTCTTAAAAGTAGAATCAGATCAGAGCCTTATACAAATCAAATATGAAAAACTGAAAAGCTACAAAATAATAAAAGCTCTGGTTTGAGCTCTGAAAGCTCAGACTGGGAAGTGATTTGAAACAGTTTATAATCATAGCAAACACATGCCATGCTTTAGAAAATACAAAATTGTGGCTGGGCGCTGTGGCTCACTCCTGTGATGCCAGCACTTTGTGGGAGGCCAAGGTGGGCGGATCACAAGGTCAGGAGATCGAGACCAGCCTGGCCAACATGGTGAAACCCCGTCTCTACTAAAAATACAAAAACAAGATTAGCTGGGCATGGTGGCCGGGTGCCTGTAGTCCCAGCTACTTGGGAGCCTGAGGCAGGAGAGTGGCGTGAACCCAGGAGGTGGAGCTTGCAGTGAGCCGTGATCGCACCATTGCACTCCTGCCTGGGTGACAGAGCAAGACTCCGTCTCAAAAAAATAAAGAAAAAAAAAAGAAAATACAGAATTGCTTAATAAGTTGTTTCCAGCCGGGCACAGTGGTAACGTGCCTATAATCCCAGCACTTTGCGAGGCTGAGGTGGGTGGATCACCTGAGGTCAGGAGTTCAAGACCAGCCTAATATGATGAAACCCCATCTCTACTAAAATATAAAAATTAGCTGGGTATGGTGGCATCTGCCTATAATTCCCAACTACTCGGGAGGCTGAGATAGGAGAATTGCTTGAACCCAGGAGGCGGAAGTTCCAGCCTGGGCAGCAAGAGCAAAACTCCTTCTCAAAAGAAAAAAAAAAAAGTTGTTTCCAAAGGAAGGGATTAGGAAAAAGTAGTTGTGACTTATATTACCATATATTTTAATGAAGAGATGGGTTTTACTTATTCAAATTAGAACAGAATTTCTGATTATGAACAATACAGACTTATGAACAATTTGGCAAACCCCAACAGAGATAATAAACTCCTGGCTGGGCATGGTGGCTCATGCCTGTAATCCCAGCACTTTGGGAGGCCAAGGCAGGCAGATCAGGAGTTTGAGACCAGCCTGGCCAACATGGCAAAAGCCTGTGTCTACTGAAAAAGAAAAGAAAAAAAACACTGGGCATGGTGGCACGCATCTGTAACCGCAGCTACTTGGAAGGGTGAGGCGTGAGAATCGCTAGAACCCAGGAGGCGGAGGTTGCAGTGAGTGAGCCAAGATCATGCCATTACACTTCAGCTCGGGGGACAGAGTGAGACTCTGTCTCAAGAAAAATGAAACTTCCCATCCTCACTAACTTTGCAGCTCCCTGTGGCCCATTGGAGCAGCGCCCCGGCCTGTTAGGGCATTTCTCAGAAGTGATGCCCTGGCAGATACCCTTCTCCTTAATTTAACAAAACCGGCGACAGTCACTTTCTTTCAGTTTGCCGTAAGGATTAGTAAATGAGTCCATTACTGAACACACTATCTTAATCTTGGTGTTTGATCACAGAAAAGTACGAAGATCTGAGCTCTTCTGACGAGTCCTGCCCTGCTCCTCAGAGACAGAGGCCTTGCCGGAAGAAGGGTGTCAGCATCCACGAGGGACCGCGAGCCCTGGCCAGGATCACAGGCATTGGCCTGGGCGGCAGAGCCCCACGGCCTCGCTATGGTGAGTGGCCCGCGTTTCCCGAGGGCTCTTTCTCATTGCATACCAGGATTTTGTGTTGGCAAGAATGGAATAGCTCTTAGGCTCCTGAAATGTGGGTCGCTGGACCTCAGGTGGCAGCGGGACAGGTGGCCCAGCTTTCATGCTCAGGGAGACTCAGGATTGAGTCCTGTGATGGAAATGCATTGGTCACGGACTAGCTCTTGTTTTTTGCTTTATCTCCTGGAGTTTCCTTTTCGTTGGTTAAATTTAGGAATAGAACTTTCTCTCCTGCAGCAGAAATGTAGCTAAGGTCAGATTTCATTCATCACATAGGTGGGTTGGCTCATACAGGGAGGAGGCAAAGCGTGAAGTTCACTTCCCTGCCCTGCCCATACCAGCTGGGTCGGGTGCGCTGCTGGGGGCAGGAGGCCAAGAAAACAGGCCCTGCTGTTTTCTCAGGGCGATGAAGTTGTACTCAGACCCTCCTGAGAGAGGGCCCGCTTGTTGACTTGCTGGTGAAGAATCCTAGCCTTTGGGTTTTCCAGTCTCGTTCATTCTCAGATTCCCAGCCCCAGGGTGTTGAGCGTTTTGCTCTTGGGGAGTGCTGGGGTTTCTTTTTAGGGGAGTTGGGTTTGGTGCCTACTCTCTATTGCTGTGGTCTGTCCCAGAGCTCAGCTGGAGGTGTGAGTTATGTCTTCCTTTGATGGCTGTCACCCACTCATAGCCAGGCCAAGGCTGCTGGTCTCACAGGCCTGGTGGCTGGTCCTTCTCGGGAGCAAGGCCTCTTTGAGGCCAGGACTTGGAAGAGTGAGAGTAGACAGTGTTTCAGCCAGGGGTCCACCAGTAATTGAATTCCCTTCTAGACCCCAGGAACAAGCAGATGTGCAGACTTCTGTCTTCCCAAGCCTGGGTGCTGGGTTGGGAACTGGAGACCCACCTTCTCCCATCATCCTGGGAAGGGTGAGCTGACTGGGCCACTGGGAAGGCCTCTCTCGAGCTGCTGGCCAGCCCCACCACAGCATGAGGGCCCGCCCGTGTCCCGTCCGCTGAGCTGTGAGCACTGGCTCTGGGACACCGGGCTGGTCGTTCTGAGTGGCAGAGTCTCTTCCTTCCAAAAGGTCCCTGCCACCTGCTACAGCCTGAGGTGTGGTGGGGACAGGAAGGAAGCTGTCATCCTGGGGCTGAGTTGGTAATTAATCTATATAGCTGTACAACAAATGCTTTAACAAAATCATACATGTCTGAAGCCGCTTGTGTGCGGTTCTTTGTATGTATCCACAGAGAAGTAATCATGGTGGTGGTCTCAGGTGTGGTATTTCAGGGGATTTTTGTTTTCTCATACCTTGTGAAATTTAAATTTTCTATAAGTGCATATATTTTATTTGCCAGTAATTAAGAAATTTGGGGCCGGGCGCAGTGGCTCACGCCTGTAATCCCAGCACTTTGGGAGGCCGAGGCAGGTGGATCAAGAGATCCAGACCATCCTGGCCAACATGGTGAAATCCCATCTTTACTAAAAATGCAAAAATTAGCTGGGCATGGTAGTACGTGCCTATAATCCCAGCTACTCGGGAGGCTGAGGCAGGAGAATCGGTTGAACCCGGGAGGCGGAGGTTGCAGTGAGCCGAGATTGTGCCACTGCACTCCAGTCTGGTGACAGAGCAAGACTCCGTCTCAAAAAAAAAAAAAAAAAATTGGGGGGGCCAGGTGCAGTGGCTTATACCTGTAATCCCAGCACTTTGGAAGGCTGAGGTAGGAAGATTGCTTGGGCTCAGGAGTTGTGAGACCAGCCTGGGCAATGTAGCAAGACCCTATCTCTACAAAAAATTTTGAAAATTAGCCAGATATGGTGGCCCATGCCTGTAGCCCCAGTTACATGAGAGGCTGAGGTGGAAGGATTGCTTGAGCCCAGGAGGTCAAGGCTGTAGTGACCCATGATGGTGCCATTGCATTCCAGTCTGGATAACACAGCAAGACCCTGTCTCAAAAACAGTTTAGGGGGCAATGATAAATAGCATGTGCTGATTAGAAAAACTTCTCCATAACTAGGAAAATACGTAAAGAGGAAAGTAAGTTCCCCATGGTCCCATCAACCAGTCCTTTGGGTTCTTTTTTGAGACAGGGTTTCACTGTAGCCCAGGCTGGAGTGCAGTGGCACGATCATAGCTCACTGAAGGCTCCAGTTCCTGAGCTCAAGCGATCCTCCTGTCTCAGCCTCCCAAGTAGCTGAGATTACAGACATGTGCCACCGTGACTGGTCAAGTCAGTCTTTTTATGTAAAGGGGCAAAACTGGAGTGAAATTGCCTGGTATACATGCCCCTTTTTCTGCTTGGTTTTAGAGGCAGGTAGAGTTAGGTAATTTCATATTATTGTTGTTAATTTTTACCTCAAGGCCTTTTTCCTTCCTGCTCAGCCAGGTCTCTTTTTCGCCGGGGTTGACTGACCAGAGGAGGCCCGCTAAGCGCCTGTGGTTAAAGGTCACAGGGACATAAAGACACGTGGTCGATGGGTGTCTGTGTGAGGTCATTAGCTACCTCCTGCTAAAAGGAACACTCATGGTATAGTTTTCTCTGGTCAGGCATCTGTAAATACAGCTGACCATTTGCTACGTTTTCCCCTTGGAAAAGAAATGGAGAGGGCCCAGGCTTGACCTGGCTGCCAGCCCTCGCCCCACCAGGCACTTGCTTGGGCCACTGACTGACCCTCAGAGCATCTTTTCCACCCACACACCACAGATAGAGCCATGCCAGGTCGCAGGGGCAAGTAGGTGAGGTCATGACTGGGAAGTCACCTGCCTCCATCCTGGGCCTCGGCCTCTGAGGAGGTTTCACTTTGGAGTTCCCTGGGCTTATGGGCCCCATTCTGTACACAGAGCAGGCTCCTCCCCGTGGCTATGTCACCTTCAACAGCAGTGGCGAGAACCCCCTGGAAGAAGAGGGCCTCTGCTGCCGGGATGTCACCTCCCCCATCAATGAGCGGGATGTGGAGAGCAGCAGCAGCAGCAGCAGTCGGGGTACGTGCACCCCCACCCATCCGGCCCGTGGCTCAGGCAGGTCCTGGAGCTCCTGTGTGCCCATCCCCACTTATCCCCTGGGCCTGGCGCTGGACACAGCCATCCAGCAGAGGACAGGAAAGGGGTAGGTGTGGACGGCCCTGGTTCTTGTGAGGAATGGGAGAAGCTTCTGGTCCAGCATCCCCGTGCGGCTTAAGGGAGCCGTTCCACAGCAACAGGTTTAGCTCCTTGCTTGGGAGCCCCTGAGGCTTTCAGGGCAGGCCCCAGTAGGAATGTCTGTTATAACTGCACCTCCGTGCAGCAGCTGTTTCCATAGTGCCCACCGTGTGCCAAGCACTGCTCCGGGTGCTTGGGATTTATCAGTGAACAAAAAAGACAGAAGCCCTGCCCGTCTGTATAGAGGGGAGGGTTTAGGACAGGCAGGAAGTTTGAAATATAAGGAAGCAACCGCTGCAGGCCCCAAGGAGTGCCCTGGTGGAGGCGGCTCAGCCCGGGGCACGCCCATGCGCAGCACCTCGGTGAGGGCTGCAGGCGGACGCCCTGTCTTCCCGCCCTCAGAGGAACATGCTTTCTGTGCCAACCTGGGGCCCGTCCAGAGCAGCAGCAGCAGCGAGGGCCTGGCCAGAGCCCAGGGGCTCAGCAGCGAAGCTTCTGTGGAGAGCAACGAGGTACGGATTCTTTCTTTCTTGGTCTCCCATAGCCGGTCCCTGGCTGGGATGCCTGACATCCCCCAGTTACTTTAAGATGAGCATGTATGTAAGAAGCAGCTGCTGCACGTGTGTGCTGCACTGGGACGTGCTGTGTCCAGGGTCTGGCTTCTCAGACGACAGCGAACGCACCGGAAGCCCCTGTGTGGCGGGTGGGGGGTTTCACGAAGCCTCTCAAGCCCCTGTGTGGCGGGTGGGGGTTTCACCAAGGCTCTCAAGTTAGCCCGCGCACTCTTTCAGATGCACGCCTCTCACTGCAGGACTCGGATCATGCCTGTAAAAGCTCAGCTCGCAAACAAGCTAAAAGTTACATGAAGACCAAGAATCCTGACAGCCAGTGGCCTCCCCGCGCTGCAACTGACAGGGAAGGCTTTCTCGCTGAGTCCAGCCCCCAGACTCAGAGGGCCCCCTACTCAGGACCCCAGGTAAGACCGCTTGTGAAACTGGAGGTTACACTCAGAGACGGCACTTTTTGTGACTTAGGAGGCATGTGTTGTGTATATGACGTGCCAGGCGCTGCTAGGAGAACAGAATGGCGGTGGCATCCCCATGGCCTGTTAGGCTCCACAGGCTCACAGCCGGCTCCATGGCTGGCAGCCCCGCTGCAGCGCTTCTACTCTGTTCCTCTCCACGGAAAGGACCTGTCTCCCTGCTTTCCATACTGGAGTTGGCCTCCCTGAGCCTGGGGAGAAGAAAAGCACACTTGACCTCAGAGCTGCCTGCAGGAGTCTGACAAGATGTGGTTGAAGCAGAGACAGGAACTACACACAGTGTGTGCTTGGTGATGGTTACAGCTGCCACCATCCTCCTCCTTTCTGTGGTCCCTCTGACCACACATTACCTTAGGGATCAGAGGTGTGACTCACAGCTCAGCTGTCTCACCTGTGTCTGCTGAGTTCTCCTACCCTGTGTGGGCAGAAGAGGCACGGAGAGGAGAGGCAGAGGGAAGCTCTGGTTGGTTATTTGGTTTGTTTGTTCGAGACGGAGTCTCGCACTGTCATCTGGGCTGGAGTGCAGTGGCGCGATCTCGGCTCACTGCAACCTCCTCCTCCTGGGTTCAAGCGATTCTCCTGCCTCAGCCTCCCAAGTAGCTGGGATTACAGGCACCCGCCACCATGCCCATCTAATTTTTTGTATTTTTAGTAGAGACGGGATTTCACTATGTTGGCCAGGCTGGTCTCAAATTCCTGACATCGTGATCCGCCCGCCTCGACCTCCCAAAGTGCTGGGATTACAGGCGTGAGCCACCACACCTGGCCTGGTGCCATGCCCGGCCTGGCTGGTTATTTGTTAAAGCACTGGCTTTGCTGTTCAGTAGAGCCTTGGATTTGCCGGCTTCTCCCTGCAGCCCCTGGCTCAGTGAGCAGGCACACGTCTCGGTCCCTTCAACATACGTTGAGTGGAGTCTGGTCAGGGTAGTGTCCTAAGTATGTTTCTTTCAGAAAATAGCTTGAAGAAAATGTCAGAGTAACATTTGTTTGTCCATTAAAAGCAATAAACTCTCAAAAGTAGGATTTCTGGAGTTGAAAAGTAAATGAAATGAAAATATCACTAGACGAGCTCACAGCAGAATTGAGCAGGCAGAAGAGTCAGACAACTTGTGAACACAGGTCACCTGAGATCATCTCGCTTGAGGAACAGAAAGAATGAGTAAAAAAAATTAACAGAAATCTGTGATCCCCTCAAGCACACCGACACCACCCCATACAGTGGCATTCCAGAAGGAGAGCAGAAACGATGGGTGAGAAACAGCCTGACCATCTCAGTGGATCAGAAACACGGATCTTACATCCAGGGAGCTCGGTGAACTCCAGACAGGTGAACTCGGAGAAGAGCTGCGCTTAGACAAGTGGAAATCAGAACATCCGACACTGAGACTCTAGAATTAGAGGGCAGCGCTCTCCGCCTACAAAGCATTGTCGAGATCAGCAGCTCCATGGTCCCTTCACAGAACTGAGCATGTGTGGGAGGAGGAGGCCAGTTTCTGGTGATGAACATACATTGTCCCCACGTGGCCGACCATAGTGTGAGGACTCACCTGCCTGCAACATCCTGCCCTGCCTGAGCCACCAGAGTAGGAGGGGACAGCCTGGGCGCCACACACAAGGCACTGTCTTGGTTCTGAGCCTGGGGAAGTGGTGGGGCTCCGAGTGGAGGAAAACGTCTCTGCTTCGTCGTCAGCCACTACCTCCCCCAACCTGTCCCCTGTGCCTGCCAGGACCTTGCCGCACTGCTGGAGCAGATCGGGTGTCTGAAGTACCTGCAGGTGTTTGAGGAGCAGGACGTGGACCTCCGCATCTTTCTGACCCTCACTGAGAGCGACCTGAAGGAAATTGGCATCACGTGCGTCCAGAAGGGCCGCTCTGGCCCTCAGCCCGGGGTTGGGGCAAACTCCCACTCATGTAAGCGCTCTTGGGACGCTGAGGCATATCCTGGTCACATTCCCCCCGCAGGCTGTTTGGGCCCAAGAGGAAGATGACGTCCGCCATTGCCCGCTGGCACAGCAGTGCCCGCCCACCCGGGGATGCCCTGGAGCTGGCCTACGCCGACCGGCTGGAGGCTGAGATGCAGGAGCTCGCCATCCAGCTGCACAAGGTGAGTGGCTGGGTGGGGGATGGGGGGGCAGGGTGACACCCGTGAGTTGGCTCCATCTCTGACAGAAAAGGTGGGTGCTGTGTGGAGGGGTCAGGTGGATGCAGTGGGGAGAGGGCCCCACACACAGGACAGGGCCGTGGCCAAGGGTCTGGCTTGACCGGCCACCTCCCAGCCTCCCCGCGCCCCCCACCCCCCTGCAGCGCTGCGAGGAGGTAGAGGCCACGCGGGGCCAGGTGTGTCAGGAGCAGGAGCTGCGCGCCGTGGTGGAGAGCTGCCTGCTGGAGCAGGACCGCGCCCGCGAGGACCTCCAGGCCCGGCTGCGGGAGACGTGGGCCCTGGCCCGGGATGCTGCCCTCGTCCTGGACCAGCTGCGGTGAGTGGCTCTGAGCTGCCCTGGGCTGGGTCTCCAGTGGTCAGCCACCTGGCCCCTGGGCCCCCACACATCCTTTCCTCCTGATTTTGTAACTGAGGGGTGGATTTCAGGGTCTGGAGCCACCCCACCCCCATTTCATCAGGCCCTTCCTTCCTGCAGGCAGACCCAGGCAGGAGTTGGGTCCGGGAATCTGCACCGGTCGCCCTCCTGCTCTTTAGTGCAGCCTCATGGGGCACTGGCCCAGCCCATGAGGGCCAGCTGCAAGGACAGGGCTGAGCCCCTCCCTCCCCTAGAAGGTCTGAGGTGGGGGCTCTGCAGCGGCCAGGCCTCTGCTCTCACCAATATTTGTTTCTGTGTCTGGCAGAGCCTGTCAAGCTGAGCTGTCATCTCGAGTGAGGCAGGACCAGCCCCCTGGTGCAGCCACTCTGGGCCTAGCCGTCCCCCCAGCTGGTAAGAGCAGTGGCCTGACTCCGCACTGGGCAGAGGGGAAGGTGGGGGAGCCCTGAAGCCAGGTTTGACCCAGTGGGCTTGGCCTGGTTCTCCGGCCGGCAGCCACTCTCCCAGGTCCCTGTGTGCACATGATCCCAGAGTCCAAGGAAAAGAGGGGGCCCTGGGGACCCAAGCCCACTTCCTCACCTGTGACAGGAAAACTGCCTATCCCCCAGGGGTAGGAGGTACTCGAGAAAGGCCCTGTGCCTTGGCTGGCTGTGCTGTGCTGAGACCGCCAGTGACTTCTGTAGCCTCCAGCCAGGGCCCAGACCCGGGTCCCCACCGGCAGAGCTTTGCCTTCTCTCGGGCTGACCCGGGCCTCGTAGTGTTTGCTCAGCCTGTGGGAGGAAGGGCACAACAGGGCTTCCCTGCCTCGGCCTTGGGAGGTTGCTTAGACACTGTCAGGCGGGTAGGGAGGTTCTGATCCAAGCAGGTTCTCCTGGTTGCATGGGCTCAGAATAAAGCAGGGCCTGTGGGGACGCAGACCCCCAGCTAACTCGGTCCCTGCACCTGCACCACAGACTCCAAGGGCTGGCAAGCGTCCCTGCAGGCCATGAGCCTCCCCGAGCTCTCGGGAGCCCTGGAGGACCGTGTCCGTGAGATGGGTGAGTCTCCGGGGACCAGACGACTGAGCGCTCCTTTTGTTTCCGAGGGAGGCAAAGGGACCCCTTTCCAGGGAAAGCGGGTTTGTGTCTCTCTACCCCAAGGCTGACCTCGGGGCTGGGGCCATAACGGGTGAGGGGCAGGTCACATCCTGCAGCTGAGACCCCGGGGCAGCACCACCCAGCCCTCCTGAGCCTGGCCGGGAGAGGCTCAAGGTCATCATTCCTCAGGGCAAGCACTGTGCTTAGTGACCCAGAGCCTGGAGAAGCTGCAGGTGCTGAACGGGAAGAAGTGGCGGGAGACCTAGCCTGCGGGCCGGTGAGTGTCTGCCAGCCTGGATCCCGCGTGGTGGGAGCAGCAGGGCCTGTCTGGGCGGCTGCAGGTGTGGGTATGCACCCACCTGTCCCCCTCCCTTCTCACCGGGGCTTTTTCTTTCAGAATCTGACGTTGGGTGATTGGTCCACCCTGAAGCTGTGTGCCAGGGAGTGAGGAGGACAGTGAGCAGGTAGCTGCCATGTGCAGCCCAGGCCCAGTGGGGGCCAGAGGATCAGGCCCCGGGAGCAGCCGGCAGACAGAGGCAAGACGGGGGCTGCGGCCCTGGCTCGGCAGCTCGGGCCAGCACTGAGGCGGGACGAGGGCCTCACCCAGAACCTCGTGGTGAGGCCCAGAGTTCATGGGCTGCCCTGGCCCATACCAGGCAGGGCCCTGGGGGGAAAGTGTATCCATATACACGCACAGGTGCCAACTGAGGTGGGACCTTAGGAATGAGGACTGGGGCACCTGGAAAATGCCATTTTTTGGAAAATAAAATTTAAGAACAGCTAGTGAAGGGCTCAGTTCTGGTCACATGACATGAGGCACTGGCCAATGCAGCAACCCTGACTGCCCTGTCCTCTGCTGTTCAGGGGTGTGTCTTTTGCTCCTGGAGCCCAGACAACTCAAGATAAGGCTTTGAGAGCCAAGAACATCCCCAGCCCGCCGTAGCACAGGGCCTCCCCCGGGACATGCTGCTCTCACACCGAGCTCTGAGATGGAGCTGGGCACACTGCCTCCCTCACCGGGCCAGGCATGGGCTGTGCAAATTTTCTGACGATGCCGCTGGAGTCTTTCCAGATGTGGGGCTGTAGGAGACCACGAGGGATGGCTCTGCTGCTGTCCTTCTGCACAGTAAGCCTGCACTTCTACACCATCCCCTGGAGCTGCTTGCAGACAGTGGGGAATGGTGGGTTTGCAAAGCAAAGCAGGTCAGCCCAGGTGCAGCCAGGGCCACCAGGATCAGGAAGGGGAGCCTGCCCTGAAGGTCTCGGCCCAGACGCCCCAACCTGGCTGATGGGCACAGCATTCATGCTGGGAGTGCCCCCAGTAAACACTGGGGAACAAACGTGCCCCTGGCTGGGGCAGCTCCTCCCTCCCCCACCTAGGGCAGGGGGCCTGAGCTGGTTCCATCCAGAACCAAAACAAACACACAGGGCAGCTGAGAAACACACAGAGCAGCTGCGGAGCGACTTTATTGTCTTCTCCTTCGACAGCTTCGTTGTACATAGCTGGGCCCCCGAGGCCCTGACTGTCCCTGGGAACCAAGCCACGTGGGGTGAAGCTACTTTGAAACCTCACCCACAGTTCACACGTGGTGAAAGAGAAAATCTAGCAAAGTAAATCCAACAACAACCCAAATTAACAGTATTATTAACTTCCTACCCCAAGCTGGCTCTCCCCCAGGCCCTGAACTGGCTCAGGAAGGAGGCAGGAATGAGCTGACCGAGACAAGGCATCCTCCACCCACACATCCCATCTTCTGAGTGGTCCCAGAGCTGTGCGCCACCCCTGTGGGACAATCAGGCACTCCTGGGTCTCTACCAGCTGTGATGAGACGTACAAGAGGAGGGTCTGAGCCCAGAATAAACAAGAGCATCCTGAGGCTGGAGAGGCAGGCCCAGTGTGCCCGGACCACCCTGCTCTGCCTGAGAGGATGGGCTGGGTTCCAGCTGGCCCGGCCGCCACCTAGTGACTGCTTGGGACAGTGGAGATGATGACAGGATGCCCACTCGCCCTAGGCAGTCAGAAGCGGGGTACACACAAACACTCTAGAAGCCACACTTAGCAGGAATTCCCAGTCTTCCGGCCCAGGGGAGGGTGCCACCAGCTCAGGCAGCCCTCAAGAGGAGGCCGGGAGCAACTTCTCCAGGGCCTTCTTCTGCTTCTCGGTGGCTGCAGCCAGGGCCTCAACCAGCTTCTCCTCGGGCATCATGTTGAGCACCTTGAGGGCAAAGAGGAGCTGGCACTTAGCCGTGCTCACGAAGGCGTTGCTCAGGAAGTTGGGGAAGCCTCCGACTCGGTCCTTCTGGGTGTACAGCGGGACCCGCACGAGGCCCAGCACCTGCGCAGACAGGAGGTAGGGGTTGGGGCCAGGCCTGCCACACAATGGCACCTCCAGCAGGAGGGGCCTGGAAGCTATGAGGCCAGGGTATGAGCAGCCAGCTTTGCCAAGGACTTAATGGGAGACCCACGCAGGGCCTGGCAGAAGCCAGCCAGCTCCCTCGGAGCAGTGCAGCCCCCTCCTCCCCAAGCAAGTGTGGAGGCTGACCCCATGCACTCCCCCCCCTCGTACCCAGGCCACCCCACCCCGGGGTCCGCACCCCATGCTCCCCCCGTCCACCCAACGAAGCCTGAACACCCGCAGTCCAGCCCTTCCAGACCACAAAGTACAAATCCCAAGAGCCTTCACGCCCAACATGAGGTTCCCAAGTTTTACAACCCCCGCTGTGCTCAAGTTTCCCAACTCCCCAAGCAATCCCCGCTCCTCCCCCATCCCTTCCTCCCCACCGATCCCACTCCCCCACTCCCAGGATTGGCAATGGCAGGCAGCAAGGCGGATGTAACACAGCCCTGAGGGAGCCCCAGCGCCGGCCCCCACCCCCGCCCCTCCTTTCCCGGCCTCCCAGCCCCAGACCCCTCTCCCCACCCCATTGCTGGAGACAGCGACACCCGACCCAGCCCGGCCAGGGGACCCTCAGGAGACGTGTTACCCATCGGTGCCTTCCACGGGGCCAGAGCCAAACCCCGGGGCGGGGGGCGGGGCCCGGGCGGCGGCCCCACCTCCAGGCCGTGGTCGCGCGAGTGCACCGCGCTGATCTCCACGGCGTGCAGCTGCTCCAGCGTCAGCTGCCGCGCGTACAGGTGCGCCACGACGCGGTGTGGGCCCTCGGTCAGGTGCGAGCTCAGGTAGTCGGCCTCGGTGAGGCGCAGGCAGCCCAGGCCCAGGCCCAGCACCCGGTTCAGGCCGTCCTCCAGCGACCAGAAGCGCCGGTCCACGAAGCCCCCGGGGAAGCCCAGCAGCCCGTCGAAACGCATCTGCATCTGCAAGGGAGCGCGGGTCACAGCCGCGGGGTCGACGGACGCCCCCGCCCGGGCCCGCCCGCGCCGGCACCCTCGCCCGCGCCCTCGCCCGTCCTCACCAGCACCGAGAAGCGCATGGGGATGCGGCCGAAGAGCTGCCCAGGGTTGGCGGCGTACAGCATGGCGTGGCACGAGTGGCTCCAGCCCGGCCCTAGGCGCATCGCCTCCACCCGGCTGATCTGCTTCAGCTCCGGAACCGCCGCCGTCGACATCTTGGCACTGACCCCGTCCCCGCCGCTGCCACTTAAGAGCATGCGCGAGCCCGCCCCCGCCGTGCCTCGCCAATCCGCGGGCGGCCGCGCCCCCGGGTCCGGTTCCCCCGCCAATCGCCGGCGCGCCCCGGGACCGAGCCCCTCGCAGCGCCGCGGTGCGTCGTCGAGAGGTGCTGCGGGCGGTGTGCAAAGGAGGGCGGTGCGCGTCAGCCGTCACCCAATAGTCGCACACCCTGGGCGGCGGCCCCGCCTCCGACGGGAGAGCCTAGACGACTGGTCGGTGCCGTGGTGGCTCAAGGTTGACATTGTGGGCGACGAACATCTTCCTTGGCGCCCCAAAGCGGACAGCCGAAATTCCCTGCGGTTTCTCCACCCTCGATGGCGCCGATCCCCTTGCGCCCACCCGTTTCTCCCCAGGAGGCCGACCCGGCCCGCATGGCCCCGTCCATCCGCAATGGCACCCTTGGCACGACCACACGAGCCAGAGATGCCCCGGAGCCTTGCTCCGCCAGCGCCACCGGACCCAAGCCCGGAGGGAGATGGCCTTCGCCTGCCATGCACGACAGCTGTCCCGACCTAGCCACCCTGCTGGCAGGCTCGATCCAGGACAGCACGGGGAGCAGGGCTTGGCAGGGCTTGAGTGCCCCAGTCCCCGAGTCCACGCTGGGTCAGGGCGGACGACCGGGAGCTCTGGGGCTCTGTGGACCCAGCTTGCTGGGCAGAAAGTGACTTAAATTCCGGGGCTGGACCTTTCCAGCATCCTCCAAGCCGGGCACCCTGTGCCAGGTACTGTGGGGGGAAGAGGGGTTTCCCCAATTTACGATGAGGAACTTGGAGCTCAGAGAGGGACATAACTTGCCTAAGTACAACTGGCAGTTGATGACAGAGGCAGAATCCCGATTCCACAAGGGCCTGAGGTACTTACCACTTACCTTGTGTTTGTACTGGAGATGTCTCTGGGGCTCAGAAGCATCCGAAACAGCCCAAGGCAGAGCGAGGTGCCCTGAACTCCATGATGGCAAGGCTCACCTCACCAGCAGCAGGGCCCAGGGCCACTTTCCTCCCCACCAGGGGAATGGATTTGCTGAGCACATGAACCCCCCTGCCTGCACTCACAGCATGGGTGCCCAGGGCTGGGGCACAGCCTCGGGAGAGCCGTGCAGTGAGGCCGAGCTCGCTGGCACAGAGAAGGCTGCCTTCAGTGGAGGCAGGCAGGAGAAGAGAGAGGGAGAGGGTGGGCATTGGAAACTCACCTGTTAGGTCCGTGGTGGCCTCAGATGTGGAGAATAAGGACCCAGAGAGGGCACCTCTCTCTCCTCCTGTGGCCACCAGTGGGTCAGGGGTCACATGGGACAGCTGCAAGCAGCAGGGGAAGTCCAGATTCCAGAGTGAGCGACCATGTGAGAAGGCGAGAGGGCAGCGAGGGGAAGGGTCCTCTCACCCAAAGAGGGCCCCACCCCTAGGCAGCCAAGCCCAGCCAGCGCCCAGGGCCCGTGGGACGCAGGGGCAGAGGAGGAGAGGCTCCCCTTGCTGCAGCCCCTCCCCGAGACCAGACATCAATACAAGCGCTGGCTCTTCTGGGAGGTACAGAGGGGGAGCCCATCTGGCCCATGCAAGCACCCGTCTGACACCCTGGGCACCCCTCTACCCACACTGGGATGGGGCCAGACCCAGGCAGGTCAGAGCAGCTGCAGGGCCCATGGGTGGCAGCCTTCTCGGGGCAGGGACTGATGGGCTAGAACACGGGCTTTCCCTCCACCCTCACAGTCTTCAAAGAAGGGCCATGGTGGCAGCTTGACCTGCACGCAAAGGAGCTGGGGCCCTGAGTGGTAGGCAGTGGTGTGGTGGGTGCCCTGGGGCACTGGCCACTCCCTGGGCAGGGGAGCGGGGGCTGTGCAGAGGCCTGGGGCCGGGCTCCAGCCTGCGAGCCCACAACCATGGGCAGCTAGACCTGCTCCCACCGTCCGGCCTCCACACGCCAGCCGCAGGGTGCTAGCACTGCTTCTCCGCTTGGAAGCCTGTTTTTAAAACTGACTCCCCCTTATAAAAACACTCCAGCAGCCCCTACAAGCTCTTCAGTATCTATCCAGCACCCTTCACTCCAGCCAGGGGCTCCGTCCCCAGGGGACACATCAGGCTCACTCCTGCCACCTGGAACACTCTTCCAGGGCCAGCTCCTCCTCAGCCCTCAGGGCTGTTTAAGTCTCCTCAGAGAGGCCCTCCCTGCCACCCGGTTAAATGAGACCTTGTACGGGTTCATCTCACCACCATGCTGACTTTCTTCCTAATAGTAACCAAACCTGGCAGGATTCTGATTAGCTGCTGGGCATCTCACTGCCTGGAAGGCAGGCGCCCGGGGCCAGGGCCGGGGCCTCAGCTCTTCTGCCTCCACTGACGCACAGCAGGTGCTCAGCAAATGCCTTGAGATGATCAGGACTAGAGATGGGGACCGGAGCGACTACTCACAAACCTGGAGGCCCTGGGCTCCCCAACCACCTGTTCACGAGAGAGCCCAATCTGGAGGGTGTGGCTTCCCTCCAACCAGACAACTAGCCCTGACAGGGATGGCTGGGAGCTGCCCGTTCTCGTTAGCCCTCACCTTGCTCACTGCCCTGACCCCAGAGGGAAGCCAGGCAGAGGCCGTGGAGCTGCCACGGTGCGGGAGCCACCGCCAACCACCCAGCGGCAAAACTCCGGGTCAGGAAACAGCCACAATCCTGAGGGCTGCACCCGGAGGAAGGAGCAGACAGGATATTGCTGCATGATTTTATTACTATAAATATACAGTAAAAACGAACCAACGATGAGCCCATCTGAGCACATCAGACGGCAGCACATGGGAGTCCCAGCGGGCCACTCTGCGGCCCGAACTTCACGCAAAGCTCTGGCACCAGGACTGATGGCCAGAGGCTGGGGCCTTGGTGGGGGCGGGGGGCGGGCGGTGCAGGGGGCTGTGTGTGTTGTTGGGGAGAGGTGCATGGGGGGAGAGAGGTGCTTGGGGTGGGGTAGAGGTGCGTGGGAGATGCTCGGTCCGAGTGCACACACATGCATGGGAACATGTGCAGGAGTATGTGCGTGTGTGTATGCGTGACAGCATGTGTGAGCGTGAGTGTGCATGTGTGAACATGTGCGTGAGCATGTGCAAGTGGGCGTGCATTTGTGTGTGTGTACGTGTGAGCGCATCTGCGTGCCTGTGCACGAGCGGGAGGGGTGGCTGGCCTGGGTGTGCAGGGAGCTGGGTGTGAGGACCATGCTGTCCACTGCTGGGTCTCGCCCAGGAGGCGGACCTCATGCTCGGAGCCACCGTGAGCCTCAGGGAGGGTACTGAGCTGCCCCACAGCCGACCTGTCCCCAGGCCCAGCTGCAGGGCAGCCCTCCAGAGCCAGGTGAGCAGCAGACACCTGCCTGGCCCAGGGCTCCGCAGGGGTGGATCCAGCCCTGGGTCACCAGGCCCAGGCACTCCCTTTGCCATCTGCGGCCCAGGAGGTTTACCTTTAAAAAAACAAACAAACAAACAAAAAAAACAGGACGAGGTCGCCCAGAGGCCAAGCCTCCCGGCCGGGACCCCATTCCCCAGGTGTGCTGCTGGCTTCCTCCTCCCTGGGCCAGTCCTGCCACAGAAGCCTGAGACAGAACAAACCAAATCAGAGAGAACTGCAAGGGGGCCGGGCGCGGAGGCTCACGCCTGTAATCTCAGCACTCTGGGAGGCCGAGGCAGGTGGATGACCTTAGGAGTTTGAGACCAGCCCGGCCAACATGGTGAAATCCCTTCTCTACTAAAAATACAAAAAAATTAGCCGAGCATGCTGGTAGGCACCTGTAATCCCCAGCTACTCAGGAGCCTAAGGCAGGACGATCACTTGAACCCGGGAGGCGGAGGTTGCAGTGACCCGAGATTGAGCCACTGCACTCCAGCCTGGGCAGCAAGAGTGAAACTCCATCTCAAAAAAAAAAAAAAAGAGAAGAGAACTGCAAGGGGACATTCCAATGGCAAAAGAGAATGAGGAGGCCACCAGGTCCTCCCTGGCAGGGGCCTGCCAAACAGAAGCCCCTGCACCTGGAGGGGCCTTGTGATGTCACCAAAGCCAGCACCAGGAGGAGGTGTGGAGCTTGGTGACAAGGCCACTGAATGCTGGCTGCTGGAAGCAGCTGTGCCTCCGCCCCTCGGCCAGGCCCAGCACCGGGCTGAGACACTCTAGCTGCCCAGGGCGGCACCCATGCACCCCAAGGCCCCGAGCACTGAGGGCCCCAGCGCAGACGCACCAGGGAGGGCACTGAGGCCGCGCAAACACGGCAGAGGACAAAAAGCAGCGACAGCCAGGCCGCCACAGTGACACGCAGGGTGGGTGGACAGGCACTGTTTCCTTCATTGACCGTGCCTGGAGCCCCCCACTGCCCCTGAACATCTGTGAAGATGGTGCTTCGACCACCAATCAGTTCTCTTCTGCAGGCCTCCTGAGTTCTCCGGGCAGGGACCGCACTGTTGCAGGAGCAGGCAGAGCCAGCGGAGGCCACACGTGGGCAGCCCCAGCCCCAGCCGCTCAGCCCACAGGACCCTGGGGAACGGGGGCTCTGAACTAGGGATGGAAAGCTGCTGTCCTTCATCTTGTACCAGTTACAAATATATCAACTGTAGAAAAGGGAGACTCAGAAGGGACAGTTCACTGTGCTCTTTGATCAAGAGTCACCACGGCCCCTCGGAGCCTGGTGGCCACAGGGGGCATGCAGACAGGAGGCCGGCTCACAACGGGGTCCGGAGCAGCCCCTCGGCAAAGTCTGGGGAGCCGAGGGCTCCATGCTGCCAGCTCGGCCAGGCTCTCAGAGTGGGGTCAGCTCGGCGGCGCTGGGATCGGGGCTGGGGCCACCAAGTGGAGGCCAGGTGGGGCTGGTGGTGGCGAGGCCGTGGGCCGTCTCCATGGAGGTGGGCCGTCCTGCAGGTGGGAGCAGAGGGAGGAGGGTCACACTCGGATGCCTGGTGCCACGCCACCCGCTCCTACCGATCTGGAGCCCCAGAGGGGCTGGGCCATCCAGCACCCCCACTCCCGCCGCCTGTGGCCACAACAGCATTCACTCAGATGTGAGCACACCAAGGGCCCGGGGACTCCCTAACTGTGCCAAATACGCTGTGTCCCTCTTGGGACAGACGATCCCAGATCCCCGGACACCCACAGCAGATCTGCAGCCCCGAGTCAGAGCGCGACACGGCACCGCGGTGGATGCCCTCTGGGCCTCCTGCCCTTGCCCTGGTTCCGGTTTCCTGGGATGTGGCCAGCCACTGTCCTGCCAAGGTTCTTACGGCTGGGTTAGGGTGGAACTCGGTCAACCCAGGGTGCAGGGGTGGGGAGCGGCCCTGGGTGAGAACAAGCCCGTGCTCAGAGTAGCCCCCGGATGGCTACTGCAAGGCAAAGAGAGGAGCCTCCCACAGAGCCCCAATGCCCAGACTGTGGCCTGCACGACGCCGCCGGGCGCTGTCCCCAGATGGGTCTGGCGTCCCTGGGGCTTGGGCAATGGTGCTGGTGCAGAGCCTGGGACGGGGCCAGCATGGCCTCAGGGCTGCCTGACACCCAGCCACCAGCCCTGACACATGGCTCCCAGCAGACACGGCCCAGGCCCCACTCTCCGGTGAAGGGCGTCTATTTTCTTCGGGGGCCGCGGCGAGAGCAGGTTTCCGAGGCTGTGAGCCCTGTTCTAGATCACACCTGCACTCCCCAGCTCCGGAAGCTTGACCTGAATCGTGACATTCGCACGGCACCTTCCACCGATGCGCAGGCCGGGGCCGTCTGAAAGGTGCTGACTGTTTCAATCTAGGGGTATAATGGCTCAGGACAGGGGTCAACAGAGGGACTCGCTGGGCTCAAGAAGACAGAGGTTCATGGGAATGCAGAGCGCAGTCAAAAGAAGCGAAGTTCTCCCTGACCCGGCTCAAGTCCACCCAAGGGGAAAGGGCCTCTTAGAGCCTGCACCCCCGGCCAGGCACCTCCCAGCAGGCTGCATGGGCCTCGGCAGACCAGAGCTGCACGCAGCTTGTGTGCCAAGACCCTCTGGGAAGGCAGAGGGTCCCCAATCCGTCTGCCTACATTTTGGTGGCACTCCTGGAGCTGCCTTCTCTCTCTCCCCCGTGTGTGTGTGTGTGTGTGTGTGTGTGTGTATTTTTTTTTTCTTGAGACAGGGTCTCAGGCTGGAGTGGGTGGGTGGGTGTGTGTGTATTTTTTTTTATTGAGACAGCGTCTCAGGCTGGAGTGGGCCTTGACCTCCCCAGCTCCGGCAATCCTCCCACCTCAGCACCCCTGAGTAGCTGGGACCACAGGCACAAGCTACCACGCCCAAGCCAATTTTTTATTTTTCATAGAGAGGGGGTCTATGTTTTCTACACTGATCTTGAATTCCTGGGCTCAAGTGATCTATCCCCTCGGTCTCCCAAAGTACCGGGCTTATAGGTGCGAACCACTGCCTGGACAGAGCCGCCTTCTGTAAAACACTCACCTGGGCCACCCTGGTAGAGGGCGCCTCTTGGGGGGGATGGGGGATGCCAACCTCACAGGGCCTCCTATCTTTTAGTGCTGGTGTTCCAGAAGGTTCCAGTACTGGGAGGGACAGGTGAGTCGGCAGCAGTGGGCTCATGGCACAAAGGCAGCCCACGAGGGACTGTGTGCCAGGCCCATGGTGATGCCAGGCCCACGGTGGCCATGCTGACAAGGGAAGGAGGGAGCGGGGGAGCAGGTGGCTGTGTGAGCGGACGCCCTCAGGACAGGACGCAAGATACTCTCCCCTGGGCACCAGAGGGCCCCTCGAGGACGGACTCCCTCCAAGAGACAGGGACTGAGCTTGGGAAGACGTGATCCAGGGGCTCTCCCAATCGGGGCGCATTCTTTCCCCATGAATTGTTAAAGCCACGACCGGAACACGGGAGTGGACCTGCTGAGCGTCCTAACGTGTCTGCTGCAGGACCGATGCGAACTCATGGTGGGACCATCCGGAACAAGGCCAGGCCCAGGCCTCTCCCCTTGGGACGCTCACCCCATGTCTCCCTGGGGTTCCCTCCACGGTGCTGCCCTCATCCCTCAAGCTCCTGCCTCCCGCAGTGGACAGTGGCTCTGGCGCACCTGGGCTGTGTCTGTCTCCCTGCCTGGGCTGGGACTGTTCCAGGGCCCCTCAAGGCTGGAAGAAGAGCCTGACCGGCCGCCTAGTCCAGATGGAGAGACCTCTGGCCCCGAAAGTCAGGACCCCCCAGGAGGCCACTTTCTGGGGGAAGGTGCAGCAGCCACTGGAGAGCTCTGGATTCGGAATCCAGGGCCCCTGGGAAGATGCGGATGCGGACGAAGACCCAAAAACCAGAAGGAACCCCCGCCAGAGAGCAGGGGAGGGCTCCTCTCTCCAAGGACGCGCGTCAGAGCCCCCGAAGCGCGTCTGGGAGGTCACGTACCGGCTTACTCGTCTATACCAACAGAGCAGGAGTCGGGCCCCAGGGCTGCGCGGAGAGGGGGAGAGACAGACGGAAGCTCGGTTAGCAAGCGCGCAGCAGCCAGCACAGCCACAGCAAGGGCACCAGCTTGGGGACACGGTCGAGGCCGTCTAGAAACAAACACTCTGCTGCAACCACAGAGAACCACAAGGAGAACCACAGCTGGGAGGCAGAGCGCAGCCAGAATTCAACGCGGAGGAGCGCACTGGCCCTGCCCCTCCCTCCCATACCTCCCGCTGCCGCAGCCTAGGGAAGGGCGCATGAAGGACCTAACGGGCGCAGTCCACCTCTGGTTTCAGGAGTGAAGGCCCTGGGTGGGGGGCTGAGGCTAGACAGGACCGAGCTCAGGGCCAAGTCCAAGACACCAGGGCCCCCAGTGTTCACCATCTCATGGGCCCTCCCATCTACAGGGACAGCAGGGTTCAGTGATGCCGCCCACCCCGCCAGGCAGCGGCTGCACCCCTATGAGAAACCAAAGGCTCTGGCGTGTGTTCATGCCTTACGCACAGACACGGATAGACAGTCAAGGGCTCTGTGATGTGAAAAAGTCAGTGGAACAGAGGGGCCACCACATGGATTTAAAAACACACAGAAACCTGTGCTGACAAGGCTGACAGCCACGGAGATGGCGCCAAACAGCCCCCAAAGGCACATGTGCTCTCCGTGGCTCAGAACTGAGGCCGTGCAGGCTGACCTGCTGGCATTCAGCAGCAGCCAACTCCAAGAGCGGGGCCCAGGGCCCAGGAGTTCACCTCAGGCTGCCCCGATGTAGACTCGGCCTCTCCTCTACCGCCTCCACAGATGACGACTGCCTGCCCCCGTCTGTGGGCCTGAAGAAGGCCCGAGACCCTCCCCTGTGGGTGGGGCATGAGACTCGGAGTCCTGGCCTCCTCTGTGTGGGCCTCCTCTGTAGCTGTCCCAATCCTTCCCAGGCCTGGCCACAGAGGGGAGGCGCAGCCTCTGAGATGCTCCCCCACAGGGCCACCCTGCAGGATCAGATATCATGTTCGTGGCTCCCAGAAGCTGAGGTCCTTCTGGCCTCTTCCCCGATCACCCCCCAAGTTTTTAATCAGAATGAAATATTTGAGATCCTCTGAAAGACCTTACTCGAATTCTGTGTCACTTTAAGGTAAGCTGGTCCTAAACACACCTTCTGCTGTGAGTTGTTCGGGGCAGGCCGCTGTGGTCATCAGGGCACCAGAGGCAGTGCCTGCTCCTGCACCTGCGACCTGTCACGCCCAGCCCATGAGCACAGGCCACTGCTCAGCCAGAGTCCGGGGGCACAAGAGCCCCTTTCCAACTAAAGCACGTCACAACCACCCAATGTCAGGCCCAGGTCACCAGGTGACTCAGGAGGATTGAGCAATGGTGGGCCCTGGGGCCAGGAAGCGGGTGAAGCCTGGCAGCCGCGAGGGAAGAGCCACACTCCCTAAGCAGTGGCTCTGGGGTCATGTCTGAAAGCACCGTGGCTGTTTATCGCAGTTCCAGAGCCGCAGACAGCCTCGTGGCAGGTGCTGAGACACTAGTCTGAGAGCCCCCATTCCCTCCCGGTCTTTAGAGCTTAGGATTCGAAACTGAGGATCTTATCCCAGCAGAGCAGAGCACGAAGGTGCTTGGCTGATGGGGTCTGGGGCCCGAGCCTCCGGGAAAGGTGAGAAGAGCAACCCTCTGTCCCAGCCTTGCTGCCTTGCTGTTCCCCGCTGGCGCCTGGCGCCCCCGCCGTCCTCTGTGCCTGGCCTGGGATGTGCTGCTGCATCAGGTGGCCTCTGTCAGGCCCGGGGCAGGGTGACCCAGAAGACACTGCCCCTGCGCTCTGTGGCCCAGGGCCCCCGCTACCCAGCACAGCGTGTGGTACCTGCTCCTGCTCTGTCTGCAGCTCTCAGGCACTGCCAGGAGCGCACGTGGCACCCAGCATGGGGCCTGTGGGCCCACGATAGGACCAGGAGTGGGGGAACATGTGGTGATCCCAGTGGGGCCGGATCTGCCCTCCTGGCGTGAGCAGCAGGCAGAGGGAAAAGGACCCCATCCTCTCACAGGCAGCCTCTCTCGCGTCTCTCACCTCCTGTGGCCAATGTGGCCCCAGGGAGGGAAGGGGCTTTGGTGCAGGTTCCGCTCCCAAGAGCCAGGCCCTGCCTGAGGCTGCTTTGTGGCCATGGCCCTGGCCCGCATCCTGCTTCACGGTCAATAGCAGGGGCATGGCTGAGAGCCAGGGAGAGAACCAGGCTCCAATGGACAGCCTCTGCTGCTATGCACCGACCATCAGAGCAGGGCCCCCTCCCTGGGGACTAAGACAGGCACCCAGCCCCTCACCCCCAGACCCCCAGCCCCTTACCTGGCAGGTAGATGTCAGCAGGTGGGCCTCGGCCACAGTGCTCGGGGCTGCTGTCCTGCAGGACATTCTCAATGGAAGCTGCTCGGGTCCCTGCAGGCAGAGGGTGAGGTTAGGGACCTACAGGCAGGGGCCAGGTCCCGGCAGGTCCCTCTGGGCAGGAGGCCGTCTCTCTTACCCAAGGGCTCTGTAGCCACTGTGGGGACCCCAGGCTTGTGCTCCAGCAGGACTCCACCGTGACCCCACCTGCTCTCCAGGGACCCCAAAGCTGGGTGTTTCCCTTCTATTTCCCTCCTTCCCATCCCCCAGCATGGGGCTTTTTTTTCCCCTTTTTTACACTGTGTCCTGGATGTTCAGAGCATAGGGCTTTTTTTTTTTTGGTCATAGAAACATTACACGCTCATGTTTCAAAACCAGGACTGAATGCTGGCAGGTGTTCCCCATCCCAGGCAGACAGCCCTGCAGGGTCAACAGCGCAGCCTGACCCAGTCACCCGTTCAGTCCCTCCCAGCCGGGATCCCAGTGCCGCCGAGGGGGGCCTCTTGGCCGAGGGTTCCTGGGGCAGAAGAGGTGCTGGCCCAACACCACCTGGAGCCCTAAGGCCCCAGTAAGCCAGGGCTGCCTGGTCCCTGCATGCGGTTTGTGCCCATGGAAGGAGGCGCTCACCTTGCTGTGGTGACGACGACTCATCAACCTCTTCTGTTATGAAACTCTAGGAAACAAAGGGGAAAGTAGCCTAGAGCTCAGAGAGCCGCGGCCACCGCTCCAGGACAAGCCGCCATCAGGCACGGCCCTCCCGGGACCGCACAGCCGCTCCACCAGGGGGTGCTGCCTCCACAGACCGAGGCTAAGGAGCCGCGCAGCTCAGCAAGAGCCAACAAGCACGGGGGCGCCCAGGCGGGCAGTGGGATGGGGTCTGATTCCAGCGACAGAAGCTGGAGGAGGGCTGGCCCGGGCGGGTGCGCAAAGCTTCCCCGGGGGGGCCTCACCTCAGGGGAGCTGCTTTCCCGCAGGGCCAGCTCTGCGCCACCCAGTGGGGGAGGGGCGTCCACGTCCTCGGAGAGCTTCTCCTCATCCTCTTCGTGGATGGGGGAAGACGGGGACCGTAGGGTGCTGGGGACAGAGGAGAGGGTGGGCAGGGGTGAGAGGATAACGACAAGGAAGGCTAACCCTGCCAAAGCCATGCAGGGCACCTGGGGGCCCCTGCACACGCCTGCCAGGACCCACGCAAGGACACTCCCTGGAGAAGGGCATCACCAGCCACCGGGACCAACCCAAACGGCCAACAGGCAACAGCGGCCACCACAGACCCGCCCGACAGAGGGGCTCCCGACACACTGGCACGGGCCTAGCCTTCCTTTTCTTTCTAGAAGGAGAAGAGAAACCGCTGGTGGTTCCTGGGGAGGAGAAGCAGCAGGAGACAGAGGCCCCCGTTTCTCTGAGCTTTGGCGCTGCCTCCTCGTGGGCATGGAGGGTGCCCAGGGCGGGCCTGCAGAACCCGCGCCTTCCTGACACTCTTCTACGAGAACCGACAGGCCTGAGGCACAGAGTCCCCCTGGCAGCCGCCGCTCTATACACCGCAAGGCTCCAGGGGAACCACGAATGACCCGTGGCCAACCCCAGGAGCCAGGCCCTCCGAAGGCTGTCGTATGAGTGATGGATGATGCACTCATCGCCTGGAGAGGGACCGTGCCCCGTGGCTCGTCACGGGCGAACGGCAAGAGCAGTGAGTGTGCCTGGGTCACTGTCAGGTCCTGAGTTTCGGCTGCCCTGGCTGGTCACCGGCAGAGTGGGCCTACGTGGCCAGCCCCCCAATGAAGTCTGGGAACCCAGAGGCTCAAAGGGGCTCCCCTCAGCAGAGACACAGCACCGACCCCTGCAGTTTCCTGCTCGAGAGCACGTATGCGCCTGCACGCCGGTGTGGCCCTGGTCGGGGGATCAAAGCCTCCAGCTGCCCGGACGCTCTTCCTGCCTCGTCTGCTGCGTTCTTTGCCGTAATAAACTTTACCCATGAGTCTAACCTGATACGGGGTCTCCGAGTCCTTCTGGGGAATCGCCACACAGAACACATCACAAACTGATTTGAAACCACAAAGACACCCGCTCCGCACGCGCGCCACCACACACCCTGCCATGCACCTGGCCTGGCTGCTGCTCACCTGTCGGGGGCCTTGCTCTGCGGCCTGCCCTTCTGGCGGCTGCTGTCCAGGATGTGGTCGATAGCCGCGAGGGGACAGCTGGCCTGGGACAGGCCGTCCGAGATGCCTGAATAGGTGATTTCTTCATAAAGAGGGGCCGAGGGGATGGCCGGGGAGACAGCCCGGAGGCCGTTGAGCGCCTCGAGCAGCGAGATGGGCTCGTAGCCAGGTGGGACGCTGTCAGAGTTCTGTAGGGACAGGGTGCGTGAGGGGGCTCATGCCCAGGGACCACCTGCTCCCCAGACGCTCCTCCTGATGACCTCCTGTCCACTCTGTTCTTTGGGGGATTGAGACTCCCCCACCCTCAGAGGGTGGCCAAGAGCTCCCTGGCAGCACCGATGCCCTCCCTGCCTCAGCCATCAGCTCCAGCACGGGGCTGGATGCCCAAATGCCCACGCTGGTGCCTGGGATGACGGGCACGAGGGCATCTGCCAAGAACCGCCCCAGCCCTGGCCTCAACCAGCCCCTCCCTGGCTTTCAGTCCCGCCTGGCCCCAGGTGGAGAGTGAAGGGTTAGTGACAGACAGGAGCTGGGAGCGGGGGCAGAGCAAAGCCATGCCAGAGGCGAGAGACACGGTCAGGGGCGTCCTGGACCAGGGAGAGCTGAGCTGTTGGGAGCTGTGCCCTGCCCGGGCCTCTGGGGGCTGACCTGCTCCAGGTGGTTCTAACGGGCACCCTGGCTAAGAGCCACTGTTCTTCCCTCACTGGGAGCAGACAGAATCAACAAGGCTGAGGAAGAAGGAAAATGCCCAGGTTCTGGGGAACGGAAGTCAGACTGCGGGGGCCCCTGCTCTGTCCCCACAAAACCAGGTTGAGGGGCACAACGCTCGTCAGTGCTCCTTTCGGGAGACCCCGGCCTGCCTGACCGAGCTCCTGGAAGGAAGGGGAAAGTGAGATGGGTGCGGGATGCCTGGAGACCACGGGGAGGTGGGGGAGAAATGGGGGAGCGGGCACGGCCCGGGCAATGAGCCCGGGATGCTTTTCTGGACCTCTGTGTACCCCACATTTGCTCCCATACCTGCCTCCAAGTTAAGGGTAAATAACCACACAGAATCCCCTCACCCCTCTAGAAAGGAAAACACGGTCCGGGTGGCTCCGGAGTGGCCTCCACCTTCTACACCAACGCACACAGGGTTTCGGCTGGGTCTGCCTGGGCCACGGAGGCTCCAGGTGGTTGTGTGCTGGTCCCCCTGCCTGCTCCCTGGGGCACAAGGGAAGCCCAAGGAAACCAAAAAGCTCAGCCCAAGGAGCTCGAACCCGCAGGGTAAAGGAGCGGGACACGGGGCCAAGAAGCATGCGCGGGGCGCGATTGCAAAACGCAGCAGCGACGTTAGTTCCGCCTGCAACGTCCATTCCACTGCCAGCAAGAAAAAAAAGGGAAACGGCACGGGGGCCACGCGGGGCGGAGGCAAAGCTGAGGGGAGGGCGGCGGGGCCAGCGCACCTGGCGTTTCGCCCACGGACCGAGAGCTTTTCCGGTTCCACAAACTCCCTGGGCAGGGAGGCCGGGACTGGGCAAGTGGAGCTGACGGGTTATATGAATCAGACACTAGCCTGGGGCGGAAACGATCTCCCCTACTTGTCGTGGGTTTAAAAATGAGGGCGGGGGCAAAAAAACGTAGCCGGAGGACCAGACACTTACTGTTTCCCTTTTAGGTTTCTTGCTGGCCAGGGAGGCGGGGTGCGGCTTTGATTTTTTAAAGGGACACTGTCAAGATAAAAATCATATGTTTTACAACTACCACCCCCACGCGGCCCTGGAGTGGGCTGGACAGGTCTGACTGGCTGTCCTCTTGCCACACCGTGGCGCAGAACTTCACAAGCTTCCGGGGGACGTGAATCTCGGGACTGTCCTAAGTGAGGGTTGACTCGGGTCTGGGTGGGCCATGTGTGCGTCTCGGCAGCTCCCGGGAGCTGTGCTGCTGCAGTGGGGAGGCTGTGGAGCCCAATCTCATCCCCATTGCCTGTCCCCCCGCAGTCTGGGTCACCTGGGGCAACAGATTTGGCCAAGGTGGACGTGAGGGCAGCTGAACGCTGCCTAATGCAGGCTGGGTGCAGGGTGGAGATCCTGAAGCCACACTGGTCAAAGTCCCCCAGCCAGCCGGTGCCCAGGCACCGCCGCTCACTTATCACCAACCATGAACCCCTCAAGAGGGCTGGGGAGAAGAGTCAGCCCCAGACCCACCCACCCCACCATCATCTTTAGGCACTCGCTGGAGAGAACACCCACGGTGGCTCTTTCTGTCACTACGTGGAAGGGGCTCCAACAGGAACCTGGCAGGTGAGGAGGAGCGTTTGCTTTTGCTCCATGCAGAGAGGACGGCGGCTCCCTGGCTGGGTGCCAGCCCTTCTGGGGCATGTGGAGGTCAGAGCTGCCTGGTCACACCTCGGACCCCGGCCGCCCAGCTCACTCAGCATAAGAGGGACAAACATGGAGGGACCTACTGGATCCTCAGCCACCAGAACACAAACAGGGAGGGGCAAAAACAAGGGACAATAAACCTAGCCACGCCTGAGCATCGATCACTCCCTAGGTGAAACCCTCTCAGAGGCAAATCCCTCAGGGGCTGCTTCTCTCTCCACCAAAAACCTGAGCACACGCAGCGTTTCCGAATCAAAGCCAACATCAAAAGTGCTGGAGAGCGTGGTGCCAGGAGCCCCACGATGGTAGGGGCCTAGAGGGCCTGGGTTGACAGGGACCCCCAAGCCATGTTTCTCCTCTAGCATCAAGACCATGTCAGATTTTAAAAGACAAACCCAAAATCTGGGTTTTAAGGGAAATTCCAGACTTTTAAACATTGACCCCATTTCAGAAACATTGCACCTGCTGCCAGGGAGGCCCATAGGGCCCAGGTCAAGGCCCTGATCAAGGGGGCTTGGGAGGAGCCTTCTAGAGCAAAGGCGCTGTCTGTGAACGCCAGTCCTCAGGGCTCTGCTCCTCTTTTCTGTTTAGAGAGGCAGCAGAGCCTGGAAGAACCAACGGCTCATAACAGCCACAGCTAAGAGCCAAGAAAGGCACTCAATCTGACAATGCGCGTGGCCAGTGGGGAGCAGGGGGCCTAAGACCCGGGCCCAACCAGTCACTGTCCAACTCCCCCATTCTGCTCCCTGCCCACCACAGCCCCTGCCACCCATCCCCATCTCTGTCTCTCCCTGTGTCTCTCCACATCTCTCTCACCCTGTCTCTCCACATCTGTCTCTCCGTCTCTCCACATCTGTCTGTCTCTTCCTATCTCTCCATCAGTCTCTCCCTATGTCTCTCCACATCTTTCTCTGTCTCTCCCTTTGTCTCTCCACATCTCTCTCATCCTGTCTCTGTGTCTCTCCACATTTGTCTCTGCCTCTCCCTGTGTCTCTCCACCTCTCTCTCGCCCTGTCTCTGTGTTTCTCTGTGCATCTCTCTCCATGTCTCTGTCTGTCTTTGGGTCCTTGAAGCCAGGGTTCCACCTCCCTTGTGTTGCTGAAGCAGGGCCTGCCCTTAAGGTCCCCACTGAGGGCGCCTGGTGGGCCTGGAGCGTGGGAGGAGGGTCACCAGTGCCCCTTGCACAGCAGCGCATGGGGGAAACAGCATGGCTCATTCACTAAGAACCACGGGGTGGAGGCGGTGGCTCAGGCCTGTAATCCCAGCACTGTGGGAGGCTGAGGCAGGACTAGCACTTGAGCCCAAGAGTTCGAGACCAGCCTGGGCAACATGGGAAACCCCACCTTACTAAAAATACAAAACATTAGCTCGGCGTGGTGGTACACGCCCGTGGTCACAGCGTCTTGGGAGGCTGAAATGGGGGAATTGCTTGAGGCGGGAGGTCGAGGCTGCAGTGAGCTGACATTGCACCACTTTGGGTGCACACCAGCCTCGGTGACAGACCGAGACCCTGCCTCAAAAAGAAAAAAAAAAAAAAAAAAGCACCTGGCTCCACCGAGACCTCGACCGCGCTCAGCCTTGTCGCAGGCTCTGGTACTGATGGCAGCAGCGCTGTTCCCAGCAGCGGCACCCCAGGGCCCAGCCTGGCCACCCCCTTCATGCCTCACAGCCATCCATGGGGGCCATGCCTGCCCACTGGACAGAAGAGAACACGGGGCTGCTGGCTGGACCGTCTGGGCCTTGCGCCTGGCCCAGGCACTCATGCCCCTCTCCCGCCCATCCCGCAGGCAGGAGGCGGCACTTACAGAGTGCTCATCATGCTCCAGGCTCTGGGCCAGGACGGGGCTGAAGGACACGGGGGACAGGGCTCCTGGCTTCTTCCGCACCGCCCGGATCTGCAGGAGGGCCCGGAAAGCTGCGGCAGAAGGAGGGCTCAGATCAGGCCCAGGCGACACACCCAGCCCCGAGGGGACCCTCCCAGCCCCAGGGATCAACACCCCCCCCACACCATAGGGGTCCTGGGGTGACCCCGCTTCCAGATCACAACGGTCTTTTTTTTTTCTTTTAGTTTTAAGGAGCAGGAATTTAATAGGCAGGAAAGATGGGGGAAGAAAGAAAGAAGCAGCTCCCCTGTACAGAAATAGAGGGAGGGGGCGCTCCAAAGACGAGAGACAGAACTCCCGCAAACACAGTATTAATGAAATGGCCCCGGGCAGGAAACACAGCAAGGCCATGCAGTGCTGCCCAAGGCGGGGCTCCAGAGGGTGTTTCCAAGAGGCTGGTGGCCATGACCCCCAAAGCGTCACACCCCTGAAGCTCCAGGCTGCACCCGAGACAGGACGTGACTGCAAATCAGCAGTCCTGGCTGAGCCCAGAGGAGCTCTTGGCTGCAGGACAGGATGGCAGGCGGGGACATCACACTGGGGAAGCTGAGGTGGGGATGTCATGCTGTGGAAACTGAGACAAGGACATCATGCTGAGGAAGCTGAAGTGGGGAGTCACGCTGGGGAAACTGAGGCAAAAACATCACGCTGGGGAAGCTGAGGGGCACAGACAGCAGCCACTGGGAGCAGAGAAGATAAACCAGGACCTAGGATGCCCTGTCATCCCACAGTGCCAGTCCTGCTCACACAAGGGCCCCACAGGCTGCTGTAGAATGTTCCTGAGACACCTTTAGTGACGTGTGCAGGCCAGGAAACCGAACCACCAAACCACCAAACCAGCCACCTCCAACAAACCAATGCATCTGCCGTCAGCCCAGGGACAGGGCCTCAGGCCTCCTCTGTGTCAATTTCTACTGAGAACAGCAGTCTCTGCCCTCGGGCGCCTGTGAGGGGCCCCTCTACCGCCACGTCCTTGAGGCTCAAAGCCACACGGGAGCTCTGAACTCCAGTCTGATGGCCCCGACCCACTGACCCCACACACCTGAAGATTCCAGAATTGGACTCGGTTCAGGGCACCCTCCCTGGAAAGCAGCCCTGCTGTATCTCCAGCCACACAGCCACCCTGAGGCTCAGTCCTCAACACTGCCTGCCTCCTGGGCAGGCACAGAGAACCTTCCTAGACAGCCCACCCCTGCCCCCACTTCCTGGTCCCTGCCCCCGCAACTCTGTGGCTTTCAGACAGGAGAGGCCGACAGACAGCCTGGGCCGGCCCTCCCTGCTACAGGATCTGCCACAGGCTGGGCGGCCGGCCTCTCCCTCCAGGCCCCAGCAGCCTCTTCACTTACTCCTGGGATCTGGACACATCCAGTGACCCCATGGCCTGACTGCACAGACCAGCATCCTCGCACAGCCCCACGCCCGGCTTGGAGGTCTGCTGGCCTACTAAGCGCATGTGTCCTGCAGCTGCGCAGGCAAATCCCCAACTATGCTCCGGCCCCACCGCCAGGACCCAGGCCAGGGATCCCAGGATCCAGGGCAAGGGCCTACCAGTGGGATGTGCACTTTGACCTGGTCGTTTTTTCACCCTGAGAACATTCAGGTTGTTCCCTCTACTGGAAGACACTCAGAACGGGGCCCTACGAGCGGCTTTTCACTGAGGAAATGTCTGGAATGCTCTAGAAAACCCAATTTAATTCCTTGGTCAATTTTCTACCCAGCATACTTTGTTTTCACTTCGCTATAATTTTTTTTTTTTTTTTTGAAACAGGGTCTTCCCCTGTCTCTCAGGCGGGGGTGCAGTGGTGGCACAATCACAGCTCACTGCACCCTCAACCTCCCAGGCTCAGCCGATCCTCCCGCCTCAGCCTTCCAAGTCACTGGTACTATAGCCAACACATCTGGCTAACTTTTAACTTTTTGTACAGATGGGGTTTCGCCATGTTGCCCAGGCTAGTCTCGAACTCTTGGGCTCAAGCGATCCTCCTGCCTTGACCTCCCAAAGTGCTGGGATTATAGGTGTGATCTGCAACCAGCGTTATGCTAAAAATTTATTGAAATATTTTCTATTTTACCTTTAAAATAAAGATCTGAGCTGGCCATGGTGGCTCATGCCCATAATCCCAACACTTTAGGAGGCACGAGGACCACTTAACCCCAAGAGTTCGAGACCAGGCTGGGCAACATAGCAAGACCCTGTCTCTACAAAAAAAATTTTAAAAACAAGGCAGGGCCCTGTGGCTCTGCCTGTAATCCCAGCACTTTGGGAGGCCAAGGCAGGCAGATCACTTGAGGTCAGGAGCTTCAGACCAGACTGGGCAACAATGTAAAACCCCATCTCTACTAAAAATACACAAAATAGCCGGGCATGGTGGCACATGCCTGTAATCCCAGCAACTCAGGAGGCTGAGTCACAAGAATCATTTGAACCTGGGAGGCAGAGGTTACAGTGAGCCAAGATCCTGCCACTGTACTCCAGCCTAGGCAACAGAGTTAAGACTCTGTCTCAAAATAAATAAATAAATAAAAGTAAGTAATTAATTAAAAAGCGGTGGCTCGGCCAGGCGCGGTGGCTCACGCCTGTAATCCCAGCACTTTGGGAGGCCGAGGCGGGTGGATCATGAGGTCAGGAGATCGAGACCATCCTGGCTAACAAGGTGAAACCCCGTCTCTACTAAAAATACAAAAAATTAGCCGGGCGCGGTGGCGGGCGCCTGTAATCCCAGCTACTCGGGAGGCTGAGGCAGGAGAATGGCGTGAACCCGGGAAGCGGAGCTTGCAGTGAGCCGAGATTGCGCCACTGCAGTCCGCAGTCCAGCCTGGGCGACAGAGCGAGACTCCGTCTCAAAAAAAAAAAAAAAAAAAAAAAAAGAAAAGAAAAGAAAAGAAAAAAAAAGAAAAGAAAAGAAAAAAAAAAAAGCGGTGGCTCACGCTTGTAATTCCAGCACTTTGGGAGGCCCAGGAGGGCAGATCACGAGGTCAGGAGTTCCAGACCAGCCTGACCAACATGGTGAAACCCCATCTCCACTTAAAACACAAAAATTAGCCAGGCATGGTGGTGCAGGGCTGTAATCCCATCTACTCAGGAGGCTGAGGCAGGAGAATCACTTAAACCCGGGAGGCGGAGTTTGCAGTGAGCCGAGACTGCAACACTGCACTCCAGCCTGGGTGACAGAGCGAGACTCTATCTCAAAAAAATAAAATAAAATAAAATAGCCAGGCATGGTGGCTCATGCCTGTAACACCAGCACTTTGAGAGGCTGAGGCAGGCAGATTACTTGAGGCCAGGAGTTCAAGACCAGCCTGGCCAACATGGCAAAACCCCATCTCTAATAAAAGTAAAATATTAGCTGGCCATGGTGGCAGTTGCCTGCAATCCCAGCTACTAGGGAGGCTGAGACAGGAGAATTGCTTGAACTCAGGAGGCAGAGGTTACAGTAAGCTGAGAACTCGCTACTGAACTCCAGCCTGGGCGACAGCACGAAACTGTCTCAAACAAAAAATAATAAAAATAAAATAAGAATAAAGATTTCATTCACTCATCAATTTTCGTTCAGTTCATCTGCCCTGGAGCGCCTCTGTAGCCCTTTGTTCTGCAAGCCTTGCCTGGCTGGAGGCAGACGTGAAGATCTGAATGCCCCGTGCTAGCGTCCCTGCCAGCTCTCTCACGGTGACTGACTCCGACAGCCAACACGCCCACGTTCAGCACAGACTAGATGAATGACAACTCTTCTTTCTTAGCCATCAACGGACCTGTGGCCCCCTATCCCAGGACCACCGTGGTGTGGCCAGTCCCTAATTTCCAGAACCTTCCACAGAACAGCCGGCCGGGGAACTCACGCAGCCGGCAGATGGGGCAGTTGTTGGCCTGGTAGCGCAGCGTGTCGGCGCAGGAGGTACAGAGGCACAGGTGGCGGCAGGGCAGGATCAGCGTGTCCCGCAGGTCGGACAGGCACACCACACACTCGTTGCTGTTGTCGCTGTTCTCGTCGTCCGAGGGCTGCCGGGACAAGGGCTTGTGGGTCAGCAGCCTCCCAAAGGCCAGAGTACGGCTCCTGCTTCCTGTCCCCAGCTGTCCCACCCCACTCCACCCTACCCTGGGGGCTGTCATGACAAAGAGAAGTCCAGAGGGGAGGGGGAGGTTGCCCCAGAGCAGAATCACCAGGCTCAAATCCAGTGCAAACTCAGCACCTGGCAGAGGGGGAGGGTCTGTGCCCCTCACCCACCCAAATCATGAGAACATGGTCTCTTTCTGTTCTTCAGACCTAAAGAAAAAATGAGGAACAGATGCACCTAAGAAACACATCTTCCTGAGGGTCAGGGTACCCGTTATCTTTGGTTTAAAAAAAACCAAGTTAATGGTCAGGCGCGGTGGCTCACGCCTGTAATCCCAGCACTTTGGGAGGCTGAGGCGGGCAGATCACGAGGTCAGGAGATCGAGACCATCCTGGCTAACATAGTGAAACCCCGTCTCTACTAAAAATACAAAAAATTAGCCGGGCATGGTGGCACGTGCTTGTAGTTCCAGCTACTCAGGAGGCTGAGGCAGGAGAATGGCGTGAACCCAGGAGGCGGAGCTTGCAGTGGGCCAAGATGGCTGCCACTGCACTCCAGCCTGGGCAACAGAGCAAGACTCCATCTCAAAACAAACAAACAAAAAAAACAAAAAACAAGTTAATATGTTAGAAGTATTTTCATTAATGGCAGCTACCAGAAACCACATTAGCAACTGGACAAAAAGAAAGCCAAAAATCTAAAACAGGTGTCCACAAACTAGGCCTGTGGCCTGTTTCTATAAATAAAATCTTACTGGAACACCGCCACACCCACTCATTTTTATACAGTCCCCGCTGCTCCTGTTGTAATGGCAGCGTGGAGTCAGTGCAACAGAGACCATATGCCCGGGCGGCTGAAAACATTCCCTCTCTGAACCTTTTCTCAAAGTGGGCCGCCCCCTGGTATGAAACATGAATGCACTGACTTCCCTGGGTTGAGGCGAGGCCCGGCCAGGTGCTCCGCTCCCGCCACGTGGAGCTGCTCCAGTTGTCCTGGGCCCAGATGCCATAATGAAGCGGGCCTGTGAGACTTTCCAAGAGATCTTAAGAGGCAGGAGTTTCACTCATGTCAGTGTGCCTTTTAACAAGTTCATCGACCAGGCGTGGTGGTCTCAGGCCTGAAATCCCAGCACTTTGGGAGGCTGAGGCAGGCAGATCACTTGAGATCAGAAGTTTGAGACCAGCCTGGCCAACATAGTGAAACCCCATCTCTACTAAAAATACAAAAATTAAAAATTAGGCTGGGCGCGGTGGTTCACGCCTGTAATCCCAGCACTTTGGGAGGCCGAGGAGGGTGGATCACAAGGTCAGGAGATCAAGACCATCCTGGCCAACATGGTGAAACCCCGTCGCTACTAAAATACAAAAAATTAGCCGGGTGTGGTGGCGCGTGCCTGTGGTCCCAGCTACTCAGGAGGCTGAGGCAGGAGAATCGCTTGAACCCGGGAGGCGGAGGCCACAGTGAGCCAAGATCTCCCTGCTGCATTACAGCCTGAGCAGCAGAGTGAGACTGACTCAAAAAACAAAAACAAAAAAAACTAATTTCATCCCCTGCTACATTCCCTGACTGGGGTACACCACGGCTTATTTGTCAGGCACCAGGACTGGTTCTATGGACATACAGAATAAGCATCCCTCCCCCAGGAGCTGCAGGGACGTGCTGTCTCTGGGGAGGCGGGCAGGAGCCGGGCAGCAGGGTGCCACACACCTGAGCCTAGAGGGTGAGACACTGGCCCCCATTCCTGGGCTGCCCTGGGGAACCTGGATGGCAATTTACATCAGAAGCTAGTGAATTTGCTGGAGAAAGGATAAAATGTTCCCTAAACTGTTAGCTTTAAAAAAAATTAAGGAAAAATGATGTTGTCTAGCGGGTCTAGGACTCCAGGGGAAGGCATGGAAGGGAACCGGCAAGCATTGCTGTCCGCGGCTGCTCCTGGTGTGGGCTTCTGTAATGGCAGAGGGAAACCTCACCCAGATACACACCTTGGTCTCCTGGTTGTTCTTGTTCTCAATGCCATAGATCTCCTGCAGGAGGTAGCTGACCCGGTCCACCTGGAGAGCAGAGAGGGGCTCACTGGGCCCTCGCCAACTGCCATATGAGGGCTCCTCCATACCCACCTGGCCTAGCCCTGCCTCCAACTTACCAGGCTTCCATACCAGGGGTCAGTCCAGCTCAACCCCTGGGGGCCAGGAGAAGGGCAGGGAAAACCTGCTGCTTGCCCCCACCCAACCAGCAGCACCTGGAACAGGGCTGGAGCCGGTGGCTCTCCCCACTACTGGGGGCCTGAAGCCAACCCACAGGCCCAACCACCACCCCCTGACCGCCTCACCACCCCCAACACCACTTGGCTCCACCACCACCAGCCCCACGAGGAAAGCAGGAGCTGACGCCTGAAGGCACCAGACAGCAGCCTAAGTTCCCACTGCTTTCCAGATCCTCCTTCCAAAAGGCATGAAGCCTCTCTGGTTTCAAAGACGCCAAAGCAATGTCTCCAAGCTGATTCTGTCCTGCCACCCACTTGCAACCAAAAAGCCTCACGCTGACCACATTGCAAAGCGGTTTGTGCTGCTGGGTTTCCCAGAGACCATGGGCCAGGAGCACCACTCCAGGGAGCCCAGGGCCTGCTGGTCAGCTCTCTCAACACAAGGCCCTGACCATCACTGGGGTCTCCTGTTCCCCTGGTACCTGCAGGGACCTGGACCTGCTAGAGTTTGCTGCACCTCTCTTTTGTTTATTGTGATTTACATTTTAAATAGACAGGATCTCGCTACATTGCCCAGGCTGGTCTGGAATCCCCAGGCTCAAGCAATCCTCCTGCCTCCACCTCCCATAGTGCTGGGATCATAGGCATAAGCCACTGCACCTGGACAAACTCTCTTCTAAAAAGCTAACAGATGGCCGGGTGCAGTGGCTTACACCTATCATCCCAGCACTTTAGTAGGAGGCCGAGGCTGGTGGATCACTTGAGCCCAAAAGTTTGAGACCAGCTTGGCCAACATGGCAAAACCTCATCTCTACAAAAAATACAAAAATTAGCCAGGCATGGTGGCGCGTGCCTGTAGTCCCAGCTACTCGGGATGCTGAGGCAGAAGAATCACTTGAACCCAGGAGGTGGAGGCTACAGTAAGCTGGGATCATGCCACTGCACTCCAGCCTCGGCGACAGAGTGAGACTCCATCTCAAAAATACAAAACAAAATAAAACAAAACAAATTAACCAACTGTGGTGGCGCACACCTGCAGTCCCAGCTACTTGGGAGCCTGAACGAGAAATCACTTGAACCTGGGAGACAGAGGTTGAAGTGAGCTGAGATCGCGCCACTGCATTCCAGCCTGGGCAACAGAGCGAGACTCTGTCTTGTCTCAATAAAATAAAATTAAAATTAAAATTAAATTAAATATTTAAAAAATTAAAAACTAACAAAAATCATTCCCAAGTGGTGGCTTGAAACAGGTCTTATGCGCCCCAACAGTACACACGGAGTAACTGTTAGCTGTGGCCTAGGACATCTCATTAGCAAGATCTAACACTGCTGTTTAGGGCACCCCATCCTCTAAATTCTCGGTGCCTACTTGTGAGGCCACCAGGAATAACACTTCCCAATGCAGCATCCCAGGATCGCTGACCCCAGAGAACAGATGTACTGCTCTATAGCTCCATTTATTCTCAACTATTTAATCCTTCTTTTCAAGTATTGATGAAGTCAAGCTAAGTCTCTGTCCAATACTGACATATTGGACAATTTGTAAGGAAGAGGAGAAGGAGTTGCAGACTTTGTTTCTGGTCTCTTTCCTTCCTTTTCCATCCATCCATTCGGCAAATATTTACTTAACACTATGTTCCAGACACAATGGCTCAAACTGGACAGAACTCAGGGCCTGCAGGCGTCCCTGTACATGGCGGGCACGCAAAACATATATGCTCACCCAAGACAGGGACCCGTCGTCCCAGAGCTTAGAGCTCTACAGGGAAGTCAACAGGCTGTTGCACAGCTTTTTTTTTTTTTTTTTGACACAGTCTTCCTCTGTCACCCAGGCTGGAGTGCAGTGGCATGATCTCGGCTCACTGCAACCTCCACCTCCTGGGTTCAAGCCATTCTCCTACCTCATCCTCCTGAGTTGCTGAGATTACAGGCATGTGTTATTATACCCGGTTAATTTTTTTATTTTTAGTAGAGACGGGGTCTCACCATGTTGGCCAAGCTGATATCAAACTCCTGGGCTCAAGTGATCTGCCCACCTCGGCCTCCCGAAGTGCTGGGATTACAGGCGTTAGCCACTGCGCCCAGCCCCTGCACAGTTATTTCAAAGGCAGCAGCAAGGGTAGCCTAGGAAGACCAGTGCATGAAGACTACTGAAGAGTGTGTGTGTGTGTCTATATATAAGTGTGTGTGAGTATATGTGTGTCTGTACATATGTGTATGTGTGTGTGTCTATGTGAGTGTATGCGTCTTTGTATATGTGCGTGAGTGATTGTATGAGTGTGTCTATGTATATGTGTGCAAGTGATTGTGTGTATGTATGTCTGTATATGTGTGCGAGTGAATGTGTGTCTATGTATATGTGTATGAGTATACATGTGAGTTTATGTGTGTGAGTATATGTGTGGGTATGTGTATGAGTGTGTGTCTGTATACGTGTGTGTATGTGTATATGTGTATGAATGTCTATGTGTGTGTGAATGGGTATATGTGTGTGTATCAGTATGTGTCTATGTATATGTGAGTGAGTGTGAGTGTATGTGTGTATGTGTACGAGTGTGTCTATGTATATGTGTGTGACTGAGTATATGAGTGTGTCTGAGTGTGTGCATCTGAATGACTGCATGTGAGTGTGAGTGTATGTGTGTATGAGTGTCGTGTCTGTATGAGTGTGTGCGAGTAGGAGTGTGTTTATGTGTGTATGTGTGTGTCTGTGTGTTTATGTGTCTATATATGTGTGAATGTGAGTGTCTGATGGTATGTATGTGTGTCCGTATATATGTGCAAGTGAATGTGTATGAGTGTGTATGAGCGTGTATGAGTATATGTGCGTGTGTATGAGTGTGTGTCTATGTATGAGTATGCGTGTGAGTGATTGTATATGTGTGTCTTTTAATTCAAGCACGTCATATTTCCTCTGATGACTTACAATTTGCTTCTGCTTTAAAGGCTTCACAGAGAAGCTGCCGTCCATGTGCTGCAGGGGAGAAAGACAAAGAGGTTAAGGTGGTCAAGCTGGCGCCTCTGAGCACCCCTGCGTGGCCGCCTGGGTTGGCCACCCTGCCCCAGCCAATCCATGCCCACAGCTGGAAAAAGAAAAAAGAAAAAAAAAAAAAAGGGTGGGGCCACTTGACAGCGAAAGAGCCGGGATTTCTGAAAACACGGCCTCAGGCCTGGCTGTGCAACTATCTGAGGCCTCCAGAACACACAGCCCGGGGACCCTCTGCTGACCCACAGAACCCAACTCTCCTCGGTTGGTCTCAAGCACACTCAAGCTGAATGCCAATCAGCCAAGTTCAGATGATGGACAAGGGCCTCCTGCACACCGAGAAGTATCACCTGGCAGCAAGAATCAAGACAGACAAAACAGCTTCCTGCTCTCCCAGGCCCGGCTGAGTTAGAAAGACAGAGCGGGAGCACGCACAGTGGTGCACACACAGGGAACCGCAAAGCTCTAAAAACGCAGGAACGAAATAGAACAAGCACACCCGGCGGTATCCAGGGAAACACACCACCGCTCAGAGTTCAACAAGGTTAATTACGGCTTGAGATCGGAGACCTCGCAACAACACTCATTATCCCTTCTCAGTCAACCACCATCAGCACTCAGAATTTTCCAGTGAGGCTGGTGGGTTCTAACAGAAATTTCCAGAATGTTGGACTCCAAAAATAAAGCAGTTTCCCACTGGGTTCTGTACTTCAAGCACAGAATAGACCATTTTGCCAGAGATGTCCCATCTGCCTCTGCCAGAGGATGCAGATGTGTCAATAGTCACCGTGGCTTCTGACGAGTCCGGGCCGGGGAGAGCAGCTGGGGAGCCCAGTACTAAAAAGGCAGAAGGCTGCCCTCTGCCCAGGGCACTTGTGTCACCACAGTCTGTGGTCCTGGACCCGGGAGAGAACAGACCCAGCCTCGCCACAGGACACACAGAGGAGAGGGTCCTCTACCCAGCTAACAGAACCCCCGACCCTGGGGTGCTCTAGAAAGACCCAGATCACAGGTAAGAGCTGGACTCTGCACTTAGAGCTCTCAGGGGCTGCGGCTGCACATGGGGCTGGAGGTGGGTGGAGAGCCTGGGCTAGGCAGGACCCAGAGGCAGCGTGAAGCCCGCAGCAGGCAGGCTGGGCCTTGTCACACGGGATCCTTTCCCCCTCCGACTCCTAGGCAGCAGGATGGTGCCACGCAGACCTGCAACGGCAGGGTGCTGATGAACGTCAGTGCACACTGGGGGCGGGGCCACCGAGGCACCAAGGCACTATCAAACAAGCGTGCGTCCCACCACCTCCGCCAGGTTCTCAGCAGAAACCCATGCCAGGTGGGCAGCAACCCCTCGTCCATCCTGCCAGTGTTCTGAGTGTCTGCTCTGTGCCAGACATCAAACTCAGCTCTGGGGATGCCAAGACACCCAAGAGGACAGTGCTGCCCTCGTGAACATCAAGTGGGAACAACAGATGTTTGTCCTGAGTGGTGTCAGGAAAAGGCTCCTGTAGGAAGCAGGGCCTGCCCAGCCTGCAGGGTCAGAGTGCCGCAGGCAGGTGGCGGAAGGAGCAGCAGGACTGGGGGTCTGTGACATGTGCCAGGTGACACCCAAGGACACTGAGCCTGGTAGGAAAAAGCTACAGCCCGAGGAGGTAACAACATTGCTGATCTCTGCACACCCCAGGGCGAAGGCAGTCTACCGCAGACAGCCCTCCTTGTGGGAGCCCCAGCCCGTGGCATGGCAGCAGGCTCTACAGAATTCTACAGGGCTGGCCTCAGTCTACAATGTTCTCCCTCAACACACTCCAAGTACCCTTTGAAAAGCCTCTTGGCCAGGTACGGTGGCTCACGCTTGTAATCCCAGCACTTTGGAAGGCCAAGGTGGGAGGATCACTTGAGGCCAGGAGTTTGAGACCAGCCTGGGCAACATAGCGAGACCTCTTCTCTACAAAAAAATTTTTTTAAGTTAGACAGACGTGGTGGTGCATGCCTATAGTCCCAGCTACTCGGGAGGCTGAAGTGGGAGGATCTCCTTAAGCCCAGGAGGTCAAGGCTGCAGCGAGCTGAGATCACACCACAGCCCTCTAGCCTGGGCAACAGAGCGAGACCCTGTTTAAAAAAAAGAAAAGAGATGGCCAGGTGTGGTGGCTCACACCTGTAATCCAAGCACTTTGGGAGGCCGAGGCAGGTGGATCAAGAGGCAGGAGATCGAGACCATCCTGGCTAGCACAGTGAAACCCTGTCTCTACTGAAAATACAAAAAAATTAGCTGGGCATGGTGGCGGGCATCTGTAGTACCAGCTGCTTGGGAGGCTGAGGGAGGAGAATGGCATGAACCCGGGAGGCGTAGGCTGCAGTGAGACAAGATCATGCCACTGCACTCCAGCCTGGGCAAAAGAGCGAGACTCTGTCTCAAAAAAAAAAAATTGGCCAGGCATGGTGGCATGGGCCTGTAATCCCAGGTACTTGGAGGCTGAGGCAGGAGAATCGCTTGAACCTGGGAGGCAGAGGTTGCAGTGAACACAGATCCCACCACTGCACTCCAGCCTGGATGACAGGGTGAGACTCCGCCTCAAAAAAAAAAAAAAAAAAAAGGCCGGGCACGTGGCTCACGCCTGTACTCCCAACACTCTGGGAGGCCGTGGCAGGTGGATCACTTGAGGTCAGGAGTTTGAGACCAGTCTGGCCAACATGATGAAACGCTGTTTCTACTAAACATACAAAAATTAGCCAGGCGTGGTAGTGCACACCTGTACTCCCAGGTACTCGGGAGGTTGAGGTGGGAGAATCGCTTGAACCCAGGAGGCAGAGGTTGCAGTGAGCCGAGAGAGATCACGCCACTGAACTCCAGCCTGGGTGACAGAGTGAGCCCGGCTCAGGAAAGAAAAAAAAAAAAAAAGGAAATGCTAAGCCTCCTGACAGCGGCACTCGGCCTCAGGACCAGAATGCTAGAAAGCAGGAAGCCACAGACACGCCCCAACCTGCCCCGGGGCCCTTGACACTCAGCCACCCCACCAAGCCCCAGCCCCTGCTCAGGCTTCTCGTCTCAAAAGGCCACCCCCTGCCCAGCTCCCAGGTCCCCGGGAAAGTGATGGCCAGATGGCACTTACCTTTTCAAAGGCAGCCAAGAGCACGTGGGCGTGGCCAGTCACTTCCACCACTGCTGGGGAGAGAGGGGCAGAGTAGTCAGAGTCGGGGCCTGCCCCACCCAGGCATCTCACCTCCCCGACCCTGGTAGGCCTGCGGCACCGAGGGCTCAGCCTGCACAGAGTCCATAGAGTCCTGAGCCTGTTCTGGGACCTGCCCTCCTGCACTTTCCACCTCCTCACCTGCCCGGGACTCCAAGCTGCTCACACCCTGCCCTGTGGGAAGCCCAAGGCCCTATGCCTGGCCTGCTTCATCACTGCTGCAAGCACTCCTCCCTCAAGACGTGCTTCCTCCCTGCACGGCCTGCACGCCCAGGAGGACGGAAGAGGACGCACTCACCATCTCCTTCGTCCACCACAGCCTGGATGACTACTGGAAACACGCCCCGGTCCAGGTCAAAGTTCAGCTGAGGAGAGAGTTGCCAAGAATGGTCAGGACCCACACAGCCAAGCCTGGAAGCCTGGAGTCGGTCAACAAATGAGCTGGACAAAGCAGGCAGGAGCAGGAGGCAGCAGCAGAGCTCAGAGGACACGCCTCGAGATGGCAGGGAAGGCGGATGCCAGGCTTGGCACCTTTTTTATGTGTGTGTTAAAACAGATACAACACAAAATCTGCCATTTTAACTACGTTTCAACAGCGTTGAGTAAAGTACATCTATAATGTCATGCAACCGCCACCATCCATTTCCAGAACTTTTCATCACCCCAAACGGAAACCCCACACGTAGCCATCAGCACCCACACACTCCCCATCCCCTCCTCCAGCCCCCGGCAGCCACCATGTGCTTCCTGTCTCCAGGGATTTGCCATTTTTGGACCTGTCATTTACATGGAATTGCACAACAGGTGACCTTCTGTGTCTAGGTATGTTTCCAAAGTTCACCCACGGTGCAGCACGCATCGGTGCTGCTTTCCTTTTTCTGGCCAAATAACAGGCACTGTGTGGATATCCACACGCTGTGCACGCGTTCCTTTGCGACGGACACCGGGCTGGGCCTGTGTCCTGGCTACGGTGAGCAGCGCTGCACTGGACACCGGTGCGCAAGTGTCTGCCTGAACCGCGTTTTCAGTTCTCCCGGGTGCGTGCCTCTGAGGGGAAGTGCTGGTCACTGGGCAACTCCCTGTAACTTTCTGAAGAAGGCACCGGACTTGGCCCCAGCAAACACAAAAGGCAAGCAAGGGAGACCACGAGGCTGGCTTGAGTCCAAAGAGAAGCTTCCTCTTGCGTTCATCCCACCCCCTGCTGTGCACAGGCTGAAGGCCACCCTCTTCCCCACGGCCCCCAGGGCCCCAGCAGTCAGCCCAGCACAGTGCCATCCTCTCAGACCCCTGCTCCCCAGCACTGCTCTGTGGGTCTCGCCCTACTCTCTACAGGCCACGTCCTTCTCTGGGCCTCAGGAAGCACTTCGCCCCTGGGCTTCTATTGCTCATACCCTGGCAACCAGGAAAGCCACCGGCCACCATCAGGCTCCCTGACTCCCTCCATAGAGGGCAGGGACCCTGCCTCTCCAGTCACCATGACATCCTCGGTGTCTGGCACAGAACAGCAATGGACACATGCATCTGTTTATTCTGGGAAGAAAAAGAATCATTTATTTCTCAATGAAGATTTACTGAAAGAACAGATGCTGGCTGTGCCACTGTGAGCATTCTAAAAGCCAGCGAATCATTCGCTTAACACGAGTGAGCTGCAGGAGATGGTAATTATAACACAATAAAGGTGTAAAAAAAAAAAAAAAAAAAAAAAAAACAAGGCCAGGTGCCGTGGCTCCCGCCTGTAATCCCAGCACTTTGGGAGGCCTAGGTGGCGGATCACCTGAGGTCAGCAGTTTGAGACCAGCCTGGCCAATATGGTGAAACCCTGTCTCTACTAAAAATACAAAAATTAGCCAAGCATGGTGACGCATGCCTGTAATCCCAGCTACTCGGGAGGCTGAGGTAGGAGAATCACTTGAAATCGGGAGGCGGAGATTGCAGTGAGCCGAGATCACACCACTGCACTCCAGCCTGGGCGACACAGTGAGACTCCGTCTCAAAAACAAAAACAAAATATGGATGAAACATCAAATAGGAAAGGCCTGGCAGGCCCAGCCCAGGCAAGGGCAGTTGGGTGAGGGGAGAGCCTCCTGCCTCCCAAGACCGACCACAGGCCTCACTGACTAAGACCCATGAGGAAGGGACAAGCCCCTCCATGTCTGCAGCAACCACCCCCACGGATGTCCAGGTGGGACTACTCCTGGCCCAGCACAAGGGAACCCTGAGCCCGCAGCCAAGCACCCGCCCCTGAACAGCAATGCTCAGAACCAACAGACACATAGGATGTCTCCTCTCCCCTGCTGTCCCCCCGTGAAGTGGGCAGCGGAAGCAGGGCAGGGGCACACGTCCCCACCCCAGTGACCAGGGTGGCTTTCATCTCAGGCCCTCCTCCCTCCGAGCCTCGGCTTCTTTCCTTGTAAAATGGGGTCAATACCACGCTACCGCATGGGTTTCAAGGATAAAGCGCAAATGAAGTCCTCTCGACAGACCCAGCACAGAGACACTGCCTGTGGTGGCTGCTACAGTTGTTGTGAGTATTACTATTATGATTTTTTTTTTTTTTTGAGACAGAGTCTTGATCTGTTACCCAGGATGGAGTGCAGTGGCAGGATGTCGGCTCGCTGCAACCTCCACCCCCTGGGTTCAAGCAATTCTCCTGCCTCAGCCTCCCAAGTAACTGGGATTATAGGCGCCCGCCACCACGCCCAGCTAAATTTTTGTATTTTTAGTAGAGACGGGGTTTCACCATGTTGGCCAAGCTGGTCTCGAACTCCTGACCGCCAGTGATCCGACTAACTCAGCCTCCAAAAATGCTGGGATTACAGGTGTCAGCCACCGCGCCCGGCCAAATATTACTATTATTTAAGGAACCGAGGGAAATGTTTCTTCCTAACATTTGTCAACACAGCGAATTTCCTACCAAAAATACAGACGAGAAGAAAGGAGTTACAGCGGACCACAGACAGCAGTCAGGAGAAGGGGACGGGGACAAACATCAGTGTCAAGAAAGTACCCGACTGCGAACCAGGGAGGCTATGTGGACATGGACACACGGCAAAGGCTGGCAGCACCCTGGCGTTCCCAGGCATGTCCCCACCCAGCAGGGACTCCATACCCACAGGCACCTGGCACACGGCTACCGCAGCTTCCTGCCATCTGGAGCTAAGAGTTCCATTCAGACCAGAATGAATGGCACACGTAACCCATCCACACAAGAAGCCCTGGGCAGGCAGCCATCTGCTGAACAAACCACAAGCCTGGAGACCAAGTCCACACGGACCTAGGCCCCGCATCTCACGAGGAAGGGTCAGGGGTTCCAGCCACAAGTCCCATGGGATGGACAACAACGCACACATGGACAGAGGTGGACAGAGACACTGATGCTGGGGGCTATGCTGTGAAGGCTGAGAAGTGCCGTGGTCTCTGTTAGTGAGGAAGGGTGGAGCCAGGAGCTGGCAGGGCACTGGCCCAGGGCCAGAGTCAAGGCTGCCGGCATCAAGTCTAGCTCCTCACCCATTCACTACAATTAGAACCCCACCTGAGCCTCAGTTTCCCCATTTGGCAAAATGGAACGGAAGCCGTGCCTAACACAAAGCTCCAAGTGCTGTGGCTGGCAGAACACACAGTCAACACCAGCACCCTGAAGCCCTGTGTGTCCAGGCAACAGGAGCCGACCCAGCCTCCTCCGGGAGAGGGCTGGAGGGTGCAGGAGAAAAGGGTGCGAAAGGTGGCCAAGGCGGCCAATCCTGGGCCACGGCTTTGTGAAAACGTCCACACACATCAGAAAGCTGCAGACTGGTGGGCCTGACGTGGTGGCTCACGCCTATAATCCCAACACTCTGGGAGGCCGAGGTACGAGGATTGCTGGAGCCCGGGAGTTTGAGACCAGCCTACGCAACATAGAGAAACTCTGTCTCTACCAAAAAAAAAAAAAAATCAGCCAGTAGTTGTGGCACCTGTAGTCCCAGCTACTGTGAAAGTTGAGGTGAGAGGATCGCTTAACCCAGGAGTTCGAGGCTGCGGCAAGCTGTGATTGTGCCACTGCACTCCAGCCTGGGAGACAGAGTGAGCCCCTGTCTCAAAAAAAGGGGGAAAAATAAAAGGCTGCAGGGACGTGGGGCACATGTTCACACCCACTGGGACCCAGCTAGGCCTCCAGCTCCCAGCCGTCTGAGGGATACCACAGACACCTGGGCTTGCCAGAGTGAGGGACACTCCCTTCCCCGGTCTGGGGGGCCTGTCAGGGCTGATCATGCTGGGACTGTAGGCCCCTTGTGAGCCTGTTTCCTGCCCACTCCACTGAGTCCACACAGGAGTCATCGTCCCAGGGTTGCCTGGCAACGCTCCCACACTGCTGCCACAAGGGCTGTCATGAAGCCCGGAAATGGGGAGTTCGCGCACCGGCAGCCACTCCTTTAGGTGATGGAGCCAAACGGGGGAGGCAGAGCTTTCTGGAGCGCATCCACCCCCGCGCCCCTGCCCACCCCTTCGCTTCTGCCCAGGCCTGGAATGCATCCGCGCAGCCAGCACCTCAGCACTGGCGTGGGCCGCTCTGTGCTCTGAGGAGCCTCTGAGTGAGCTGTGATTTTTTTTCTCATCACACTGCAGAAACTAGGTGCTGACAGTGCTTTACTGGTGTGGAATAAAAACCAACGGTCTGGGGAGGCGTGCAAGATGGTGGCTATAGCCTTCTCTCCCACTCCCCGGCTGGCAGACGGGTTTACAGTGGGCGGCTCCAGGTAAAGCCCTTTGCATGCTGATCACGGACCCCTCGTGGCCACCCTGCGAGGGACTGCTTCCAGCCCCAGTCTACAGAGGGGCAAACCCAGGCTCACAGAGCTGCAGAACTGGCCTAACACTCTAGAGAGAAAAAGCGGCAGAACGAAAGTGGGCCCCCAGCCCCTCCACACATGTCCTCTCTGCTCCTGGGCAAGGCCAGTGCAGCCATGCTGGGCACCCCTGTGGCCTGTCCTTGCAGCTGCGCTCTTGATGCTAAGCCATGCCTGGCCCAGCATCTGAGCCCCTCAGGTTCTCTTCGGGGAAGCGTCTCCCTCCTACTCCAGGTCTCTGCGGCCTGGCTGCAGGACGGGAGGCCCCCGCCCCAAATGGGGCCACAAAGAGAAGACACACGGCCTCCAAGCATCTCCGGACCCAGCCGGATGGCCACGCGCTGGAGCAGGGCCAGCTGAGGGAGATGGGAGGCTAAGCCACAGAGATCCCCACCCTGATGACACAGGCCCTGGAAGAAATCTCAGGCCACCCAGCCTTCTCTGAATCTACACCAGTAAGTCTCTGGTTTTCTTTTCTTAAACCAGACCAAATGTTTTTCTGTCACTTGCATCCACAAAAGTCCTGACAAGGATAGCACCTTGAAGGCCCCGCAGCAGCAGCTGCCCCTTATGTGCGCCAACTCAGCGTGGCCATCCACAGACGAGCCAGCACTATGCTGCACGCGGGCCCTCCTTCAGCTTCCTCAGCAAACCCTCACCAAAGGCCCCCTGGCGGGTCCAGTGCCAAGTCCGGGACAGAGGTAAGGACAACTGGGGGCATCGTGATTCCAACCCTCTCTGGGCCCTAAACACCGTACCCCTCAGGAAGCTGGCCACAATGACCACTCCCCTACCCCGGCCACCTCACCTGCAAACCCATGGCTCACAGGGCTCGGAGACTGGGGCTCCCCAGAGGGGCTGGGGAGGGACCCCAGGAAACATGAAACAAACAGGAAACACAGACACCTCCCAAACTCCCACTCCCCAGAGCTCAGCACACACGCCACACAGCACCCACAGTCACACGTGAGAGCAGGGTGCAGGGTCCACGCCAGTGATGCCGGGAGAGGACAGAGACTCCACCCACCCGAGGGAGTCTGGGGAGACGTTTATTTTACTTTTATTTTATTTTTATTTTTATTTTTTTTTTACCTTCCTAAGAAATGGAGTCTCGCTATGTGGCTCAGACTGGACTGCAGTGGCTATTCCAAGGTACAATCCCACTACTGATCAGCATGGGAGTTTTGATCTGTTCGGTTTTCACCCCTCCTTAGACAACCTGGTGGTCCCCCACTCCCAGGTAGTCTTACTTTTGAGACAGGGTCTCGCTCTGTCACCCAGGCTGAAGTGCGCTGGCACGATCATGGCTCACTGCAGCCTCCATCTCCCAGGCTCAGGCGATCTTCCCACCTCAGCCTCCTCAGTAGCTGGGACTACAGGCAAATACCACCACATCCAGCTAATTTTTGTATTTTTCATAGAGACAAGGTTTTACTCAGGCTTGTCTCAGACTCCTGGCCTCAAATGATCCTTCCACCTCAGCCTCCCGAAGTGCTGGGATTACAGGCGAGAGCCACCACACCTGGCTTGTTTTATTTTTAATGCAAGGACAAGGGAGGCTTTTTACAGAGAGTGGCTAAACGTCAGGAACACAGCCACAGGACTGGCCCCAGCGTAAGTCAGCTCATGAGGCCTGCTAGCAGGGCATGTGGTCAGTGTCTCCTCCTGGCCTCAGACCTGGGACCCACAAGGTCTACATTGTTTTTTTTTTTTCTGAGACGGAATCTCACTCTGTCGCCCAGGCTGGAGTGCAGTGGCGTGATCTCGGCTCACTGCAAGCTCCACCTCCTGGATTCATGATATTCTCCTGCCTCAGCCTCCCCAGTAGGTGGGACTACAGGCGCCCGCCACCACACCCGGGTAATTTTTTTGTATTTTTAGTAGAGACGGGGTTTCACCGTGTTAGCCAGGATGGTCTTGATCTCCTGACCTCGTGATCCGCCTGCCTCGGCCTCCCAAAGTGCTGGGATTACAGGCATGAGCCACCGCGCCCGGCCACACAAGGTCTGTACTGTTACACAGGAACCCCCTGGACCAGGGTCTTTGCAAGCTGCAGACCAGATGGACGCTGGAAAACAAGGCAAAGGGGGAAGGAGGGAGGACACAGCTTTGACTAAAAGCTGGAGAGGGGCCTAGGAGGAGCAACTAGCAAAGCAGCCACTCAAGCCGCAACCTACAAAAGACCTGGTTAAAAGAGGTCTGCAGCAATGGCCGGGCACGGTGGCTCACACCTGTAATCCCAGCACTTTGGGAGGCCGAGGCCGGCGGATCACAAGGTCAGGAGATCAAGACCATCCTGGCTAACACGGTGAAACCCCGTCTCTACTAAAAATACAAAAAATTAGCCGGGCGTGGTGGCAGGCGCCTGTAGTCCCAGCCACTCGGGAGGCTGAGGCAGAATGCTGTGAACCCAGGAGGCAGAGGTTGTAGTGATCCGAGATCGCGCCACTGCACTGCAGCCTGGGCGACAGAGCGAGACTGTCTCAAAAAAAAAAAAAAAAAAAAAAAAAAAGGATGTCTGCACCAAGATTTTAAACAAAAGTAAGGTTAAAAAGCTTGAAGGAATGCCACCTGGTGTGAACAGACCCTGCATTGCTGCAGCCTGGCAGGGGGTGCCCCATTCTTCACATCTCCCCAAACCCCAGTGTCTGAGCCTCCGAGTGCGGCTGCCTGGTCGGCCTCTGGTCCCCTGGCCCCATCAGCACATGGCCCAGGCCTTGCTCCCGCCCATCCACACGTCCACCTGAGCACAGACTGGGGCGGCCGTTCCCAGGTCTTATGAACCCTGGAGGAAGCCAAACACACAGACCCCACTGTGCTGGCCCCACCCCCAAGGGGAGAGAATTCAGGAGGAGCGAAGGGCAAGGAGCCGCCCAGCCAGCATTACCTCGTCATCCTTCCATTCCGAGAAGTCAATCTTGAAGGAGGGCAGGGAGAACTGCTGGCTCACCCCTCTCTTGTAGTGGACGGTCTCGGACTGTAGCGAGGGGCTCTTGGGGCTGTATCTGCAGGGAGCCAGGAGCAAGCAGTGAGGCTGCGGCAGGAAGAGGGCCCTCCGTGCCCGTCCCTCCCACTCCGACAGCTGGAAGGGCCGCAGACACCTGTCTTTTGGGGACCCTCTCTCATGGGGAACAGCAAACAGCCTACATGGCCACGTGGCCCTCACCCTTCCAGGGCCTTCCACGGCCTCTCTGCTCACCATGCAGCTCTCCCCAGGTCAGGCCTGGCTACAATTCTCCCAGAGCCCACACCTGCCCAATCCCTTTGATACCTCCCCAGTGTAGCTGTGCTTTTCCTTTCCATCGGTGCTAAGTTGGTTTGTTTATTTATTTATTTATTTATTTATTTATTTATTTATTTATTTATTTTTGAGATAAGAGTCTCGCTCTGTCGCCTGGGCTGGAGTGCAGTGTTGTGATCTCAGCTCACTGCAACCTCTGCCTTCTGAGTTCAAGTGATCCTCCTGCCTCAGCTTCCCAAGTAGCTAGGATTACAGGTGTGCGCCACCATGCTAGGCTAATATTTTATTTTTAGTACAGATGGGGTTTCACCATGTTGGCCAAGCTGGTCTCGAACTCCTGACCTCAAGTGATGCACCTGCCTCAGCCTCCCAAAGTGCTGGGATTACAGGCCTGAGTCACTGCACCCAGCTTGAGTTTACTTTTTAAATGAACACAGTACTTAAGTATACACAGTGCAAAATGCATCTTCCCCAACCCTCACGCCTGCTCCCAGAGGCCTGCTGTCCGCCCCAGCAGAGACCCACAGATCACTCCCGGAAGGCGGAGGCACAATGGTGCCCACATGCAGCGCGGGTCTCTCTTCCTCAACGTTCAGACGGGGTAGGCGTCAACACTGCTCTTTCATGCGTCTGCACACATCAGGGGCTGTGTCCTGTGAACCACCACACAGGTCCCGCTTTGGTTTTACTGATTCAGTCAGGGCCCCTGGGGGACACCAGCAGATGGTCACCAACATCTCACTTTTCCCAACACTGCTTCAAGGACCGCCCTTCTGCATGTCTTAGCCACAGGCACGAGTGCATCCCTAAGACAGGTGCCTCAAGCAGTTTCATTTCTGATAAAACTCCATGCAGGAACCCAATTCACAATCCACAGCCCCTCCCCTCCACCCCACCGCCCTGCTTGCCTGTGGCCAGGGCTCCACAGGCTCTCCTGGACAAAGGCACACCAAGCTCAGAAATGGGATGGGGCGTGGGGGGGCCACCACTGTACACACAAAGGCAGAAGAGGCCTGCCATGGCCGCCAGAGCCCAGCATGGTTGGAGGCACTACAGGGGAGGCCCGGGCTCAGCCTCAGTAAAAGGCACAGTTAAGACGCCACCCTCAGGTGGACCCCAGCCTTCTCCTGTGAGATGCGGAGGCCTGGACACACCCCTCTGTCTGAGCCTCAGTTTCCTTGTCAGGAGGCAGGGAGGGTGGCTTGCCCTGCAGCTCAAATGGATGGAGCACTGGCAGGCTGGATGGTGTCCGGGTGCCTGGGCACAGCCTCCAGGTCCTGGAGCCTCCAGGTCCTTTTCTGTGATCCCTGCTGGGAGGGGAAGCTGGCCTTGCACCGCGTCCTGAGAGAGGGGGACAGTGGCACTGGAGCTGTTCCTGCTCTGTGATGCCTGCTGGGAGGGGAAGCAGGCCTCGTACCAGGTCCTGAGAGAGGGGGACAGTGGCACTGGAGCTGTTCCTGCTCTGTGATCCCCGCTGGGAGGGGAAGCAGGCCTCGTACCAGGTCCTGACAGAGGGGGACAGTGGCACTGGAGCTGTTCCTGCTCTGTGATTCCTGCTGGGAGGGGAAGCTGGCCTTGTGCCAGGTCCTGAGAGGGGGGGACTGTGGCATTTCTCTCATCACTAGCCCGCAGGGGTCTAGGAGAGGGTGACACCAGCCAGGGCTGGCAGGGCACCCTCTCTGCTCTCTCTAGCCTTTCTGGTAGCAGCGGGACCCTCTCTTCAAGTGCACTTGAGATGGTCACCCAGCCCCTGACAGCTGGAGCACTGGGGGGCAGCGGATAGACAACTTACACTGGCCTGTGTCCTCAGCCCACACCCTCTCTGTGGCAGCCCCTGGACACCTCGCCACAACCCAGCTCCTCCACCATGTCGGCCAGGCCCGAGGAGGGCACCAGGCCCCGTGGGTGTCAAACACTCAACCCCAAGCAGTGGGGTGCAAGGAGGGGACAGAGGGGCCTGCCCTGGTCACTCCAAATGCTCCTACGCCCAAGAATTCGACGCCTGTCATAGCACACAGGCATGCATTACTAGTGTCATTAAAGAAATATAATCAAGTGCCGGGGCAAGGTAGAGCCTCAAAGAACAAAGTCTAGAAAAAGGAACCTGTTCCTCCCCAAAGTGCTGCTCCACAGGAGGAGCCCTGGCTGCCGGGGAGCCCAAGGCCAGAGCCCAAGGGCGGCCTCACCTGGTGGCAGGTCCCTAAGAACCTCCCCACATAAGTCGTCTCCACCAGCCCCTCAACTCGAGCACTCAGGCTCCTTTCAAGAGCACCTGTCACGCGAGGGGCTGTGCACAGGACACATGGTCCCCTCCTCACACCACCCACCCGAACTTCCAGCTGAGGACACAGAGGCACAAGCAGTCATGTGCCCCCAAGCCACTCAGCGGGGACAGCATTCAAAGCCTAGGCTCTCAACCACACCCTATCCCCAGATGCAAAGCTGACCACTGAGCGGTGTGCTCCAGTGCAGGAAGGCAGGGGGCACGCTCTTGCCTGTCTCTAAAGCCACTTGGGGCACATGTGCCCTTGTAGCCTGGAGGCAGTCCTGCCAGCTCCTGCTGAAGTTGCAGTTTTCAAACTTTCAGGGCCAGAAGGACCCTTATCTCAAATAAAACCTCTGAAAGTACAAATATCTAATTATGACACAATAAAAAATAAATATTTGGTCCCAGCCCCAGTTCCTGACACAGAGTCCTCTAAAACCCTTGTCATTTCCTCAGCAACAGGGGTGCTAGGAGCCTCTTTTGTTCTAATATTTGTTCCTTGACCTTTGCTCCCAACACAGAACTCCAAACCCTTGGAATTTCCCGGGTGGTAGGAGTGTCTTATGTGCCAGTGAGGTGACTCTTGGCTCCTGGAGGTGGCTGGCTGCCAGAAAGACCAAGCCATGATTAGAGACTTGGAAGTGTCGTCTAAGAGCTCCCGAGGAAAAACAAACAAAAACCTGGGCCAGGTGGGCCGGGCATGGGGGCTCACGGCTGTAATCTCAGCACTTTGGGAGGCCGAGGCAGGTGGATCACCTGAGGTCGAGCGATTGAGACCAGCCTGACCAACATGATGAAACCCCGTCTCTACTAAAAATACAAAATTAGCCAGGCATGGTAGCATATGCCTGTAATCCCAGCTACTCGGGAGGCTGAGGCAGGAGAAGCACTTGAACCTAGGAGGCGGAGGTTGCAGTGAGCCAAGATCACACCATTGCACTCCAGCCTGGGCAACAAGAGCGAAACTCTGTCTCAAAAACAAACAAAAACCACTTTGGGAGGCTGAGATGGACAGATCATGAGGTCAAGAGATTGAGACCATCCTGGCCAACATGGCGAAACCCCCATCTCTACTAAAAATACAAAAATTAGCCAAGCGTGGTGGCACGTGCCTGTAGTCCCAGCTACTCAGGAGGCTGAGGCAGGAGAATTGCTTCAACTCGGGAGGCGGAGGTTGCAGTGAGCCAAGATTGTGCCACTGCACGCCAGCCTGGGCAGCAGAGTGAGGCTTCGTCTCAAAACAAAACAAAACAAAAACAAAACAAAAACCTGGAACTGAATTTCAGCCCAGCCCCATCCTCCAGGGAGGGGACAGGGGCTGGAGATGGAGTTAATCATCAATCCTGCCTACGTGATGAAGCCTCCAGAAAAGGCCCTGAAATGGGGTTTTCAGGAGAGCTTCTGGTTTGCTGAATACGAGGAAGGTGGTGCGCCCCACCCCTTCCCCCACACCTCACCCTGTGAACCTCTTCATCTGAATCCTTTACAATAAACCAACAAACACCAGCCAAGTGTTTCCCTGGGTTCTGTGAGCCACACTAGCAACTCATCAAGCCTGAGGAGGGGACTGTGGGAGCCTGATTTATGGCTGGTTGCTGAGAAGTTCAGGTGACAGCGGGGGCTTATGAGTGGCATCTGAAGTGGGGCAGTCTTGTGGGACTGGGCCCTCAAAGTGCAGGGGTTGCATGACCTCCAGGCAGCGTTGGAACTGAAACCAGTCAAAGGACCCCAGCTGGTTCCCGCAGAAAAGTGGGGAGTCCCTGGGGTGGGAGAAACCCCTCACATCGTGGTAAAGTCCTGGGAGTATGGTCAAAGAGCACGGTTTGGTTTTCTCCCTCTGGTTAGTAAGGTGGACAGAAGCCTCCCCCAGGAGTCTGGGGCCCCCAGCCAGGCCGGTGCCAGCCGCCCGCGGGACTCACACTGCCCTGCCGTTCAGGAACTCCTCCGATGCCTGGCAGTAGATGGTGATGGCCACGCGGGCATCGGCGTCGAAGGTGAACTCCAGGCTGTAGAGCACCCGGGGCTTGTCGCCGTCCTCGGTGGGGCTGTCGGCATCGTCTTTGTACCTACCCCAGGCGGTGGAGAGAAAGGCAGCGGGTCAGCGGCCCCATCTGCGGAGGCTGCCTCCTCCCCTGCCAGGCTGAGGGGCCGTGGAGGTGGCTATGTGGACACAGCCCGCTTCTCCAGTAGACATAGGGGCTGTTTCCTATTTGTACATGAAAGCCCAGTGGTCCAGGGCTTGCCTCTCCTTCTTCCTGCCCACAGAAGACGGGGTACGTGCTTTTGGTTCAGAGACAGCCCCAGATGCCTCAAGTCTAGTCGGTTTAAGCAGTTTCTGAACCTGCTGAAATCTGGTGCTGGGTCATTCCTGTCTGTGGGGGGGCCGTCCTGTGCATGGCAGGAAGTCTGCAGCACCCCTGGCACCCACCTGAGATGCCAAGCACCCCACCTGGCTGCCTCCAGACACTGCCCAGGGTCCCTGTGCGGCACAGCTGAGAAGCCCTGGCTAAACGGCTCTTGTTCCACATGCCCTTTCCCTCGCTCAGCCCAGGACAGCCTCTCATTCCACACGGGAGGGCGCAGAAACTGGGGCCCCTCCCGCCTGCCCTTTTCCTCAAGCATCAAGCCAGAACCTCCACCACAGGCTGCGCCCCACAGAGCCACAGGGTCCCCAGGGGCAGGGTGAAGTTACCTCACCAGCCGCAGGGAGTCTTTGCGGATGTTCACCAGGCTCCGCAGCGTCTTCACGGGCTCGTGGGGGGCAGGAGTGACGTAGGGAAACTAGGAGAAAAACCACAGGGCCCCAGGTGACTCCCTCAGGAGCAGCCAACAACAGAAAACGGGTCAGGGTGCAGCAGCCACAGCCCCAGAGGGTATCCCTGGGATCTAGTCCCATGGGAGGGGCTATACTGGGTGCACTGTTCTCATTTACAGGTAGAAGCTGCAGGCCACGCAGCCAGCACACGCAACGGCCAGGACCAAATCACCCTGAGCAAATCCAGCCAGGCAGCCTCAACGCCAGACCCCTGCACGCTGGGGCTGCCCATCCCCAACCTGCTCTCCCAGGCTTCCCATATCCATCACTGCCCCGAGCACCCTCAGCCCCTTCCTCAGTCCCCACCCTTTCCATCCCCAAAGCTTCCTACGAGCACAGCTCAGCAACCCGCCCCAGGGCCCCCAAAGTTTACTGGCTCTTCCGGCCTCCTGTCCCCTGAGGCCTGCACCCTCTCACCTCTTCCTCTGTTCCCAGGCCCCCTGCCTTCTAGCTTCTTCTGGAGGGGCCCCCTTCCCACCTATCATGGCTTGGTTCAGCCATGGCCTCTCCAGTAGAGCCTCCCTTTCTGCCCCTTCTCTCTTCTACCCATTTGTCCCGTATTAATTGTCTACGCCCCCACCAGGTAGCAGAGGCAGGGTCTGCTTTCACCCCAAGCCCTGGAAGAGCACTAGGCACGCAGCAGGTGCCACATGTGTGCTGAACAGACAGCTCACAGTACTCGAGTACTATGACAGTACTCGAATGTGCCCTTCTCTGGCAACGAGGGGAAGATGTTAGCCAGCTGTCTGCATCTCTCCTTTGGACCATGTCTCTTGCCCACTGTTCTAGGGAAAGTAAATATTCTTTTTTTTTTTTTTCTTTGAGACAGTCTCCCTTTGTTGCCCAGTCTGGAGTGTAGTGGTGCAATCTCGGCTCACTGCCACCTCCGCCTCTCAGATTCAAGTGATTCTCCTGCCTCAGCCTCCCGAGTAGTTGGGATTACAGGCACGTGCCACCACACCCGGCTAATTTTTCTTTTTTTTCAGTAGAGACGGGGTTTCACCATTTTGGCCAGGCTTGTCTCAAACTCCTGACCTCAGGTGATCTGCCCGCCTCAGCCTCCCCAAGTGCTGGGATTACAGGCGTGAGCCACAATGCCCAGTCTGTAAATACTATTTTTGCCTTGTAAAGAAAGTCATCCAAGAAGGCTGGAATCAAATCCACCATGTTCCGCAGCCGTTGCAGCCCAGACGCACCCATTCAGTATGGCTGCTCTGTTTCTCAGTGACCTGCCCCTGGCCATCTGGCCTCTAGGGGGCAGCACCAGGACACAACCCATTCCAGGGCACGTGCCCACACCCAAGCTCAACTGGAATCCTGCCAGGAGCTCTGCCCCCTTTAGGGGTGATTTGGTGCCTGCTTGCCCTCATGGCTGGGATGCGGACTGCTGGGGACAGGGGCCTCCCACCCCCACAGCCCCATGAGACAGCCCTGTCCAGACCCACCTGGACCGGGCGGCTGCCCAGGAAGTTCAGATCCATGTTCTCTCCAAAGAGGTAACCTTCAGGGTGGGGGGTGTCGAATTTCTCTCCTCCCATGAAAAAGTGCGAAGCAAAGTAGTTTCCTGTTTAAAAAAGGAAACACGATTATAGATTTTTTTTTTTTTTTTTTGAGACAGAGTCTCAGGCTAGAGTGCAGTGGCGCTCCACCCAGGCTGGAGTGCAGTGGCGCTATCTCAGCTCACTGCAAGCTCCGCCCACCGGGTTCAAGCGATTCTTCTGCCTCAGCCTCCCGAGTAGCTGGGATTACCGGCACCCACCACCACGCCCAGCTGATTTTTGTATTCTTAGTGGAGACGGGGTTTCACCATATTGGCCAGGATGGTCTCCAATGCCCGGCCTCAGGTAATCCGCCCGCCTCAGCCTCCCAAGGTTCTGGGATTACAGGTATGAGCCACGGCGCCCAGCCTGGAAACAGTTATCGACTCTGAGGCTGAACACAGCCTGGTGGGAACATCTGACGGCCAAGAAGCTCGGCCCTGAGAAAGGCTCCACCTGAGGGGAGCTGATGCAGACAGGCCAGCGGGTGCCCCTCATACCCTCTGCCTCGGCCACCTGGCCTCGGGCCTTCCAAGGTGGCCTCCTGGCCTCTCCACACTGCCAGCCTCAACACCCTTCCCTGGACGGCTCCTCGCTGCTCCCAGCCCATCAGCCAGCATCCAGCTCCAACACCACTTTCTTCTGTAGTGGCCTGAGCTGTGTTTCCGATGAAGTTCGGGTCCTACTCCACACCCAGCCCCTACCTGTGCATGTGACCTTATTTGGATCTAGGGTCTTTGCAGATGTAATCAAGTTAAGAGGAGGTCATACTGGATTGAGGGGCTCTAAATCCAGTGACTGGTTCTTAACAGAAGAAAGGAGAGGGAGGTTTGGACGCAGACTTGAAGGGAAGGCCAAGGGAAGAGATGGAGGCAAGAGATTGCAGTGATGCGGCCACAAGCCCAGGGATGACAATGAGTGCCTGGGGCCCCAGGAGTGGGGAGAGGTAAGGAAGAGTCCTCCCCCAGCGCCTTCGGGGACCGTGGCCCTGCTGGCACCTCGGTTTCTGACGTGTGCCTCTGTGATGGTGAGAGAATACATTTCTGCTGTTTCAAGCCACGGTTAGAGGTCATTTGTCACAGCCACCCCAAGAAATCCTTACACATTTCGTGACCCCAGGCTAAGTCACCTTACCCCCAAATCTGAGCCCTGTGTACTTTCCATGGCAGCACCCAGCCGGGTTTAGAAGTCTCTGTGGATCTGGGCTAGTTCGTTCAGTCTGACTCCCGCGTGAGGGCGGGAGGCTGTAGGTGGCGCCCATCAGGACCCTGGCACACTTAGGCATGAGATCTGCGCTTCTCCTATGAGGAGGGGATGGACAGCTGGGCATCCTCAGAGACCTGCGCTCACAGCCCTGCCAAGGAACACTGAGAGCATGGCCTCTCCCCTGGATTCCTGACCTGACGCCCAGATCCAGCCCCATTTCTCCTGGCACACAGCCCCGGAGAGGAGGACCCGGGTGACCACGGGAAGAGTCCCCGAGAGGAGGAGCCGGGTGACCACGGGAAGAGTCCCCGAGAGGAGGAGCCGGGTGACCACGGGAAGAGCCCCGGGAGGAGGACCCGGGTGACCACGGGAAGAGCCCCGGGAGGAGGACCCGGGTGACCACGGGAAGAGCCCCGGGAGGAGGAGCCGGGTGACCACGGGAAGAGTCCCCGAGAGGAGGAGCCGGGTGACCACGGGAAGAGCCCCCGGGAGGAGGACCCGGGTGACCACGGGAAGAGTCCCCGGGAGGAGGAGCCGGGTGACCACGGGAAGAGTCCCGGGAGGAGGACCCGGGTGACCACGGGAAGAGCCCCGGGAGGAGGACCCGGGTGACCACGGGAAGAGCCCCCGGGAGGAGGACCCGGGTGACCACGGGAAGAGCCCCGGGAGGAGCCCCCGGGTGACCACGGGAAGAGCCCCCGGGAGGAGGAGCCAGGTGACCACGGGAAGAGTCCCCGAGAGGAGGAGCCGGGTGACCACGGGAAGAGCCCCCGGGAGGAGGACCCGGGTGACCACGGGAAGAGTCCCCGGGAGGAGGAGCCGGGTGACCACGGGAAGAGTCCCCGAGAGGAGGAGCCGGGTGACCACGGGAAGAGCCCGCGGGAGGAGGAGCCGGGTGACCACGGGAAGAGTCCCCGGGAGGAGGAGCCGGGTGACCACGGGAAGAGTCTCCGAGGGGAGGACCCGGGTAGCTGCAGGGACCTGTGGATTTCAAGGATGCTCAGAATACATGGTCCTCAACCTCACGTATTGCAGGGACTTCTGGGAATTCTCAGAATTCCCACTGGGGGCCCCAGAATCCCTATTCCTTCTCAGAATTCCCACCTGAGGCCAGGTGGGCCCTTCCCGGGGCCTTCAGCGGGAATTCTGAGACCTTCAGGCGCTGCATGGTCTGTGTCCTTCCCGAGAACCACGGCCCCAGTTACAGTTGGCACAGCCACGGCCACCAAGACCAGCCGGGCCCCAACAGTGATTCCAGGGTGCTCCTCCTGAGGGAGGTGGCCCAGAGCCAGGTGCCCAGCATGGCTGCTGACTGCCAGGAACAGTGGTTGGGAGCCGCAGCCCCACCTAACCCAGCATGCAGAACAGGGACCACTGAGAGCTGATGACGACCAAAAACAAAGAAGAAAGCGGCAACTGCTTCAGCAAGTGGGACGCCCTGATTTTATGGCCCACCACACAGCTGCTGGAACCAAGCTGATCCAGACATACCGATGTGGAGCGAGTCACAGAGTATTTGCAGGTTAAAGAAAACAAGTTAACACACTGCAAGATCATTTTCTGAGGGGTCACCGCACGCACTGAGATGTGCGCAACACAAATTGTGAATACACAGAGAATGTTCTGGAAGGACACGCCCACAAGGCTGCCAGGGAAATTGGTGCAGAGCAGACGAGGGGTGGAGCAAAGCCTATGTGGTGGTTTTAAATCAAAAGAAAGAAAGAACACCTGCAGTACAGTGAGCCCAGGATGCCTTCCCTGATTACCTGGGCCTTGAACATAGCCCCACCACATTGAAATACACAAAGTCTTTAAAGGTGAATTTTCCACACAGCCTACGGGGCGGGGCCAGGGGCCACAAGGCACCCCGTGCCTCAGGGCACGGTGGTCTCCGGATGCTGGCCTCAGACCAACCTCAAGCCCCAGTCATGGAGCAGGGCTGAGACAGGGCCCGGCCCAGAGCCACCTGCCTGCTCCTCCAAGATGTGCACCATGTTCATGAAAACCACATGAAGGACTCGGCTGCTGGGAACCCCCGCACTAGCTGCTGGCAGACAAGGGCCACAGCAGCACGGCAAGAGGGTGTGGGAAGCCCAGTGACCCTGCTGACCAGCCCAGGACCCATCGTCGGGGGCACCCTTAGCAGTGATCAGCCCCCACCCTTCCAGGCTCTCCCCAGCGCTGACGTACTGAGGTGGGGTCCAGAAGGCCGGGCAGCCTTGGTCTGGAGGGACACTCAGGAGCGGGCTTGTCCCTGCCAGGCCTTCCAGGCCGAGGCACTGGGCACTCCATGGCCCCAGGCAGGAGACAGGTCCCTGGTCCAGAAGCCTCCTGCTCCAACCTCCTCCCAGGGCACCTTCAAGGCACAACCACTTTGTGTCCAAGAAGCCCCCGCTGTAGGCAGAAGATGAGCGAGGTGGCCAGCCTCCACGAGGGCCCCCAGCGCATCTCACCTCCCGGCCGACATGTCTCTGGGCAGACTGCACCCACACTGAACAGGGCTGACCAGGTGACCGCATGAAATGATGACCACAGAGACTGCATGAAAATGATGGTGTGTGGCTTCTAAGGCTCTGGGGGAAGCTGCCACCATGCTGTGAGGACACCCAAGCAGCCCCATGGAGAGGTCCCGAGGGGAGGACCTGAGGCCTCCCGCTAAACCCAGCACCGGCATGCCGGGCCTGTGAGCCAGGGAGGCAGCCCCTCCATGCCCAGGCAAGCCCTCAGAGGACCACAGCCCACCCACAGCTTTTTTTTTTTTTGAGACAGGGTCTTGCTCTGTCGCCGAGGTTGGAGTGCAGGGGCACGATCACTGCAGCCTTGGACCTCCTGAGCTCAAACAATCCTCCTGCCTCAGCCTCCCAAGTAGCTGGGATCACAGTGTGCACAATGTCTGGCTCATTTTTGTTTATTTTTTGTAGACATGGGGTCTCACTATGCTACCCAGGCTGGTCTCAAACTGCTGGGCACAAGCAATCCTCCCACCTTTGCCTCCCAAAGTGCTGGGATTACAGGCGTGAGCCACCGTGACACAGCCTGAGTGAGGACTCACGAGTGATGGTGAGCCAGAGCCCCCCGACGGAGCCGCTCCCAATCCCGACCCTCACCGTAAGGTAGGAAGTGCTCACTGTGCTAAGCCACTACACTCTGAAGGAGTCACCCAGAAAGAGACGTCGAGTCTTTCTGAGACGTGGTCTACGTGACTGTCATTTCTCCTCTCCTGACTCCCAATTCGATTTCATTTCTACAACCACAGCACTGGTTAGAGCCTCTGGCACCATCTGCCCTGTGACTGTGCCCATTCACCAGCCTCCCCACATCCCCTGGGTCCCCAGGTCTGTTGTTTCTGGACCCACTGCCCTCAAAACTCTGCTGGCGTCCCAGCCACACTGGGGCAGGTCCCAGTAGCCTCCGAGGCCCCAGACAAGGCCACTCTGCCAGCCCCGGCCCACTCACACCTCGGGGCCCTGGAGTCCTCAGCTCATCCAGCTCTTCCCTGGAGCTCCAGCTCTACCTCAGGCTGCTCTCTCCACGAGGCCTCTTCTGACACCCCTTTTACAACTTGCCAAGCCTCCCACACCCCAGCTTGCCAACCAATCTTTCCACTCCCCTTTCCAGCCTTATTCTTCTCCACAGCACTTTTCAGCCTGGTGTTCTAGGCTGGAGGCTCTAAGATCTTACTGTATGTAGTTTTAAGCTTCAATAACTTCAGAGAAAGTAATTAAGCTGGGCCAGTGGTTCATGCCTGGGCGCTTTGGAAGATCAAGGCAGGAGGATCGCTCGAGCCCCAGAGTTCAAGACCAGCCTGGGCAACATAGGGAGACGCTGTCTCTACAAAAAATTCTTAAAAATTAGCTGGGCATGGCAGCGCATGCCTGTAGTCCTAGCTACTCAGGACACTCACTGAGGCAGGAAGATCGCTTGAGTCCAAGAGTTCGAGGCTGCAGTAAGCCATGATCACACCACACTGCACTCCAGCCTGGGCAACAGAGCAAGACCCTGTCTCTCTTCCCGTCCCCCCACCACCACCCCCACCCCCGCCAACTCTCACTCTATATATATATGCACACGCATATATACATATAAATAACTTCAGAGAAACAAATGCTACAAACTAAAACACCTGCATAGGTAATAAGTGATTATTAATTTTTTCCTTTATCTTTTTAAAATTAAGTTTTCTACAATTAACATATATCATTTGTAAAACAAGAAAAATTATTTTTAAAAGATTAGAGACAAGGAAGAAGAGTGTTTGTTAAAGCAATGGTTGTAATATCACAAAACTGGGACCATGTTCTAGAATTAGATCAAGGTAATGGTTGCATGACTGAATATACCAAAAATCACTGACTTGTACACTTTAAAAAGGTGTCCCCATGGTAAGTGAATTTTACCTCAAAAAAACTTAACTGGAAGGACGTAAGTTGTGAGGTGATGAATCATTAATTTTTGTACTAGGTTTTTATGTCAATTTTTGTGAAGTAACTTGGAAATAGATGCTATTGTTACATAAAAATCTTGCTAATTCCTATCTAATTGATGTTATCAAGGTTTCTCAACTTAAAAAACAGAACCCAGGTGCAGTGGCTCACACCTGTAATTCCAGCACTTTGGGAGGCCAAGGTGGGTGGATCACCTGAGGTCAGGAGTTGGAGACCAGCCTGACCATAATGGAGAAACCCTGTCTCTACTAAAAATACAAAATTACCCAGGCGTGGTGGTGTGTGCCTGTAATCCCAGCTACTTGGGAGGCTGAGGCAGGAAAATCGCTTGAACCTGGGAGGCAGAGGTTGCCGTGAGCTGAGATTGGGCCAGCTGTCCACTCCAGCCTGGACAACAAGAGTGAAACTCCATCAAAAAAAAAAAAAAAAAAAAACTGGTAATTGAGGGGTCCAAGCACGGTGGCTAACACCTGTAAACCCAGCACTTTGGGAGGCTGAGGGGGGTGGATCACTTGAGGTAAGGAGTTCTAGACCAGCCTGGCCAACATGGTAAAACCCCATCTCTACTAAAAATACAAAACAAAACAAAAAAAAATTAGCCGGGAGTGGTAGTACATGCCTGTAATCCCAACTACTCAGGAGGCCAAGACAGCAGAATTGCTTGCATCTGGGAGGCAGAGGTTGCAGGGAGCCGAGATTGCACCACCTCACTCCACTCCAGCCTGGGCAACAGAGCGAGACTCCATCTCAAAAAAAACAAACAAACAAAAAAAACTAGCATTGAGGCTGAAATCATTTTAGCAACAGCTTGTATCCAACTGTGAATGCATGAATTAACCAGGAGAAAAAGGAACCCATCTACTCAAGAGACATATTTCCAATGTTTTTTCGTATTTCTTCTTGTTATTGATAAAAACTGGAATATTTGTTTGATCAATTGGGTATTAGTAATGGCCATTCAAAACACGAAAAACTCACAGCTTATGATGTAAAATTATTTAAAATTCTAATTTCAATTGGTGCGCATATTTTGGTTGCAGACACACAATATGATCAATACAAGATTTTTGCCAGGCGCGGTGACTCACGCGTGTAATCCCAGCACTTTGGGAGGCCAAGGCAGGTGGATCACGAGGTCAGGAGATGGAGACCATCCTGGCTAACACGGTGAAACCCCGTCTCTACTAAAAAATACAAAAAATTAGCCAGGTGTGGTGGCACGCGCCTGTAGTCCCAGGTACTTGGGAGGGGCTGAGGCAGGAGAATTCCTTGAACCCAGGAAGCGGAGGTTGCAGTGAGGGAGACTCTGTCTCAGAAAAAAAAAAAAAAAAAAAAATCAAGCAAGGCCGGGTACAGTAGCTCACGCCTGTAATCCTACCACTTTGGGAGGCCAAGGTGGGAGGTTCACTTGAGCCCAGCAGTTCGAGACCTGCCTGGACAACATGGCAAAACCCCATCTCTGCCAAAAATACAAAAATTAGTCCAGGCTCAGTGGCTCGTGCCTATAATCCCAGTGCTCTGGGAGGCCGAGAGGAGTGGATCACAAGGTCAGGAGATCGAGATTGAGACCAGCCTGGCCAACATGGCGAAATCCCATCTCTACTAAAAATACAAAAATTAGCCAGGCATGGTGGTGTGTGCCTATAGTCCCAGCTACTTAGGAGGCTGAGGCACGAGAATCGCTTGAACTTGGGAGGCAGAGGCTGCAGTGAGCTGAGATTGTGCCACTTCACTCTAGCCTGGGTGACAGAGTGGGACTGTCTCAAAACAAAACAAAACAAAAAAAATTAGCTAGCACGGTGATGCGTACTTGCAGTCCAAGGTACTCGGGAGGCTGAGGTGGAAGGATCACTTGAGCCTGGGAGGTCAAGGCTGCAGTGAACCCTGATCAAGCCACTGCATTATAGCCTAGGCAACAGAGCCAGACCCTTTAACAAAAAAAAAAAAAAAATTCAAGCGTTAAAAATTATAACCCACCAGGCACGGTGCTCACCCCTGTAATCCCAGCACTTTGGGAGGCCAGGGCAGGCAAATCACTTGAGGTCTGCCGTCAGGAGTTGAAGACCAGCCTGGCCAACATGGGAAAGTCTGTTTCTACTAAAAATACAAAAATTAGGGCCGGGTGCGGTGGCTCACGCCTGTAATCCCAGCACTTTGGGAGGCCGAGGCGGGCGGATCACAAGGTCAGGAGTTTAAGACCAGTCTGGCAACAAGGTGAAACCCCCATCTCTACTAAAAACACACACACACACACACACACACACACACACACAAATTAGCTGGCCGTGGTGGTGCATGCCTGTAATCCCAGCTACTCAGAAGGCTGAGGCAGGAGAATCGCTTGAACTCAGGAGACGAAGGTTACCGTGAGCGGAGATCACACCATTGAACTCCAGCCTGGGTGACAGAAGACGACTCCGTTTCAAAAATAAATAAATAAATAAAAATACAAAAATTAGCTCATGCCTGTAATCCCCACTACTCGGGAGGCTGAGACAGGAGAATCTCTCGAACCCAAGAGGCAGAGGTTGCAGCGAGCTGAAATCGCGCCACTGCACTCCAGCCTGGGCGAAAGAGCAAGACGGTCTTTTTTAAAAAAAAAAAAAAAAAAGGAACCAAGTCATATGCTGACAGGGAAATGCATGACAGTGCAGGGTTACCGGATGGACCCTCAGCACTCAAGAACAGGGTCTACGTGATCAACACGGCGCAGACAATCAACAACTCACACCTGCAGGAGACGAGACCAACTGGGAAGAACTGGAAACACCTCACAGAGAATCCAGGCCAGCCGAGGGGGCTCACGCCTATAATCCCAGCACTTTAGGAGGCCAAGGTGGGCAAGATGGCTTGAAGCCACGAATTTCAGACCAGCCTGGGCGACATGGCGAGACCCTGTCTCTACAAAAAATACAAAAAGTGGCCAGGCGCAGTGGCTCACATCTGTAATCCCAGCACTTTGGGAGGCCGAGGCAGGCGAATCACCTGAGGTTGGGAGTTCGAGACCAGCCTGACCAACATGGAGAAACTCCCGTCTCTACTAAAAATGCAAAATTAGCTGGGCATGGTGGTGGGTGCCTGTAATCCCATCTACTCAGGAGGCTAAGGCAGGAGAATCACTTGAACCTGGGAGGCAGAGGTTGCGGTCAGCCGAGACTGCACCACTGCACTCCAGCCTGGGGCAACAAGAGCAAAACGCTGTCTTAAAAAAAAAAAAAAAAAAAGTAGCCAGGCACAGTGGTATGTGCCTGTAGTACCAGCCACTCAAGAGGCTGAGGCAGAAGGACCATGCGAGCCCAGCAATTTGAGGTTGCAGTGAGCTATGATTGGGCCCCTGGGCCACTGCACTCCAGCCCAAGCAACAGCGTGACTCTGTCTCCAAAAAACAAAAAAAAAATCCTATTGCTCACACATGGGTATCCACACATGGAGAAGAAACACGGGAAGGAGACCCTAGGTCCCTGATGGGGCAGGAGGAAGGGACCAGGCCTGGGGAAGTGTTAGGGGCGGGGCCGCCCTTTCCTTTGCCTCAAGAAGAATGACACACATGTGGTGTGTGCGTGCATGAGCTGTGTACATTTGTATGTGCACCAGCTCAGGACCAAGAGGAGCAGGCAGCGCTGCCAAGGGGGTGGAGGAAAAAGAAAAGGAGACTGTGAGTGGGAAGTGGGAAGGCAGCTGTGGAGGTGAAAGAACGCAGGTGGAACCACACCCACCAGGCTCTCCCTCCACACCTGCTGAGGTCAGCGCCTTCACCCCCTTTCCCGCTGGCCCCAAGGAAAGAGGGGCAGACAAGGCCCACACTTTCAAACATACAGGAAACGAAGCTTGGCTAAGGCCCCCAAGCTCATCAGCGGTGGAGCTGGGGCGCACACCCCGACTCCAGAGCCCACTTGTTTCTCAGTCTCTGTGCTGGGCACCTCCCCTCCTGCAGCCGGGGGACCACGGGGACAGGAGTCAGTGGTGTCATCGCCAGTGACAATGGGCACTGTTCACACACAAAAAACCACACCCAAGGGGCTTCCCCAGCAGAATGGCTGAAAATCCTCCTGTGGGCTCACAGAGCCCGACAGACGCCACAGGGTCCCAAGGTTGTCCTGGAAATCCCGGCTATGTGGAACCAACACACTCAAGGACCCAGGGCCTCAGGGCAGTCCTCGAACACCACTAAAACAAAGGCATCCTTCTCCCCTGGTTTACTGTCACCCCCAGGGGGACTGGAGCCCAGCAGTTCACTGCCTCCCTGCCCGAGGGATTCGGACTCTGGGTGGCTTGCAGGTGTCCGGGCAACCTGCACAGGGAGACAACAGCCACAGAAATGAAAACTGCAAAATCCCTTCCGTGGGAGGCCTCGAGGCATTCCCCGAACAGCCTCAATGCTCTCCACACATGCCTCCAGGCAGGAGGATACATACGTTTGTCATCTCTACAGCTGAGAAAAACCAAAACCACAAGGCCACAGGTCAGAGGCTGTCTTGGGGATGGCCAGGGGAGGGGGACAGCCCTGTCCCTTCCATACAGGCCACAGAGTGAGCCAAGAAGCCTTCTGGGCCCGTCTTGTGTCTCTTGCACCTTGTCAATATCTTGTGGTACACAGTGTGCAATGAACGCCACCAGACATCTGCGAGAGGAAAACAGGGACATTCCGAATCACTGAAACAAGCCAACCTTGGAAGGGCGGGAGGCCCGGGACGCGGCAAGGCCTCCCAAGAACGCGGGCGAAAGGCGAAGCACAGGCCATCTGAGTGCACAGACGGACTCAACGCAGCAGAGGAGCCGCAGCAAACACCGTCGGAGCCGCGGAGCGTGGAGGGCAGATGAGTAAAGTAGGGTCTTGCTATCAAGCCTGAAAGCACCTGCCCCGCCTGCCTGTGCCTGAACTCCACGCTCACAGTTTTCAGGGAGAAGTCTGACCCATGTTTATCAGACCAGAGTTCAGGGCCCACCGGGTCAGAGGTTCGTGATCTGGACCCTTGAAATGCATTTGCCTCCAAACCCACCAACCCTGGTACACCCCTAAGAGAAAGAGGCCGGGCTCAGATCATGTCAGAAAGGCCTTTCCTCCACACCCCCAATACGGGGACCATGTGTGGATCCACAGGCAGGCGTTCCTCATCCTCCCGCACCGAGGGGGCAGACGCTGTGCATCTGGGGACAGGATGCCCAAGTCATAGGCAGGCCTTGGAGACAACTGTCCTGCCTGTTCCATCCTAGGTAGCCCAGGCTTCCTCCTGACCTTCCAGATGCCCCCAGCCTAATGATGCCCAATGGTGAAGGTTGCTGCACCCTGACCTGAAGGCCATGGCCAAGCTCCCCGCTCTGCAGACCAGTGATTCCACATGCCCTGCCCACCCCGCCCCACCTTCCCGGCCTGGGCTATTCCCTCCTTGGGATGCCGCGGTGAGGCCAGCCTGGACCACCACGCAGGCCAACTGCCAGCTCGTGGTCAACGCTCCCGCCGCCATTCTCCTCATAGTGTCACTGCTGCTTTATCTCGTGTACCTGTTGGTTCCCTCTGTCCTCCCCAGCCCAAAAGTAGGCATCATCCTCAACTGTCCACGGCCCCGCATCCTCATGACCTCCCCGCTCCATGCCTAAGAGCTGGATGAACACTCACCTAATGAATGAAAGCAGATGCTGTTGTTACTGGTGTTTGACAGTCAGGGAAACTGGCCCGGTGAGGCTGAGTGACCTGCTCAGGTCACACAACCAGTGAGAGACATTCTCACTGGGACCCCTGGGCAGACTCCAGAGCCTGCACTGTCAGCCATGGGAAGTAAGCCAGGATGTGAATGAAGACACCCAGCATGTCTGCCTCCTAAGAAACACAGCGGCCCAGGGACCCGGGACACCAGGGGTGGACTTCACTGGGCTGCCTCAGCCATCGTTCCCACCCGAGGAAGGGGGAGTGGGAAGGCCACGAGGTGTCTGCAGGGGCTCCGAACAGCTCACTGATTCCACCTGCTGAAAATTCTCCTCGTGTTCTAACAGGACAGGTGTTCCTGCTTACCAGTCTCACAAAATCAGCTGCTGCATTGCCAATAAACCCCAGGTGGGCCAGACCTGCACAAGATCAGGTCCCAGGATGCCCCCACCAGGTGGGAGGCCAGAGGGGGTGGCAGCCCCACAGCCTTCGAGTGCTCTGGGGGTCCCACCCAGCTGTATCACCCACGCATTGATCCCCCTGGGCCTACCATGCTTCCCTGCCTACTACCAGTCCCCCACCCAGCTGGGGAAGTCAACATGGGCTGAGATATTTATTTATTTTTTTTTTTGAGACGGACTCTCGCTCTGTCACCCAGGCTGGAGTGCAGTGGTACGATCACGGCTCACTGCAACCTCTGCCTCCCGGGTTCAGGTGATTCTCCTGCCTCAGCCTTCCAAATAGCTGAGATTACAGGCACCCGCCACCACGCCCAGCAATTTTCTGTATTTTTAGTAGAGACGGAGTTTCACCATGTTGGTCAGGCTGGTCTCAAACTCCTGACCTCGTAATCCACCCGCCTCGGCCTCCCAAAGTGCTGGGATTACAGGGAGCCACCACACCCAACCTTGATTTCTTTAACTGCAAACTTGAGATGAGAGGGCCACCCTAAACTCAGGACGTCCTGAGGATAAAAAATGCCAATTAACACAAAGGAGCCTCCGGCAGGTGTGAACACACTGGCTAGAAGTCCCTTTCGGACCTCCCATATGTAAACGTGATACCATATTAAATACAGGGCTCTGGCTTCCAGTGCGGAACACAAAGCTGAGAACAACTCTGACTAAGCAAAGACGCTGGGGCACGGAGGGGGCATAAGCTGTAGTCACCTTTTTTGTTGGGGGTGTGTCCTCCCCTTTTCTGGAAACAGCCTCCACCACCCTCAGGGTGGCCCCCACCCCCTAGACAGGGCTGGTTGGCCCTAAGGTGGACACTGGCACACTGGGCCATCCGAATTCTCCCTCCTGTGGAATGGGACCAGGGACGACGGCAGCACTTGGCCCTTGACCAGCCTGGTGGGTGGCGATGGCCTCACACACGCCGGAGCAGCTGGGGCGCTCTGCAGGACTGCAGGATGGCGCTGAGGCTGGAGCCGAACAGAGGCTCTGGGTTCCCGCAGCTTCCACTTGTCCGTTTCCCCTGAGGTTACTGGGACTTCCCTCGGAGCCTTCAATACACTCCATTTCTTGCCTGGGCTAGCTTCCATAAACGGCACTAAGGCGGCCAATTTCCAAAGAATTAAAACCATAATAAAAAGCACTTAGGAAAGAGCTCCTATAAACCAGTAAGAAAAAAAGATAACTCAATTTTTTTTTTGTTTTTTTCTTTGAGACAGTCTCACTCTGTCGCTCAGGCTGGAGTGCAATGGCGCGATCTTGGCTCACTGTAACCTCCATCTCCCAGGTTCAAGCGATTCTCCTGCCTCAGCCTCCCCAGGAGCTAGGATTACAGGCACCCAACACCATGCCCAGCTAATTTTTGAATTTTTAGTAGAGACGGGGTTTCACCATGTTGGCCGGGCTGGTCTTCAACTCCTGACCTGAGGTGATCTGCCCGCCTCAGCCTCCCAAAGTGCTAGAATTACAGGTGTGAGCCACTGAACCTGGCCACTCAATTTTTTTTTTTTTTTTTTTTTTTGAGATGGAGTCTTGCTCTGTCGCCCGGGCTGGCGTGCAGTGGCGCAATCTTGACTCACTGCAAGCTCCACCTCCCAGGTTCACGCCATTCTCCTGCCTCAGCCTCCCAAGTAGCTGGGACTACAGGCGCACGCCACCGTGCCCTGCTAATTGTTTGTATTTTTAGTAGAGACGGGGTTTTACCATGTTAGCCAGGATGGTCTCGATCTCCTGACCTTGTGATCTGCCCGTCTCGGCCTCCCAAAGTGCTGGGATTACAGGTGTGAGCCACTGAGCCTGGCCACTCAATTGTTTTAATGTGTAAAAGACTTCACAAGGCACTTCAACAGCAGGACAAGAAACAGATGGCCAATTCGCATAGAGAAAGGCGCTCAACCTCACTGGTCATCAGGGAAAAGTACAATGAGAAATTCAAGGTGGAATTGAAAAAAAATTAAAAATAGCACACACCCCTCACCCTACCTAGTGCCAGTATGAATGCAGAGCGACCAACACCCTTGTTCTTGCCTGCAGACATGCAAATTCGTTCACTCCTAAAAGTTTAAAATCTACGAAGGCTGAATGCACCCAACAGCCCCAACAAGTCCACTCCAGGCATAAAAACGCACCCAAAGAGATCAGGCTCAAGGGCACCACCGCCAGACACAAGGATGTCCCCAGCTCCCCCGGAGCCCGTCCACGGGCAGCACTGGGACGCTGGAAGGTCCCACAGCAGACGCCAGATCACTCACTGCTCACAAACCCCGCCCGGCCATTGCATCCCATCTCATCCTGAGGTGGAGCAAGAAGAGCGCCTCCTTCCAGTTCTTTCAAGCTCAAACCCAAGCAGAAGTCACCCAGGGAGGAAGTCAGGGGGGTGGTTCCCAGGGAAGAAGGGGGAGGCAGGTTGTTCAGAAGGGGACAATAGGGGGCCTCTGGGGGCCGGTACTGCTCTATTTTTCTCAACATGTTCATTTTGTGATCATTTATCAAACTGCACATTAATGAGCTGTACATTTCCTAAATGTATGCTAGCCTTGGCCAGGCCCAGTGGCTCATGCCTGTAATCCCAGCACTTGCAGAGGCCGAGGCAGGTGGATCACCTGAGGTCAAGAGTTCAAGACCAGCCTGACCAACATGGTGAAACCCTGTCTCTACTTAAAAAAAAAAAACAGAAAATACAAAAGTTAGCTGAGGCCGGGCACGGTAGTCACATCTGTAATCCCAGCACTTCTGGAGGCTGAGGCAGGCAGATCACAAGGTCAGGAGTTCAAGACCAGCCTGGCCAACATGGTGAAACCACATCTCCACTAAATATACAAAAAAAAAAAAAAAAAAATTAGCTGGGCGTGGTAGTGGGCACCTGTAATCCCAGCTACTCGGGAGGCTTTGGCGGGAGAGTCGCTTAAACCTGGGAGGTGGAGGTTGCAGTGAGCCAATATTGCGCCACTGCACACCAGCCTGGATGACAGTGCGAGACTCTGTCTCAAAAAAAAAGAAAAAAAAGTTAGCTGGGTGTGGTGGCCCACACCTGTAATCCCAGCTACTCCAGAGGCTGAAGGAGGATTGCTCGAACCCAGGAGGCAGAGGTTGCAGTGAGCTAAGATCATGCCACTACACTCCAGCCTGGGCGACAGAGCAAGACTCTGTCTCGAAAAAAAGAAAAAAAAAAGAATATGTTAGCCTCAATTTATTATTTTTTATTTGACTTATTAATTTATTTAGAGACAGGGTCTCACTCTGTCACCCAGGGTGGAGTGCAGTGGCGCAATCTTGGCTCACTGTGAACTCCACCTCCTGGTTTCAAGAGATTCTCCCACCTCAGCCACCTGAGCAGCTGGGATTACAGGTGTGCACCACCACACTTGGCTATTTTTTTTTTTGGATTTTTAGTAGAGATAGGGTTTTGCCATGTTGGCCAGGCTGGCCTCAAACTCCTGACCTCAAGTGATCCGCCTGCCTCAGCCTCCCAAAGTGCTGGGATTACAGGCGTGAGCCCCTGCAGCCAGCCCCCAGCCTCTGATTTTTAATGTCTATGTGCAGTATATGTACACACACACTTTTTCCCCAAAGCACTGAAGCAATCTTTTCTTTCTTTCGATTCCCCAGAAGGCTCCCTGGGAGTCTGGGCTCTCAGAGACATCACAGAGAGCATCTGTTCCGCGGGGCGAGAGCCCTGTTAGAAGAAAGCTTCAGTTATGTGAGCAGTGGCGCCAGTGCTGAGCCCTGGGGAGCCAATGCAACCTTCTGCCCACCTCAGGGATGCCAGGCCCCGCTGAGGCCACATACCCAAGACCACGTGAGAGGACCCAAGTCCCCCGCGAGCTGGATGAAAGGACTGAGCAAACGGTGTTTCTTCTAACGGCCTCAGGTCTTGATTTCAGTCACTCCTCAAACCTCTCGCTTCTTCGCCCAGGTCTATGGAAAGGCAAATGACCGAACACTCGCTCAGGATCCAGGGACCCCTCCAACACTGCTCCAGGTCAGCTTCTCCACAAACAAGCAGAGGGACACAGGCCGCTCCTCTTCCAGCCCCTCCTAGGGCGCAGCAAAGGGCTGAGCTCCGGGTAATTCTACAGCTGTTCAGCGAGCACAAGTCAGGCACTGCAGGGATGGTGCAGACGACACCACGCCGTCGTCCACTGGACAAGATGACCCCAAAGCGCAAAGCTAGAGAGCCTCACGGGACACAGCGGAAGGGCGCGGGGAAAGCCAGGCAATGTCGGACCCAGGCGGCACCGGGTCTGGGAGGTGGGCAGGCAGGAGTGGTCACCACTTCAGGGTCATCCAGGAAATACAGAACATTTTCCAGAAAACTTCTGGGCATCATGAAAAACAAAAGCTGGGCTGGGCTGGGCGAGGGCCAGGGCCTGTCCCTCCCTGCTGGCTCACATGGACTGGCAGCCAGACCTGAAAGGGGCCCAGGGAATCAGAGGTGACCCCCAGGGCTCAGCCAGGGAAACCTGGGGCCCCATTGAGCAAAACACTGGCCAAGGCCACTGAGGAAGTCACTGGCACAGGAGGGGCTACCATCAGCCCAGGACTCTGAAGCTAGTGCTCCTCCCACCACACGCCTACAGGGTTGCCCCCAATGGCAGCTGCAATTTTCACAGCCTGTTAGGATTGCTTTTACCTTCAAATGCATCCTACTATGAAACCCAAGCCCTTTTTAAAAAAATTTTTATCACGAGGTCAGGAGATGGAGACCATCCTGGCTAACACGGTGAAACCCCGTCTCTACTAATAATACAAAAAATTGGCCGGGCGCGGTGGCGGGCGCCTGCAGTCCCAGCTACTCGGGAGGCTGAGGCAGGAGAATGGCGTGAACCCGGGAGGCAGAGCTTGCAGTGAGCCGAGATAGCACCACTGCAGTCCGGCCTGGGAGAAAGAGTGAGACTCCGTCTCAATAATAATAATAATAATTTTTTTTATTGATAGATATATTTTTTGAGACAGAGTTTTGCTCTAGTTGCCCAGGCTGGAGTGCAATGGCACGACCTCGGCTCACTGCAACCTCTGCCTCCTGGGTTCAAGTGATTCTCCTGCCTCAGCCTCCCGAGTAGCTGGGATTACAGGCACGTACCACCACGCCCAGCTCATTTTGTATTTTTAGTAGAGATGGGGCTTCTCCATCTTGGTCAGTCTGGTCTCAAACCTCCGACCTCAGGTGATCCACCCGCCTTGGCCTCCCAAAGTGCTGAGATTACAGGTGTGAGCCACGGCACCCAGCCAATTTTTATTAATTTTTCAATAAATAAAGCCTGGGCACTGTTGCCCAGGCTGGAATGCAGTGGCGTGATCTCAGCTCACTGCAAGCTCTGCTTCCTGGTTTAAAGCAGTTCTCCTGCCTCAGCCTCCTGAGTAGCTGGGATTATGGGCACCCACCACCACGTCCAGCTAATTTTTTGGATTTTTAATAGAGGTGGGGTTTTACCATGCTGGCCAGGCTGCTCTCAAACTCCTAACCTCAAATGGTCCACCCGCCTCAGCCTCCCAAAGTACTAGGATTACAGGTGTGAGCCACTGCACCCGGCCAAATTTTATTAATTTATTCTTTAGAGACAGAGTCTCACTCTGCTGCCCAGGCTGGAGTACAGTGGGGCAATCATAGCTCACTGCAGCCTCGACCTCCTGAGCTCAAGCAATCCTCCCACCTCAGCCCACCAGGTAGCTAGGACTAAAGGTGGACGCCACCACACCCAGATAATTTTTTTATTTTTTGTAGAGACAAGGTTTTGCCGTGTTGCCCAGGGTGGTCTCAAACTTCTGAGCTCAAGTAATCTGCCTGCCCTGGCCTCCCAAAGTGCTGGGATTACAAATGTGAGCCACCACGCCTGGCCGTGAGTGACTGTTTCATGGCCACTGGGTTTCTTTTTGGTGTGATGAAGATGTTCTGGAATTAGACAGTGGTGATGGCTGCACAACACAAGTATACCAAAAACCACTGGTCCCGGCACGGTGGCTCATGCCTGTAATCCCCGCATTTTGGGAGGCCGAGACGGGCGGATCAAGAGGTCAGGAGATCGAGACCATCCTGGCTAACACGGTGAAACCACATCTCCACTAAAAATACAAAAAAATTAGCCAGACGTAGTGGCGGGTGCCTGTAGTCCCAGCTACTCAGGAGGCTGAGACAGGAGAATGGCGTGAACCCGGGAGGCAGAGCTTGCAGTGAGCAGAGATTGCGCCACTGCACTCCAGCCTGGGCGACAGAGCAAGACTCCGTCTCAAAAACAAACAAACAAACAAAAAAAACCACTGGACTAGATGTTCTCAGTGTGACTCGTATGCTGTGAATTAGATCTCAACAAAACTGTTATTAAGAATAGCCGGGCGCAGTGGCTCATGCCTGTAATACCAGCTCTTCCGGAGGCTGAGGTAGGCGGGTCAAAAGGTCAATAGATCAAGACCATCCCTGCCAACATGGTGAAACCCATCTCTACTAAAAATACAAAAATTAGCTGGGCGTGGTGGCATGCACCTGTAGTCCCAGCAACACAGGAGGCTGAGGCAGGAGAGAATCACTTGAACCTGCGAGGCAGAGGTTGGAGTGAGTCAAGATTGCGCCATTGCCCTCCAGCCTGGGTGACAAGAGCAAGACTCCATCTCAAAAAAAAAAAAAAAAAAAAAAAAGGAAATTTTTTATCACTACTAGATTGGGAAGGCAATATATCAGTAATAGATTGGCAAATATCACTTGCCTTAAATAGGTAAAGTTATCTGAAAAAAAAAAACAACTGAGAAGCTAAATATCAAAATTAATGTAGAGATATACCATGTTCATGGATTCCCAGAGTCAGCACTGTAAAGACAGCAATTCTCACCACATAGATTTATATATCCAATGTAATACTTATCAAAATTGCAGGCTGCTTTTGTAGAAATAATTGACAGGCTAATTATAAAATGTATATGGAAATGCAAAGAACTTAGCATAACCAAAACAATTTTGAAAGAGAACAAAGTTGGAGAACTTATGCTACCTGATTTCACAACTTACTATCAAACTACTGTAAACAAGCCAGTGTGCTGCTGGTCTAAGAACAGACCAGGATTTCTCAGTCTAAGCACTATGGATATTCTGGGCCGATTTATTCTTAATTGTGGGGGACTGTCCTGTGGCCTCTACCCAACAGATGCCCCCAGCTGTGACAATCACAAATGTCTCCAGACATGGCCAAATGTCCCTTGAGAGGGCAAAAATGCCCCAGTTGAGAACTTCTGGGACACACATAAATCAATGGAACAGAATGGAGAGTCCCAAAATAAACCCTCACATTCATGGTTAACTGGTGGGGTTCTTGTCGCTGTTGTTTTGATTTTTAAGAGACATGGTCTTGCTTTGTTATCCAGCCACAATGCCTGGCTTAGGTCAACTAATTTTTGACAAAGGTGCAAAGGCAATTTGATGGGAAGATGATAGTCTCTACAACAAATGATACTAAAATAATTGAATTCCATCCACAAAAAAGGGGGGTTTAGATCTTTATCTCAAGCCATAAGTGAAACAAATTAATTTGGTCAGCTACAGCGGCTCACACCTGTAATCCCAGCACTCTGGAAGGCCAAGGTGGGCAGATTGCTTGAGTCCAGGACTTTGAGGCCAGCCTGGACAACACGGTGAAACCCTGTCTCTACAAAAAAAATACAAAAACTTTGCTGGGCATAGTGGTACACATACATAGCTGGGAAAACCCAGCTACTTGGGAGGCTGAGGTGGGAGAATCACCTGAGCCAGGAAGTCAAGGCTAGAGTGACATCATGCCGCTATACTCTAGCCTGAATGACAGAGTAAGACCCTATCTCAAAATTAAAAAAAAAAAAAAAAAAAAGAATTAACTCTAAATGGATCAAAGACCTAAATGTAAGAGCTAAAACTATAAAACTTCTAGAAAAGGCCGGGCACAGCGGCTCACGCCTGTAATCCCAGCAATCTGGGAGGCCAAGGCAGGCAGATCACAAGGTCAGTTTGAGATCAGCCTGGCCAATATGGTGAAAACCCCGTCTCTACTAAAAAATCCAAAAATTAGCCGGGCGTGGTGGCTCGCACCTGTAATCTCAGCTACTCAGTAGGCTGAGGTAGAAGAATCGCTGGAACCCGGGCAGAGGCTGCAGTGAGCTAAGATCATGCCACTACACTCCAGCCTGGGTGACAGAGGGAGACTCCATCTCAAAAAAAACCAACAACAACAACAACAACAAAATGCTAGAAAAAAATAGGAGAAAATCTTTGTGACCTTGACCTAGGCAAAGATTTCTTTTCTTTCTATTTGTTTTTTTTTTTTTGAGACGGCGTCTCACTCTGTCGCTCAGGCTGGAGTGCAGTGGCATAATCTCGGCTCACTGCAACCTCTGCCGCGCTCCGGGTTCCAGCGATTCTTCTGCCTCGGCCTCCCAATTAGCTGGGACTACAGGCACATGCTGCCACACCCAACTAATTTTTTGTATTTTAGGAGACATGGAGTTTCACCATGTTGCCCAGGCTGGTCTCAAACTCCTGAGCTCAGGCAATCCACCCATCTCAGTCTCCCAAAGTGCTAGGATTACAGGCGCGAGCCACTGCACCTGCGCTTTTTTTTTTTTTTTTTTTTTGAGATGGTGTCTCACTGTTTGCCCAGGCTGCAGTGCAGTGGCATGATCTTGGCTCACTGCAACCCAACTCCACCTCCCAGGTTCAAGCAATTCTCCTGACTCAGCCTCCTGAGTAGCTGGGATTACGGGCGTGCGCCATTGCGTCCAGCTCATTTTTGTATTTTTAGTAGAGACGAGGTTTCACCTTGTTGGCCAGGCTGGTCTCGAACTCCTGACCTCAGGTGATCCGCCCACCTCAGCCTCCCAAAATGCTGAGATGACAGGCATGAACCACCACACCCAGCCGCCTGTATGATTTTTTTTTTTTTTTTGAGACGGTGTCTCGCTCTTTCACCAGGCTGGAGTGCAGTGGCGCGATCTAGGCTCACTGCAACCCCCGCCTCCCGGGTTCAAACAATTCTCCTGCCTCAGCCTCCTGAGCAGCTGGGACTACAGGTGTGTGCCACCACGCCCAGCTAATTTTTGTATTTTTAGTAGAGATGGGGTTTCACCATGTTGGCCAGGATGGTCTCAATCTCTTTACCTCATGATCCGCCCACCTTGGCCTCCCAAAGTGCTGGGATTACAGGCGTGAGCCACCATGCCTGGGCCCAAGATTTCTTAAACATAACTCCAAAAGCAGTATCCACTTAAAAAGCAGTAAATGAGACTTCGTCAAAATTCAAAACTTTTGCTCTTCAAAAGAAACACCATTAAGAAAATTAAAAGACAAGCCAGACTGGGAGAAAATATTTGCAAATCACATGGCTGACAGGAGAATCCTATCCAGAACACATAAAGAACTCTTTGTTACAACTCCGTAAGATAAACAATCCAGTTTTTGAAAATTGGACAAAAGACTCAAATAGACACTTTTCACACACACACACACACACACACACACACACACACACACACATACGAACAGAAAGCAGGCCAGGTGCAGTGGCTCACCCCTGTAATCCCAGCACTTTGGAGGCTGAGGTGGGCAGATCACCTGAGGTCGGGAGTTCGAAACCAGCCTTCCCAACATAGTGAAACCCCGTGTCTACTAAAAATACAAAAATTAGCCTGGCATAGTGGCCAGTGCCTATAATCCCAGCTACTTGGGAGGCTGAGGCAGGAGAATCACTTGAAACCAGGAGGCAGAGGTTGCAGTAAGCCAAGATTGCACCACTGCACTCCAGGGCAACAGAGCGAGACTGTCTCAAAAAAAAACAGAAAAGGCTGGGCATAGTGGCTCACACCTGTAATCCTAGCACTTTGGGAGGCCAAGGCAGGCAGATCACCTGAGGTCAGGAGCTCGAGACCAGACTGGCCAATATGGTGAAACCTCATCTGTACCAAAAATTTAAAAATTAGCCGGGCGTGGTGGTGCGCACCTGTAATCCAAGCTACTCAGGAGGCTGAAACAGGAGAATTGCTTGAACCCAGGAGGCGGACGTTGCACTGAGCCGAGATCATGCCACTGCATTGCAACCTGGGCGACAGAGCAACACTCCATCTCAAAGAAAAAAGAAAGCAGATCGCTGATGGGCTGAGGGTGGGGGTTGGGGTAGGGACTCTGCAAACAGATGGAAGGAAACTTTTACAAGGGAAATGTCTGCAATTGTGGTGATGACTGCACAATTCTTTTTTTTGTTGTTGTTGCTTCAATGTCCCCTCCTTTTTTTTTTTTTTTTTTGGAGACAGAGTCACACTCTATCGCCCAGCTGGAGTGCAATGGCGTGATCTCGGCTCACTGCAAGCTTCACCTCCCGGGTTCATGCCATTCTCCTGCCTCAGCCTCCCGAGTGGCTGGGACTACAAGCGCCTGCCACCACACCTGGCTAATTTTTTGTATTTTTAGTAGACATGGGGTTTCACCGTGTTAGCCAGGATGGTCTCGATCTCCTGACCTCGTGATCCGCCTGCCTCGGCCTCCCAAAGTGCTGGGATTACAGGCGTGAGCCACCGCACCCACCCACAATTCTTTTTTTTTTTTTTTTTTGAGACGGAGTCTCACTCTGACACCTAGGCTGGAGTGCAGTGGCGCAGTCTCGGCTCACTGCAACCTCCGCCTCCTGGGTTCACACCATTCTCCTGCCTCAGCTTCCTGAGTAGCTGGGACTACAGGTGCCCGCCACCACACCCAGCTAATTTTTTGTATTTTTGGTAGAGATGGGGTTTCACGGTGTTAGCCAGGATGGTCTTGATCTCCTGACCTTGTGATCCACCTGCCTCAGCCTCCCAAAGTGCTGGGATTACAGGCGTGAACCACCGCGCCCAGCCTTTTTTTTTGAGACGGAGTCTCGCTCTGTCACCCAGGCTGGAGTGCAGTGGCGCAATCTCGGCTCACTGCAGCCTCCACCTCTCAGCTTCAAGCAATTCAGCCTGCCTCAGCCTCCCGCGTAGCTGGGACTATAGACGCCTGCCATCACGCCCGGCTAAATTTTTTTGTATTTTTAGTAGAGACGGGGTTTCCCCGTGTTAGCCAGGATGGTCTCCATCTCCTGACCTTGTGATCCGCCCGCCTTGGCCTCCCAAAGTGATGGGATTATAGGCGTGAGCCACCGCGCCTGGCCAGACGACTGCACAATTCTATAATTTAACTAAAAATCATCAAATCATGTTTACAATGGATGAGTTGTGTGGTACATGAACTACATCTCAATAAAGCTATGAAGAGTAAAACAGATATAGTGAAAACAAAGCAAATATTAAATTCAAGCTGAGCGCTGCTGCAGAACATGCTGAAAGTTCCCTTAAGAAAAATGGACAGTGTTAGGTGTTAAAAATGCATATATTACCACCCAGTGACTCTTTCTCCTTGACATAATCAACAAAATTGACAGAGATGTGAAAAGAAAGCTTTCTCATCGGGTGATTGAATGGTCCATGGGGGCAACCCCTAAAATCATCTCAAATGTCTCCACGGTCCCCGGTCTGCCCTTGGGGAAACACACCAAAATGCTGCTGAGGCCCGGCCTGCCTCCCACCCTTGACCTGACGGAGTTCTCATTAAGGAGACAGGAGAGGCGGGGAGTCTAGGAAACCAGTGCGGCACAAAGGCAAGGACCAGAAGAGATGAACAAAGAGAAGAACAAGTATCTGCAAGGCCCCAGGGAAGGATGGAGAAGAGAAAGGGAAAAAGCACAGCTGGAGAGGACCTGTGGACTGGATGGGCGCAGAACACTGCTGGCACTGGCAACATGACCCAGGCAGCTAGCTGATGGGTTGCACCTGGGTGCCAGTGCCAACCAATAGTGGCTGACGCGAGTGTTCTGCGATGGATGCTCAGTGGGAGGGAGGGCCACGAGTGATTAGCAATGACATTTCAGCCACAGTGGGATCCCGAAGCGGGCTGTAAATGACATGTATGTTATTCTGTTCAGCCCAAGTGAAGAACGGACATCAAGTGAGCTCAGGTCCCAGGTGACAGGAAGTGCCACTCAACTTTTTGATATCTGTGTCATGCCACTGCTTACTATGATTATGGTCATTAGCTAGTCACTTATCTTCCTTTATGAGCAATTGTAGCAGCTACCATTTGGGGACTTCTGAGCCAGGTGTGGTTCTGAGGGCTGTATAAGCATCAGCCCGTTTTACAGATGAGGAAACTGGGACCCAGGGGGTTAAGCAACCTCGACCAAGGTCACTCAGCCAGAGGCAGGCTGGAAGAATATCAGAGATGAAAGAGGACAACAGCAAACTGCTCCATCTGATGTAGGGCCATCAGCCCTCGGAACCTCTAGGGAAACCCCAGGGTGGAACCACCCAAAGGCCAGGCTGACCCGCTGCTGGGCCTGGGATACAGCTGTGCTCTCCCCAGCAGGCAGGCAACAGTGCGTTCTGCCTAGCTCTGAGTCCATCCCCTTCAGAGTGCCCCCAAACTGTGCTGGTTCCCCTCACTTCATCCCAGTGGCCCCAGGCCCTCACCTAGTCACACCTTACAAAACCTGGGCAGAGCAGTTTTTCAAACCTGAGTGGACGTAAAACTCACATGGGGAATGGGTTGAAAATGCAGGTTCCCAGGCCCCAAGGGGTCCCAGGCAGGCCCTGGCATGTCTAGCAGTCCTCCCCCACTTGTGGACCTGGCCCACACTCAGAGAAATCTGGCCTGTGGGTGTCCGGAGACACCCAGGAGACTGAGACATCAGATCAGATGAGACGCCAGGATCTGAGGACCCAATCTAGATGTCCCCATGATGCCCAAGTTCTCTCTCCTCTTCCTTCTCTCCTTTCCACCACAAAGAACCCCACGAGGAGATGGAGGGTGAGACTTGGAGCTAGATGCTCCCAGTCAACACATAACTCATCAATAGAGGCAGAAAGAGAGCTGGGAACAAAGCTACGTGGGAGCCCCACAGCTGGTCCCGGTCCCAACTATGCTTCCATCCAGCTGAGATCTTGGCAGTCACTTCCTCCTTGGTGTCTTACGTCCCTCAGCCATAACACAGAGGCCCGAGTATCGGCTGGGTCCTCTCAGCAAGGACCCTGGCCCCTCCCGATCAACTATAATCGTCTCCTTGGGCCCAGCCCCACTCCTCCAACCCACACACCAAGAGCCTCCGTCCTGATGGGAGGGAAATTGCCCAAACCACTGGCTCGGCCTTCACACCAAGCCACTAAAGAAAGCGAAAGCCGGCCCCCGCGGTGAGGTCAATCTGATGACAATGAGAGTTTTCTAGGCAGAAGCGATGCGCCGGGACCCGCGCTCAGCACCCCGCCCCGCCCTCGGGGTTTCCCCCAGGAGCTCCCCCCTGTTGCAAGGACGGAGCTGAGGTGCCCGGGGCGAAGGGACTGCCCCAAGGTCACCCAAGCCGGGCAGTAGCAGCGCCAGGTACGGCTCGGGCAGGTTCCTCCGGGGCCCCCAGCCACGCCTAGGGATCGGGGCCGTGGGGCCGCGCGAAGGCTCGGGGTAGCAACGAGGCCCGGAGGGGGCCGAGCAGGGCGCCCCGCCCCGAGTCCCCGCCCCCGCGCCCGCCGGGTCCGCGTTCCAGCGCGTGCCTAGCAGTCCGCGCCTGGGGCCGGGCGCTCACCGGACTTCGGAGGGTAGCGATAGGCCGAGTTCGCCTGGATGTCGATGTCCTCCACCCCCGCGATGCGGCGGCTGAGAATGGAGCCCATGGTGCGCGGCGCTGCCGGGCAGAGGGGCCAGGGCCGGAACGGGAGCGGCGACAGCGGCGGGGTCCTCACGCGGACATGGCCCGGACCAGGCCGCACGGACGCTCGTCCACGGCCGCGGAGGCGCCTCGAGCCCCCACCCCCGGCTCGGCCCGGGGACCGACGCCACGGCGGCCCTCCGCCTCCCGGTCCCGGGGCACGTCGGGAAATGGAGTCCTCTCGCCGCCGAAGGCGCCGGGAAGCAGCGCGGGAAGCCCGTCTGGGAACTATCTTTCCCAGGATGCTCCGTTCCCAGGCCCTCTGACGGGTTGACAAGCACTCCGGGACAAACCAAATGGACCTAAATTCAGAGGGAAGGAACCAACCAACCACAGGGCAAATGGTCCTTCCCTCTGCGTTCCAAGCGCTGCACTAACATATTAACTCTTTGGTCATTTCCTCATCTGTTCGCTTACAGACTCTCCTGGAGCCCCAGCGCCTTCCACTTGCCCCCTCTGAAATAGCTCCCTGAGTCGCTGTGGTTCTCCCCACTCCCCTGAGTTTGTCTCCCGCCCCGACCGGCAGAGGGCGTAGCTGCACCTGCCACCCGGAGCCCACTTGCAGGGTGTGCACGGAAGAAGTGAAGCACCTGCTTTGGCCTTGGCCAGAATTTGAGGACTACCATTTGGGGACTTCTGAACCAGGTGTGGTTCTGAGAGCTGTATAGGCATCAGCCCGTTTTACAGATGAGGAAGCTGGGATCCAGGGGGTTAAGCAACCTCCGGCCCCCTGACAAGGCTGAGGCCCGGTGCAGTGGCTCACCTGTAATCCCGATACTTTGGCCCCACGTCTGGACCAATTAGTTTAAAGACATAATTTCACAGCCTCCACGGAAGGCAGTAGACTCTCCCACATTTTACACACAGGGAAACTGAGGCACAGAGGAGAGAGAGCCGCATGAAATGGCGCTGCGGGCAAGATTGCAAGAATCGCTTTCAGAATGAAAACCTCGCAGTGTGCAAGGTGTTCCCTGGCTTTTGAGTCACACACAGCTCTGCAAATAGATCGCTTTTTACCTACTTTTCAGTTGAGGAACTTGGATTCTGAGCAGAGTGATTTCCCAAGTCAAGCCTGCTGTACCAAGAAAGCAGCTAGGGAGGGCAAGGCAGACTGAGTCTCCAATGGTCAATTCACCACAGTCCATGTGGAAATGCTTCTTATACCCTTCCAGAGACCACAGTCCAGGATCCAGTCTTCCTCTTTTTTTTTAAATTGTTCTGTCGCGCAGTCTGGAGAGAAGTGGCACAATCTCAGCTCACTACAGCCTTTGCCTCCCGTGTTCAAGCGATTCTCGTGCCTCAGCCTCCCCAGTAGCTGGGATTACAGGCATGCACCATCACACCCAGCCAATTTTTGCATTTTTAGTAGAGACAGGGTTTCACCATGTTAGCCAGGCTGGTCTTGAACTCCCGTCCTCAAGTGATCCGCCTGCCTTGGCCTCCCAAAGTGTTGGGATTAGAGATGAGCCACTGCACCTGGCCTCAGACTTCCTCTTGTCAGGGGAACTTGGGAAGCCAAATGAGTACGGCAGCCAAGAGACTTGTGTGATTATGATGCAGGTCCAGGTCTTGGAGGAGCCTGATTAAATCTCCCTGCCCCACAACCAAGATCCACACTTACTGAGCATTATGTGCCAGGCATCATGCTGAGGGCTCTGCACATATCCTCTCATATAATTCTTTGATGTTGGCCGGGCGCAGTGGCTCACACCTGTAATCCTAACACTTTGGGAGGCCGAGGCAGGCAGATAGCCTGCACCCAGGAGTTCCAGAACAGACTGGGCAACATGTCATGACCCTGTCTCTACCAAAAATGTAAAAATTAGCCAGGTGTGATGGCACGCCCCTGTAGTCACAGCTACTCTGGAGGTGGAGGCAGGAGCATAGCTTGAGCCTGGGAGGTCGAGGTTGCAGTGAGCCATGATCATGCCACTGCACTCCAGCCTGGGTGATAGAGTGAGACCCTATCTCTAAAAAGGATAAAAATTTTAAAAAATAAAATATTAAAAAAACAGGCCAGGCACTGTGGCTCACGCCTGTAATCCCAGCACTTTGGGAGGCCGAGGCAGGCATATCACTTGAGGTCAAGGGTTTAAGACTAGCCTTGCCAATATGGTGAAACCCTGTCTCTACCAAAAATACAAAAAATTAGTTGAGCGTGGTGGTGCGCGCCTGTAATCCCAGCTACTGGGGAGGCTGAGGCAGGAGAATCGCTTGAACCTGGGAGGTGGAGGTTACAGTGAGCCCAGATTGCGCCACTGCACTCCAGTGGGAGTGAGAGAGCGAGACTCTGTTTCCAAAAATAATAATAATTAAAAAACAATTATCTGGCCAGGCACAATGGTTCACGCCTGGAATCCCAGGACTTTGTGAGGCCGAGGTGGGCGGATCACCCAAGGTCAGTTCAAGACCAGCCTGGCCAACATGGCAAAACCCCCATCTCTACTAAAAACATAAAAATTAGCTGGGTGTGGTGGCATGTGCCTGTAATCCCAGCTACTCGGGAAGCTGAGGCAGGAGAATCGCTTGAACCTGGGAGGTGGAGGTTACAGTGAGCCAAGATTGCCCCACTGCACTCCAGTGTGGGTGACAGAGCGAGACTCTGTTTCCAAAAATAATAATAATTAAAAAACAATTATCTGGCCGGGTGCAATGGTTCACACCTGGAATCCCAGCACTTTGGGAGGCCGAGGTGGGCGGATCATTCAAGGTCAGGAGTTGGAGACTAGCCTGGCCAACATGGCAAAAACCCGTCTCTACTAAAAACAAAAATTAGCTGGGTGTGGTGGCACGTGCCTGTAATCCCAGCTACTCGGGAGGCTGAGATGGGAGAATTGCTCGAACCTGGGAGGCGGAGGTTGCAGTGAGCGGAGATCGCGCCACTGCACTCCAGCCTAGGCGACAGAGCAAGACTCTGTCACAGAAAAACAATCTGATGTAGATTCTATTTCTATTACCAATTTACAAAACAGTAAAGTGAGGCTCAGAAAAATGAAGTACCCTAATGAGGTTGCACAGTAGGTGGGTGGCACAGCTGGAATTGAGCCAGGCCACTGCTCTTACCTGGGCACGTCCCTGCCTCCACAGAGGCATGCTCCAGAGTGCCAGATTGCCAGGCTCTTGCCCCCAGATGGATGGGCCTGAAGCCCCCCACCCATTGTGATCTCTCTTCATTTTATATTTCTTTCCATTGAATCACGTAACTCACGTACATGTACATGTATTTGTGTATCAACGCTGCATTCAACTGACTGCCCTCCTCATTTGCGGGGAGGAAGGGAGAGTCCTGAGCATCAGCTGTTCCCACTGAAAAACAACACTAAGAGCATATCCTCCCTATGGAGCCTGTGCCAGAGCAGTCATTTCCACCAGGTGGATGTTTCATTAACTCTTCTTCTCAACAGAGCTTTGGACTCAAGGTGTCCTCAAAGCCCTTTCAGCAGTATTTTTCTGTGCTTACCCACACCCAGATGGAAGACAGGCCCTTCCCGATTTGGTCCAAGTTCCATTATCAACATCTGAGTGGATTCATTTATTTTTATTTATTTATTTATTTATTTTATTTTTTTTGAGATGGAGTTTCGCTCTGTCGCCCAGGCTGGAGGACAATGGTGCAATCTCGGCTCACTGCAACCTCCGCCTCCCGGGTTCAAGCGATTCTCCTGCCTCAGCCTCCGTAGTAGCTGGGATTACAGGCATGTGCTACCACGCCCGGCTAATTTTGTATTTTTAGTAGAGACGGGGTTTCTCCATGTTGGTCAGGCTGGTCTCGAACTCCTGACCTCAGGTGATCTGTCCGCCTCGGCCTCCCAAAGTGCTGGGATTACAGGCGTGAGCCACCGTGCCCGGCCTGGATTCATTTATTTATTTACGTTTGGAGACACAGTCTCACTCTGTCACCCAGCCTGGAGTGCAGTGGCATGATCATGTGGGATCTCGGCTCGCTTTAACTTCCGCCTCCCAGGTTCAAGCGGTTCTCCTTCCTCAGCCTCCCGAGTAGCTGGGATTACAGGCACCCACAACTAATTTTTGTATTTTCAGTAGAGACAGGGTTTCACCACGTTGGCCAGGCTGGTCTTTAACTCCTGACCTCAGGCAATCCCCCCACCTTGGCCTCCCAAAGTGCTGGGATTACAGGCGTGTGCCGTCATGCCTGGCCAATTCATTGATTTATTCAACAAATATTTATCCTGCAGCTACTATGTGACAGGTGATGAACCAGGCAACAGGCATCAAATGGTAGGACAAGCTAGACATGGAGGCTGCAGGCAGGTGAGGAAATAGACGCTAGAAAGGTTAACAAGTATATAATTCCAGAATGTGGTGGGTGCTCTGCAGAAAACGTTGAGATGCAATTAATTGACACTATTGGCAGGGGAGTCAGGGAAGGGGTTTTTTTGAGGAGGTGACAGCTAAGCCAGGACTTGATTTATTTTTTGTTGCTGTTGTTGTTGCTGTTGTTTGAGACGCAGCCTCACTCTGTTGCCCGAGGTGGAGTGCAGTGGAGCGATCTCAGCTCACTGCAACCTCCGCCCCCTGGGTTCAAGCAATTCTCCTGCCTCAGCCTCCCGAGTAGCTGGGACTACAGGCGCGTGCCAGCACACCCAGCGAATTTTTGTATTTTTAGTAGAGATGGGGTTTCACCATGTTGGCCAGGCTGGTCTTGAACTCCTGACCTCAGGTAATCTACCCACCTCGGCCTCCCAAAGTGCTGGGATTATAGGCGTGAGCCACCGCGGCCGGTTGCTAAACCAGGACTTGAAATACAATTAATAGCCAGCCAGGCAAAGTGTGAGGGATTAGGCTGCTCCAGGTTCTAGGTAGGGGTAATGGCATATACAAAACCTCTATAGTGGGAAAGAACTGAGTACGGCACAGGACTAGAATCAAGTGAGGGAGATGGCAAGGCAAGGGCCAGATCTTGCCTCACATTCAGCCAGCATTGGGCTCTCTGAAACGTAAAGACAGGGCCAGGTGCGGTGTCTCACGCCTGTAATCTCAGCATTTTGGGAGGCCAAGGCAGGTGGATCGCTTGAGCCTAGGAGTTCGAGGCCAGCCTGGGCACCATGGCAAAGCCCTGTCTCTACAGAAAATATAAACATTAACCAGGCGTGGTGGTGCACATGTGTAGTCCCAGCTACTTGGGAGGCTGAGGTGGAAGGATCCTTTGAGGCTGGGAGGTCGAGACTGTAGCGAGCCATGATTGTGCCACTGCACTGCAGCCTGGGTGACAGAGTGAGACCCTGTCTCAAAAATAAAATAAAATGAAAAAAAAAAAAAAAGAAACATAAAGACAGACGCTGGAGACGACTGGTGGCTTCCTGGTCTGAGTGCCTGAGTCTCAAGTCTAGACTTCTCAACCCCCTGAGTGGGCAGGATCCTGGCGTATTCTGGTGCTCCCAGAGCCAGGCACCCGGTGGGTGTCTGATAAGCACATCTGTGGAATAAATCAAAGAATGGGGTGAGGAGGAGGCGGCCAGGGCCCTGGGCCCCCCATGGACTGGCCATGTGAAGTCTGGCAAAGCCTTGAACCTCTTGGGCCCTCAGGTGACATAAGGGCACTGCTGGAAATGCCTTCTCCTCTCCCTCCCACTAGGTGCTGGCCCCAGCTGTCAGGTTCCATCCCAGCCTGCTAAGGAATCCAAAGTTCATTCTCCAACCAGGCTAATCCTGGCTAAAAACAAGGTTGTTTTTTAATTCCCTGTTGCCCGTGGAAAAACAAGCTGGCTTAGGGGATGGGGGTGAGGGGGTTGCATGGAGACCAGTAGGGTGACCTTTGACTCTGCCAGCCCCACCTGCCCAACTCTTGCCAGCCTGCTGGCCTGAGAGAGATCCTCCTGAGCTGGGCAAGCCTGGGCAGGCAGCTGAGTGGTACCTGGACGATGGTGGAAGGAGGGGTGAAGGCACTTCCTGCCTCCCTATGCAAGGCAAGCCCTTAGTGGGCCCTGCCGGGACAGTGTCCCTCCTCCCTTGCCAGAAATGCACCATGGGTGCCCGCTCTTCTCCACAGGTTCTGAATGTCAGAGGGTAAGGCTGGATTCCAGCCTCAGTTTTATCTGTAAAATAGGGCTAGGGCTTCCCAGAGTGGTCCAGATGGAGGCAAACAGGTGAGAGCACTAGAACCGTGCAAATAGCACCAGGCCCTGCACTCTGCATTTTACAGGCATTAATCTTCCACAGCAGTGAGGCCAGAACTCAGCCCCGCCAGTGAGAAAGTGAAGCCCAGAGCTCTGGTAACTCGCTCAACATTAAGCATTAAGTCATTAAGCAGCGGAGTCAAGCCTGACACCCAGGTCTGTCTAGCTCCCGAACCTGCCCACCTTCTACCACACTGTGTTGTCGTCCTAGTGGTAATTATTATAGCGGGAATCATATTCAGAGCTGGTTTTTACTGTGGGCCTACCCTGTGGAGCACTTTGCCCATATTAATTCATGCATATGAGCTTTGCAAAGGTTAAGGAGCAACTCTTAGCAAGAGCAAACATCTCTTGGAACCATCAGGGTTTACAAAATACTGTGGCCCCTAAGTGATCCGCAAACAGCAGGAAAGAATTTTAAACTGTATTTCCCGTGGTCAGATGGCTTCTGCCGAGGCTAAGTGCCTGCCTGGGAAAAGCCAAGACTCAGTGTCCGCCCCTTGCCTATAGGCCAGGCTCCCAGCCCCAGCCCTCAGAGACCAACTCCACTGCACCCTGACTCCCTTCCCTCCCCAGCCCTCTCCGCTATCTCAGTGCCCCAAGCCTTCCCCACCACCCTACCCTCCCACCCCAGGACATTTCAGGTCCAGTCCACTAGTTCCCCTACTGTCCTCCTCCCACCACCCAATGGGAGAGTCCTTGGTCAGGCTTGAGGGGCCCGGGTAGGAGCCGCAGCTTGAGGCAATTCCCTCCATTCCATCCAATTCCGAAGGCAGGGCAGACTCCCCTGGAACCAGACACATCAAGAACGTCGCCTAGTTCAGACCGGAGCTCTCCACCACCATCTGATCCCAGCACAGCCACAGCCACAGTGATCCCAACGTGTCCAAGGGATCAGATCTGTTTACACATTTCAGTATCCCCTAACTCACCCCCAGGGCCAGTGCCGGCCTCCCTAGGGCATTTTTTATTTTTTGGAGACAGGATCTTGCGCTGTTCCCCAGGCACAATCACGGCTCACTGCAGCCTCTGACTTCCCAGGCTCAAGCAATCCTCCTACCTCAATCTGTAGCTGGGACTCCAGAATTTTTTTTTTTTTCTTGAGACAGTCTTGCTCTGTCGTCTAGGCTGGAATGCAATGGCGCGATCTCAGCTCACTGCAGCCTCCGCCTCCTGAGTTCAAGCAATTCTCCTGCCTCAGCTTCCCCAGTAGCTGGCACTACAGGCGTGTGCCACCATGTCCGGCTAATTTTTGTATTTTTAGTAGAGACGGTTTGACCAGGCTGGTCTGGAACTCCTAACCTCAAGGGATCTGCCCGCCTCGGCCTCCCAAAGCGCTAGGATTACAAGCGTGAGCCACGGCGCCCGGCCAATTTTTTTTATTTTTTATTTTTTGTAGAGACGAGGGTCTCACTATGTTGCCCAGACTGGTCGCAAACTCCTGGACTCTAGTGATCCGCGCCCATCTCGGCCTCCTAAAGTGTTGAGATTACTTACAGGTGTGAGCCATGGAACCCAGCTAATTCTCTGTTTTTTTGTTGTTGCTTTGTTTTTTGGTTTTTTTTTTTGAGACAGAGTCTTGCTCTGTGGCCCAGGCTGCAGGGCAGTGGCGCGATCGCGGCTCACTGCAACCTCCGCCTCCTGGGTTCAAGCGATTCTCCTGCCTCAGCTTCTGGAGTAGCTGGGATTACAGGCGACTGCCACCACGCCCGGCTAGTGTTTGTATTTTTAGTAGAGAACGGGTTTCGCCGTTTTGGTCAGGCTGGTCTCGAATTCCTGACCTCAGGTGATCCGCCAGCCTCGGCCTCCCAAAGTGCTGGGATTACAGGCGTGAGCCACTGCGCCCGACCCGAACTCAGCTAATTTTCTTAAAATGTAAATCTCTGTAGAGGCGTGTTCTCAAAGTCCTGGGCCTAGGCAATCCTCCCTCCTCGGACCCCGAGTAGGTGGGATTACAGGCCACCGCGCCAGCCCGGGAGGGCATTTTCCATCTTGCAAGGCTATACTCGTCCTCCGGGTTTCCGAAATTCGCTCCCAACCCCAGCCGTTCTCACAGCCCCCACCCGGCTATTGCTCTTCTGTCGCCCCACGCTAGGTCAGGGCCAGGAAAAGAGGAAAGACTCAACAAATAGTGTCTCAACGAAGGAGGCTGGGGCCAGGGGGCGCAAGGAGCCGGACCAAGGTCACCTAGAGCTGCTATGATCGCGCCTTACCGCCCCCGGGCGCTCGAAGCGGGCTAAAGCCTCACTAGCTGTCAGCAACGTCAACCGGAAGCGCCATGTGCCGGTCTGTAAACACCGCCCGGTCGCCCCGCCCCCGGCTCCGCCCCCGGCCTCCCCGGCCCAGCGCCCGCCCCCGCCGCCTCTTCATTGGGCGACCAGCTTTGTTTACCTTATATGGCCAGGTCCTAACACCCCGAGGCTGTCCATTGGTCGAGGCACGACCTCACTCAGCTGACGTCACCGGGACCAAACGATGCAAATAAACCGAGGCATTCTGGGAAAGGGAGTTTGGGGCCGCTCCGGAACTGGCTCTGCCGGGCCTTGGCGCCCGCCCGCTAAGGGCCGAGATTTCCGGCAAAGAGCACGAGATTTTGCGTGGGAAAGCGGGAGAACTGCTGGGAGGGGGACCCCGAAGCACCAGAGGCTGCTGGCCCCGCCAGCCTGTCCCAGGCGCCGTCCAGAGGGTCATGGGGCTACAGTGGGGCAGGCCCAGAGCCAGGCTAGGAAGGACCCATGCCACGAGTGGGCGATGAGAGATTGAGTGAGGAGAGCTAGGAGGCTAGCTATAGGCGGTGACGTGCGGCGGAGCTTTTAAGTGGCTCATTCATTCATTCACTGAACGAGTATTTGTCGGCGCCTACAGTGTGCCGGGCCTTTCAGCCTAGACCAGCCGATTTGGGCCAAAATTCCTAGAGACCCCTCTCTTAAGGGCGTGCCTACTATTTAACACAGAGCGATGCCAATCACAGAGGGGTTCAGGGTCCCTAGGTCTTAGCAAAGACGCCTGTGGCCCGGCGTTTGCGCCCATGCACAGATCTGTATGCCCCACCTTGGGACCCCAATTCGTGCCAGAGCAGGGGCACGGGTGCCACCGAGAGCAATGAGGGCGACATGGACGTGCCTGGCTCTGGTCACGGTCTGGACAGCTGCGCACAGTAGGCACTTAGCGTTCAGTCACAGTCCCCGGGGCATGGCAAAGACGTCTGTGGCCTGGCGTTTGCGCCCATGCACAGATCTGTGGCCCCGGCCTCTGGGCTCCTAATTCCCGCCAGAGCAGGGGCGTGGGTGCCACCGAGAGCAACGAGGGCGACGTGGACGTGACTGGCTCTGGTCCCAGCTCAGGCGCCTGCACACATTAGGCACTCAGTTTTCAGACACCGTTCCTGGGCCTTGGCAAAAACGCCTATGCACGAACCTGAGGCCCCCGCCTGCGGACCTCCATCCGTGCCAGAGCAGGGGCCGGGTGCCACCCAGAGCAACGAGGGCGACGTGGACTCCCCCAACCCTGGTCACGGCCCGGGCATCCACACACAGTAGGCGCTCACAGTTCAGACACGGTCCCCAGGCCTTGGCCAAGATCCTGTGGTCAGGCATTTGCGCCCATGCACAGACGTGGCCCCCGCCAGCGGACCCCCATCCGTGCCAGAGCAGGGGCACGGGTGCCACCGAGAGCAACGAGGACGACGTGGACGCGCCCGGCTCGGGTTACGGCCCGGACATCCGCACAGCGGGCGCTCGGTGCTCAGACACGCCCCTTCCCGGGCTTCGCGTCCCCTAGGGTGCCGGCCCCGCTCCCCCGGGGCGCCCGGCGCACCGTGGGGACTACATATCCCAGCATGCCGCGGCGCCGGCGGAGCGAGGCGAGGCGCGGTGAGTCAGAGCCGCACAGTAAATATTTGTATTAGCCGGAGCCGGCTCGCTAATGGTGGACGCGTGAGGCGGAGGCGCGGGCGGAGGAGGGAGGCCGGAGCGGGCAGCGCGGCGGCGCCATGTCCGTGAACATGGACGAGCTCAAGCACCAGGTCATGATCAACCAGTTCGTGCTGACGGCGGGCTGCGCGGCCGACCAGGCGAAGCAACTGCTGCAGGCGGCCCACTGGCAGTTCGAGGTGCGCGGCGCCGGAGCCGGGCGAGGGCCGGGGCCACGGGCGGAGTGTGTCCCGCGTGGCCGCCGGGCGGGGGCGGACGGCGTGGACGCGTGCCGGCTGTGCGCCCCCTCCGGGCCGCAGACCCGACCCGCTTTCCCGACGGCGGTGCCCGGCGTCCGGATCCCAAGGGCTCGCGGCGGGCGGAGGTGGGAACCGGGCCACCGGTCGGGGATACGCCGCCCCCGCGGGGCCGCGAGTCCCCCGGGATCGAGACGGGGACCCCCCCCACCCCTTTTGTCCGGGTAACGGCCGAGGGCCGGGCGGCCCCGCGGTGCAGACGGACAGTCGGGCGGGCGGCCGGAAGGAGGACGCCCCAGGCCTCGGCAGAGCTGGGCCGGAGGGCGGAGCCGCTCCGGGCGAGTGGTCCGAGGGTCCGCGTGCCTGGTGGGCGGTCGGCGGCGTGCGCACACGTCCATGTGCATTTGTGTTTACGCACGCACCGCGCCACGGCGTCGGCCGGGCACCGGGGAGGTGGCGGACCTGCGGGCACGTTGGCGCGCGTGTGAACGCGCAGCCCCCTGGTGCGTTTGGTGTGTGATCAACGCGTACACATGTGGCGGGTGTGCAGATGCCGCCCGTGCCCGGCACGGTGTGATGTGTGTACACGGCCTGGAGTGTAGGGGTGGCGTGTCGGAGCCCCACACTACACCACAGGGATGAGCGTGTATCCCCTTCAGAGGTGTGCCTGGGGACTCCGTGTGCGCGACTAGGTGCTCTCCTGGGGCTGGCAGGGGCATCTGTCCCTTTACCGGTGCAATGGGGAGGGTGCACACGGTTCACCAGCTTTCGGGCTAGCTGGGTAGGAGGTGATGCTGCCCCGGTCTGGCACCCACTCCCCCGGGCCTCTCCTAACCCATAGGACAGTAGTGCTCCTGGCTTGTGCTGCCCAGAGGCTACCTGGCTTTCCCTAATTCACCGACCCCAGGATTAACCCCATGGTGGTTGGTATCAGGGGATGAGGCCAGAGCCCTTTGAGCTGTGCCCCTCACAGGGGTAGGGTCATGGCCTCAGCCATCCCGGTACCATCTGTGCCCAGCCGGGGACTGGGAACCTGGTTTCTCCATGAGGAGCCATCCCAGGGCCTGCAGGAGGGACTAGAAGCCAGAGGACTCTGAGGCTCCGCTTCCTGGGGACTGCAGGGGGATCAGAATGTCCCAAGCTTGGGACAGTCTGGGAAGGCAGTGGCCATCCCATCCAGATGAGTACATCCCTCTCTCCTTGCCTACTTCCCTCCTACCAGCCGTCGCGGAGGCCACTGATCCTGTGTGGTGTTCACCCCAGGACGTGGGAGGCTGCTCTGTCCCTCTGGCCTTAGTTTCCACATCTGTATGGTGGGGTTGGGGGGCATGAGTCAGCTTCTGTTGGCCAGCTTACTGCCCCCTGTGCCCCAAGGCAGCCCCACCCGGAGGAAGCTCCCTGCTTCCCTCCTGGTCTCCACAGCCCTCATCAGCCCTGTTTGTGTCAGGGGCTGGATGTGGCAAAACTTGCAAAACCGCATTCATGGCAGTTACACATCTGCACGCAGGGTTCCCTCGCTGCCTGGGGCTGGGCAGGTAGGTGTCCGGTGGGAAGCGGGCCCTGCCTGCAGGACTCAGCCCAGCCCTCAAAACCTGGCACCCAGCTGGCACCCAGGCCACATCCCTCAGCGGCACAGTTAATTGAAAATGCAGCTTTGAGGAGTGCAATGTCTGGGGAAAGACTGTTCCCAGAGGGGCAGGAGCATCTGGGGCCTCTGGTGGCTCCCAGGGTCCCCATGGGAGGAGCCCTGTGCCCTCCACTCCCAAGTCTCAGTTGTGCCATCTGTAAAGTGGGGGCCGCCAGGGAGGCTGGAGGAAGGTGACGGGACTTCAGGCCTTGGAATGGGGCTGAGTGAGGGGTTCACATGGCCACCCCATCCCTCTCCACGCTCCACCCGCTGGCTGCATCCACCAGGCGGTGTTTCTGGGTCACATTTGCTGCAATTCAGGTGCTAATGGGGGCAGGAGGCTGCAGGGGGAGGGGCCGGTGTCTAGTGGGGCAGATGTTTCTCAATGGAGAATGCTCACAGCGGCCTGCAGAGGGGGTCTGGTGTGGCCTGGGGCTCCTGGGGTTGGGATTTACACAGTGAGCCTGGGCTTTGGGGCACAGCTGCTGCTGACAGAGGGTCTTGGGGTCTGGGAAGGTGCTTAAAGCCCGGCCCCCATGCCTGAGCTCCCACACCCCTGTTTAGGGACACCCAGATAGGGTGTCTCCTGCAGGAAATTCCCCACATAATTCATTTATTTAAAAAATATTTTTTGCCGGGCACGGTGGTTCATGCCTGTAATCCCAGCACTTTGGGAGGCCAAGGTGGGCGGATCATGAGGTCAAGAGATCAAGACCATCCTGGCCAACATGGTGAAACCCCATCTCTACTAAAAATACAAAAGTTAGCCAGGTGTGGTGGCACGTGCCTGTAGTCCCAGCTACTCGGGAGGCTGAGGCAGGAGAATCACTTGAACTAGAAGGCAAAGGTTGCAGTGAGCCCAGATAACGCCACTGCACTCCAGCCTGGTGACAGAGCGAGACTCCGTCTCAAAAAAAAAAAAAAAAAAAATCTAAATAGCCTCCCACCCATACCCCCTGATCGAGGGCAGGCCCCAGGAGCCAGGCTGGATTTCTGGGTGTGCTGGGCCTGGGAGGGCCAGGAAGTCAAGCTGGCATTAGGGGAGTGGGCCTGAGGGGTGGCGGTAGGGGCACCTCGGCGGCTTGAAGCTCCAAGTCTGGGCCTGGGACTTGGCAGGGCCCCGAGAACCCCTCAAATACTTGTGGGGCTCCCTCACTGGCCCTTGCGCAAGAGCAGCCTCCGTTTCCTGGGACAGGCCTCCCCACCCCTGCAGGGCCTCAGCCAGGACATAGCAAATCCCAGCGCCTCCCTCTGGGGCTCCTCAGTTCCCAGTCACCAAGGACCTCTGGAGCCTGCTGAGCTGACACACACAGGAAAGGGCTCCAGGCTCGCTCTGTCTCCCCCACCTGTCCTGGCCTTTCTGAGCGCCCCCATCTCTGTCTTCTGCCGACCAGCTGACCCTGAGCAAGTCACTTCCTACCTTCATTTCCCTGCCTGTAAGACAGCAGTCCCTGCCTGTGGGGTTAATGATGACAGTCCACGGCCCCGCTGGGATGGAGCCCTGCTGGGTGCCCGCACCGTGCTCAGTGTGGCATGCGGCCCGGGTGTGGAGGGAGACGGTGGAGCATCCCGTGCCTAGCGTGGTGCCAGCCAAGGGCGGGTGGCTGGGGAGCTGTGCTGGGAGCTGTCGTAAACCCGTGGTGGCTTTGATCCTAGGGCCGTCTTTCTGCTCCACTTCCCGGGCACTGTTCCGAGGGAGGCTCAGGTGGGGAAGCGAGTGAGCCTAAAGCCCAGGCTTGTCTCCTTGGTGCCAGGCCCTGCTTGCTGGAATCTGGTGATCTTAGGAGGTCACTGTTGCAAGGGAGGGGACCCAGGAGCCACCTAGTCGAACCTCTTTGTGGTACAGATGGAGAAACCAAGGCCCAAACAGTGGCCCCCTTGATCAGCCAGAAGCAGAGCTGGGTGGGGCAGCAGGGGATCCCCACCACCAGGCTCAGACTCCTTCAGGATGCTTTTGCTTCGCAGATGAGGAGACCGAGGCTTAGAGAAGAGTAGAGACTTGCTACCCGTTGAGGTGGTAACAGCCAGGCTAGAATCTCCTGAAACGGGGCAGGGTGGGGAGGTCTGGTTGGGCTACCTGGGGCCGGGCGCCTTTCCCCCAGGATGGGGTGTACTGCCCGCCCTCCCCCAGTCATGGTGCTGGTGCCAGCTGGTGCAGGGGGAGGGCTCTGCAGGCCTTAGGCACTGAGGCAGGTGGCGAGCAGCAGGGGAAGGGTCTTCTCCACCCACCCCAACTGCCCAAGGTTCCGTGGCTCCTCCTTAGACAGCAGTGAGGGTTGGGGGTGACAGGCAAGCCACTGAGCCTCAGCACCGCGACTCACCCCTCCCACTCAGCAGTCCAGCCAGGGTCATCCCCAGCCTCAGAGGAGCCTGGGAACAAGGGCAGCGGCAGGGCCGGCGGGGGCCTGGAGGGTGAGCAGGGGCCTTTCTTCCTGCAGACAGCCCTCAGCGCCTTTTTCCAGGAGACCAACATCCCCTACAGCCACCATCACCACCAGATGGTAAGTGTCCCCGGAGTCCCCAGTTCTGGATTGGGCGGAAGGAGGCCGAGCTAGTTCTGTGTATAAGCAGCCCCTGGCCCCGGTGTACGAGGGCGCTGGTGCAGGCGGGGCTCGACCTCTTTGGAGATGGGTCAGCAGGAGTCCCGGCTCCGTGGGTCCTGCACTTAATCTTGCCTGTGCCAGCTCCCCCTGAGACCTGGGGGGCGCTGGCCTCTGGGGCAATGAAGCTCCTTACCCTACAGCCCCCGGGGATGCTGTGGCTGATGGAAAGGGGTGGGCTGGGAAAGCCTCGTGGCCCCAGGCACCGTGGGCTCCTGAGAGTGAGGCTGGGTCGGTTCATCTCAAGGCTTCTCCTCTGGGAACCCCTGGGCGGCGGACAGGCTTGGGGATCTGGGGAAGGAACACAGAGCCTTCCGAGAATGGGCCAGCCACGCATCTCCCCTTGGGAGGCAGTGGGGGCCCCTCCAGGAAGGGGTGCTCACCCCATCTCTCCTCTCTTCCCCTCACAGATGTGCACCCCCGCCAATACCCCTGCTACACCCCCCAACTTCCCTGACGCTCTCACCATGTTCTCCCGTCTCAAGGCCTCCGAGAGCTTCCACAGCGGTGGCAGCGGCAGCCCGATGGCCGCGACAGCCACGTCACCCCCGCCACACTTCCCCCATGCCGCCACCAGCAGCTCTGCGGCCTCCAGCTGGCCCACGGCGGCCTCGCCCCCGGGGGGCCCACAGCACCACCAGCCACAGCCGCCCCTGTGGACTCCAACACCCCCTTCTCCGGCTTCAGACTGGCCACCCCTGGCCCCCCAACAGGCCACCTCAGAACCCAGGGCCCACCCTGCCATGGAGGCAGAGAGATAAGGGAGGCCCCTCCCCCCTCCCGGAGGCCAGGACCCCGTGGGGCGGGGGAGAGGACGTCTCTGCGGGCCCCCTTCACCCCTTTTCTGTCTGCACCCCTTGTTCCCCGGAGCCCTGGAGGGGAGAGCGCGGACTCTAGCCAGGCAGGGACACGTCTGGTGCCAGAACACGCAGCTGCCCACACGCAAGGTCATGGCCCCAGCGGCCCCGGCACATGGAGTGGTTCAGCGCGGCCTGGGTGCCTGGCGGACAGAACTTCAGAGACCACGCAGCCTTCCTTCGAAGACGCACCTGCCCAGCCCAGCCCAGGGGTGCCGTGGAGGACCACCCTGGCAGAGACATTGCTGATCCCTGGCTTGGAGCTCCTTGGGGGCCGGCAGGCCTCGACCCCCACCCTAGGGAATGCAGAGCCTCTCCGCATGTGTGCGCGTGGCCGTGTCTGTGTATTTCTACGTGTGTCGCTCTTCAGAAGCAACCTAGTTCCTGGGGCAGCTGGACTTTGCATGTTAGTGTGAGCCCCCAGCCCCCTGCCCGCCGCCCCCTCCCCAGGGCCCTGCCTCCTCCCCACCCCCTCGTCAGCCAGCGTTGCTGTTCCTTGCAGAGAAAAGGATTGTGGGAAACTCCAGGACTCTTCCCACCGCCTCCCAGCGCCTGCCTGCTGGGGCTGCCTGCATGCCTCCCCTGCACCTGGGGGTACCCGCATCCACTTCCTTTCCCCCTTTTAACAAAAGAGAAGAACGAATTCCAAACCACTGCCAGGCTCTGTGGTCTTACCTTGTATACGAGGCTTGCTGCCAGCTGGTTCTGGGGGCCGCCGCCCAGAAGACAGGGCCACCCCGAGCCTCCCCGGCTCCACACTGCTGCCTGTAGCCCTTGTCAGCCACAGCGTGCTCTGGAATCTTCCTGCCCACCCAGGGCTTTTCCTGTGAAGTTAGTTCCTGGCCTGGGTCCCCATCCTGTCGGCCCACCCCTGCCCCTGCTTGGCTGGACAGATCCCGGCGCCCAGTTAGGAGTTCGCAGGGCTCACACCTGCCTTCTGTTGTCCTGGGTTTCATCTCAGGACTTTTCTCGGTCTCGGCTCCAGTGGCTGGGCACAGGCTGGACCCTCTGAGCCCGGCCTCCAGCACACACTGGGTAGGGCAGGGCCTCTGGGCAGAGGGCAGACAGAGCCAGGGAAGCTTGCAAGGGGCAGAGGACGAGGCAGGGGACAAGGATGGGGCGGAGTGCTGCCAGCAAAGGGGGCACAGATGTTGGGTCACTTAGGAGACTGGCAACCCGAGGCTGCCTGGGATGAGCTGGAGCAGCTTTGGGAGAATGCACCCTCAGCCTCACAGCTCCCCAAGAGTGGGCTTGGACTTGGGGCAGAAGGGAGACTGGGGCCTCTGCAACACCCCCACGGGACTCAGCTCACAGCTCCTCAAGGGCAACACCCACTCTGTCTAAGATAGCACCAGCCCCTGGCGGAGGCCCTGCCGGCTGGGTGGAAGAGCATCTTCTCTTTCTGAAAGTCCCGTGCTCCCCTGGCGTCCGACACTCCCCACTGACCCTTCCTGGCTCCCAGGGATGTGACTGTGCCTCTCAGGAAGCGTGCCTCGGTGCTCTTGCCACACCAGTGCCTGGCTTCATCTCCTGGTTGGAACCTGCAGAGGCTGTGTTGACAGAGCCCACCTGGGACAGCTGCTCACTGGCTGCTTGGCACTGGCGACTGGCTGCTGTGACCTCCGCTCAAGCCGCACTTGCTTCCCAGGAATGGGCCCTCCCAGGAATCTGCCTTTGTAATAGCCTTTCGGAGCCCACAGGACGGGTGATCCTGGCCAGCCAGCTAGCCCCCTGCATCCGCCTGGGGTGCCTGGGTAGCAGGGGAGGGAGAGAACGTGGCAGGAGGAGACGGGGGGACATATCTGGCCTCCTGAGTCTTTACTTTGCAGCTCCTCGATTCTTTGATATGGAAAAAAAATTCTCAGGAAACTGCCATAGCCGCCTTCCAGTGGTGGGAAAAATGCTTTGCAGAGAGAAGTGTTTTGGGGTAATCTGCAAAGTGGGGTGAGTGCCCCTGGACTCTCCCACCTCACATGCTGAGGTAGCTGCACGTGCCCGCCATGCATGAGGCAGCGCTGTCCAGGACTCTGCACAGTGTGAGGCTCGTGAGTGCTGTGTTTTTGTTTTTGTTTTTTGAGACGGAGTCTTACTCAGTCACCCAGGCTGGAGTGAAGTGGTGCCATCTCAGCTCACTGCAACCTCTGCCCCCCAGGTTCAAGTGATTCTCTTGGCTCAGCCTCCCTGGTAGGTGGGACTGCAGGCACCCTCCACCACGCCTGGCTAGTTTTTGTATTTTTAGTAGACACGGGGTTTCACCATGTTGGCCAGGCTGGTCTTGAACTGCTGACCTCAAGTGATCCACCTGCCTTGGCCTCCCAAAGTGCTGAGATTACAGGAGTGAGCCACCGCGCCCCGCGGGGAGTTCCATTTATTAAACACCATGAGCCCTGGGGTGGCCTGTAGTGAACCACACCCTCACTATTCAAGGCATGGTTCGGACCCCAGCATCAGCCAGGAGCTTGTTAGAGTGAGGCTGCAGCCCAGACTCCCCGAATCAGAAACTGATTGAACAGGAGCCCCTGGTTCCAGATAGACATCAAAGTTTAGGAATTGTCCCTACACTTCATCCCTACATCGTCACTAATACCGGGGAAACTGTCCCACCACCCTCATTTCTGTTTCTGGGGGCCACTGTGGGCTGGGCCTGGGGGTCTCAAGTGGTCACATTAAGGACGGGAGAGACTTGAGGTTCCTGCAGGGCTGGCTTTTTCAGCGTGGTCACTGTTGACATTGAGGGCTGTGTTATTGTCCTGCAGTGGTGCTGAGCAGTATCCCTGAGCCCTCCCCACTGAATCCAAGGGCAGCCCCCTTATTAGGACAATCGGAAGTGTTTGCAGCCAGTGCTCATGTCTCCTACAGGCCACCATGGTCCCAGTGGAGTGCCTCTGTGCTAGTTCTGTGGCTCTCATACCTGGCTGCACAGCAGGTAAAATAAAACTGGCAAACCACAGGTTCGTTGGCCTCATGCCATCAGACTCTCTGGGCCGAGGCCGAGGCCGAGGCCCTGACGTACAATCGTGGAAGCTCCCTGGGTAGATGATGGTGATTGATCTGTGACTGTACCAAAAGCCACTCAATGGCATGCTTTAGAAATGTGGACGTTCTGGTGTGTCAATTATACCTCAAGGCTGTTATTGAAAATAAAACAGGCTGGGCAGGTGGCTCACGCCTGTAATCCTAGCACTTTGGGAGGGTGCAGCGGGGGGATCATGAGGTCAAGAGATCGAGACCATCCTGGCCAACATGGTGAAACAGCCGTCTCTACTAAAATACAAAAAATTAGCTAGGCGTGGTGGCGGGCGCCTGTAGTCCCAGCTACTCGGGAGGCTGAGGCAGGAGAATCGCTTGAACCCAGGAGGTGGACGTTGCAGTGAGCAGAGATCGCTCCACTGCACTCCAGCCTGGAGACAAAGCAAGACTCCACCTCAAAAGAAAAAAAAAAAAAAACAGAAAAAAATGAAAATAGCTCCTTTCACATATATTTTTACGTGCCATCTAGTCATGCCCCCCACATCGTGAGTGGGAGCCTGCAGACTCGATCCCCGGACTTCCAGAGCACAAGCGTCCCCTGGGTGCTTGCTGAACACCCACGTTCCCGGCCTCTCCCTTGAGGCAGTTGTTCTGGAGGAGGGTCAAAGAATCTGATTTGTGTTTTAGAGATAGGGTCTTGCTCTGTTCCCCAGACTAGAGTGCAGTGATGCAATCATAGCTCACTACAGCCTTGAAATCCTGGGCTCAGGTGATCCTCCCACCTCAGGCTCCCAAGTAGCTGGGACTACAGGTGCACGCCACCACACCTGGCTAATTTTTTTTAAATTTTCTTGTAGAGATGAGGTCTTGCTATGTTGCCCAGGCTGCCCTTGAACTCCTGGCCTCAAGTGATCCTCTTGGCTTGGCCTCCAAAAGTGCTGGGATTACAGGCGTGAACCACCTCACCCAGCCCCAGATCTGATTTTTAATAAGTGCCCCAGGCCAGGTGGGAACCACTCCCAGTGGGAGCAGTCTGGGAGCCTTGGGGAGGGCAGGGCTGGGGCTGGGGCTGGCAGTGCAGGTGTTTTCCGGCAGATGCAGAGGCCCTACCAGGTGTGCTTGGAGCCCTTGGTCGCAGGGGCATCTTACAAAAAGAAGGGGGCTGTGCACGTGGGCTAGGACTAACTCTAGGGGAGCCAGAGGTGGGCCTACGAAATCACCACATGCCCCAGACCTTGAATGTGACACAAAGAACCTGGAGCCTCCCATGACTTCTCTAAGCCTGGAAAATCGAAAGCAAAACCAACCGGAGGCCAGACACGGTGGCTCACACCTGTAATCCCAGCCCTTTGGGAGGCCGAGGTGGGTGGATCACCTGAGGTCAGGGGATCAAGAGCAGCCCTACCAACATGGTGAAACTCCATCTCTGCTAAATACAAAAACTTAGCTGGGTGTGGTGGTGCATGCCTGTAATCCCAGCTACTCAGGAGGCTGAGGCAGGAGAATCGCTTGAACCCAGGAGGCAGAGGTTGCGGTGAACCGAGATGGCACCACTACACTCCAGCCTGGGCAACGAGCGAAACTCCGTCTCAAGAAAAAAAATCAGGAGAGTTTATGGGAAAAGCCTCACTTCCGACTTATCTTGGAAACTGGAAGATTTGGTGCAAATTCCCTTAAGGCCATAACTGGCTGAAACTGACCATGGCACTGGGGACACGGCGTGGCCTGCCCCTGCCAGCCTGCTCTACGCCACCACAGCCATGCACGAGTCCAACTCCTGCGTGGGAATCGGCTGGAATCCCTGGAGGGGGTCTGTCTTTTCACCACGGGGAGCTTCAGAAGTAAATGCCCTGTCCAGTGGGGTAGGATGAACGGCGGTGGGCAGGGCTCCCCCTGGAAACGGCCGTGAAAACAGACGGCTTGTTCTGCAAGATGCTCTCGGTCGAGAGGGACTCACCAGGGGCTGCTGAGTGTCCCCAGGGTCTTTGCAGCGGTCCAGCCAGGGTTCTCTGAGAACACCCTGCGGTCAGCCACAGGGAACCAGGCTGTCTCCGAGGCTGACTGCGGGGCTGGGTGGGGCTGCTGTGGCCCTGGAGGTCTCTGAGGGGCTTTCACAGCAGTCCCTGGCACAGGACAGATGAGTCCTTTGACTCCGGTCTTCTTCCCCGAATACGGGAGACCTCCTAGGTTGGCCGGAATGGAGTTCTTTTGACACAAGGCTACTTCTAATTCCTGCGTTTGGAAAGTTCTCTGGGTTTTTGAGCACTGCTCATATTTGGACAACGGATGTATTTCAACAGAGCCTTAAAAGAACACGGCTGTTTTGGAGGTGAGGGGCTACCGAGTCCTTTTAGGGAGGGCAGAAATTGGGGGCCCCTTCCAGGATGACCAAGGACTTGTCAGTGGCACAGCACTAGGCACCGAGGAGCCTGCTGGTGAAATTCTGCTCTGCTTCCCGGGGTCATCTCTCATCTCCTGGGGAATTGCAAAGCCACGATCTTGATGGAGTCATTTTGTCCTCATCCCAGTGGAGCCACGAGCAAGGTGAGGGAGGCAGAGGAGAGAAACCCTTGTCTGCCGGTTGTGTGTGTGGAAGGTCTCTGCTTAGAGCTCGCACATCCATGGAGAGTCAGAAGTCAAGCCAGCCAGGACAGTGGGTGTGGGGGGTTGGAGGGAGCATGTGTTGGTTCCTGCGTCCCTAAGAAGTCGCTGCATGCCACGCCCTTCTGTCTGGTGCCTGAACTTCCACCCTGGGCAGTCCACTTTCGGGTACTCACAGTGCCCTTTTCCAACACACGTGCTGGCGTCTGTTGTTTATCCCTTAGTGTTAATGAGTTCATGGTCCTTGAAAGGGAGAACACGTTGAATGACCTTTCACTTGCAGGGGTGGGCTGGGATGGGCCTGGCAGTGTGAGGTGGTCACCACACAGCATCTCCTCTATTCCAGCAGCACCTCAAGGTGGGACCTTCCTTTCCCTTCCTGCCCACCCCATTCACAGAGCCCCGCGCCCCTCCCTCCTCTCCCCACATGACCAATTCATCTGTCTTCTTTTTTTTTGTTTGAGACGGAGTTTCACTCTTGTCCCCGGGGCTGGAGTGCAATGGCGCGATCTTGGCTCACTGCAACCTCTGCTTTCTGGGTTCAGGCGATTCTCCTGCCTCAGCCTCCTGAGTAGCTGGGATTACAGGCGCGTGCCACCATGCCCAGCTAATGTTTTGTATTTTTAATAGAGACGGGGTTTCATCATACTGGCCAGGCTGGTCTCGAACTCCTGACCTCAGGTGATTTGCCCACCTCGGCCTCCCAAAGTGCTGGGATTACAGGCGTGAGCCACCACGCCCGGCCATGTTGTTGTTTTCTGTCACCCAGGCTGGAGTGCAGTGGTGCAATCATAGCTCACTGCAGCCTTGATGTCCTGGGCTAAATTGATCCTCCCGCCTCAGCCTCCCAACTAGCTGGGACCACACACATGCACTACCACGCATAGCTATTTATTTTTTTGTAGAGACGGGTCTCACTGTTGCCCTGGCTGGTCTGGAAATCCTGGATTCAAGCAGTCCTCTAGCCTCTCCCTCCAAAAGTGCTGGGCTTACAGGTATGAGCCGCTATGCCCAACCAAGCCACAGCTGCTGCCTAGGGAGTAGCGCAGCTCCCCCTCCCAGCTTCCAAGGCCTGCAGGCGCCACCCCTCTGCACTAGTGTGGGTTAGGGGAGATTCTGCCTGCAGCTCCCACCTGGGACCCAGGCCAAGGCCAGCCTCCCCACACCCTCCCTTGGGCACTGCCTTCTTCCGGGACTGCTCCTCACGGGCCTGCTGTGGGGCCGGAGTCCCCACCTTCCCAAGCCCCCAGGTGGCCCGTGAGGATGCAGAGGAGATGCCCCCAGGCCTCGCTCCTCACCTGCTGGGCTGCAGAAACTCACTCCAGCCCTGGCTTGTACACCCAAGAAAGGGGCTGGGATGGTGCTCTGGAGGGGCCCAGTGGGGACAGGCAGTGAGGGGCACTAGGGAGAGGGGGGCCCAGCTGTGCGGGACCGGGGGATGCCCTGGGTGTCACGTGTCAAGATGGCCTGGCCTGGTGTCCCCCAGGAGCCCTCCCCTCCCAGCTCAGCAGAGCGGGGGCCACGCCTCACTGCAGTGGGAGGGGGTGGAAGTCACAGGACCCAGCAGGTTCAGCCTCCTGGTGGGGGCCGGCAAGTTGGGGCCTCTCTCTCTGTGACCCTGGGTGCCTTCTCTCCTGCCCACGGGCTGAGCCTCGGGTGGTGGCTGGAGGAGGGACCAGCAAGTCCCACCTCCCCACACAGAAGGCACTCCGCCAGTCCCCTCATCCACGGTCAGAAATGTGGAAGATTTTGTTCTGGGCAGAAATTGCCCAAAATACTCATCTGTGGTATAGGGGTCGGGGTGGGGGCCAGGGCTACACCAGACAGCACCCCCAAGGCAGCTTGGATAGGTGTCACCCAGGTCAAGAGGGGCTTGGCCTCATTTGGACACAGTCTTTGGAGAAAGAAAAGAGCAGCCAGGGTGGGGGGCGTGGGTCGCAGTGAGCTGGGCCAGGGACCTTGAGGACAATAGGAACAGAGTAGGCATGCAGTGTCCCCAGACTCCGATGGCCACCGGGGCCGGGGGAGAGACTGGAGCCCAAAGTCCCCCCCTAGGCAGCCAAAGGGAAGTGAAAGGGGAGCCCCCCTCCAGCTCCCTCCTGGCAGCTCCCCACCAGCCCCTCAACTCCCCAGCACCACCCCAGGGATCCAGTGGACACTGGGGACTATGGCGGCGGGTCAGGCTTCACCCCTGCACAGGGACATTGTTTTAGTCTCCGAGATGGGATAGAACCGTCAATAGTACAGAAGGAGAGAGCAAAACGAGACAGCGTTAGGGGCGAGAAAGGAAAGAGGGAGGAGGATTGAAAGGGAGGAAATTGAAGGGAGAGACAGGCAAACTGTCAGAAGGGGAAGAAATGAGGCCAGGAGCATTGTTGGGAGGGGGGCCTGGGGGAGCCCTCTGCTCTGCGTGCCAAGGCCAATCCCTGAATTGCCGCAGCAAGACCGTGTGACCTCACAGTTGGCTCTTTTTCCACCAAACGCATCGGTGGTGAGCACAGGAACCAGAAAGGCTTGAAACAGGCAAGTGGCACCTGGCCCTGGAAGGGATGGCCATCCCAGAATATCCCACGGGCGCCGCACCAGCCTCCTCATGGATCAGCCAAGAGGCAAATATAAACAATCAGATTTTGTTTAAAAAAATTAATAACTAGTTACTGGTAGAAAGAACATGAAATAAAAAGGATGCACACAGCCCAGTCTGGTTCCCGTGGGGAACTGGTCTTGGAAATAATGGCCCCCAAATGAAAGGCACAGTGCCAGGAACTGTAATTGGAAGTGATTCTAATGAAATCATTTCAGCAAATAAAAAGGAAAAGTGTTTTTTGTTTTGTTTTGTTTTTTGTTTTTGAGAGTGAGTTTCGCTCTTTGTTGCCCAGGCTGGAATGCAGTGGTGCCATCTCGGCTCACTGAAACCTCCACCTCCTGGATTCAAGTGATTCTCCTGTCTCAGCCTCCAAAGTGGCTGAAATTACAGGTGCCCACCACCACGCCCGGCTAATTTTTGTATTTTTAATAGAGATGGGGTTTCACCATGTTGGCCAGGCTGGTCTCAAACTCCTGACCTCAGGTGATCCGCCCACCTCGGCCTCCCAGAGTGTTGAGATTATAGGCGTGAGCCACTGTGCCCGGCTGGAAAAGTGTTTTTCAAACCACTTGGTGTTGTATTGAAAATGGATCAAGGAATTAAATTGGCTTGTTGGAAAATTCACTCTAGAAAGCTGTGTTTATATGACAATGTAGAATGAGAATGTGCACTGTGCTGTTTGTATTTATATGCACAGGATAAAACAGCCACTGGGTCAGCATGGGGGTCCCCTACACAGACCCCTCCCCTCTATCCAGGGCCCCAGCACCCTTTCTGGGCCAGGCTCAGGGCCCTGGGTCTCAGCCGGGGACGGGACTTGGTGGGGGTGGGGGGGGCATATGGGTCTCAGCCTCGGACGTGGAGGGGACTTGGTAGGGATGGGGGGGGGCGCATGAGCCTCAGCCTCGGACATGGAGGGGACTTGGTGGGGGTGGGGGTGGGGGGCCACATAGGCCTCAGCCTCCGATGTGGAGGGGACTTGGTGGGAGTGGGAGGGCCACATGGGCCTCAGCCTCGGACGTGGAGGGGACTTGGCGATGGGGGGCGCAGCGGGGTGGGGCTCACGGGTTGGCGGGCTCCTCGGGGGGCTTCCTGCCGACTCGGGACTCAATGTGTGGAGCTCTTGAGAGCCTGGTGGACCCTGGGGCCTGCTGGGGGTCCCTTAGGGATGGAATCAGCGGTGGCAGCAGCAGCAGAGGTGGCAGGGAAGGTGGTCGAGCTGGCATCGTCAGGTGAGGGCCCGAGGCAGCTGAGCAGGCACTGGAGCGGGGGCACAGGGCTGGGGAGGGGCAGGAGAAACCCTAGATGTGTGCCAAGAACCTTCTTGGGAGACACTAGCCTGATGGGGCCATCCCCACTAAAGAGAAGAGAAGCCCAGGACTAGAAGTGCTGTACAGGCCATGGCCGGCTGGGCACCATACCTCACCTGGGCCCTGGGCACCCTAAATGTCCTGGGTGGGTGACCCAAGATAAATGACACCAGGAATGTTTGCTTAAATGGAGCAGAGCCCCCGGGAGAGAACATGAAGCTTGGAGTCCACGGATCTGGGCTCAGCTCCCAGCTCACTAGCTCTGTGATCTTGGGCCACAGCTCAAAGTGACCGAGCCTCTGCTCCCTCCTCTGTGAAATGGGCAAACAGTGCCTGCCTCACAGGAGTCGGGATGAGGTTCTGATGAGATAAGGGAGAAACTGCCTTGTAAACTGTAAAGTACCCTCAGGTGCCTGCTACGTGGTGATCCGAACCAGAGAAGCTCAGTTCCTTCCAACCTCAGTTCCCTTGTTGCCGCCCCTGCAGCTGGGTGGACGCTGGGGACAGATGCTTGGCCTGGGCACCGGGGATGGCACCGGGGCCAGGAATCATCTCTGAAGTGCCATAGGCAGGCAAAGCAGGCAGGAGGTGGAGGAGGTGGACAGGAGAGCCCAGGCGGGGTGTGGGGGATGGGATGAGACGAGGAGGGACTGGAGACCCTTCCAGAATCACAGCTGGGCTGGGGCTGGGAACCAGGTACTCACGGGGGCAGATGGCGCCAAATAGGGCACTGGAGTGCACACGGTCATACAGGCTTTGTGACGGGGGAGATGGAGCCTTCACAGCTTAGCAGAAAAGAAAAGAGACAGGTGTGGGTGGCATCCACCCCTGGGCCTGTGTCAGGCCGATCCCAGCACTGGGCAGTCTCCCTCTGGTGGGACCAACCCCATTTCCCAGGCTCCCCGGTCCATTCCTTTATGGGATAATCAATGTTCTTCCCTCCTTGGCTTCTTTTTTTTTTTTTTTCTTGAGGCAGGGTCTCCGCTCTGTCACCTAGGCTGGAGCGCACGCAGCCTTGAACTCCTGGGCTCAAGCAATCCTCCTAACTCAGCCTCCCGAGTAGCTGGGACTACAGGTGTGCCCCACTACTCCCGGTTAATTGTTTAAATGTTTCCTAGGGAGGAGGTCTCGCTATGTTGCTCAGGCTAGTCTTGAACTCCTGGGCTCAAGCTATCCTCCCACCTTGACCTCCCAAAGTGGTGAAATTACAGGCGTGAACCATTACGCCCAGCCTTCCTTGCCTTCTTGAGTGGAGAGTGTCTCAAGGCTAAGAAAGAAAAGAAGGCTCTTTGAAAGTAACTCTAGGCCAGAGAGGAGTGTGACGTGATTTCAGCACAGTAAGACACAGGTGAAATGCTGGCAGGGCTATTTATGGTTTAGCTGTCCCGCTGGGGGCCAGAGCACCTAAATGCCCCCATCTTCCTGTCCTTCACCTTTGTTTTTTTTTCATTATTCGAAGTAAAATCCACATAACGTAAAATTAACCAGTTTAAAGTGCACAATTCAGAGGCATTTAGGACGCACACAGCGTTGCACACCACCACCACTATCTTGTTCTGAAACTTTCCCATTACCCCAAAAGGGGCCCTGTCCCCATTAAGCAGTCACTCTCCCTTTCCCCGCCCCAAACCCCAGCCCCTGGAAATCACCAATTTTCCTTCTGTCTATAGATTTTTCTATTCTGGACATTTCTTTTCTTTTTTCTTTCTTTTTTGTTTGAGACCAAGTCTCATTCTTTTGCCCAGGCTGCAGTGCAGTGGCGCAATCATGGCTCACTGCAGCTGGAACCTCCTGGGCTCAAGTGATCCTCCCGCCTCAGCCCCCCAAGTAGCTGGGACTGCAGGGAGCCTCACTATGCCCTGCTAATTTTTGTATTTTTTATAAAGGCGGGGTTTCACGATGTTGCCCAGGTTGGTCTCGAACTTCTGGGCTCAAGTGATCCTCAGGCTTCAGCTTCCCAAAGTGCTGGGATTACAGGTGTAAGCCACTATACCTGGCTTTGAGTCTGTTTTGAGTTAGAAAGTTCTTTTGGGGAAATAAATGAGTGACAACAGCAAACTGATCAAGATCTGGCCACAGACAGGTTTCCAATTGATTTCTAATACAGAAGGTCCCTGATTTATGATGGTTTGACTTACCACTTTTCAGCTTTAAGATGCTATAAATCCGTCACAATTTCAATGTAATATATAGTAGTCAATAAGTTACATGAGGCCGGGCGCAGTGGCTCACACCTGTAATCCCAGCACTTTGGGAGGCTGAGACAGGTGGGTCACTTGAGGCCAGATGTTTGAGACCAGCCTGGCCAACATGGCAAAACCCCATCTGTACTAAAAATACAAAAATTATCCAGGCGTGGTGGCGCACGCCTGTAGTTCCAGTCACTTGGAAGGCTGAAGAGGGAGGATTTCTTGAGCCCAGGAGGTTGAGATGGCAGTGAGCTGAGATCGCCCCACTGCACTCCAGCCTTGGCAACAAGAGCGAAACTCCGTCTCAAAAAAAAAAAAAAGATGAAGCAGTTGACGCCATCATGATTCAAGTCCTGGCTTGCTGTGTGGGTCTTGGGAATGAATGAGCCAAGGGGGAAAGCCCCTCCCTCTAGATGACAGCCCTTGGGGAGGCCAGTGAATGAGTGGGGACAGGACTGGGTGCATCAGATGTGGACTCCATCTGCCCTGGCCGCCCGGCAAGCAGCCCTCACTCAGCTGGTCATTTGTGAAACTCCTTGGCAGGTTGTTGGAGGGTGAAGGAGGTGGGGCAGGGCCTGGCACGAAGTCGGGGTTCATTAAATATTAGCCACCGTTGTGATCCTGCCTGGTGATCCCTGACGCCCAGCCTGAGCCCTCCCAGCAGATACCAGGCAGGGGGCAGGGGCTGGAACGGCCAGTCCTCTCGAGGAGAAGCCACATCCCGCCCAGGAGAATGCAGGGTTTGAGACGGTGTCTGGCCCGCCTGGAAACAGGGTGTGTTGAATGTGCTCCCCAAAAAGATACATCTCCTAGAAGCTGTGAATGTGACCTTATTTGGAGAAAGGGTCTTTGCAGGTATAATTAGCTTAAGGATCTTGAGATGAGATCATCCTGGGTTAGGTCGGGCACAAATCCAAAGACAAATGTCCTTATGGGGGACAGAGGAGAGGACACACAGAAGAGAAGCTCACATGGGGACAGAGAAGTGCCAGGGAGTGCCATCGGCCCCAGAAGCTGAAGAGACAGGGAGGGACCCTCCTCAAGCCTTTGGAGGGAGTGCAGCCCTGCTGACTCCTTGATTTAGGATTTCCAGCCTCCAGGACAGCGGGAGGATCAACTCTGGCTGTATTTTGTTTTTGTTGTTGTTGTTGTTTGGTTTTGTTCTGTTCTGTTTTTGTTTGTTTGTTTGTTTGTTTTTGAGACAGGGCCTGGCTCTGTCGCCCAGGCTGGAGTGCAGTGGTGAGATCATGGCTCACTACAGCCTCAAATTCCCGGGCTCAAGCGATCCTCCTGCCTCAGCCTCCTGAGAAGCTGGGACTACAGGCGCACGCCACCATGCCCAGCTAATTTGTTGTTGCCCAGCTGGAACTTCAGCTGTTTTTTTTTTTTTTTTTTGAGACGAAGTCTCGCTCTGTTGTCCAGGCTAGAGTGCAGTGGCGTGATCTTGTTTCACTGCAACCTCTGCCTCCTGGGTTCAAGTGATTCTCCCGCCCCAGCCTCCTGAGTAGCTGGGATTAACGGCGTGTGTCACCATGGCTGGCTAATTTTTGTATTTTCAGTACAGACGAGGTTTCACCATGTTGTTCAGGCTAGTCTTGAACTCCTGACCTTGTGATCCGCCCGCCTCGGTCTCCCAAAGTGCTGGGATTACAGGCGTGAGCCACCGTGCCCGGCCAATGGGACGGCGTGCTACATGGGCCGGGGAATGAAGGAACTTCAGCTGCTTTAAGCCACCCTGCTTGTGGTAATTTGTCTCGGCAACCCCAGGAGACGAATCAGGGTGCCTCCTCCTTTGCCCAGCACATTGATGAAACAGTCCCCCTTCCCTTCTTCCATGTCTGGTCTTCGAGTCAATGGAGGCACAGCGTTGGCAAGAAAGAATTTCTGCCGGTGGGCCAGGCGCAGAGGCTCATGCCTGTAATCCTTGCACTTTGGGAGGCTGAGGCAGGTGGATCACTTGAGGCCAAACATGGTGAAACCCCGTCTCTACTAAAAAATACAAAAATTTAGCCGGGCGTGGTGGTGCGTGCCTGTTATCCCAGCTACTCGGGAGGCTGAGGCAGGAGAATCGCTTGAACCCGGGAGTTGGAGGTTGCAGTGAACCGAGATCGCACCACTGCACTCCAGCCTGGGCGACAGAGCAAGACTCCGCCTCAAAAACAAACAAACAACAACAACAACAACAACAAAAAACCAGAATTTCTGCAGGTGGAGTTCAGGCCCCGGCCATCTTGTGGCTCCGGGACTGCTCCTTATGGGGCGGCGTGTAGCTCCCACCCAGGGGCAAAATTTAGAACTCCCCATCCCCAAGGGGGAAGAGCCTTCAAGGGGTGTGCAGAGAAGGCTCCTCTTTTTGTCCTTCGAACCCAGTGATGGACTCCAGAGTCTTGGGGTCCCAGCAGGAGCCGGCCAGAGCCGGGCCTCAGCACTGCAGCAACCACATTGACTGATTCCAGATGTGCACAATTCTGGGTCTCCCGCTGGCCCAACCCTTGCCTGTGATATTAACACACAGCTTCTGGGGTCTGGCCCAAGTCTCCTCCTTGTCACCCCACTGCCCCACCCCAGTCTCCACCCTTCAGGGAGACTCGGCGTCCTGAGCTCCTGCCTGTGAGTGGCTTCCACCCACCACAGGGCCTTTGCACCCACCGTTCCTGCCACACGACCACTCTCCTCTCACCCGACCCCTTCATCCAGCTAAGTCCTAGTCCCTCTTCAAGGGCTTCAGGGCAGCTGTCCAGTCCGTCCTCCGTGGACTGGCGTCCCTTGGCACCAGCCCAGCACCTTTCCTAGCTCATCGTCCTTCGTCACAGGCCATGGTCCTGTGGCCACGGCCCTCTCTCTGGTCAGCTGTTGATCTCGGGAACAGCAGATCCTCGCTCCCGCGGTCTCCCTCCCCCATTGCAAAGACTGAGTCTCCTGGGGGCCTGCTGTGACCCAATTTTTGTGACTGACTGTGTGAGGACTCCCCGGTCAGGGATAGTGCTGGCTCTGGGCCCCACCTGCACCCTCTCACCCTGCCCAGCAGAACCAGGGCCCCAGGCAAGGGTGCCCCAGGGAGCCCTACGCCCCTCACCTGCCAGCTCCTTTGCGACGGCCAAGGGCTGAGCCCCACGCTGGCTGTTCACGCGGCCTTTGTACAGGATCCCATCCACGCCCAGGATGTCCACCTCGGCCTGTTGGATGGCCCAGGTCCCGGGTTAGGGAGCCCCCGACCCGATCTGCCCCCGAACTTTGGTACACGCAGAAGCCCAGGAGACAGAGTGCAGCCTCTGCTGGGGTTGCCCACTGCTCAGTGCCTGGTCCCACACCTGGGGCTGGGGTGCGCTGACGTCCACCCTCTGAGAAGGAGGCCCCGGCCAGACTCACGCTGTCATAGTCGATCACGTGGGGATCCCCGTAGGGATAGAGCGTCAACAGGTTGCAGGACTTGCACTTGAGGCTGGTGGCGTTTTGGGGGCCATCACCCCAGTCCTGCTGACAATCCTCCTGGATACCGAGGTCCTGGAGCTGCAGCCACTGCTGTTCCCTGCAGCAGGGCAGTGGGTCAGCAGCGACCTGGAGACCCTGTACCCCAGAGCCCAGGACGGGCCCCAAGGGCCTGGCCAGCATCGAGGGAAGACCAGCATTTCTTTCAGCTTGTGTTTAGCTGGCACAGCCAGGCAGGCCTGGGGCCTGGCGGATGGATACAGACACACACAGTGGGGCAGAGGAATCAAATTGAGACCTGCATTTCCCCAGACCCAGCCATTTCCCTTTGGACCCCTGGCCTGAAGAGCGTGTCCTTCTAATCTCTTGATCTCAAGGAGCCAGGGAGGGAGGGTGGCAGAGTCAGCACAGGCCCCCACGTCCCTCCCCTTCCCACGGCTGTGGTGACGATTCACCGGTTCTTCCCCCACCTGGCCAGACGTCCCCACAGCAGGGTTGGAGGCTGGGGAGATCCATAGAGCTGTGGGATGTCAGGAGGTTGAGGGGTGGGGCTGGCACCCAGGGAGCCAGCTGGGTGCGGTGGAAACCTGAGGGTTTGGACATCAGCCCTGGACTTGCTAGCAGTGACCTTGGGCAGGTCACTGCAGTTCTCTGAGCCTCAGTTTCTTCAACTGTGACATGGGATGGTACCAGGATACATCTTAGAGGGCAGCTGTGAGGACTCAACAAGGCCAGGTGAGCCCCAGCGCTTGGCACAGTGCCTGCCGGGCACAGCAGCGGCTCCCTGAGGGTTCCCCATCATCACCGATTCCCTCCGCCAAGAAACAGGGACATGGGCATAGGAACCCTAGCTCACAGGGGGTTGTGAGATTTAAATAAGAAACCGTCTAACAGTTCCTGGCCCACAATAGATGTGCAGTAAATATGTCAGTTCCTCCCTCCGCCATCATCTCGTGGGCCTGTCTGCCGCCCCAGCCACCTCTCGGAGTGCCTGTCTTGCGAAGGGCTGGCCATGTCCAGGACAATCTTAGGTCCCTGGGCCTGGAGGATGTGTCTCTGCAGGAACAGGGTTCCCAGGCTCCAGAGTGGCCTCCATGCGGGGCGGCCTCCCTGCGGGGCGCCCATCCTGCTCACCTCATCTGTTGCCGCTGCAAGTACTCGCAGCTGTTGGCGCTGGCTGGCCGCAGCCGGGACAGCAGGTGGGCTTTGCGGATGGTGATCAGCTGTCTGTTGGAGGACAAGGGCACAGCAGGGGCTGTGGGAGGCGTGCTAGGCCAGCAGAGGGCTCGTCTCCCACCCCTCCAGGAAGCCTTCCCAGCAGGAGGAAGGAGGTGCAGACTCAGGTCACCACCCTCGAATGCCAGAAGCGTCCACAGCATAGAAGTAGAAGGGGCCCCCCCGAAAGGCATCTCAGGACCTCTGATCATCACAGTAAGACACAAAAAACAATTGTTCTATTTCCAAAAGTAAAAACCAGGCTAGGCGCGGTGGCATACACCTATGATCCCAGCACTTTGGGAGGCTGAGGTGGGCGGATCACCTGAGGTCAGGAGTTTGAGACCAGCCTTGCCAACATGGCCTTTTTTTTTGATATGAGGTCTCACTGTCACCCAGGCTGGAGAGCAGTGGCACAATCCTAGCTCACTACAGCCTCGAACTCCTGGGCTCAAGCCATCCTCCCATCTCAGCCTCCTGAGTAGCTGGGACTATAGGCAGGCGCTATCATACAAGGCCGCATATTTGTATATTTTTGATGGCTGTAGAACAGTGTATGTGGACATGTGTATCTTGAAGGCTGGGGAACCCTGTATATGAATGTGGATACACATGGCACATACAGAACAGTGTACATGGATGTGTATGGACTTGACGGTACAGAACAGTGGATGTGGATGTGTAGATACCTGGTGCATAGAGAATGGTGCATGTGGGCGTGTATGGACTTGATGGCTGGAGAGAATGCTGTATATGGATGTGTAGACACACAGCGTGCATGGAACGGTGCACATGGAGGTGCACGGAGATGACCTCCATGGGCCCCACAAGCCCTTAGGGCCGGGGCACCCTGGGCGGTGGTACTCACGGGCCAGTCATCATCTCCACAGGCCGGTCACAGGAGATGCACTTCACGCGCTTGAACAGCTTCCTGAAAGGCACATGATCATCAGCCGCTGCCCCTGCTGGGCCCAGGCCATGTGTGGGAGGCTGCAGCCAGCCAGAGCCCCAGGGCTGCATCCCTCCTGCCAGTGCCCGGCCCAGCTCAGCCCCACAGGCCCTGCAGTCTCCAACCACTCTTGTGGTTTCTCTGCCGCCCCAAACACAACGGATGGTTTTTAAAGCTGTGTGAGGGGTGGTCTGAGGACAGGAGCCCCATAAATATTGGGTCCCTCTGCCTGGGGCACTGTCTGGGTGGGGGTCAGGGGTCCTGGATCTGCCCAGTCCCCTTCCCTCTCTGAGCCTTGGTTTCCCCATTGGCAGGAATAGGGCTGGATCACCTCTGCCAGCTCAGGCCAGAGCTTCCCTCCTCCTCAGTGCTTTCAGCCACAGCCAAGCCCCCATCCCCTCATCCAAAGGTCTGGAATCTTTCCTCCCAGAGCTTCCAGGGTGTGTTCCCCACAGCCTGGGCAGCAGGACCCCTACCAGGAGGGGCTCGGGCGGGCACTCACCTCCTAAAGCCAGCAGCACTGTCAGGATCCAGTCTTAAGCCCTCAATCAGCAGCTTCCGGACGATTTTCCAGACCTCTTCCATTTCTTTCTTCAAGGGATCCAGATCACTGTGGACTAACTGCCAACAGCCAAGGGGAAGATAAGAAAGAATACTCTATGAATTCACACCCTGCCTCCTTCCAGAAGAGGGTTGCAGCAACCTGGGAAGTTACACGGTGTAACAAAATTCAACTAAAATAGTGAGGGAGTCCAGGAAAGGGAAAATGACACAGCTTCGATGAGGCTCAACCCCTACTAGATGCTATTGGTAGAGGGGAGCTGCAAGGTGAGCTTCCTAGCAGCAGAAGCAAAAAACACCATCAGCTACTGTCTGCAAAAGACCAAATCAAACCAAGCTCAGCTGCAGGCTGGGCGGTCTGAGACACCTTTCTGGCAATGGTCCCACTGCACCTGACATTCACACACTCAACACATGTTTATTGACGGTCTGTATGTAAAGTGGGCAGGTTTATGGCGTTTAGTATATTTACAGAGTTGTGTGACCATCATAATCAATCGTATTTATTTATTTATTTTTAATTTTATTTATTTATTTTTGAGACAGAGTCTCGCTCTGTTGCCCAGGCTGGAGCGCAGTGGTGCAATCTCTGCTCACTGCAACCTCCGCCTCCCGGGTTCAAGCAATTCTTCTGCCTCAGCCTCCCAAGTAGCTGGGACTACAGGTGCGTGTTACCACACCTGGCTTTTTTTTGAGAGGGAGTTTCGCTCTTGTTGCCCTGGCTGGAGTACAGTGGTGTGATCTCAGCTCACTGCAACCTCCGCCTCCCAGGTTCAAGCAATTCTCCTGCCTCAGCCTCCCAAGTAGCTGGGATTACAGGCGTGTGCCCCCAAACCCGACTAATTTTTTTTTTTTTTTTTTTTACTTTTAGTAGACATGGGGTTTCACCATGTTAGCCAGGCTGGTCTCAAACTCCTGACCTCAGGTGATCCGCCCACCTCAGCCTCCCAAAGTGCTGGGATTACAGACGTGAGCCACCACGCCCAGCCTAATCTTTGTATTTTTAGTACAGACGGGGTTTCACCATATTGGCCAGGCTGGTCTCAAACTCCTGACTTCATGATCTGCCCGCCTCAGCCTCCCAAAGTGCTGGGATTACAGGTGTGAGCCACCGCACCTGGCCTTATTTATTTACTTTTATTTTATTTATTTATTTATTTATTTTTGAGACAGAGTTTCACTTCTGTTGCCCAGGCTGGAGTGCAATGGTGCGATCTTGGCTCACTGCAACCTCCACCTCCCGGGTTCAAGCGATTCTCCTTGCCTCAGTCTCCCGAGTAGCTGGGATTACAGGCCCCCACTACCACATCCGGCTAGTTTTGTATTTTTAGTAGAGACAGTGTTTCACCATGTTGGTCAGGCTGGTCTCGAACTCCTCATCTCAAGTGATCCACCCATCTCTGCCTCTCAAAGTGCTGGGATTACAGGTGTGAGCCACCGCGCCTGGCCAAAAATAGTTTTTTAAAGTAGAGATGGAGTCTCTCTATGTTGCCAGGATTGGTCTCAAACCCCTGGGCTCAAGTGATCCTCCCATCTCAACCTCCCAAAGTGCTGGGATTATAGGTGTGAGCCACTGTGCCACCCGAGGGAGTATTTTTTTGAGACGGAGTCTTGCTCTGTCGCCCAGGCTGGAGTGCAGTGGCGCTATCTCGGCTTACTACAAGCTCTGCCTCCCGGGTTCAGGCCATTCTCCTGCCTCAGCCTCCCAAGTAGCTGGGACTACAGGCGCCCGCCACCAGGCCTGGCTAATTTTTGTTGTATTTTTTAGTAGAGATGGGGTTTCACCGTGTTGGTCAGGATGGTCTCAATCTTCTGACCTCGTGATCTGCCCGCCTCAGCCTCCCGAAGTGCTGGGATTACAGGCGTGAGCCACCGTGCCTAGCCGATGGAGTATTTTTTTTAAGTTACAGAAATGGTGACATTTCACTAATAAATATTTGAGTGTGATAACATTTTATTATATAACCACAACACTATTATCATGTTTAATACAATTAGCAACTATTCCTGAATTGGATGTCATCTCCAGCCCATTTGTAGATGTGGTTCAATTAAACCAGGAAACAAGTAAAATCTCTTCATGTGTTGCTTTTGGTTGTTCTGCGCCCATTTTTTTTTTTTTTTGTGAGATAGGGTTTCACTCTGAGTGCCTGCCAGGGTGCTCCTGCTGCCCAGGCTGGAGTGCAGTGGCACGATTTTGGTTCACTGCAGTCTCAACCTCCCAGGCTCAGGTATTCTCTCACCTCAGCCTCCTGAGTAGTTGGAAATGCAGGTATGTGCCACCACACCTGGCTTTTTTTTTTTTTTGGTAGGGGGACAGAGTTTCACCATGTTGCCCAGGCTGGTCTTGAACTCCTGGGCTCAAGTGATCTGCCTGCTTTGGCCTCCCAAAGTACTGGGATAACAGGCGTGAGCCACCACAACTGGCTGCAATGTCTTTTATGATGGAAGGTGGTCACCCTCCATCATCTCTCTAATATCCTGTAGGTTACACAAGCTGGTCCCATTCAATGTGGGAGGGGGCTAAACAACTGTGTGAATACCAAGAGGTATGGTTGGCGACCGCCCTGGAGGCTAACTATGCCACTCTCCTGGCTGCGTAAGTGCAGGGATGTGGGGTGGAGGAGGAGAGTCTCTGAGGGACTGTGACAGTCATTCATTTATTCATTCATCGTTTACTGACTGCCAGTGATGTGTCAGACCCCGGGGAAGTGTCTAGAGGAGTCACAGCCCCTTCCTCATAGTAGACTGGAACAGTTGGTCCAACAACAGTGCTACATGGTTCTTGCAACTGAGGTGGCTGGACTGGCCCAAAGAGGTTAAATTAGGTTTAGAATCAGGCAGCTCTGGGTTTGAGTCTCAAGCTCCACCATGAGCAGCAGCGTTTCCTGAGGGAAGTATAATAACCTCTCTGAGGCTCAGTGTTCTCCTCTGTGAAATGGGGATCAATTCATTTATTGACTATGTATGGGGCAGGTGCCCAGAGTGAGGCCCTGTATGAAAAAAAAAAAAAAAAAAAAAAAAGACATTGCTGCTTCTTCCTTCCCCTCTTGGATCATTTGATCTGGGAGATGTCAGCTGCAATGTCATGAGGACTCTCAAGTGGCCCAAAGGCAGAGTCCATGGGATGAGGAACTGAAGAGTGTTACCAACAGCCATGTGAGGGAATCTCTTTGAATTGGCTCATCCAGCCTCATTCGAGCCTTCAGATGAGACCAGCCCTGGATGACATCTTGACTGCAATTTCACAGGAAACCCTGAGCCACCCAGCTAAGTTGCTGGGTCACTCCCAAATTCTTGCTCCTCCTAAACTGAAAACGTTTGTTGTTTGCAGTTGCTAAGTTCTGGGTTAATTTGTTAGGAATAAAGTGAAAATCAACATGGGGGCATTCACCTTGGTGTTCACGTCCTTGCTGAGCTCCTCCATAGCCTTCTTCCAGCTGTCCTCATGGATCGTGACCTTGAAGAGTATGCCCTGAATCATCTCGTTCAGCTCCAAGGCCACAGTCTCCAGGTCAACGCGGCTTGCCTTGCCTGCCAGGGCACTCCTGTCAGCTTTCTAGGGAGACAGGGAGTTCAGGGAGGCATGGCTGCTGGGATGGAGGAAGGCAAAGCTGGGAGACATCACACCCCTTGGGTCTGATGCTTCTAGTTTGGGACTCTGGACTTTTAGCCTTGGCTTAAATGCAACCCTGGGGTCTACGTGGATTCAAACACGATCTCGAGATCAAAGCCAAGGTTTTCCTATAACAGGGAAGTTGATGTATTTTATTATTATGTGTTTTTTTGAGACAGGATCTTGTTCAAGGTTGCCCAGGCTGGATTGCAGTGGCACAATCATAGCTCACTGCAGCCTCCACCTCTTGGGCTCAAGGGATCCTTCCACCTCAGCCTCCTGAGTGGCTGGGACTACAGGCATGTTCCATCATGCCCAGTTCATTTTTTTATTTTTTTGTAGAGATGTGATCTTCCTATGTTTCCCAGGCTGTTCTCAAACTCTTGGCCTCAAGTGATCCTATCTTCTCGGCCTCCCAAAGTGCTGGGATTACAGGTATGAGCCACCCTGTGCACAGCTGATGTGTGATTTTCAAGTAGAGTGTTAATAATCCTCAATTGCTGAAAATGGGAGTTGATGTGCCTCCTGTTTTCCTTTCTTTTCTTTCTTTTTCTTTCTTTCTTTTTTTTTTTTTTTTTTTGAGACAGAGTTTTTGCTCTTGTTGCCCAGGCTGGAGTGCAATGGCATGATCTTGGTTCACTGCAACCTCTGCCTCCCAGGTTCAAGTGATTCTCCTGCCTCAGCCTCTCAAATAGCTGAGATTACAGTTACCTGCCACCACGCCTGGCTACTTTTTGTATTTTGACTAGAGACGGAGTTTCATCATGTAGGCCAGGCAGGCTGGTCTCGAATTCCTGACCTCAGGTGATCCACCCGCCTTGGCCTCCCAAAGTGCTGGGATTACAGGCATGAGCCACTGCGCCCAGCCAACTCCTGGTTTCAATATGAACAAAGGGGGAGGGAAATTCTGGAAGACTCTTTGGTGGGCTTTGCCTGGATGGTGCCGTTTCCCTGGGTAGGGGAGCAGGGAAGGCAGAGGAACCTCTGCTCACTCACCTCTCTCAGCTCCTCCTCCATCGTGCTCTTATTCACCTTGTTCATTTCCAGTCTTTTGATTTGAGCCTGGAGAGTCTAAGAACAGAAGCACAGGCATGTCTGCCATCCTGGAGAGCCTTGAGGATAAAATGTCAACCTCCCACCTCTACCATTACCATATGCTGGGGAGGGATAGCAGGCCGTGTGGACAGCAGGCAGGTGGGCATGGGCGTTACAAGACTCAGGCTCAAGGGCTCCAGGTGCCCAGATGAAAAGGGAAGGAACGTGCGACTTGGGACAAGCTGTCCCCTCAGAGATGGTATCATAGGAACTTTCCTCCACGGGGAGTTAGACCCAAGGAAGGAAAGCACAAACCAATGTGGACGATTTCGCTCCCTGGATGTTTAAGGCATGTTTACTACTTCTGATCTGTCCTGGGGTCCCAGCAGGAACTCCAGTCTACTATGAACTGAGCACTTATCACAGCCACACACACTGTGCTCAAGCGTTAGGGAAAAACCTCACGTCCTATCCCCACAACTCCACAAAGAACCAACTGCCCCCATGAATTCCACCCTCTCTCCAATTACTACATCCCCATTGTAATAGGAGCAGCAGCTGGTCAGCTTGGGAAGAGCCTCCATTTCCCCAGAGGGTCGGGCCATAGTTCCTGCAAAGCTGCAAACAGGCTTCTACTTCTCTCTTCCTGTCGGGTGTCCCGCTCACGCTTACGAACAGAACTCTGGACTTTTAGCTGGAACCCAGCTGCCCAGAATCAAGACTCCATTTCACAGCCTCTCTTATAGCTTAGTGTGGCCACTGGGGTGTCAACAGAAGTGAATGGGTATCTTTAACATGTTTTGTTTTGTTTTGTTTTTTACAGAATCTGCTCTGTCGCCCAGGCTGGAGTGCAGTGGCGCCATTTCGGCTCACTGCAACCTCCGCCTCCCGGGTTCAAGAGATTCTCCCACCTCAGCCTCCCGAGTAGTTGGGGTCACTGACACCCAACACCACGCCTGGCTAAGTTTTGTATTTTTAGTAGATATGGGGTTTCACCATGTTGGTTACGATGGTCTCGAACTCCTGACCTCAAATGATTCGCCTGCCTCAGCCTCCCAAAGTGCTGGGATTACAGGTGTGAGCCACCGCGCCTGGCTCCAATATGTAGTTTTCTATCCTTCCCTCTCTCTATTATCCTGAGTCTCCTGTGTCCATTATCCTGCTCGGTCTGTCTTTTCACACCTATGGCTTAGCTCATTTACAAGTGAGAACATGCAGTCTTTGCTTTCCACTCCTGAGTTGCTTCACTTAGAATAATGACCCCGGCCTCCATCCAAGTTGCTCCAAAGCCAAGGGACACCTTGAACCACCAGAAGCTGGGAGAGGCGAGGAGGCCCCTCTGAGCTTTCAGGTGGAACACAGCCTATGACACCTTGATTTCAGAATTCCCGCCTCCAGAACCCCAAGAGTGATTTGCCGCAGCAACCGCAGGGAACTGATCCAACCAGCAGGTGGCAGAATCAGGATTCAAACCTAGGCACGTCTGTTCCAAAGCCTGGGCTCTGAACCACAGCCACTCCAGGCCCCCTCCCAGCCCAGCAGGCTTGGGCTCGTTTCTTTGCTGAGTCTCTGTTACCTCCTCTTTATTTTAATTTTAATTTTTTTATTTTAATTTTTTGAGGCAGGCTCTTGCTCTGTCACTCAGGCTGGAGTAAAGTGGCTTGATCACAGCTCACTGCAGTCTCAGCCTTCCAGGCTCAAGCAAGCCTCCTGCCTCAGCTTCCAGAGGAGCTGGGACTGCAGGTGACACCACCTACCTGGATTTTTTTTTTTTTTTTTTTTTGTAGAGACAGGGGTCTCACTATGTTGCCTCAGGCTGATCTGGAACTCCTAGGCTCAAAGGATCCTCCCCCATCAGCCTCCCAAAGTGCTGGGATTACAAGAGCCATCAAACCTGGCCTTATTTATGCTTTTTATTTTTATTTTTTGAGACAGGGTCTCAGTCTGTCACCCAGGCTGGAATGCAGTGGTGCGAGCTCAGCTCACTGCAACCTCCACCTCCCAGACTCCAGTGATCCTCCCACCTCTGCTTCCCCAGTAGCTGGGACTATAGGTGCAAGCCACCATGCCAGGCTATATTCATGTTTTATAATCTTATTATTTTGGCTGGGCGCAGTGGCTAATGCCTGTAATCCCAGCACTTTGGGAGGCTGAGGTGGGTGGATCACTTGGGGTCAGGAGTTCGAGACCAGCCTAGCCAACATGGTGAAACCCCATCTCTACTAAAAATACAAAAAAATTGGCTGGGCACGGTGGCTCACGCCTGTAATCCCAGCACTTTGGGAGGCCGAGGCAGGCAAATCACCTGAGGTCAGGAGTTCAAGACCAGCCTGGCCAATGTGGTGAAACCCTGTCTCTACTCAAAATAAAAAATTAGCCGAGTGTGGTGGCAAACGCCTGTTACCCCAGCTACTCGGGAGGCTGAGGAAGGAGAATCACTTGAACCCGGGAGGCAGATGTTGCAGTAAGCCAAGATTGCGCCATTGCACTCCAGCCTGGGCAACAGAGTGAAATTCTGCCTCGAACAAAAACAAAAAACAAACCAAAAAAACCACAAAAATTAACTAGGCATGGTGGCACACGCCTGTAGTCCCAACTGCTCAGGAGGCTGAGGCAGAAGAATTGCTTGAACCCGGGAGGCGGAGGTTACAATGAGCCAAGATTGCGCCACTGCACTCCAGGCTGGGCGACAGAGCGAGACTGTATCTCAAAAAAAAAAATTAGCCAGGCATGGTGGCACACGCCTGTAGTCCCAGCTACTCAGGAGGCCGAGGTGGGAGGATCACTTGAGCCTGGGAGTTCAAGGCTGCACTGAGCCATGATTAGGCCACTACACTCCAGCCTGGGGGACAGAGCAAGACCCAAAACGACACTGGGAAACCTAAGTCTTACATGTAAGTCACATGGTGGAGAGCAAGACAGAGACACAGTCATGAGATCTTGCTCCCATCCTGCATTTGTCACCGTGCTACTGCCTTGTGTCATCTAGAGGATTGCTATCGGACTTAAGACTTACTGTTATTCCTTGAAATGGTTTTCCTAACACTGGTTGTGGAGTAATCCATCCTTCCTGTAGTGGTCATATGCTAAATTCTTGTAAATCTTAGATCTGGTCTTCTTGGCCTATTTTTTTTTTTTTTTTTTTTTTTTGAGATACAGTCTTGCTCTCTCGCCCAGGCTGGAGTGCAGTGGTGCGATCTTGGCTCACTGCAGCCTCCGCCTCCTGAGCTGAAGCAATTCTCCTGCCTCAGCCTCCCAAGTAACTAGGATTACAGGCATGCGCCACCACGCCTGGCTAATTTTTTTGTATTTTTAGTAGAGACACGGTTTCACCATGTTGGCCAGACTGGTTTCAAACTCCTGACCTCAAGTGATCCGCCCATGTCGGCCTCCCAAAGTGCTGGAATTACAAGTGTGAGCCACCATGCCCAGTCTTCTTGGCCTATTGATTTGCCTATTCCCACACTTGTTCTACATTATTTTTTATTTTTCTTCTTTAACTATTGGTAATACAAACCATTTGTGTGGTTCAAAATCCTAAGACTGTATTTTAGTTTACTTTAGTTTTTGAGACAGAGTCTCACTCTGTCACCCAGGCTGGAGTGCAGTGGCATGACCTCAGCTCACTGCAACCTCCACCTCCTGGGTTCAAGTGATTCTCCTGCCTCAGCCTCCCTGGTAGCTGGGACTATAGGCGTACGCTGCCACATCTGGCTAATATTTTTATTTTTATTTTTTTAGCGATGGGGCCTTGCCGTATTGTCCAGGCTCGTCCTGAAGTCCTGGCCTCAAGGGATCCTCCTGCCTTGGCCTCCCAAAGTGCTGAGATTTTTCCCAAGATGGAGTTTTGCTCTTGTTGCCCAGGCTGGAGTGCAATGACACAATCTCGGCTCACTGCAACCTCTGCCTCCCGGGTTCAAGCGATTCTCCTGCCTCAGCCTCCCGAGTAGCTGGGATTACAGGCACCCGCAACCACGCCCAGCTGATTTTTTTGTGTTTTTAGTAGCGATCGGCTTTCATCATGTTGGTCAGGTTGGTCTTGAACTCCTGACCTCAGGTGATCCGCCTGCCTCAGCCTCCCAAAGTGCTGGGATTACAGGCGTGAGCCACCGAGCCTGGCCAGCAATGAAATCTTCATAGCACAAGAGCCAGGAAGCTGGGACAACGGTCCTGGGACAAGGGATGTGCTCTGTTTTGGCACACGTGGCAGGGCTTCATCAGCTTCAGAGTCTTTCTAATAAGTGACAACTACGGACACGCAGGCAGACACTGCAGCCCCTGCTCACCCCCATGCAGGGTCTGGCGTAGTGCTGGGTGCACGATGGACATGCTGAATGGAACTGGCTCCAGCTCCATGGAGAAAGGGCACCAAGATGACCCCAGGACATGGTGGCCTGGGTCTCTCTGAAGAGGAGTGTTGGCAGGAGACCTGGTTCCTGGCCAGTGGTGCACAGTCTGAGCACGTACCCCTGCATGCAGTCCACCCACACTCGGCCCAGCATCTCCAGAGACAGCCAACCCTCCTGTCCACCCCCACTTCATAGGCTGTGAATTGGTTCCCCTTTAATGAGTTATTTTCCATTCAAAGTTGCCTCAAATGGGTCCCAGCCTGATTACAGTGTGCCAGCCTTGGGGTCAGCCATACGCCATGGGTTTCCTTGGTCCCTTTTCCCCCAACACACCCCAGTGCATCCCAGCAACAGCCCCCCGACTTGGAAGCCTTCACGGAAACAACCTTGGTGGGTTATTATTTATTTATTTATTTATTTATTTATTTATTTATTTATTTTTTGAGACTGAGTCTTGCTCTTGTCGCCCAGGCTGGAGTGCAATGGCGCAATCTTCGCTCACTGCAACCTCCGCCTCCCGGGTTTAAGTGATTCTCCTGCCTCAGCCACCCGAGTAGCTGGGATTACAGGCATCCGCCACCATGCCCGGCTAATTTTTGTATTTTTAGTAGAGACGGGGTTTCACTATGTTGGCCAGGCTGGTCTCGAACTCCTGACCTCAGGTGATCCGCCTGCCTCAGCCTCCCAAAGTGCTGGGATTACAGGTGTGAACCACCGCGCCTGGCCGTTAGTGAGTTTTTTGCTTTTTGCTTGTTTCTTTGCTTTCTTTTTTTGAGATGGTCTTTCTGTGTCACCCAGGCTGGAGTCAGTGATGCAGTCACAGCTCACTGCAGCCTCAACCTCCCATGCTGAAGCAATCCTCCCACCTCAGCCTCCCAGGTAGCTGGGACTACAGGCATGTGCTACCACGCTTGGCTAATTTTATAATTTTTTTTTTGTAGAGACAGTTTTCTTCTGTTGGCCAAGTCTTGAACTCCTGGCCTCAAGCAATCCTCCCTCATTACAGGTTTAAGCCTCTGCACCCAAAGTACTAGGATCACAGGTATGAGCCACCACATCCAGCTAGGTTTTTTTGTTTTTGTTTTTGTTTTTTGAGACGGAGTCTTGCTCTGTCGCCCAGGCTGGAGTGCAGTGGTGGGATCTCGGCTTACTGCAAGCTCTGCCTCCCAGGTTCATGCCATTCTCCTGCCTCAGCCTCCTGAGTAGCTGGGACTACAGGCGCCAGCCACCACGCCCGGCTAATTTTTTGTATTTTTAGTAGAGATGGGGTTTCACCACGTTAGCTAGGATGGTCTCAATCTCCTGAACTCGTGATCCACTCGCCTCAGCCTCCCAAAGTGCTGGGATTACAGGCGTGAGCCACCGCGCCTGGCCCTTTTTATTTTTTTTTGAGACAGAGTTTCGCTCTTGTTGCCCAGGCTGGAATGCAATGGCGCAATCTCAGCTCAGTGCAACCTCCACCTCCCGGGTTCAAGCGATTCTCCTGCCTCATCCTCCCAGGTAGCTGGGATTACAGGTGTGTGCCACTACGCCTGGCTAATTATATATATATATATATATATATATATATATATATATATATATGTATACATATATATTTTTAGACAGAGTTTTGCTCTTGTTACCCAAGCTGGAGTGCAATGGCACGATCGGGGCTCACCGCAACCACTGCCTCCCCGGTTCAAGGGATTCTCCTGCCTCAGCCTCCTGAGTAGCTGGGATTACAGGCATGCGCCACCACGCCCAGCTAATTTTGTATTTTTAGTAGAGACAGGGTTTCTCCATGTTGGTCAGGCTGGTCTCGAACTCCCGATCTCAGATGATCCGCCCACCTCAGCCTCCTAAAGTGCTGGGATTACAGGCGTGAGCCTCTGCACCCAGCCTAATTTTGTATTTTTCTAGAAGAGACGGGGTTTCACCATGTTGGCCAGGCTGGTCTCAAACTCCTGACCTCAAGTGATCCACCACACCTCGGCCTCCCAAAGTGCTGGGATTATAGGCGTGAACCACCGCGCCCAGTCCCAGCTAAATTTTTTATTTGTGTAGAGATGGGGTCTCCCTGTGTTACCCTGGCTTGTCTCAAACTCTTTGTCTTAAGTGATCCTCCCACCTCAGATTCCCAAAGCGCTGGGATTACATATGTGAGCCACCGCACCCAGCCTAAATATTTCTTTTTATTATTATTTTTTTATTTTTATCACCCAGCCCAAAATGTCAGTAAATATTTCTACCTCTTGGCTCAGGGAAATGTTAAGAATGTAACAGTTGGCACAAGAAGTTCTCTTAATCATTCACTGAGTCATTCAGCAAATGTGATGGAGCCTTCACTACCCCTGCCCTTCCAGGGGCAGGTGACGCAGTGGTCAAAAAGACGAACATTGTCCCGGCCCTTCTGTTTATATGGGTGGGGGGGGGTGGTGGGATTCGTTTGCTTTTCATTGAAGTGTAATTTACACACAGTAAAATGCCAGTAAAGCCCCACTGGTTCCCAGCCTCAAGTGCATCCCCACCTCATGCAGAACCTTCGGGAAGGGCCAGAAGGTCTAGGTGAGGAATTCTCCCTTTGCCAGCCCTTCTCCAGCCTACCCAGTCCTCCTAACCTTGAACTCATCCATGCGAATCTGCAGGTTCTCCACCGCCTTGTCCAAAGTGATGTAGCGATCCTTCATCATCTCTATTTGGTTGCCCCAAATTCTCTCAAGTTCTTCCTCCTAAAAGGGGGAGACACAGACACCCCAGGCCTCTGCTTCTGAAGTTACCATGGCCGGGAAGGGGCCTGAGGGAGGGTTGAGGCCAAGAAGAATGTACCAGACCAGGCTGGGCGTGGTGGCTCATGCCTGTAATCCCAGCACTTTGGGAGGCCAAGATGGGTAGATCAACTGAGGTCAGGAGCTCGAGACCAGCCTGCCCAACACGGCGAAACCAGTCTCTACAAAAAATACAAAAATTAGCCAGGTGTGGTGGCGGGCCCCTGTAATCCCAGCTACTAGGGAGGCTGAGGCAGGAGAATTGCTTGAACCCAGGAGGCAGAGGTTGCAGCGAGCTGAGGTCACGCCACTGCACTCCAGCCTGGATGACAGAGCAAGATTCCGTCTCAAAAAAAAAAAAAAATAAGGTATCAGACCAGGGTGCCTTCCACCTGCCATTTTTTTTTTTTTTTTTTTTTTTTTTTGAGACAGGGCCTTGCTCTGTCACCCAGGCTAGAGTGCAGCGGCGTGATCTTGGCTCATTGCAGCCTCCACCTCCCAGGCTCAAGTGATCCTCCCACCTCAGCCTCCCGAGTAGTTGGGACTGTAGGGACAAACCACCACACCTGGATAATTTTTGTATTTTTTTGCAGAGAAGGGATCTCACTATGTTGCCCAGGCTGGTCTTGAACTCCTGAGCTCAAGTGATCTGCCTGCCTCAGCCTTGTAAAGCGTTGGGATTACAGGTATGAGCCACCGCACCGGCTTCACCTGCCCTCTGAACAGCCACCTGAGACACAGAACCGTGTAGCCCCACACCTGCTGGGCCCCCCCACCGCACCAGTGAATCAGCTTTGAGAGGCAGCAGCTGCCTTCGCAGCCAGCTCGCTTTCCCCCAGCCTGTTTTGCTGCAGAACACAGCTGCACCTGGGAGGGGGGCAGAGTCAAGGAGTCTTCAGCCAGCTCACCTCAAGCCATCACTGCCTCAAAAGCCCTTCGCCGGAGACACTAACCTTGAGCCTAGATTTCTGGAGGCTGCCAATCTTTTTCTGCAATATGTCCACTGTTGTCCCGAGGCTGGAAGGACCTCCCATATTGGCTGAAAGCAGAGGACAGGGTGGCTGCTGAGGGCTCGGATGGAGGAAGATGTTTCTGTTGGGCTCTAGCTGCTTCTCTTATGGAGCATCTCAGGCAGCACTGCCCAGTGGAAATGCACTGGGCCTCGCAGCTTGTGGTACCTTTTTATTTATTTCTTCATTATTTTTTAATTAATTTATTTTTTGAGATGGAATCTCGCTCTGTCACCAGGCTGGAGTGCAGTGGCGCGATCTCGGCTCACTACAACTTCCGCCTCCTGGGTTTAAGCAATTCTCCTGCCTCAGCCTCCCGAGTACCTGGGATTACAGGCACACGCCACCACGCCCAGCTAATTTTTGTATTTTTAGTAGAGACAGGGTTTCACCATGTTGGCCAGGTTGGTCTCGATCTCTTGACCTCGTGATCCGCCTTCCTCAGCCTCCCAAAGTGCTGGGAGTACAGGCATGAGCTACCGCACCCGGCCTATTAGTTTTTAAATTAATTAAAAAAAATTTTTTTTATCAGGTGCAGTGGCTCACGCCTGTACTCCCAACACTGTGGGAGGCCGAGGCAGGTGGATCACCTGGGATCAGGAGTTTGAGACCAGCCTGGCCAAAATGGAAAAACCCCATCTCTACTAAAAATACGAAAATCAGCCAGGCTTGGTGGCACATGCCTCTAGTCCCAGCTACTTGGAAGGCTGAGGCAGGAGAATCTCTCGAACCCAGGAGGCGGAGGCTGCAGTGAGCTGTGATCACGCCATTGCACTCCAACCGGCGACAAAAGTGAAACTCCATCTCAAAAAATAATAACAATAATTAAAAAAATTTTTTTTTAAATTTTGTTTGTATGGAGACAAGGTCTCACTCTGTTGCCCAGGCTGGAGTGCAGTGGCACGATCATAACCCAGTGCAGTCTTGAACTGCTAGGCTCAAGCAATCTTCCCACCTCAGCCTCCTGAGTAGTTGGGACTACAGGCCTGCGCCACCACTCAGGCTTTTTTTTTTGTTTTGAGGAGGAGTCTCGCTATCGCCCAGGCGGGAGTGGCACAATCTCTGCTCACTGCAACCTCTGCCTCCCGGGTTCAAAGTGTTTCTCCTGTCTCAGCCTCCGAGGTAGCTGGGATTACAGGCGCGCACTATCAAGCCTGGCTAACTTTTGTATTTTTAGTCGAGACGGAGTTTCGCTATGTTGGCCAGGCTGGTCTCGAACTCCTGACTTCAAGTGATCCACCTGCCTCATCCTCCCAAGGGACTGGGATTACAGGCGTGAGCCACCGCACACGGCCAATGTTTAAAATTTTTTTTTTTTGAGACGGAGTCTAGCTCTGTCGCCCAGGCTGGAATGCAGTGGCACGATCTCGGCTCACTGCAAGCTTCGCCTCCTGGGTTCACGCCATTCTCCTGCCTCAGCCTCCTGAGTAGCTGGGACTACAGGCGCCCGCCACCATGCCCAGCTAATTTTTTTGTATTTTTAGTAGAGACGGGGTTTCACCGTGTCAGCCAGGATGGTCTCCGTATCTGCCTGCCTTGGCCTCCCAAAGTGCTAGGATTATAGGCGTGAGCCACCGCACACAGCTAGTGTTTAAAAATTTTTTTAGAGATGAGGTCTTGATGTTACCCAGGGTGGTCTCGAACTTCCAGTTCAAGCAGTCTTCCTGCCTTGGCCTCCCAAAGTGCTAAGATTACAGGCATGAGTCACCATGCTTAGCCAATACAATACTGTTTTATGGGCTATCACAAAGGAGTTTTTTTTGTTGTTGTTGTTTTTGAGACAGAGTTTCGTTCTTGTTGCCCAGGCTGGAGCGCAATGGCATGATCTTGGCTCACCGCAACCTCTGCCTCCTGGGTTCAAGCGATTCTCCTGCCACAGCCTCCCGAGTAGCTGGGATTACAGGCATACACCACCACGCCCAGCAAATTTTGTATTTTTAGTAGAGACGGGGTTTCTCCATGTTGGTCAGGCTCATCTTGAACTTGCGGTCTCAGGTGATCCGCCCACCTCAGCCTCCCAAAGTGCTGGGATTACAGGTGGGAGCCACCACGCCTGGCCACAAGAGTTTTTGAGAGTAATTTTGGCATGCCATTTTCCTCGTGCCAACTTTAGACCCTAACAGCCTCCCTGCCCTAAGATAAGACCTCATTGTACATTCAACAGAAAAGAATAGACTCGTTAAGAGCCAAATGCTTAAGCCAAAGGAAAGAATGGCTAATGGTGGAATGCAGATTTTGTTGGTGGAGCCCAGTGAAGGACAGGACACACTTCTCAAAGGCTGCAGGGAGAGCCCCACTCCCTTGTGCCCTTCCCAGGGCCAGACCAGGCCTACCTAGATAACTCAAGCGCTGGTTCAGGTTACAGGACAGCTGGGCAAATTCTTCCTTCAGAGAGTCGTGTTTGACAGGTATCTGGGCTATGTGGCTCATGGAATACTTGACAGCCCTCTTCTTGTCTTCAGGGCTCATGGCCTGCTTGGTAGCCACCATGGCCTGGGACAGGGCTGGATCGGGACCGATGCTGGCAGCAGAGTAGGAGGGAGAGAGGATTTCGTAGATTTCGGAATCATCGCCCAAGATCTGGGATTCTGTGGCTCCCCGGGAAGGCCCTGCACCCAGGACATCTGCAAAGACCCCTAGGGGCCCAGCTGCAGCCGTGTCTGTTGCAATGGCGGCCATTTTGGTGGCTGGGGCATCCTTGACAAACTTGGCAGCAACTTTGGCTGCCTGGGCAGCGGAGGATGTGGCAGCGGCGTAGGCTGCGGCGGCAGCGGCGGCGATGGCAGCGGTGGTTTTCAGCCGGTGAAGGGCAGACTGGGGAGCCTTAGGCTGTGCTTCCTTGGGGGCCCCATCCTTGCCAACTCTATCCTTGGGGTCCCCATCTTTGCCACCTCTATCTTTGGGGACATCATCCTTGTGAGCTCTATCCTTGGGGTCCACATCCTTGCCACCTCTATCTTTGGGGACATCATCCTTGTGAGCTCTATCCTTGGGGTCCACATCCTTGCCACCTCTATCTTTGGGGACCCCATCCTTGCGAGTTCTATCCTTGGGGGCCCCATCCTTGCGGGCCCTCTCCCGAAGGCCCCTTAGGCTGGGGACATCATTTTCCTCCCCCTTTACTTGGACAGCTGCGAGCTGGAGGGCTTCTCCCTGGCGAGACTGATATGGCTGGAGTGGTCGAGGCCACAATGAGCCAAACTCAGTGGCTGGTGGTGGGGCCCTGGAGGGTTGGGGCTGAGTTGGCCGCAGGACACCTAAGTCCCACAGAGGCCAAGAGCCCACCCTGGGCCAGCCTTGGGGAAGAGGCCAGCGTCTTGGGAGTGCAGGCCAGTCTCCCAGTGGTGGAGGCTGGGCACCTGGGGCAGGCACAGGTCCAAGCACAGGCCAAGGTGCTGGCAAGGACCCAGGTGTCACACTGGGCCCTGGGACAGGCCCCAGGGCAGGCACAGGCTCCAGCTCCAGCCCCAGCTCCAGTCCTGGCACAGGTTCAGTCCCAGGTGCAGGCCCAGGTGCAAATTCAGTTGTGCACCCAGGTGCAGACTCAGGCGTGAGGGCCGGAGGCTGCGCTGGCTCCTGGGCTCTGCTGAGTGAAACTGCTTGGGCAGATGAGCCCTCCGGGAGGAGCTCTGGGACCTCATAATGCCAGACAGTCTGCAGTAGCTGGGGGTTTTGGACGGGCTCGGAGACCTGGATGGCACGAGTAGCTTCAAGGTACTTGGTGGTCTGGGCCAGGGCAGCCTCTGGGAGCTGCTCTACAGACTGCCACAGGTCCAGTGGTGATGAACCAATTTCCTGCAGAAGAGGGGGCAGAGGGGCTCTGCTGGCTTCCAGCCCCGCCTCCCACTCTCAGTCAGCCACCCGCCTGCTCCCCAGCTTCCTGCTAACCTCCCCTTCCTTCCTCACTCACTGAGGTGAACATGGCATCATGAAGGCCACTCCAGAGCACCATGTCCTCGGTTTTGGGGATGGTTTTAAACTTATTCTGGAGAGAAGCCTGCAAGGTGGGGGTAGAAAATGAGGGCTGTGAGCCTGGAGGGGGCAGTGTCCCCCACACCTGCAAAGAAACCTTTCCAGGCTGTGTTCTCCTCCTTGCACCTCCCTACCCTCAGCACCCAGGACCCGGGAGGTTGGGGGGTCCCAGGGGGAGTGGGGGAAGACAGGGATGGTGGCCCTCACCACTTCCCGCTGCAGTGCAACCATCTTCCAGTTCTGTATTTTGAAGTCTTCAGCAAAGATGTCCATTCTTTCTGGGTGTACCTGTCAAAGGAACTGAGTCTGTGGACTGGGGGTCCAGGTTCTGTCCCACCCCTGCCTTTTCCCGTGGCTCTAGGTGACTAAGAGCTTGAGAAGGAAGAACGGGTTCCAAATCCAGTGTTTCCCAAGGAGTGGGAAAGGGTTCCATGGGCAAACAAGTTTGGGAAATGCTGGGCTTGAAAGCATGTCAGGCCGGGCACAGTGTCTCATGCCTGTAACCCCAGCACTTTGAGAGGTCAAGGTGGGTGGATAACTTGAGGTCAGGAGTTCGACAGCAGCCTGGCCAACATGGTGAAACACCGTCTCTACTAAAAATACAAAAATTAGCTGGGCCTGATGGCATGCGCCTGTAATCCCAGCTATCAGGAAGCTGAGGCAGGAGAATCACTTGAATCCAGGAGGCAGAGGTTGCAGTGAGCTGAGATGGCGCCACTGCACTCCAGCCTGGGCAACAGAGTGAGACTTTGTCTCAAAAATAAGTAAATAAATAAATAAATAAAAAACATTTCAACAGGTTTCTGTACGGCAGGACTTCCCAGAGCCTTGAATGAGCAAAAGCACATTAAGAATCTCCAAGAGGGCCGGGCACAGTGGCTCATGCCTGTAATCCCAGCACTTTGGGATGCTGAGGCGGGTGGATCATGAGTTCAGGAGTTCGGGACCAGCCTGACCAATGTGGTGAAGCCCCCACCTCCACTAAAAACACAAAAATTAGCTAGGCGTGGTGGCTTGCACCTGTAATCCCAGCTACTCAGGAGGCTGAGGCAGGAAAATCACTTGAACCCGGGAGGCAGAGGTTGCAGTGAGCTGAGATCGTGCCACTGCACTCCAGCCTGGGTGACAGAGAGAGACTCCGTCTCAAAAAGAATACAAAACAAAACAACAACAACAAAAACACCTCCAAGAGACAGGCCAATAAGGCATTGTTTTTCTTTTCTTTTTTCTTTTTTTTTTTTTTTTGAGACAGAGTCTCACTCTGTTGCCCAGGCTGGAGTGCAGTGGTGTGATCTCGGCTCACTGCAAGCTCCACTTCCCAGGTTCACACCATTCTCCTGCCTCAGCCTCCTGAGTAACTGGGACTACAGGTACCTGCCACCACATCCAGCTAATTTTTTGTATTTTTAGTAGAGATGGGGTTTCACCGTGTTAGCGAGGATGGTCTCGATCTCCTGACCTTGTGATCTGCCCACCTCAGCCTCCCAAAATGCTGAGATTACAGGCGTGAACCACCATGCCGCCCCACCGACCCCACCTTTTTTTTTTTTTTTTTTTTGAGACGGAGTCTTGCTCTGTCACCCAGGCTGGAGTGCAGTGGCGCAATCTTGGCTCACTACAATCTCCACCTCCTGGGTTCAAGTGATTCTCGTGCCTCAGCCTCCTGAGTAGCTGGGGTTACGGGTGCCTGCAACCACACCCAGCTAATTTTTGTATTTTTAGTGGAGACGGGGGTTTTACCATGTTGGCCAGGCTGGTCTCGAACTCCTGACCTCAGGTGATCCGCCTGCTTTGGCTTCCCAAAGTGCTGGGATTACAGGCGTGAGACACCAGGCCCCGCCGAGAAGGCATGGTTTCTCCAACAGCTTTGTCTAAGGGGCCCTTTTGAGTAGCTCATGATGCAGCTTTTAACAGCGTTCTTTCTGCTTAGATGGGAGCCATCCAGCCCATGCCTAAAGCTCCCACAGTTGCCATGATGATCAAATACAGGCCCTGATCTGTGAAGCCGGGATGATACAGAAAATTACACTATTTGGGGGAAGTTGTTAAACCTGGGGGTGTGGAGAGCTGGCTTCAGACCCCAGCTGTGACTCATCAGTTGTGACGGGGACAGCTGCCTCATGTCTCGGGGACTCCATGTCCTTCCATGCATGGTAGGGTGTTAGAAAATACTTGGCTGATGGTTTTTGGCTACAGAAGTACAGAAGGAGCTTGTATGTATGCCTGCACTATTATGATTATTCCACTTTCCATGTGGACAGAGCTTTCCAGAAGGGGAAGAGGTTTTCTTTTTGCTAGGTTGGTGGAATATAAGTCTGCTGTTGCCAAGACTTGAGGAGCACCTGCCTGAGAATGAAGCCAACTGGGAGGAAAGTTTCACTGAGAAACGTCAGTATTGCCGGATGTGGTGGCTCACGCCTGTAATCCTGGCACTTTGGGAGGCTGAGGCGGGCGGATCAAGAGGTCAGGAGATTGAGACCATCCTGGCTAACATGGTGAAACCCCATCTCTACTAAAAATACAAAAAAAATTAGCCGGGCATGGGGGCGGGCGCCTGTAGTCCCAGCTACTCGGGAGGCTGAGACAGGAGAATGGCGTGAACCCGGGAGGTGGAGGTTGCAGTGAGTCAAGATCGAGCCACTACACTCCAGCCTGGGCAACAGAGCGAGACTCCATCTCAAAAAAAAAAAGAAATATAAGTATTGCATGAGTACCTAGATCTGGCCGTCCCTGGACCTTTTAGTAAATGAGACAATAAATCCCTTATTTTGCCTAATCCAGGATGAACGTGATTTCTGTCACTTACAACTAACGTTTTAACACACTGGGGTAGAAAGCATGGAGGGGTCGGCCAGGTATGGTGGCTTACACCTGTAATCCCAGCACTTTGGGAGGCTGAGGTGGGTGGATCACGAGGTCAGAAGTTCGAGACCAGCCTGGCCAACAAGATGAACCCCTGTCTCTACTAAAAATACAAAAATTACCCAGATGTGGTGGTGCGTGCCTGTAATCCCAGCTACTCGGGAAGCTCAGGCAGGAGAATCACTTGAACCCGGGAGGCAGAGGTTGCCGTGAGCCAAGATCATGCCATTGCACTCCATCCTGGGCAACAGAGTGAGACTCTGTCTTAAAAAAAAAAAAGAAAAGAAAAGAAAGCATGGAGGGGTCACAGAGAAGTCGGTGGCACTGGCCAATTGGAGGGTCCACATGACCACACCCTCACAGCTGCACTCTTGGCCTAACAGTAAGCTTCCTAGATTTTCCTCATTGCTCCAACCCCCAGAGGCCTGAGCAACGCAGCTGGCATGGAGGATGCTGGGGGAGGGCCTACCTTGTCAAGCATGTTCTTCAGCATGTCCACTTCTTTTCTGAGGGCTGTGATGGTGACCTGGAGTGCATGAAGATCAGTGAGCAAGTCCTGCAGGGTCTGCATTGACTGCAAAAGAGGAGGAGAAAATGTGAAGCCGGGTATGGCTGGGGGAGAAGGTAAGTGAAGTGCAGAAGCTTTCTGATGATAGCCGTTGTTCAAGAGGTCCTCTTGGCTCTCCCAAGGCCTAGACTGGAACCTACAAGGGGACCAGGAGATGCTACTAAAGTCAACAGTGCTCTCATCTCCAAGTGGCCTGGATGAGAAGGAGGCAACTCTGTATTTGAATATATCCAGAAACCAGGAGTTACTCGTCATGAAGCATCTCACGCCCTTTCTTCTATGATAGATGTCAGCCAGGGAGGAAGCACAGCCCATCCCTGGGTAGGAGCCACTGGAGGATCAGGAGCAGGAGAGACAGGGTTGCATTTACTTTTTGTTTCTAAGATGGAGTCTCACTCTGTGGCTCAGGCTGGAGTGCAGTGGCGCGATCTCAACTCACTGTAACCTCCACCTCCTGGGCTCAAGTGATTCTCCTGCCTCAACCTCCCAAGTAGCTGAGACCGCAGGTGTGCATCACCACGCCCAGCTAATTTTTTTTGTTTTTGTTTTTGTTTTTGTTTGGTAGAGATGGGGTTTCACCACGTTGCTCAGGCTGGTCTCGAATTCCTGAGCTCAAGCAATCTGCCCGCGTCATCCTCCCAAAGTGCCACAGCACCCGGTCTGTATTTACATTTTAAAGGATCTCTCGGGCTCCTGTGGAGCCTGGCTCTGGAGGGCAAAAGGGGAAGCAGGCTGCCTGCAGAAATTATTGCTTGCTGTAGGGAGAAATCCTCACACATCTGGTGTCAGAAGTGTGTTGCGAGCTTGGCGCGGTGGCTCATGCCTATAATCCCAGCACTTTGGGAGACCAAGTCAGGCAGAACATGAGGCCAGGAGTTCGATAACAGTCTGGCCAACACGGTGAAACCCTGTTTCTACTAAAAATACAAAAAAACTTAGCAGTTCCTGATGTTGCGTGCCTGTAATCCCAGCTACTCAGGAGGATGGGGCAGGAGAATCACTTGAACCTGGGAGGCAGAGGCTGCAGTGAGCCAAGATCGCACCACTGCACTCCAGACTGGACAACGAAGTGAGTCTCTATCTAAAAAAAAAAAAAAAAAAAAGCGTGTTGTGAGAACAGTGTGAAAGAAACTGAGTTTTTTTCCACTCAGAGGGCCAAACTATCTGGAAGATATAATAATTATAAACATACATGCACTTAACAGAGCCCTTTATAAAATACATGAAGGAAACACTGACAGAACTGAAAGTGTAACTGAAAAGCACGTTGGTTGCTCGCTGCATTGCAGGGTTCAGTTACCATGAGCAAGGTCTGGTACCAAAAAGAAAGTGAATTTATTCCGAATTATCAGCACTTTGGGAGCTTGAGGCAGGAGTATCATTTGAGCTCAGGAGTTCCAGACCAGCCTGGGCAACATAGTGAGATCCCGTCTCCGTAATTCAAAAATAAAATAAAAAAGTTCTAGCTTGGGGAAGGGGCACAAAGCGCCCTGGCTTTAAACGTGCCGCTTCACTTCTGGAGAAAAAGTGGGCACTTTTAAGACGTAGGGGATACAGCCAGCAAGGGCAGGGGTCTCCTTTTGAGCGTGATGTCTTATCTACTGGGCAGCTGAGTTGGCACCTTCCTGGGAAGAAGTAAGTTGTAAAAGTGGCCATGGGCACGCTTTCAACATGTCCTCCTGGTGAGACTGAGCTCTCAGGCAATCCCTGGAGAGTGGAAGTTCCCAGGTGAAAGTCCTATAAGGGGCGTGCTTTGGTCTCTAAGTCTGTTTCTTAACTCTCCAGGAGTTACATGAACTTGCCCTGTAGGGAGTGACTGGTGAAGGAGGGGTCAAAGACTATCTTTGCCTTCTTTTTTTTTTTTTTTGAGACAGAGTCTCACTCTGTCACCTAGGCAACCTTCACCTCCCGGGTTCAAGTGATTCTCCCACCTCAGCCTCCCAAGTAGCTGAGACTACAGGGGCACACCACCACGCCCTGCTAATGGGGTTTCACCATGTTGGCCAGGCTGATCTCAAACTCCTGACCTCAAGTGATCCACCCACCTCGGCCTCCCAGAGTGCTGGGATTACAGGCATGAGCCAACTCACCAGGCCTCTCTTTGCATTTCTAAAGGGCTAAGTAGGAAGTGGGGAGCAGTGGGGAAGGAGAAAGGAAGAGAAAATAATTTTTAAAATAAACTATCTTTTAGAAAAATGGGGGTACTCAGTTACAAAAGGAGAAATAGTTAATTAACAAGAATAGTTTGAGACTTCAATTTCCTATTTTCAGTAATGAATAGAATAACTAAGATAAGGAAGGTCCAGCATGGTGGCTCACACCTGTAATCCCAGCACTTTGGGAGGCTGAGGCCAGTGGATCTGAAGTTCAGGAGTTTGAGACCAGCCTGGCCAACATGGTGAAACCCCATCTCTACCAAAAATATAAAAATTAGCCAGGCGTGGTAGTGTTTGCCTGTAATCCCAGCTACTTGGGAGGCAGAGGTGAGAGGATCACTTGAACCCCGGAGGCAGAGGTTGCAGCAAGCCAAGATTATGCCACTGCTCTCCAGCCTGTGTGACTCCATCTGAGTAAGTCACACAAGATGGAGTAAGACTCCATCTCGAAAAAACAAAACCCGAGATAAAAAGAACAGTATCCTGGGTGCAGTGGCTCACATCTGTAATCCCAGCATTTTGGGGGGCTGAAGCAGGTGGATCACTTGAGCCCAGGAGTTCGAAACCAGCCTGGGCAACATAGCGGTCTCCCATCTCTACAAAAAAATACCAAAATTAGACAGGCGTGGTGGTGCATGCCTGTAGTCCCAGGTCCCTGGGAGGATGAGATGGGAGGATCTTCCTAGCCCAGGAGGTTGAGGCTGAAGTGAGCTGTGATTGCACTACTGCCCTCCAGCTTGGGTGACAGAGTGAGACTCTGTCTCAAAAAAAAAAAAAAAAATTAAAAAGAAAAGAAAAAGAAAAAAAGAAGAGCAAGAGGCTGGGTTCAGTGGCTTACACCTGTAATCCCAGCATTTTGGGTAGCTGCAGTGGAAGGATGGCTTGAGCCCAGGGGTTCCAGAGCAGCCTGGGCAACCAAGGGAGACCCTGTCACTATAAAATAAATAAAATTAACAAAACAAAAGGCCAGCAAGAAAAGAGAAGATTTGAACAATAGTATAAACCAACTAGACATAACAGATATCTACGGAATACCCCACTCAACAATGGTAGAATACATATTATTCTCAAATGCACATAGAATACTCTCCAGGGTAGACCATATGGTAAAGCCATAAAACAAGCCTTAACAAATTTCAAAAGGACTGAAATTATGCAAAATACATACTCTGACCACAATGGAATTAAATTAGAAAGCAACAGAAGAGGCCAGGTATGGTGGCTCATGCCTGTAATTCAGCACTTTGGGAGCTTGAGGCAGGAGTATCATTTGAGCTCAGGAGTTCCAGACCAGCCTGGGCAACATAGTGAGCTCCCGTCTCTATAATTCAAAAATAAAATAAAAAAGTTCTTGGATTGCCAATGGCTCCCATAGACAGGGCTTAAAACAAACAAACAAACAAAAAACAAAAACAGGCCGGACGTGGTGGCTCACATCTGTAATCCCAGCACTTTGAGAGGCTACAGCAGGCAGATCATGAAGTCAGGAGATCGAGACCATCCTGGCCAACATGGTGAAACCCCATCTCTACTAAAAATACAAAAATTAGCTGGGTGTGGTGGTGCGTGCCTGTAGTCCCAGCTACTCGGGAGGCTGAGGCAGGAGAACTGCTTGAACCCAGGAGCAGAGGTTGTAGTGAGCCAAGGTCATGCCATTGCACTCCATCCTGGTGACAGAGGAAGACTTCATCTCAAAAAAAAAAAAAAAAAAAAAAAAAGGCAACAGAAGAAACTATTGAAAATTCACAAACATGTAAAAATTTAAAAAACATTCTACTAAATGACAAATATGTCAAAGAAGAAATCACAAAAGGAATATGTCAAAGAAGGCCGGGCGCGGTGGCTCACACCTGTAATCCCAGCACTTTGGGAGGCCGAGGTGGGCGGATGATGAGGTCAGATCAAAACCATCCTGGCTAACACGGTGAAACCCCGTCTCTACTAAACATACAAAAAAAAATTAGCCGGGCGTGGTGGCGGGCACGTGTAGTCCCAGCTACTTGGGAGGCTGAGGCAGGAGAATGGCGTGAACCCAGGAGTCTGAGCTTGCAGTGAGCCAAGATCGCGCCATTGCACTCCAGCCTGGGTGACAGAGCGAGACTCCATCTCAAAAAAAAAAAAAAAAAAAAAGAAAAGAAATATGTCAAAGAAGAAATCACAATAGAAATAGAAATTAGAAACTAATTTGAAATGAGTTAAAATGAAAGCACAACACACCAGAACTTACGGGATGCAGCTAAAGTGGTGATTAGACACTTAGAACACTTATTGTTGTAAGTGACTATATTAACAAAGAAAGATCTTGAATCAATAACTTAACCTTCCACCTTAAGACACTGGAACAAAGAAAAGCAAACTGAACCTAAAACAAATAGAAATAAGAAAATAACAAAGAATATGGTGAAATTAATGAAATAGAGGATAAAAAAATAGTACAGAAAAATCAATGAAACTAAACACTGGTTAATTGAAAAGGTCAACAAAATTGACAAACTTTTAGCTAGATTGGCCAAGAATCAGACTCAAATTATTAGAATCAGAAATGAAAGAGAGGGCATTCTATCAACTCTACAGAAATAAAAAGGATTATAAAGAAATACTATGAATAATTGCCTGTGGACAAATTATATAATTTAGGTGAAATGGACAAATTCCTAGAAAATCATTAAAACTGACTCAAGCAGAAATAGACAATCCGAGTAAACCTAAAACAAGTGAAGAGATTAAAGTCATAATAAAAAGTACCTTTTGTGCTTCAAAAGACACCAGCAAGAAAATGAAAATACAACCCACAAAATGGGAGAAAACCTCATTTTGCAAATCATATATCTGACCCAGTATATGCAGAATATATACAGAACTCTTACAACTCAATGATACAAATAACCCAATTAAAAATGGGCAAAGATCTGAATAGACATTTCTCCAAAGATGATGTGTAAATGGCCAATAAGCACATAAAAAGAAAAGATGCTCAACATCATTCGTCATCAGGGAAATGAAAATCAAAACTACAATGAGATACCACTTCAAACTCTGTAGGATGGTCAGAAGCGAAAGTCAGATACTAAGTGCTGTTAACCATAAGGAGAAATCGTAATTCTCATACACTGCTGCTGGGAATGTAAATTGTGCAGCCATTTTAGAAGTCAGTGTGGCAGTTCCTCACAAGATTATAGAGATACCAGATGATCTCTGATTCTAATCCTAGGTATATTCCCAAAAGAAATGAAAACATAGGTCCATATAAAAACTTGCACACATGGGCCAGGCATGGTAGCTCACGTCTGTAATCCGACTGCTTTCGGAGGCCAAGGTGGAAGAGTGCTTGAGGTCAGGAGTTCAAGACCAGCGTGGGCTGTTAACACAGCAAGACCACATCTCTACATAAAACTTAAAAATTAGCCAGGCATGGTGGCAAGCGCCTGTAGTCCCAGAAACTTGGGAGGCAGAGATGGGAGGATCGCTTGAGACCAGGAGTTTGAGGCTGCAGTGAGCTATGGTGGCACCACTGAACTTCAGCCAGGGCAACAGAGCAAGACCTTGTCCCTAAAAACAAAACAGAAGTTTGTACATGAATGCTTATAGCAGCATATTCATAACAGTCAAAAGGTAGAAACGAGGCTGGGTGTGGTGGCTGATGTCTGTAATCCCAGCACCTCGGGAGGACAAAGTGGGCAGATCACCTGAGGTCAGGAGTTCGAGATCAGCCTGGCCAACATGGTAAAACCCCGTCTCTACGAAAAATACAAAAATTAGCCGGGTGTGGTGGTGGGCAGCTGTAATCCCAGCTACTCGGGAGGCTGAGGCACAAGAATCACTTGAACCCAGGAGGTGGAGGTTGCAGTGAGCTGAGACTGTGCCACTGCACTCCAGCCTGGGCGCCAGAGCCAGACTCCCTGCATCTTGCGTGGAGATTGCAGTGGTGCCATCTCAGCTTACTACAACCTCCCCCTCTGTGTGATATGCAGTGAGAGGTTTCTCACCCAAGACCCACCTGCTGTCTCACATGTAGGGGACATGCTCTGGACTCCTGTCCTGGGGAAGAAGGGGCAGGAGAGAGAGCTGTGGGGAAAGTGGCTGAGGTCTTTTTTCTGCCCAGGGTGACTGGGCCACATTCAGGGCTTGGATGGTGCTGAGTTCAAGGGAAAGTGCGTCCCCGACAGTTGCCCTTCCAGAAGCTGACCCATGCCATAGTCCTCGAGGCAGGGCTTGTCCAAACCTGCTCTCTCTCTCTCTCAAGAGGGCTTTAAGGATGCTGGGGTTCAGCTAGGGCCCAGTACTTACAAAGGCCTTAAGAGGCCTGAAAAAGGGGCTAAGGCAAACACCCCCTCAGACAAGCAGCTAGACTTGTCCACACGGTCACATGTGGGACTTTGGAAAACAGGAATGCTAACATTTCCCTCCACGGAAACGAGGAATGTAAGAGCACTTCACGACACTGTGAAGGTGACACCAATGACATCTGAGTGTTCGTTACCATTACTGCAATCATGGCAACCTTGGTCCTCTAACACCCCAAAGTGTCTTCCACACCTTTAAGCAATGTTACAAAATAGTTAAAAACCCAATTTTTATTTGTATTTTATTTATTGTTTTTGAGATGGAGTTTTGCTCTGTCGCTCAGGCTGGAGTGCAGCGGCGCGATCTCGGTTCACTGAAATCTCCACCTCTCGGGTTCAAGCGATTCTCGTGCCTCAGCCTCTCGAGTGGCTGGGACTACAGGCACGCACCACCATGCCCAGCTAATTTTTGTATTTTTAGTAAAGACAAGGTTTTGCCACATCGGCCAGGCTGGCCTGGAACTCCTGAGCTCAGGTGATCCTTCTGCCTCAGCCTCCCAAAGTGCTGGGATCATAGGCGTAAACCACCACGCCCAGCCTTAAAAATCCAATTTAAATGTGACATCATTTTAACCTGTACAATATACAGCAGGTGCTTTGTAGTTTCTGAGGGAGTAAAATGGGGAGGGTGTTTAGAAATAAAGAAAGCAACAATAGGTTGTTAGCATCCCCTTAGACTGGATCCCTCTCCCGGGGACTTCCTGGACCCAGTGCATGCAGATGGCATCACCTGAGCTGCAGAAGCTGCGTGCACATATCCAACCAAGTCTGACAATGGCCAAGAACAAATTAGGAGGGCAGAAGTCCACGAATGGACTTCACAAAGCCAGCCAAAAACACTTTAAGGCTAAAAACAAAGCAAAACCAGTTACCACTAATCTTTTCTTCTTCTTTTTTTTAAGATGGAGTTTCATTTTGTCTCCCAGGCTGGAGTGCAGTGGCGCAATCTCGGCTCACTGCAACCTCTGCCTCCCAGGTTCAAGCAATTCTCTTGTCTCAGCCTCCCGACTAGCAGCTAATTTTTGTATTTTTAGTAGAGACGGGATTTCACCATGTTGGCCAGGCTGGTCTTGAACTCCTGAGCTCAGGTGATCCGCCCACTTCGGCCTCCGAAAGTGCTGGGATTACAGGTGGGAGCCACCACACCTGGCAGTTACCACTAGTCTTAAGACAAATGTTATGATTTAAAAGTCAACAGAGGCCGGGCACAGTGGCTCATGCCTGTAATCCCAGCACATTGGGAGGCCCAGGCGGGTGGATCACCTGAGCTCGGGAGTTCAAGACCAGCCTGGCCAACATGGTGAAACCCCGTCTCTACTAAAAATACGAAAATTAGCTGGGCATGGTGGTGCACGCTTGTAATCCCAGTTACTCAGGAAGCTGAAGCAGGAGAATCGCTTGAACCCAGGAGGCAGAGGCTGCAGTAAGCCAAGATCATGCTGCTGCCCACCAGCCTGGGCAACAGAGCGAGACTCCGTCTCAAAACAAACAAACAAACAAAAAAAAGGTTAACAGAGGGTGGGCGCAGTGGCTCAAGCCTGTAATCCCAGCACTTTGGGCTGAAGTGGGAGGATTACTTGAGCTCAAGAGTTCGAGACCAGCCTGGGGAACATGGCAACACCCTGTCTCTACAAAAAATACAAATTAGCCAGTGTGGTGGCACAGGCCTGTAGTCCTACCTACTCAGGAGGTTGAGGTGGGAGGATTGCCTCCAGGGTTGAGCCCGGGAGGTTGAGGCTGCAGTGAGCTGAGATCGAGCCACTGCACCCCAGCCTGGGCGACAGAGTGAGACCCTGCCTTAAAAATAAAAACAAACGAGTCAGTCATGAGCGAACGAGCAAGAGGGTGTTCCACTGCTAGAGCCGAGCGAAGCGATGCCTAAAGCAAAGGAACTTGTTTCTTCAAACTCTTCTGGCAGTGATTCTGACAGTGAGGTTGACAAAAACTTAAAGAGGAAAAAGCAAGTTGCTCCAGAAAAACCTGTAAAGAAGCAAAAGACAGGCGAAACTTGGAGAGCTCTGTCATCTTCTGACAGAGGAGCAGCAGCAGAGATGGTAACATGTTTCAGATTGGGAAAATGAGGTACGTTGGCGTTCAAGATTTTAAAGGCAAAGTGCTAATTGATATTGGAGAATATTGGATGGATCCTGAAGGTGAAATGAAACCAGGAAGAAAAGGTATTTCTTTAAATCCAGAACAATGGAGCCAGCTGACAGAACAGATTTCTGACACTGATGATACAGTAAGAAACCTGTAAAATTCGAGCCATATAAATAAAACCTGTACTGTTCTAGTTGTTTTAATCTGTCTTTTTACATTGGCTTTTGTTTTCTAAATGTTCTCCAAGCTATTATATGTTTGGATTGCAGAAGAATTTGTAAGATGAATACTTTTTTTATATGTGCATTATTAAAAATGTTGAATGAAGCTAATTGTCAACTTTATTAAGGATTGCTTTGTGTGCCCACCACCTAGTGTAAAATAAAATCAAGTAATACAATCTTAAAAAATAAAGACAAACAAAAAAATTGAGTGAATAAAGGTTTTGTAAATATATAAAAGAACTTGCACTCTTCTCAAAAGGCTTTTCTCTTTTTTTTTTTTTTGACACAGTCTTGCTCCATTGTCCAGGCTGTAATATTAATAATAGCTCACTGCAGCCTCGACCTCCCAGGCTCAAGCAATCCTGCCTCAGCCTCCTGAGTACCTGGGACTACAGGTGCACCACCATGCCCAGCCAATTTCAAAATTTTTTGGTAGAAAGGGAGTCTCGCCATGTTGCTCAGGCTGGTCTTGAACTCCTGGGCTCAAGCGATCCTCCCACCTCAGCCTCTCAAAGTGCGGGGATTACAGGCATGAGCCACCACACCTGGCAATCTTTTCTCTTGAACATCTGTAGAAAGAACTGATTCCCCATTGGCATCATGAAAGTGAACCAGTTAATGTTGATGAAGCTACAGGATTAATGGCTTAGTTGTAATGCAGTGGCGATGCATCTCATTCCCTCAAAAAGACCAATAAGTTAAAGGTTTTCTACAATTTAAAAAAATACCCTAAGCCTTGGACCCACAATGTTATGGAAACAGGGTTAGACGAAACAGTTTCAACAACAAACAGCTGACATCATCCCTTGTTTTCGCCTGTGAGGCCAGCTGCAAGAGGTTATTATTACAGGGGAGAAAAACCGAGGCCTGAAGGAGGCAGACTGGGACTCGCGAAAGGAACATTGTAAAACACGTTTGTTTGCCAGGCGACCCCCCGGCAGCCTCACTAGTTGGTGGGTGCAGACAGTTAGCTGTGCAGTTTGCATCATTCTAGAACCAGCTGCCATGGCAACCCCCTTCAATGGGTCATTGTGGGAACCTCGGGCAACTTCAATCAGGCTGGGACAAGGCAAGATTCTCTAATGATGGGGACATTCCTTAGCTGCACAAACAGTCCTGAAGGCTGTACAGCTAGGTCTGAACCTGTCCACGAGCCCCTTTTGTGAGCTGGGTGGGTTGCCCTGTTGAGCTGCTTTTTAGAAGCCTTCATCCATCAAGGCAGGCCAGGGGGCAAGCTGCCTCTGGAGTGCCGGCACCTTGGATCCTGGTATCTGCCCATCCTGCCTGCAAGGCCCTCATAACTTGCCCTCAGCCACCCCAGGCAGCCCTGTCTCTAGTAACAATTTTTGTCTTGAAGTCTATCTTGTCTGAGAAGATCCCACTCTCCTCTGGTCACTGCTTGCAAGGAATATCTTTTGTTATTTTTTAATTTTTTTGAGATGGAGTTTCGCTTTTGTCACCCAGGCTGGAGTGTGGTGGCGCGATCTTGGCTCACTGCAAATTCTGCCTCCTGGGTTCAAGTGACTCTCCTGCCTCAGCCTCCCCAGTAGCTGGGATTAACAGGCTCCCGCCACCACGCCAGGCTAATTTTTTTTTTTTGACGGAGTTTCAGCTCTTGTTGCCCAGGCTGGAGTGCAATGGCGCAATCTCGGCTCACCACAACCTCCACCTCCCAGGTTCAAGCCGTTCTCAGCCTCCCAAGTAGCTGGGATTACAGGCATGTGCCATCACATCCGACTAATTTTGTATTTTTAGTAGAGACGGGTTTCTCCATGTTGGTCAGGCTGGTCTTGAATTCCTGACCTCAGGTGATCCACCCACCTCAGCCTCCCAAAGTGTTGGGATTATAGGGGTGAGCCACTGTGCCCCGCTGGAATATCTTTTTATATCATTTTACTTTTAACGTATTTGTGTCTTGTCTTTTTTTCGTAGAGACAGGATCTCACTCTGTCACCCAGGCTGGAGTGCAGTGGGGCCATCAGAGCTCACTGCAATCACCAACTCCTGGGCTCAAGTGATCCTCTTGCCTCAGCCTCCCAAAGAGCTGAGATTACAGGTGCATGCCACTGTGCCTGGCCCTATTTGTGTCTTTGAATCTTAAATGTGTCTCTTGCAAACCTCATATAGTAGTTAGGTCATGTTTTTTTTTTGTGTGTTTGTTTGTTTTTTATCTATTCTGCCAATCTCTGCTTTTTTTTGTGGTAAAATACCCATAATATTAAAGTATAAAAATATTTTAGTATTGGCCGGGCTTAGTGGCTCATGCCTGTAATCTCAGCACTTTGGGAGGCCAAGGCGGGTGGATCACGAGGTCAGGAGATCAAGATCATCCTGGCCAACATGGTGAAACCGCGTCTCTACTAAAAATACAAAAATTAGCTGGGTGTGGTGGCGGGCACCTACAGTCCCAGCTACTTGGGAGGCTGAGGCAGAAGAACTGCTTGAACCTGGGAGGCAGAGGTTGCAGTGAGCTGAGACCACACCACTGCACTCCAGCCTGGGCAACAGAGTGAGACTCCATCTCAAAAACAAACATATATATAAAAATGCAAAGAAAAATTAGCCAGGCATGGTGGCGCGCACCTGTATTTCCAGCTACTCAGGAGGCTGAAGCACGAGAGTCACTTGAACCTTGGAGGCAGAGGTTGCAGTGAGCAGAGATTGCACCAGTCCACTCCAGCCTGGATGACAGAGTGAGACTCTGTCTCAAAAAAATAAAAATAAAATAAAAATGAAGTGTGCAATTTGAGGGCATTTGGTATGTACACCACTATCTACTTCCAAGACACTTCATTCTCCTAAAAGGAAATCCCGTCCCTGTTACAGTCTCTCTCTGTTCCCCCCTTCCTGAGCCTCTGGAAACCACTAATCTACTTTCTGTCTCTATGAAATACACAGATTATGCCTTTAGATGAAATGTCCAGAATAGGCAAATCCGTAAGACAGAAAGCAGATTAGTGGTTGTCAGGGGTTGCAGGGAGGAGAAGTAAAGGGGAAATAGGGTTTTTTCCTTTCAGGGTGATGGAAATGGCTTAGAACTAGATAGAGGTGGCTGGCTGCACAACAATGTCAATATATCGTGTGCCACCGAATTTTCATTAATTCAGTGTTTAATGTCCACTTTTAAATGGTTGATTTTATGTTAGGTCAATTTCCCCTCAATTTATTTATTTATTTTTAATTTTTTTTTTTTGAGATGGAGTCTTGCTCTGTTGCCCAGGCTGGAGTGCAGTGGCGCAATCTCCGCCCACTAGAACCTCCACCTCCAGGGTTCAAGCGATTCTCGTGCCTCAGCCTCCTGAGTAGCTGGGATTCCAGGCATGCGCCACCATGCCTGGCTAATTTTTTTTTATTTTTATTTTTAGTAGAGACGGGTTTTCATGATGTTGGCCAGGCTGGTCACGAACTCCTGACCTCAAGTGACCCACCTGCCTCGGCCTCCCAAAGTGCTGGGATTACAGGTGTGAGCCACCACATCCAGCCAGTTTCCCCTCAATTTGAAAGAGAAGAGTGGTAACTTGGGAACGCTCTGAAAATGGCCCTGACTCCCAGGGAGATCCAGCTGGACACACCAACGGGCACAGTTCTGGCTCAGAGAGGACTAGGACATGCTGCCTCCAGGGATAGGAAGGCAGTCATCGCTGGATGGTCTCCTTTTTGGAGACAAGACTTTCTCCGTCACCCAGGCTGAAGGGCAGTGGTGCGATCTCAACTCACTGCAACACCTGCCTTCCAGGCTCAAGTGATTCTCCTGCCTCAGCCTCCCGAGTAGCTGGGATTACAGGTGCCTGCTACCACACCTGGCTAATTTTTTTTTTTTTTTTTTTTTTGAGACAGAGTCTCGCTCTGTCACCAGGCTGGAATGCAGTGGTGCGATCTCGGCTCACTGCAAGTTCCGCCTCCTGGGTTCAAGCGATTCTCCTGCCTCAGCCTCCCGAGTAGCTGGGACTACAGGCGCACGCAAGCATGCCCAGCTAATTTTTGTATTTTTAGTAGAGACAGGGTTTCACCATGTTGGCCAGGATTGTCTCGAACTCCTCACCTCAGGTGATCCACCCACCTTGGCCTCCCGAAATGCTGGGATTACAGGTGTGCGCCACTGTGCCTGGCCAAATTATTATTACTATTTTTAGACACAGGGGCTTGCTCTGTCCCCCAGGCTGGAGTTCAGGAGAGTGACTACAACTCACTGCAGCTTCCAACTCCTGGGGTTAAGTGATTCTCCCACCTCAGCCTCCTGAGGTAAGACTACAGGTGGACGCCACCACACCCGGCTAATTTATTCATTTTTTTATAGAGATGAGGTCTCACTACGCTGCCAAGGCTGGTCTTGAACTCCTGGGCTCAAGTGATCATCCCGCCTTGGCCTCCCAGTGTTGGGATTATAGGTGTGAGCCACTGTGCTCGGCTTATTTTCCCTTTCTTATTTCTTCTTGGGCTGCCAGTAACTGAACACTGTCCACGTGCTGGTCGGGGTTAGCAGGGGTCAGCAGTCAAAGGTGAGCCAGGGTCAGAGGCCACGCCTCAGCGCGCAGCTCCCTTGCCCACCAGCTGCTGGGCCTTCAGCCAATCACTGAGCTCCTCTGAGCGTCAGTTTCCTCTTCTGTAAGGCAGAAGGAATGCCTCTTTGCTGCTCCTCACAGGGCTGGTTCTTGGAGATTCTCACTCACTTGTGTCTATCTCCCCTGCTAGGCCGGGCGTGCCTGTTCACCGTGACTACTCTGGTACTTCTCCCATGGTAGCTCCTCCAGGCATTTTTTAGAAATTGGGGTAAGGCTGAGCACAGTAGCTCACGCTTCTAATCCCAGCACTTTGGGAGGCCAAAGCAGGAGGATCACTTGAGCCTAGGAGTTTGAGTCCAGCCTGGGCAACATAAGGAGACCCTATCTCTACAAACAATACAAAAATTAGCCAGGTGCAGTGGTGCACACCTGTGGTCCCAGTTACTCGGGAGGTTGAGGTGGGAGGATTGCTTGAGTCTGGGAGGTCGAGGCTACAGTGAGCCATGACTGAGTCACTGCACTCCAGCCTGGATGACAGAGTGACACCCTGTCTCAAAAAAAAATTGGGGTGAAATTCACATAATGTACAATTAGCCATTTTTAAGTGAACAATTCAGTGTCATTTAGTACATCAGTGAGGTTGTATAACTACCACCTCCATCTAGTTCCAAAACATTTTCATCACCCCAAAAGGAAACCCTATATCCACAAAGCAATTACTCCCCATTCTCTCCTCCTCCAAGCCCCTGGCAACCACTGCTTTCTGTCTCCATGGATTTACCTATTCTGGACATTTCGTATAAATGGAATCATACACTGGGTAGCCTTTTGTGTCTGGCTTCTTTGCAATACTTGATGGAGGCTGCAAGCTTGGCGTTTTGGTTGTGCCTGACTCTAAAGCACCCTTCTTCCCACTCTGCATAAGGAGATGGCCCATCGTAGGTGAGTAAGCAACAAGATGTCCCAGGAGAAGGCTGGGCGCAGTGGCTCACGCTTGTCATCCCAGCACTTTAGGAAGCCGAGGCAGGTGGATCAGTTGAGATCAGGGGTTTGAGACCAGCCTGGCCAACATAGTGAAACCCCATCTCTACTAAAAATACAAAAATTAGCCGGGTGTGGTGGCATGTGCCTGAAATCCTAGCTACTAGGGAGGCTGAGGCAGGAGAATCACTTGAACCCGGGAGGCGGAGGTTGCAGTGAGCCAAGATCACACCACTGCACTCCAGCCTGGGTGACAGAGCGAGACGGAGTCTCAAAAACAAAAAAAAGACGTCCCAGGAGAGAGCCAGTGGTGAAGGGAGGAAAAGAAGTGTCTGGAGGCTGGGGGCGTACCTTGGCCATGACTTCATCATGACCCTCCACCATCTTCCGGAGCTTGATCAGATGCCACAGGTCCTGGACGGGCCGGGCAGTGCCCTGGCTGGCTTCCAGCAGCTGGGCAGTGGAGGGCAGGTCCTGCAGCAGGGCCAGCTGGTTCTCCAACTTGTCGAGGCGGCTCACCACGTGGTCGAAGACATTGCTGAGCCTCTTCATGGGGTTGAGGATAGGCTGGGCGTCTCCTTCCCTGGGCATGATGACCACCTGCGAGGTCTGCAGGAAGTCCTCATCGCCTGAGAGGACTTTCTTGAGCTCGGCCATGTGGATGTGCTCCAAGATGCCGTGCAGCAGGAGGTGCAGGGCCTTGAAGTTCAGCACCCCGCACTGTGGGATGGCGATGTTGGCCAGCTCGGTGAACGTGAGTGAGAAGCTCATCCTGCCAGGGTGGGTCAGTGGGGCTGGGGTTCCAGGTGTCCTCAAGGACAAGGGGTAGCTTTCAGTGGTTCCGAGAGCTACATGGACTGGTCCTCAGAGGCCTGGGGTGGTGGTGAGTCACAGCAGTCAGGGAGGAATGGCCTCTGTTCTGGCTGGAGCTCAGATCAGAGTCTCTGGTTGCCAGGACACCAAAGAATGTGATGAAACGGGCGCAATTCAAAGTCTGGAGTGGGGCAGGTGCTCCCTGGTAAGCCTCACCCAGAGTAGGTGCTCAGTTAATATTGGATGAATGTTTGAATAGCTGATGGCAGCCTCTTCATTCAAGCCCTCTGGTGATGTGAGACTGGTAACTTTTTCCTAGAAGCACATATGGAAGGGATGGAGAGGCAGCTCCCTCCTTGGAATTTTCTCGAATCCGGGCAGAAGACAGGTTTCTTGGAGTTAGGAAGACCCAGGTTTTACAAAGAGATAAGAATCTGAAGTACTGGCTGGGTGGGTGTGGGGGTTCAGGCCTGTAATCCCAGCACTTTGGGGAGGCAAAGGCGGGAGGACTGCTTGAAGCCAGGAGTTCGAGAGCAGCCTGGGCAACATAGTGAGACCCTGTTTCTACAAAAAAAAATTTGTAATTAGCTGGATGTGCTGGCGCACATCTGTAGTCCCAGCTACTCAGGAGGATGGGGTGGGAGGATTGCTTGAAGCCAGGAGTTTGAGGCTACAGTGAGCTATGATTGTGCCACTGCACTTAGCCTGGGCAACAGAGTGAGACCTTGCCTCAAAAAAAAAAAAAAAAAGAAAAGAAAAGAAAAAGAAAAGAGAAAAGGCCGGGCACAGTGGCTGACATATGTAATCCCAGCACTCTGGGAGGCCAAGGCGGGTGGACCACGGGGTCAGGAATTCAAGACTAGCCTGGCCAAGACGGTGAAACTCCGCCTCTACTAAAAATACAAAAATCAGCCAGGCGTGGTGGCACGTGCCTGTAATCCCAGCTACTCTGGAGGCTGAGGCAGAGAATTGCTTAAATCCGGGAGGTGGAGGTTTCAGTGAGCCAAGATCGTGCCACTGCACTCCAGCCTGGGCGACAGAGCGAGACTCCGTCTCAAAAGAAAAAAAAAAGAATCTGAAGAACTACATTCATTTCTGGACGCATCCAAAGGCCCCCCACAGTGTTCCATTTTCTCGTGTGTGTGTGTGTGTGTGTGTGTGTGTGTGTGTGTGTGTGTAGTGTGTGTGACAAAGTCTTTCTCTGTTACCCAGGCAGGAGTGCAGTGGCGCGATCTCCGCTCACTGCAACCTCCGCCTCCTGGGTTCAAGCGATTCTCCTGCCTCAGCCTCCTGAGTAGCTGGGATCACAGGCGCCTGCCACCACGCCCAGCTAATTTTTATATTTTTAGTGGAGATGGGGTTTCACCATGTTGGCCAGGCTGGTCTCAAACTCCCGACCTCAGGTGATCTGCTTGCCTCAGCCTCCCAAAGCGCTGGGATTACAGGTGTGAGCCACCACACCTGGCCAAGTGTTCCATTTTCTGGGAAGGAGAGCCCAGGTGGTAAGAAGGGCATTGTCGGCTGGGCGCGGTGGCTCACGCCTGTAATCCCAGCACTTTGGGAGGCTGAGGTGGGCAGATCATGAGGTTAAGAGATGGAGACCATCCTGGCCAACATGATGAAACAAAAATTAGCTGGGCATGGTGGTGCGTGCCTGTAGTCAGCTACTCGGGAGGCTGAGGCAGGAGAATCACTTGAACCCGGGAGGCAGAGGTTGCAGTGAGCCAAGATTGTGCCATTGCACTCCAGCCTGGTGACAGAGCAAGACTCCGTCTCAAACAAAGAAGGGCGATAGGCTGGGTGCGGTGGCTCACGCCTGTAATTCCACACTTTGGGAGGCCGAGGCGGGCAGATCACGAGGTCAGAAGATTGAGACCATCTTGGCTAACAGTGTGAAACCCCGTCTCTACTTCAAAAAATATACAAAAAATTAGCCAGGCATGGTGGCGGGTGCCTGTAATCCCAACTACTCGGGAGGCTGAGGCAGAAGAATCGTTTGAATCTGGGAGGCGGAGCTTGCAGTGAACCGAGACCGCACCACTGCACTCCAGCCTGGGCGACAGAGCAAGACTCTGTCTCAAAAAAAAAAAGAAAAAGAAAAAGAAAAAAAGGGCGTTGTCCTTTCTAGGCCCTGCATGTCCCTGCCCACCCAAGTGACGGTGCCCTCACCAGACCCTGCTCTGCTCCCCGCTTGAGCTGGGCTCTTCACAACCCCTGTGCTCTCAAACAGGGTCTCAGCCCTGCTCTGACATCATAAGGACATGGCCAAGAGCCAGCTGCCACAGGACCAGGAGGCTGCGTGGAGATATGAGGTATGGTCAGGCTCTGCTTGGTCAGTTCTGGGACAAGAGAATCCCAGCCTGCTTGTCTCCTGGGAAAGTCTGCAGGGACACTCTCGGCTTAACACCGGGAGCCCTGACTCCCAACCCAGCCAGCACTGTGATCCCACATTCCTGGTCCCGCGCCACACAGCAGGAGCCCTGCTGAGGGATTCCACATTGAGTTCATGCAGGTGGGGAGGCAAATCCTTGCACCAGCTGTGGAATCTTGAGCAAGTGACTTAACCTCTCTGAGCCTCAGCTTCCCTCTCTGCTAAATGGGGAAATAAAACATGGCGGCTAGAAATAACATATGTAACATGCCAGGCCAGTGCTGATGGAAAACGTTTCTTGCAGTCAGGCGCTGTGGCTCATGCCTGTAATCCCAGCACTTTGGGAGGCCAAAGTGGGCGGGTTGCTTGAATCCAGGAGTTGGAGAGCAGCCTGAGCAACATAGCAAGACACCATCTCTACAAAATAAAAAATTAGCTGAGCGTAGTGGCTCACACCTGTAATCCCAGCTACTCAAGAGGCTGAGGCAGGCAGATCGCTTGAGCCCAGGAGTAGAGCGTGAGACCAGCCTGCACAACACGGTGAAACCCCATCTCTAAAAAATATACCAAAATTAGCTGGGCATGGTGGTGTGTGCCTGTAATCCCAGCTACTCGAGGCTGCAGTGAGCCAGAATCACACCCCTGCACTCCAGCCTGGGCAAGAGAGTGAGACCCCATCTCAAATAAAACAAAATACAAATCGCTCCTTGACCAGAACTGATCTGGCAGCCACTCTTGCCAATGGTTAGAACTGTGGGAGCAAGAGTCCAGGAAAACGCCTTCTGAATTGAACAGTGGGATATTTTCAGGGATGCTGCTTGTGAATCAATCCCATGTTCCTACTTCACAACAGATGCTTCTGCAGAGGTCATTACCAGTCCATCCACAAAACCTGGCTCTTCAGCCAGGCGTGGAGGCAGACAATGAGATAACAGCTGGGCAAAGGTAACCCAAGGAGGCTCCTCTGGGGAGGTGACATCTGAGCTGAGACCTGAAGAGAGGGCATTCCTGAAGCTCTTTCAGAATAGAGACCTTCTCTTTCTTCTCTGTCTTTCTAGTATCAGAACACAGATCCCTGCACACAGTAGGTGCTCAGTAAGTGTTTGCTAAATGGATGATAGCTCCGAAGGAGCTGTCAACTCTCATGGGGCCATATTAATGATAGAAATATTATAAAATAAATGTTAACACTGTAACCATTCATGTTTCTTTTAGAATAATTTAGCATTTAAATGTGAAGTTCTGGCAACACCAAGCATTGGCAAGCATATGAACAACAGATCTCTCATCTGCTCTGACAGAGCAGAAATTAGCAGACTTTGGAAAACTGTTTGGCAGGGTCTGCAATGCTGAAAAATTGCACACACTGTGACCCAGCCAGTCCAGCCCTCGACCGGAACCCACCAGGAATTGACATACACCATGCACAAGGATGTTTGTGACAGCACTACTCATAGTAGCTAAAAATTCCCATCCAACTATCGCATATTCAAACAGTAGACTATAACACAGCAGTGAGAATGAACAAAGACAACTACATGTAATAGTGGGATGAATTTCTTTTCTTTTCGTTTCTTTTTTTTTTTTTTTTTTTTGAGACAGAGTCTAACACTGTCGCCCAGGCTGGAGTGCAATGGCGCGATCTCGGCTCACCGCAACCTCCATCTCCTGGGTTCAAGCGACTCTCCTGCCTCAGCCTCCCAAGTAGCTGGCATGACAGGCACATGCTACCATGCCAGGCTAATTTTTGTATTTTTAGTAGAGATGGGGTTTCACCACGTTGCCCAGGCTGGTCTCGAGCTCCTGACCTCAGGTGATCTGCCTGCCTTGGCCTCCCAAAGTGCTGGGATTACAGGCGTGAGCCACCGCGCCCGGCCAACTTTCATTGATATAAAATTGAGCGGAATTACATACATAAAAGGGTTCATGCTGTATGAAACCATTGCTATAAAAAGTCCCCAAACTGCAGCCATAAAAAAGGATGAGTTCATGTCCTTTGCAAGGACGTGGATGAAGCTGTAAACTATCATCCTCAGCAAACTAACACAGGAAAAGAAAACCAAACACCGCATATTCTCACTCATAAGTGGGAGGTGAACAATGAGAACACATGGACACAGGGAGGGGAATGTCACACACCGGGGCCTGTCGTGGGGTGGGGGAAGCAAGGGGAGGGAGAGCATCAGGACAAATACCAAATGCAGGCAGGGCTTAAAACCTAGATGATGGGTTGATAGGTGCAGCAAACCACCATGGCACATGGACACCTATGTAACAAACCTGCACATTCAGCACATGTATCCCAGAATTTAAAAAGAAACAAATGGCCAGGCGCGGTGGCTCAAGCCTATAATCTGAGCACTTTGGGAGGCCGAGGTGGGCAGATCACGAGGTCAGGAGATGGAGACATCCTGGCTAACATGGTGAAACCCCATCTCTACTAAAAAAATACAAAAAATCAGCCAGGCATGGTGGCGGGTGCCTGTAGTCCCAGCTACTGGGGAGGCTGAGGCAAGAGAATGGCGTGAACCTGGGAGGCGGAGCGTGCAGTGAGCCAAGATCAAGCCACTGCACTCCAGCCTGGGCGACAGAGCAAGACTCCGTCTCAAAAACAAACAAACAAACAAAAGTCCCGAAATGGAGTAAACAAATCTTAGGTGTTGGAGGTGAGGCGAGTGGTTATCCTTGGGTGACCTCATGCTTGGAAGGAAGCATGAAGCTGAGCTGTAGGGGAGTGGGCACGCTGGTGTGGCCAGTTTGGGAAAATTCATCAAGCCATTCGCTTCTAATATGGGCACTTCTTTTTTTTGAGATAGGGTCTCACTGTCACCCAGGCTGGAGTGCAGTGGTGCGATCGCAGCTCACGCAGCCTCAAACACCTGGGTTCCAGCAATCCTTCTGCCTCACCCTCCGAGTAGCTAAAACCATAGGTGTGCAACACCTCTCCTGGCTGATTATTTTTATTATTGCGGAGATGGGTCTCACCATGTTGGCCAGGCTGGCCTCAAACTCCTGGCCTCAAGCGGTCCTCTGGCCTCAGCCTCCCAAAGTCCTGGGATTATAGGCGTGAGCCACCGCGCCCGACCCTGAGCACTTTTCTGTATCAAAGTTCTGGGAATCTGCAATGATTCAAACAAATTAAGAGGCCAACAACGTGGATTCCATTTGGGTTTTGCTGGCTCAGCTCCAGTGGGCTCCTTCCCAGTTCTTGCTGCGTGTAAAGAAAGATTTTTGCAAAAAAAAATCTGGCCTGAATATAACAGCTTCTTCTCTCACCTCAGTGTGTGCTGACTCACACCCATGCCAGGAGAGCAGCTTGGGCAGTGAGCAGCACCATGAGGCTAGAACCACAAGACCTGGGGTCTGCTGGGCATGCGTTGTGTGGCCCTGAGCCTGTGCCTTAAACCCTCCACGTAGGTTTAGGAGCTGGAGGTAAACATTTGCAGGTTCCTTGTTGAGATGAAGGGAGGTGAGGAGAGTGGCATGGTACCCAGCACAAAGTGCTCACTGACGTTAGCTGCATCTCCCAAAATGAGTACATGATTTTGTTTGAGGCTTTCAAGGCAACAATGCATTAGCTTGATGCTGGAGAGGGGGCCAAGGAGGAAGGAGAGAACATGGGAGGAGAGAGGTACCTCCTTGGACCAGTCAGTGTTTGCTCTGATGTGCAGAACTGCATTCAAAATGCTCTGGGGTTTTGTATTACAAAAATTACTGTAATCTCAGCACTGTGGGAGGCTGAGATGGGCGGATCACGTGAGGTCACTACTTAGAGACCAACCTGTCCAACATGATGAAACCCTGTCTCTACTAAAATTATAAAAATTAGCTGGGCATGGTGGCGGGTGCCTGTAATCCTAGCTACTTGGGAGGCTGAGGCAGGAGAATCGCTTGAGCCCGAGAGGCAGAGGTTGCAGTGAGCTGAGATCATGCCATTGCACTCCAGCGGGGGCAACAAGAGTGAAACTGTCTCAAAAAAAAAAAAAAAAATTACCCACTGTGTGCTCTAACCAGCTCAATAACAGAAGATACAGAAACAGGCAAAGTGAGTACATGAGTTCATTTGCATTGCTATAAAAGAATACCTGAGACTGGGTAATTGATAAAGAAAAGAGGTTTTGGCTCACGGTTCTGCAGGCTGTACACAAAGCACAGCGCCAACATCTGCTCCTGGTGAGGCCTCAGGAAGCTTCAAATTGTGGAAGGCGAAGGGGAGTCGGCATGTTGCATGGTGAGAGAAGAGCAAGAGAGTGGGGAGATGCCAGGCTCCTTTTTATTTTATTTTGTTTTATTTTTTTGAGACAGGGTCTCTCTGTGTTGCCCAGGTCTTGGCTCACTGCAACCTCTGCCTCCCAGATTCAAGCGATTCTCCTGCCTCAGCCTCCCAAGTAGTTGGGATTGCAGGCGCCCGCAACCCTGCCCGGCTAATTTTTGTATTTGTAGTAGAGATGGGGTTTCCCTATGTTGGCCAGGCTGGTTTTGAATTCCTAACCTCAGATGATCCACCTGCCTCGGCCTCCCAACGTGCTGAGATTACAGGATTACGGGTGTGAGCCACTGTGCCCAGCTGGTATTCTGGTTGGTTGTTTTTTTTTTTTTTTTTTTAGACAGAGTCTTGCTCTGTCGCCCAGGCTGGAGTGCAGTGGCGCGATCTTGGCTCACTGCGAGCTCCGCCTCCCAGGTTCACGCCATTCTCCTGCCTCAGCCTCCCGAGCAGCTGGGACTACAGGCACCCGCCACCACGCCTGGCTAATTTTTCTATTTTTAGTAGAGACGGGGTTTCAACGTGTTAGCCTGGATGGTCTTGATCTCCTGACCTTGTGATCCACCCACCTTGGCCTCCCAAAGTGCTGGGATTACAGGCGTGAGCCACCGCGCCCGGCCTGGTGTTCTGTTTTGATGTGGTGCTGGTTGCAATAGTGAGTGAGGTTTGTGAAAATTCTTCAACCTTAACACTCATATGCACTTTTTTTAATAGGGTCTCCATATAAGACTCGGGTCTTATTTTAACTCTGGCCTAAAAGAACTAAACTAAGAGAGATAAACATCACCCCTCGGTCTCTGTAATGCAAACTGCAAGACAGGAAAGGAAAGGCAAGGAAGGGACTCCACCACATCCCCAGTGCCACTGTGTTGCCAGCAGATGGCACTGGTTATAGAGAAAGTGGAAGAGCTCCCACTTTTCTTTTTTTTTTTTTTTGAGAGTCTCACTTTGTCACCCAGGCTGGAGTGCAATGGCGTGACATTGCAACCTTGGCTCACTGCAACCTCCGCCTCCCGGGTTCAAGCGATTCTCCTGCCTCAGCCTCCCGAGTAGCTGGGATTATAGGCATGCACCACCACGCCTGACTAATTTTTGTATCTTTAGTAGTGATGGGGTTTCACCATGTTGGCCAGGCTGGTCTCAAACTCCTGACCTCAGGTGATCCACCTGCCTTGGCCTCCCAGAGGGCTGGGATTACAGGAATGAGCCACCACGCCCAGCTGAGCTCCTGCTTTTCATACTTTTAGGCGCAAAAGTTCTTGGGAGCCCCATGGGCTGGCTCTGCTGAAGGTCAGCAGGTGTTCCCCCACTGGTGGGAGAATGGTCTTCTGGTAGCAGGTGCCACGAGGTAGAAAGACACCTGTCACTGAAGATGTCCCGGGCCTACAGCACTCCTGCTGCCCCAATTATGGTGAAATCTGGACTAAAAATAAGAGGTGGTGGCTTTGCAGTACCGATGTGAGTCTCAGAGGCGCGCCTTGGGTGCCAGGGAGGAGGAGCTGCGTTCTGCAGAAAGTGAACGTTGCCCAGGAAAAGGTGACACAAGCAGCTCCTCTGCAAGCCTGAAAATAATGCCATTCAGGACAGCCGTGGGCTCCTGATCTGACAGCGAGTGAGGCAGGAACATGAGGAACATCGTCCTGTCTCCGGGCCTGCGTTTACTTTGTTATTTCATCACATGTCCGAATTCTCCCGGAGCGGCTTTTTGTGTAGCCCTGCCCCTCCTTTTCTGATAACAGCTTTATTAAGATATAATTCATCTAACATACAATCCATCCATGTATAATTCAATGGCTTTTAGTATATTTGCAGATAGTTGCAAACACCATGACAATCAATTTTAGAACATTTCATTACCCTAAAAAGAAAACTCAGCCGGGTGCAGTGGCTCACCCCTGTAATCTCAGCTACCCAGGAAGCTGAGGAAGGAGGACTGAAGACAGCTTGAGCTCAGGAGTTTGGACTAACCTGGGCAATACTGGGAGACCTTATCTCAAGGAAGGAAGGAAGGGAGGGAGGGAGGGAAAGAGAGAATGAGAGAGAGAGAGAGGGAGGGAGGAAGGAAGCAAGGAAGGAGAAAGAAAGAAAGAAAGAAAGAAAGAAAGAAAGAAAGAAAGAAAGAAGGAAGGAAGGAAGGAAGCAAGGAAGGAAGGAAGGAAGGAAAGAAAGAAAGACAGAAAGAAAGAGAAAGAAAGAAAGAAAGGAAGGAAAGAGGAGAGGAGAGGAGAGGAGAAAACCTGTACCCATTAGCACTCACCTCCCATTTCGCCTGAACTCCCCACGCCCTAGGTAACCACTAATCTATTTTCTGACTTTCTGTCTCTATGGGTTTGCCTATTCTGGACATTTAATGTAAACTGAATCACACAATAAGTGGGCCGTGCGCAGTGGCTCACATCTGTAATCCCAGCACTTTGGGAGGCCAAGGTGGGTGGATTACTTGAGGTCAGGAGTTCAAGATCAGCCTAGCCAACAAGGTGAAACCCCATCTCTACCATAAATACAAAAATTAGCTGGGTGTGGTGGTGGGCACACCTGTAATTCCAGCTACTTGGGAGGCTGAGGCAGGAGAATCGCTTGAACCTGGGATGTCGAGGTTCCAGTGAGCCAAGATCATACCACTGCACTCCAGCCTGGGCGACAGAGCGAGACGCTGTCTCAGAAGAGAAAAACAATAAGTGGTCTTCTGTGACTGGCTTCTTTCACTTAGGAAGGGCTTCTTTCACCGGGGGCGGTGGCTCATGCCTATAATCCCAGCTCTTAGGAAGGCAGCGGCAGGAGGATAGCTTGAGCCCAGGAGTTACAGACCTGCCAGGCAATATATCGAGACCCTATTCTCCACAAAAAGGAAAAAAGACAAAAAAAGAGAGAAATGGATGGCTTCTTTCACTCAGAGTGTTCTCAAGGTTCATCCACGTTGTAGCACGGATCAGTGCTTCATTCCTTTTTATGGAATGAATAATATTCCATTATATGGAGATCACACGTTGTTTATCCATTCATCAGTTGATGAACATTTGGTTGTGTCAAAGAAAACCAGAGCTGTTGGGTGTGGTGGCTTATGCCTGTAATCTCAGCACTTTAGGAGGCTAACTAAGATGGGAGGACTGCTTGAGCCCAGGAGTTTGAGGCCAGCCTGGGCAACGCGGTGAGACCCTGTCTCTACAAAAATAACAAATAAATAGCTGGGCATAATGGCACATGCCTGTAGTCCTAGCTCCTCAGGAGGCTGAGGCAAGAGGATCGCTTGAGCTTGGAAGGTCGAGGCTGCAGTGAGCCATGATTGCCGCCACTGCACTCCAGCCTGTGCAACACAGTGAGACCCTGTGTCTTAAAAAAAAAAAAAAAAAAAAAAGTCCGGGCGCGGTGGCTCCCGCCTGTAATCGCAGCACTCTGGGAGGCCGAGGCAGGCAGATCACGAGGTCAGGAGATCAAGACCATCCTGGCTAACACGGTGAAACCCCATCTCTACTAAAAACACAAAAAATTAGCTGGGCGCGGTAGCGGGCGCCTGTAGTCCCAGCTACTCGGGAGGCTGAGGCAGGAGAATGGCGTGAACCTGGGAGGTGGAGCTTGCAGTGAGCCGAGATTACACCACTGCACTCCAGCCTGGGTGACAGAGCCAGACTCCGTCTCAAAAAAAAAAAAAAAGAAAGAAGGAAAGAGGCTAGGCATGGTGGCTCATTCCTGTAATCCCCGTACTTTGGGAGGCCAGGGTGGGCGGATCATGAGGTCAGGAGTTCGAGATCAGCCTGGCCAACATGCTGAAACCCCATCTCTACTGAAAATACAAAAATTAGCCGGGCATGGTGGTGTGCACCTGTAGTCCCAGCTACTCGGGAGGCTGAGGCGGGAGAATCGCTTGAACCTGGGAGGCGGAAGTTGTGGTGAGCTGAGATCGCGCCATTGCACTCCAGCCTGGGCAACAGAGCGAGATTCTGTCTCAAAAAAATGAAAGAAAAAGAGAAAAAGAAAACCAGAGCTGGACAGTAATTAAAGCTGTAAAAACAAATTTTATTCAGGACTATTGCAATAGGGGAAAAGAGACCTCAGTACAGAAATAGGCTCAACTCCGAATACAACAAGGGAAAATAGAGATTGATAGCCAAGGAGTGGGAGGTGGGTGCTGTTGGTGGATGGAAAGTTACTAGGAGAGGAGGGTAATTCTTTGCTAAATTGAGTCTAACAAGAGTCTTGCTGAAGGCAGGTCAGGGTGATCAAATATCACCTGGAGGATGATGGGGGTTGTGAAATTTGGACAGATATGCAGGGGCGATTCTGGCTAAATCAATTTAACAGAATTCTTGCTGAAACCCGGCTTGGCTAGGTGCAGCGGCTCACGCCTGTAATCCCAGCACTTTGGGAGGCCAGGCCACAAGGATCGCTTGAGCTCAGGAAGTTGACACCAGCTTGGGCAACAAGCAAATTAAAAAATATATATAGCTGGTTGTGGTTGCATGCACCTGTAGTCCCAGCTACTTGGGAGGCTGAGACAGGAGGATCACTTGAGCTCAGGAGCTTGAGGCTGCAGTGAGCTATCATCGCGCCACTGCACTCCAGCCTGGGTGACAGAACAGACCCTGTCCCTAAACAAACAACTGAGTGACGCAAAGACAGATACAGAAGTCCAAAAATTGAGGTCTGGCGGGGGAGAGGATTCAGAAGAGCACCCAACTAACGTCTGGTCATTAGAGAGGAGCACCCAACTAATGTCTGGTCATGGAGAACCTGTTAGTTGTTTTGACTTTTTGGCTATTATGAATATAAACATCCATGCTATGATATGAATACCTGCTATGCATATTCGTGTACTATAGGTTTTTATGCGGCTGTGTGTTTTATCTTGGGTGCAATCCTAGGAGTGGGACTGCTGGGTCACATAGTGGCTCTACGTTCAATCTTTCGAGGAATACCGCCTTTACGTTTGCATATACACTTCAATCGTCTCATCTAGTCCCCAGTTCCCGTCAACAGCAAGTGGGAGATGACAATTTCATTTTTGGAGGTGAGGGAGCTGAGGCCCAGAGCACTCAGAGGCTAACAAATAATACCAGCTGCCATTGGTCTGAGGGCTGGCTGTGTGCCAGGCACTATGAGCAGTGACCTAAATGCATTAAGCCATCCCATCCTCGCAACAGCCCCGTGAAATTGCTATTAGGTTTACCCTCATTTGGTAGTCAGAAAAATTAAATATACCTATTTTTCAGACAGGGTCAGGCTCTGTCACCCAGGCTGGAGTGCAGCAGCGTGATCACCAGGCTCACTGCAACTCCAGCCTCCCGGTCTTAAGCGATCCTCCCACCTCAGTCTCTGGAGTAGCTGGGACCACAGGCACGTGCACCACACCCAGCTAATATTTTTGTATTTTTTGTAGATACCGGGTTTTGCCATGTTGCCCAGGTTGGTCTCAAATTCCTGTGCTCAAGTGAACTGCCTGCCTTGGCCTCCCAAAGTTCTTGGATTACATGAGTGAGCCATTGCGTCCAGCCAGAAAAATGAAATATTTTGGAGAGGGCCGTGAAGTGGTGTGTCCTAAGACTTGAACCCAGTTCCAGCTCACTACATTTCTGGTTCTCACTGGCTCTCAAACCCTCCGCTACTCAGTGGGCTCCAGAGATCAGCAAGTTTTCACCCAGTACATAGCATGGTAATGTTCACGTTGACTGTTCTATTTGACTTTTACTGCATGGGACACTTGGGACCAACCCTTTGCCTACCCTAGGCCCTACCCCCTCTATGACCCCTCCTTAGTTTCCACAGGTCCTTCCTCTGGATCCATCCTAGAGCCCCTTCCCTTCCCAGTGGGTCCTCCTGCCTCAAATTTGCACCCCCTCCACACTGTCAGAATGATTTGTCTAAAACATGAATCCTGGCGGGGTGCGGTGGCTCACACCTGTAATCCCAGCACTTTGGGAGGCCTAGGTGGGAGGATCACTTGAAGTCAGGAGTTTGAGACCAGCCTGGCCAACATGGTGAAACCCTGTCTCTACTAAAAATACAAAAATTAGCCAGTTGTGATGGTATGTGCCTGTAATTCCAGCTACTTGGATGGCTGAGGCAGAAGAATCGCTTGCCAAGAGGCAGAGGCTGCAGGGAGCCAAGATCGCGCCACTGCAATCTCTGTCCCAAAATAAAATAAAATTTAAATAAAAATAAAAACAAAGATAAATAAATAAAATACGGATCATGGCTAGGTATGGTGACTCATGCCTGTAATCGCAGCACTTTGGGTGGCCAAGGTGAGAGGATCACTTGAGCCTAGGAGTTCAAGACCAGCCTGGCAACCTAGTGAGACCCTGTTTCTATTTTAATATAAATTAATTAATTAATTAAAATAAAACAAGAATCTAGTCATATTACTCAGCCCAAAATTCTCAACATTACATCACCCACTACCTACCCAATAGGATACAGTCTAAATTCCACAGATTGGTCTATAAGGCCCTCATGTTTCCTCACCCTCTGCCCTCCTCTTTCATATCCTACCACCCAACCATACAGAACTGCTTGCATTTCCCCACACACTCTGTGTTTCATTTCTCTGCAACTTTGCATTAGCAGCTCTAACTACTTGGAGTACCCTACCCCACTTCTTTCACCTGGGGAATCCTACACATCCTTCAAGCCCCAACTTAAACGTCCTCCTCTCTGAAGCCTTCCTTGTTCGGGCACTCCCTCTCCTGAACTCTCAAAGCACTCTGTTTTGACATCTTGAACATAAGCTATTATATTAGTCTCCCGTGCTGGACTGTGTGCGCTTTGAGGACAGAGATGGGGCTTTATTCCATTTTGTGTATTTCCAGGCCTAGAACAGGACCTTGCTTGGTCAAATGAGTAAATGAATAAATATTCTAGATCTGTGCTGTCCAATACAGTAGCCACAAGCCATATGTGGCTACTGAGCCCCTGAAATGTGACTGCTCCAAATTGAGATGTCCTGTAAATATAAAGTACACACTGCATTTCAAAAACAGTGTGAAAAAAGAGTAAAATATATCATTGATAATTTTTTTTTTTGAGACAAAGTTTTGCTTGTCGCCCAGGCTGGAGTGCAATGGTGTGATCTTGCCTCACTGCAACCTCCGCCTCCCAGTTGAAGCTATTCTCCTGCCTCAGCCTCCCGAGTAGCTGGGATTACAGGCGCCTGCCACCATGTCAAGCTAATTTTTTGTATTTTTAGTAGAGACGGGGTTTCACTATATTGGCCAGGCTGGTCTTGAACTCCTGACCTCAGGTGATCTGCCCACCTTGGCCTCCCAAAGTGCTGGGATTACAGGCATGAGCCACTGCGCCTGGCTGATAATTTTTTATGTTGATTACTGAAACAATATTTTGCATATATTGAGTTAAATGTATTATTAAAATTAATTTCACCTGTGTCTTTTTATACTTTTAATGTGGTTACTGGGAAATTTTTATTTTCAAATTTTTATTTATTTATTTTTTTAGAGACTGAGTCTAACTCTGTTGCTCAAGCTGGACTGCAATGGCGCAATTCTTGCTCACTGCAGTCTCAAACTCCTGGGCTCAAGTGATCCTCCTGCCTCAGCCTCCTGAGTAGGTGGGACTATGGGCATGAGCCACCACAGCTGGCTAATTTTTTAATTTTATAAATTTTTTTGTAGAGATGGGAGACTCACTATGTTGCTCAGGCTAGTCTCAAACTCTTGAACTCAATCTCCCAAAATGTTGGTATTACAGGTGTGAGCCACAGGGACCAGCCTGGAAATTTCTGGATTACATATGTGCTGGTCGCCCAGCCTTCTATTTGCCTCTCTTGGTCTAAACCATTCTCCACACTGTAGTCAGATGATCCTGTGAAATGTCAATCGAATCATATAAGTGGCCACAAACACTGAATTAAGCAAACACTGAACCACTGCTTCTGGGGGAACAACCTAGGTTCCTGTGAGCCTGTGGACACAACATTTTTGTCAACCAATCAATAACCTTGTTTATAGGTGTTTCTGTTTAAAGGCAACTTAGTTAATATACACTGTTGATTCAGTGCAATTGAACTCAATTGCCTGCACCAAGCTAACTGAGCACAGCTGTTTTCTCTATAAGGCAAATCACCACCTTCTTGCACTGAGGAATGCTAGACAGCACTTCTGCACAACACTAAGGGCCATTTTAAACACCAGAATCACCAATAAAAAGCGTAAAAATAAATGAGAAAAAGATGACACTAAATAGACCAAAAAGGAGACTTGTAGGCAGCGCTGCCCTATTATTTTTAGAGACAGGGTCTCACTCTGTTGCCCAGGCTGGAGTGCAGTGGCACAATCCCAGCTCACAGCAGCCTCGACCTGCTGGGCTGAAGGGATCCTCCCACCTCAGCCTCCCGAGTGGCTGGGATAGAAGGCGAGTGCCACCATGACAGCCCAGTGTTGCCTTATTTGACCTCAGTGGAGAATGTGCAGGATCGTTATGTCCATGAATGAATGAGAAAGCACCACAAGTATTGATTTTGGGATTAGAAATAAATGTTAGTGAGTAGGCAAATTTGCAAACACAAAATCCATAAATAATGAAGATTGACTGTAACTCTACTGCTTAAAACTCTTCAAGGGCTTTAAATTCCACTTGAAATAAAATCCAGGCCGGGCGCGGTGGCTCACGCCTGTAATCCCAGCACTTTGGGAGGCAGAGGCGGGCGGATCACGAGGTGAGGAGATCGACACCAGCCTGACCAACATAGTGAAACTCAGTCTCTACTAAAAATACAAAAATTAGCCAGGCGTGGTAGCAGGTACCTATAGTCCTAGCTCCTCAGGAGGCTGAGGCAGGAGAATTGCTTGAACCTGGGAGACGGAGGTTGCAGTGAGCCGAGATCGAGCCACTGCACTCCAGCCTGGTGACAGAGCGAGACTCCATCTAAAAAAAAAAAAAAATCCAAACTGCAGACAGGTATGGTGGCTTATGCCTGTAATCCCAGCTACTTGGGAGGCTGAGGCAGGAGGACTGCTTGAGCCTAGGAGTTGTCACAGTGAGCTATGATCATGCCACTGTACTCCAGCCTGGGTGCCTGATCAAGATCCTATCTCAAAAAAAAAAGAAAGAAGAATCCAGAGTTTTATTTTATTTTGAGAGAGTTTTGCTCTGTCTCCCAGGCTGGAGAGCAGTGGTGTGATCTTGGCTCACTGCAACCTCTGCCTCCTAGGTTCAAGCAATTCTCCTGCCTCAGCCTCCCGAATAGCTGGGATTACAGGCGTGTATGCCGGGCTAATTTTTGTATTTTTAGTAGAGACGGGGTTTCACTGTGTTGGCCAGGCTGGTCTCAAACTCCTGACCTCAAGTGATCTGCCTGCCTCGGCCTCCCAAAGTGCTGGGGTTACAGGCATGAGCCACCACGCCTGGCCAGAGTTCTTAAAATGACCTACAAATCTCAACATGACTTGGATCCAGCCTGCCCCACTGACATCCTCACCTTTCTGACTCTCTCACCCAAGGCAATCCCTCCCTCTGGAATGCCCTTCCAGAATAGAATGTCTTTTCAATTTCATGCCCCTGCCTCAGCATCGCCTCCTCTGAGAGGCCTTTTCTAACCAACCTGTCTAGTGGCACCACCCCGTAACTCTGTTAGGGCGTCCCTTCCTCTCCTTCACAGTCCTGGGCATTTTGTGGTTTCCTTGTATACTGTCTGTAACAAAGGAAGTACCTGAGCAAGTAGCCACCCAGTGGGTTCTTCTTCCTGGCTGCCCAGATAGAGCCAATGTATCAAGACAGGGGAACTGCAATAGAGAAAGAGTTTAATCCACACAGAGCTGGCTGAATGGGAGACCAAAGTTTCATTACTCAAATCAGTCTCCCTGGAAATTCAGAGCCTAGAGTTTTTAAAGGGTAATTTGGTAGATAAGCTGCCAAGGAGTAGGGAGTGCTGATTGGTGGGGTGGGAGATGAAATCACAGGGTGTTGAAGGATGCAAGAACTGGTTGAGTCAGATTACAGCTCTAGGTGGCCTTGGCTGGTGCATCAGACTGCAGGGTCAGAAAAACACCTAAGAGTACCAATCTTAGGTTTTACAATAGTGATATTATACCTAGGATCAACTGGGGAGGTTTAGAATCTTGTGGCCTCTGGGTGCATGACTCCTAAACCGTAATTTCTTTCTTTCTTTCTTTTTTTGAGATGGAGTCTCAGTCTCTTGCTCAGGCTGGAGTGCAGAGGCATAATCTCAGCTCACTGCAACCTCCATCTCTCGGGTTCAAGCAATTTTTGGGCTTCAGCCTCCCTAGTAGTTGGGATTACAGGTGCGTGCCACCATACCCGGCTAATTTTTGTATTTTTAAATAGAGACATGGTTTCACCATGTTGGCCAGGCTGGTCTCAAACTCCTGACCTCAAGTGATCCACCTGCGTCAGCCTTCCAAAGTGCTGGGATTACAGGCGTTAGCCACTGAGCTGGGCCCTAAACTATAATGTCTAATCTTGTAGCTAACGTGTTACTCTTACAAAGGAAGCCTGGTTCTCAGGCAACAAGGGGGTTTGTTTTGGGAAAGGGCTGTTAACTATCTTTGTTTCAATATTAAACTATAAACTAAGTTGCTCCCAAAGTTAGTTCTGCCTATGCCTAGGAATGAACAAGGACAACCTGGAGGTTAGAAGCAAGATGGAGTGGGTTAGGTCAGCTCTCTTTCACTGTCATAATTTTCTGTTGTAATTTTTGCAAAGGCAGTTTCAAGCGCAGGGACAGTGACCGTGTGGTTCAAGGTTTTATGTAATGCACCTCCCAAACTCAATAAATATTAGTCGCATAAAAGAAAAAATGCAGCCCTGGAGGAAGATGCCCTGCCCTGTTGCTGGCATGAGTGAAGAGGAGGCGCTCACAGGGACGGTTCTTTCCCTATTCTCCAGCCTCGTGTACATTGGGCAAACAGGCCCCGACCATCCCACGTGCTCAGCCCCAGCTCTAGGCCAAATCGCCTCCGCTCCCACTGACGTCATCACGGCGCATCACGTGCCTCCCGAGACCCCACCCCCCACCGTGACGTCCCGGGCCTCGGCCCTGGTCCAAAGTCTACCCGCCTCCTTGTGACAGAAGTGCGACTGCCAGCTGCCGAGGCGTTCGGTCCTGCTGTTGCGGCCGCTGCCCCAGGGCTGCGGGGACGGTGAGTCGACTGGACGCATTCGGAGACGGCTTCGCGCGGGAGCCCTCCTCCCCGGGGGAAGGGTCTGGGCGCCAGCTCTCCTCAGGTCGGGGCGTGACCTCGGACCGTGGCGCCCCCTCCCCGCCCCCGCCCGCGGCGCCTGGGCGGTGCATGCCGGGCACCGTAGTCCCCAGCCTCTCAGAGCGGGTTGTGGTGGGGGGGGTGACCGGGCGGACTACAAGTCCTAGAAGCCTCTGGGCGGTGGGGTGGGCGGTGGGTTGGGGGGTTTCGTTGTGCGCGCAAAGCCGCGCGGGGCTGAGGGTCTTGTTCTGCCGGCGCCTGTCCGGACCCGGGCCCCTCTCCGCTTTCGGCCGGCCTCGGGCACCGGGCTTCTGGAGGTAAAGCGGGGCCGGCGGTTGGGGCGCGGCATGGCGGGGCCCGTCCTCCCCTCAGGGCGCTGCCGAGACCTAGCGCGGCCCTGGGGATGTCGAAGCCGCTGCGGTGGCGGGGCCCGGGCGGGCGCCCCGCTGTGTGCCGCGGGGTTGTGCGCCCGGAATGGCAGCCTGCTCGCCCGCACGTTTTTCCGTCAGGGAAGGTTGTGGAAATTGCCATCTCCGTCTTGCAGGGCGAGACGGGGAGGGGAGGGGTGGGAGTTGTTTTCTCAAGGAAAGGGGGTCGAGGAGGAGCCCCGTGGCCGAGCCAGCCCCTGCCGAGCCCCGCGGGTGACCTTGGCCGTCCCGGAGCCCAGCAGTGTCCTGCACCCGCGCCCGGCTCGCCGACGTGTGGAGTCGGGATGTGGCGCTCGGCCGCGCATCCCCGGCGGAGATGGCGACGGCCTGGCCTAGCTTGGGGCTAGGAGTCGCGCCTTCGAGGACCTTGGCTTAGCGAGTTCCTTGGGGGGCTTCTCAACAGGTGTTAGATGAGGTGGGGCGAGTGGCTGTGAGTTCCTCCAAAGGTGGGCTCAAGATCCTCTGCGTCAGAACCACCTGGGGCTCTTGGGAAACGGGCAGATTCCTGGGGCCCACCCCAGGTGTTGGGATGCTGTAGTTCCGTCGCGCTGCCCAGGAATCTGCATTTAGTAGGCTCCCCAGATCATTCCCGGGCGCAGCTGGGGCTGAGAACCTGTCCCAGTGAGGGGGTTGGCGGGCCCGGGGGCAGGGACGTTCCATAGTGTTTCTGCCAGTTTCTTCTGTATTCTGGGGCCTGATGCTGGGCGGGGCGGTGCCCGGGCAAGTTACTGCTCTCCTGGGTTCTTTGCTGCTTCCCTTGGGGCCGATCTAGGTAGAACTGGGTGGAGGGAGGCGTGCCAGCTCTGCCTTGCCCTCTGCCCTTAATCGGAAAGGTTATGCCCAGTCACTTGCCAGTCTCAGAAGACTCCCCCTCTACACATTCAGTTACGAAAAACGTGAAACATACAAAAGTTGAAGGAATTTTACAGTGAACACCCACAGACCACCACCTAGAATGTAGAGTTAACACTTTATTGTATTTCATCACATATTTGTCCAACCAGCAGTCCCTCTTGTTTTTTGTGTCAAAGTAAGTTGCAGATATCAGTGCCTTTCCCTCCCAAATAAGCATGCATGTCATTAATTAGAGTCTTAGAATTGTTGTTTATTGGGTTTGACTTTTTTATCTTCTTAATGGTTTTTACCTTAATGGAAGCCCTGGGTATTTAGAAATCCGTCTCTCACCCTTGAGAATTTGAAGGAGTTCGGAGGTTTTCCACAGGATGGGAGAACCAGGGAAGAGCTTTACAGGTTCTCTTACAAAGGTTCATTTATTTATTTAGAGCCAGGGTCTTGCTCTGTGGCCCAGGCTGGAGTGCAGCGGTGCCGTCACGACGTTCACTGCAGCCTTGAACTCCTTGTCTCCAGCGATCCTCCTGAGTACCTGGAACTACAGGCATGCCCCACCATGCCCGGCTAATTTTTTTTTTTTTTTTTTTTTGTAGAGATGGCATGTCATTATTTTGCCCAGCTGGTCTCTAACTCCTGGGCTCAAGTGATCCTCTTGCCTCACCCTCCCAAAGTGCTGGGATTACAGGCAGGAGCTACCGTGCCCAAGTTCTTACAAGGATTTAAGAGCAGCCAGCCGTGGTTCTAGAATCACCATAAGAGCAGAACATTGACTGTATGATGTAAAGTAATACTTCAGGGAACAAAATTGTTTTGAGAAGGAGCTAACGGAATGCGTCCCGAAGGCCAGCTTGCCCCAGCAGATCACGTTGGCAATAATTGAAGCTAGTCATCAGCTTGCAACTCCCTGTCGGCTCTTTACACTGTAAGCTTGTCCAGGTTGAACCTACCAGTTCAGTGTGTGTTTTCTAAGGTCTAGGGGAACTGGGGTGTGTAGTGCAATTTAGCTCATGGTGTTGATGGACTAGAGGCCGTGGCTTTGAGACCCTTGGGCCCAGGTACTTTGTTCCTTAGCCACAAACACCAGCCCTTCACCCTACTCAGTTGCCTGAGTGGGAGAGAAAAGATAGGCCCTGTGAAAATTTGTCTCCACTTTGAGGAACATGGTTCCAAGGGTAAGGACATGTTTTTACTCATAGAAGACACAGGGAAATATGGTAGTTAAAGTTGTGGCATTTTATAGCATGTCACTGTCCTGTAGGTGGAGGAAGTGCTGGTGAGAAGGTGGCAGGCAGGGAGAGCTCTGCAGAGGACCTTGGCGCTCCATGGGGAGGATGGAGAGAGAGAGCCAGGCCGGCAGTGGTGACAGGAGGTTCCCTTTCCCCCACGAGGGGACTTGGAAATAGATTACTCAAAATGGAAATGTGCCCCTTTCTAGGATCCCACAAAAAGTTTCTGTTTCTGTCTCTGCCTAGTCAGGAGTCTCCAAGCCACAGTCTCTGTGGGAGGTGGTAAAGGCTACCTTGCAATACAGTGCAGCAGAGGTGGAGGCGCCTAGGGCCTGGGCCAGAACCTCCCCATGCCCAGAGGGCTGTCCACTCTTGGAGACACTGGTCTGGTGGCTCCTGAACCCGTGGGCCTGATGGCCCCGGTCACCACTTCTCCTACTCTGTGAGTCATCAGGCAGTGGTCCATGACATTGGTGGTGTCCTGGGACCAGGGCTGCCTAGACGTGGAGACCTCTCTGTCATGTTGAAGCTGTGTGACAGACAGGCCTTGCTGGCCGCGTCTGTGATAGGTGAAGAGCATCACCCAGGCCACAGGAAGGCCTGCATCTGCTGTTAGCGCTGAAGAGATGAAGGGTCCCTGACGGCAGACAAAGCAAAACCAATACAGAGCCTGCAGTGCAGGGTGAGGGGGTCCAGGAGCATTCTGATTCTTTCCTTGAAAGCAGTTGTGATGCATTTTTGGTAATACTGGACCATTTTTCCAGGAAACATTTCTTGTCACCTTTTCAGTGCTCCTGATTTGTGGGTGAGACCTGGCTTGGTCTGTACATTGAGTGATTCAGTACCATCGATTCTTACTGCAAGGAGGTGTAATGGGGGTTCAGTAAACACTGAGGGTCTTCCTGAGATGTAATTGTTCAATCAATGCTAATTAAGTCTGAATTCAGATCTAGTCCCAGTGTCTGGGTTTTTCCCCCAAGAAGGAAAAGAGGCCAAGAAAGGTGGAAGTAGGTAGAGAAGAGTGCGAGAGCTGCCTTGGGAGGGTTTAGGGAGAATTTCAACCCGTATTACTTCAGGAAGAAAGCGAGCTTGGTTGTCACAATTCTGATTAACATGCAGGCCGGGTGCTGTGGCTCATGCCTGTAATCCCAGCACTTTAGGAGGCCAACGGGGGCGGATCACCTGAGGTTGGGAATTTGAGACCAGCCTGACCAACATGGAGAAACCCCGTCTCTACTAAAAATACAAAATTAGCCGGGTGTGGTGGTGCATGCCTGTAATCCCAGCTACTCCGGAGGCTGAGACAGGAGAATCAGTTGAACCTGGCAGGTGGAGGTTGCAGTGAGTCGAGATTGTACCACTGCACTCCAGCCTGGGTGACAGAGCAAGACTCTATCTCAAAAAATCAAACAAACAAAAACCAAAAAAAAAAAAAAAAAAAAAAACCATGCAAACAGCGGCCTCACAGGCTGGGGAAGCAGGAGGAAATGGGGTTCTTTGCAGTGTACCGCCCTATGAACATGCGTTGTTCTCACCTGTCAGCCAGGGAGGTAGCAGCACAGTGGGACTTGGCCAGCTGAGGCAGCAGCCAGAGTGTCTAAGTGACTTGCCCATGGTTGCCAAGTAATGGCAGAGAAGGGCCCATGGCTGGCCCTGAAACAGCAGGGGTGGCGGAAGAGCAGCTGAGGGAGACGTGGGCTCTCCCAGCCCCATTGTGATCACTGCATCACGGAGTTGACTGGAATTCAAGAAATGGTGTTTTTTCCTGTCTGGATATTTGGCTGTGAACGTAAGTACTTTCCTGAGGACGCAGTGGAGTCTCTCTCGGCTGCGGCTGTGTTCTCACCCTGGGCAGTGGCCTTTGGGTTAAGAATGGCACAGAAGGGGCTGGGTGCGGTGGCTCATGGCTGTATTCCCAGCACTTTGGGAGGCTGAGGTGGGTGGATCATTTGAGGTCAGGAGTTCGAGACCAGCCTGGCCAACATGGTGAAACCCCGCCTCTACTAAAAATACAAAAATTAACCAGGTGTGGGGGCAGGTGCCTGTAATTCCAGCTACTCAGGAGGCTGAGGCAGGAGAATTGCTTGAACTCGGGAGTTGGGGGTTGCAGCTAGCCGAGATCGCACCAATGGACTCCAGCCTGGGTGACAGAGTGAGACTGTTTCAAAACAAACAAAAAAGAATGGCACAGGAGGTCCACTTAGGTCAACCCCAAACCTGTGCACTCATTTCTTCAACACACATGGACTAGGCACCAAGCAGGGCCCAACAATACAAGTGGGAGAGTCCCAGGATTCTTGAGGGGAGATAAGACAAGGGACAGAGAATCCCCTGGCAGCAGAATCCTCAGGAAGGCCCAGGTTTGCAGGGAAGTGGGGTGTGGGCGTGTTTGGAGGCCAGGGAAAGAGTACGGGGGTGGGCTTGGGAAGGGTGGGGGGATGAGATAGTTTGGAGGAGTGTGAGTTACGATCCGGTGGTAGATCTGGGATATGGTCCAAGTCCAGACTCTTCCCTGTCACCCTTGACTGTTAGATGAGATAGTGGATCTGAGGGCCTTTGAACCATGGAGTTAGTAGGACTTGCTGACTGGTCATGGTTTAAGGAGACGAGAAAGGTCTGGAGCGCCTCTCAGCCATCCAGTTTGGCAATGGGAGTGAAGTGAACAGAAGGGTCCTCTGGCTGGAGAGCAGAGTTCCTGCCTAGAGCAGCAGCCAAGCTGCAGCCCATCCACCCACTAACCCATGTTTCACAGGCTGCCCGGTGCCCTGGAGAAACTGGCCCCAAGGTCTGACCCTGCCCTGCAGGAGCTATGGGTCTGACTGGGAGATGGCCTTGATCACAACTTTCTAATTCTGCATGTTATGAGTGACTCCATTGCCCTAGACCCAGAATTCCCTGGCCACCTCCCTGCAGGGCTGTGAAGCCCATGACAGGCCTCACCTTTTCTCTGCTGGAGCACCTGCTGTCACAGAGGCGACAGCTCCTGCTGGGCTTGCCTGTGTATTTTTTATAAGTTCTTCTCAAGTGTCACTTGTCTTGCCAGGTAGATCTGCAGCTCCCTGAGGGCAGGGACCATGAGGTGAGTGACCTCCATGGAGGGTCTGATGAGTCTTTTCAAACAGGTAGTCACTTAAACAAAAAAGAGAGGAACTTGGATGGTGATGGCTCTGCTGAGTGAAACGGCCTCATCCTTGAACCTGAAGAGTCCTGCCCTGTTCAGGGGAGAAGGCCTCAAGTGAGCACTTCTCAGATCTCAGATTCCCCAGGCATTTTGTGTCACCTGACCTCAGGCCTTAGTTTCTGTCCCCAGCATGGTCAAGCTCAGGTTCTGTGGTGTGTGTTTAGCTGCTTTGCAGGGACAGTGGCCACACCATGACGCATTTCTCTGTGGCCCCAGTAAAATTGGCCAAAAAGGAACTATACCTGCTGGAGGTGGTAGCCGAGTGCTCTCAGGCTCCCCAGCTCTAGGAGCCACCTACTTGATGTCAGAACTTTGGAGAACTGGATTAGCATGGCAGGTGAGTGCGGAAAATGGAGAGTCGTGGGGCGAAATGATTTCCCAAGCTCTCTGCAAGCCTCTCGGCTTATCAGGGTAAAAGTGGGCATCCTGCTGTGGCCAGAGGACCCGGCTCACCCATCCTCCAACACGGAGTGTTCCCTGCTCAGTGGAGCTATCCCTGGTGACAACTGCAGCCCTGTGGCAACCACTTCCTTGTTCTTCCTTCTTCCATGCCACGCTTTGTTCTGTGCCAGGCCCGATGTTTTATTTCTGTATTTTATGCCCTCTACTCAGCCCCCCACTGAAGCTGCCTGCCATTAAGACAGACGTTGATCTGCCATCTTCAGTGCCTAGGAAATGCCTCACGCATAGTGTGTGGTCCATACTTATTGGTTGAATAAAATGATACACCATGCCTGCATTTCAGCCGTCTCATCTTCCTAAGAGCCAAGACGCAGGGACCGTGGTCTTCATGTGCTCCGTCATTGCCTGAGTGTTGGGGGTGCTGATTTGCATGCTGTGTTGAATTCTTCAGTACACATTCAGTGGGTTAGGTTCTAAAGTCAACTAGCAGAGCAAAGACCTCATAAGTCAAACTGTCCTCTAAAGTCCTTGAATTGCCTATTAGCTCAGAGGCACTCCCCCTGCTAGAGGCCCAGCGGGGCCTGAGGAAACAGCACGTTCTGTGTCCCATTTCCCTCCCCAGGGAAAGCAGGGGACCGGGCACTGCCACTTCAGCTTTTTGTCCTGGGTACCATGAAATCTATGTAAATGGAACGCATGTGAAGGAACTGCACTGTGTGAGCTACACTGTGTGAAGCACTTTATTGGGAGTGTGAGATCCCACTCAAGTGTATTTTGAAAACCATTTCTGGAGAATGTGTGAGAAAAGAAACAGGGCTGACAGTGATGTGGAAGGAGAGAGTCAGGACAGCTGAGGTCCTGTCTTGGCTCTGTCATCTCCAGGCAGCTGGGGTGCCCGGGGCAGCCACTTCTCTCCTCGGAGACTGCTCCCCACTCTGTGCCACTGCTTGCTCGCCCACCGTCATCTCCAGCACTTCACAGGGCACCTGTCTTCCATGGGTGCTTAGTAAACATTTAAGACAGAAATGAATGGCAGCTTAGACTTGGACCCAGTCATCTCTGATGGCCTTGCAACCTCCAAAAGGTGTTCTCTGGCCAGGAGCAGACACTCACACCTATAATCTTAGCACTTTGGGAGGCTGAGGCAGAAGGATCACTTGAGGTCAGGAGTTTGAGACCATGGCAAACATGGCGAAACCCCGTCTCTAAAAATACAAAAAAAAAAGGCCGGGCACAGTGCCTCACACCTGTAATCCCAGCACTTTGGGAGGCCGAGGTAGGCGGATCACGAGGTCGGGAGATCGAGACCATCCTGGCTAACACGGTGAAACCCCATCTGTACTAAAAATACAAAAAACTAGCTGGGTGTGGTGGCAGGCGCCTGTAGTCCCAGCTACTTGGGAGGCTGAGGCATGAGAATTGCGTGAACCTGGGAGGTGGAGGTTGCAATGAGCCGAGATCACGCCACTGCACTCCAGCCTGGTCTCTGATGTCTGAGTCATAGAGAAATATATACATGGCCAAGCAGATGGCAGTCCCAATCATGACGTGAGCTCCTGTTTTCCCAAGCTTCCAGAATAAGTCTTCTGTCCCAGCCAGCATGAGTGAACTCAGGGCCAGATGTTGACTTAGAGTTACAGGAACTTAGGCAAAAACTGCAATTACTTTTGTACCAACCTAATAAACTTCTATATACTATTTCTTTCTTTTTTTTTGAGGCAGAGTCTTGCTTTGTTGCCCAGGTGGAGTTCAGTGGCGCACTCAGTTCACTGCAGCTTTGAACTCCTGGTCTCAAGTGATCCTCCTGCCTTGACTTCCCAAAGTGCTGAGATTACAGTCCTGAGCCACAGTGCCTGGCCTACTGTATACTATTTCTGTTTTTTTTGTTTTTGTTTTTTTTTTTTGAGATGGAGTCTCACTCTGTCGCCCAGGCTGGAGTGTACTGGCGCAATCTCGGCTCACTGCAAGCTCCACCTCGTGGGTTCAAGTGATTCTCCTGCCTCAGCCTCCCGAGTAGCTGGGATTACAGGCATGTGCCACCACGCCCGGCTAATTTTGTATTTCTAGTAGAGATGGGGTTTCTCCATGTTGGTCGGGCTGGTTTCGAACTCCCGACCTCAAGTGATCCGACTGCCTCAGCCTCCCAAAGTGCTGGGATTACAGGCGTGAGCCACTGCACCCAGTCTATATACTGTTTCATATAATGCAGTGTAAACTACTAATTCAGTTTGTTTCACACCCAACCAATGTAAGTGAATTCTTAGGGTCAGATGCCAACTAAGAGTGATAGAAACTCAGTTAACTAATTTCCATATGCTATATACTGTTGCATCTAATGTAGTGTAAAATACAAATTAGATTCCCACTCTCAGTTCCTAGAGCGCTTTCTTCACCCATCAGAAATGTCTTCAAAATAATTGAAAGAATGCCCTGTAACATGAGAGATCTAAATGTCGCAGGGATGAGCCACTGTCCTCACTGTTCTGAGGGAAAATTGCTGGAGGGGGAGCTTCTGTGTACAGGTATGTATGGTGACTGACACATTTGGAGGAAGAAAGCCTAGAGGTTTGCTTTTCCACATCCCACCCCGACCCACGGAATAGGGGGACTCAGGCAAGACCTGGCCGCGGGCAGAGCCCAGCTCCCTGGCTAAGGACGGCCAGGAGACATTTGTGTCTGAATTAAGACTCTTCCACCTGGGTGGCCGTGAGTGGCCACGTGTCTTGACTGCACTTAACGGCCTGGTGCTTTTTTGTAGGTTGCAGTGGTGTGTCTTGATCTCATCCAACAGACAGCTGGTTGAATAGAGTCAACCCAAGACTGTCCATTTTGTGTCTGCTCAGTACAGGCAGACAGAAGGATTTTTTTTAAGGGCTCCATTTTGAGCACTTAAATGATGGTTCTTTAGGTTCATGCTGTTTCTAAAATTAGTCAGCCTTGTAGTTACCAAGGCCTGCCTGTGGGACAGGTGCAGATGACTTGTTTATTCACTTGTGGTTGAGCTGTGTCTGATTTTTTCCTTTTGCTCTGCATTTCCCCTCCTGTCTGTGCTTCCTTCATTTTCTCTGCTAGCAGGAGAGCATGCAGGAACAAGCTCTTGAGCAGCGTTCTGCCTGGGAGGTAGTTCAGAGTCCTGGCGAGATCACTGGGCGAGTTGGGAGGCCGGGGCTGTGTCCTCAGCATGGGCTCTATCACTCGTTTTTATTATGCATCCAACGGGGACTTTCTTACCAGCCCTCTTTGGTCAGGTGACCTCCTGCTGGGTCTCCTGGCGGGGTCTCCTAGGCTAGCAGGACTGTGAGGTCATTACATTCCAACTTTACAGATCTAAACTTTCCATTTGCCTGGAGTACCGGGAGGTGATCTGGCAGAACTGACTCATTTGACCAAACTCATGGGAGACCTATGGCCATAAGGGGCTGGCTTTGGAGAGGAGGCCACTAACCAGTCCAGGCCTCTGGCTTGCTCTGCAGAGCATTTTCTCCTGTAGGTGAAATTAGATTATAGTCTGAGGTGTGTTTCTGGATTGAGGAGTATGAGGAGTAGTATATATATATTTTTTTGAGATGGAGTTTCGCTCTTGTTGCCCGGCCTGGAGTACAATGATGCGACCTCAGCTTACTGCAACCTCTGCCTCCTGGGTTCAAGTAATTCTTTTGCCTCAGCCTCCCAAGTAGCTGGAATTACAGGCATGCGCCACCACGCCTGGCTAATTTTTGTATTTTTAGTAGAGATGGGGTTTCACCATGTTGGCCAGGCTGGTCTCGAACTCCTGACCTCAGGTGATCTGCGTGCCTCAGCCTCCCAAAGTGCTGGGATTATAGGTGTGAGCCACCGCGGCCAGCCTTTTTTTTTTTTTTTTTTTTTTTGAGACAGGGTTCTTCCCCACTGTTGTCCATGCTAGAGTGCAGCGGTGCAATCATGGCTTACTGCAGCCTCCACCTCCTGGGTTGAGTGTTCCTCCCTCTTCAGCCCCCCAAGTAACTGGGATTATAGGCGTGAGCCACTGTGTCTGACTTATAATGAGCATTTTGAGGAAGGAGTCATGTAAAGGTGCTGCCTACCATTAAAAAACTAGAAACTCCACATCAGTAGAACGTTTCTGTATGTGTACTTACATATAAACAAATCCCCTAAACTCCTACTGCCCAGAAAAACTGTTAATATGTGTTATGGAAGAGTGCAGTGGCTCACGCCTGTAATCCCAGCTCTTAGCGAGGCAGAGGCTGGAGGATAGCTTGAGCTCAGGAGTTCGAGACCTGCCTGGGCAATATATCAGGACGCTGTTCTCCACAAAAAGGAAAAAACAAAGACAAAAAATGTGTTACGTATGTAAATACATCTAAAGAAGAATCACACTGTGCTACTGCTTTTTTATTCTTCACTCACTGCTATATTAAAACCATTTTTCTATGTCAATAAAAATCTATATCATTGGCCAGGCATGGTGGCTCATGCTTGTAATTCCAGCACTTTGAGAGGCCAAGGTGGGCAAAATCACCTGAGGTCAAGAGTTCGACACCAGCCTGGCCAACATGGTGAAACCCCATCTCTACTAAAATACAAAAATTAGCCAGGCTTAGTGGCGGGTGCGTGTAATCCTTGTTATTCAGGAGGCTGAGGCAGAAGAATTACTTGAACCCGGGAGGCGGAGGTCGCAGTGAGCCTAGACTGCACCATTGCATTCCAGCCTGGGCAACAAGAGCGAGACTCCATCTCAAAAAACAAAAACAAAACTATATCATTTTTTAGGGGCTGAATACAGTTACATTATATAGCTAATCACATGCATGTAACCAGTTCCATTTTCTTGAACATCAAGACAGTGGTGCATATAAACATCTTTGCCTGTGAATCTGTGTTCACATGTCCATTTACCTCTAGAACGAATACATTGAAGTGGAATTGAGTCCATAAGAGTGTACAGGTAGCAAGGCTGTCCAGGAAAGTTGTACTGATCCACTATGCTGTGGCCCCGTGCTGTGGACGGAGTGTCACCAAGTGAGAGTGGTTTGCCAGGAGGTTTTACTAAAATTCAGCATGATATAAATTGCACAGTAATTGTCATCATCATAGTTCCTAGAGGCCTTAGTACTTTTAGGTTTAGAACCATTCTTTGAGTCCTGTCTGCCTTTTGATTTTGCTTCTGCTTAAGAGCAACAGTGTCACCGGGTGCGGTGGCACTTGCCTGTAATCGCAGCACTTTGGGAGGCCGAGGCAGGTGGATCACGAGATCATGAGATCAAGACCACCCTGGCTAACACGGTGAAACCCCGTCTCTACTAAAAATACAAAAAATTACCCAGGCGTGTTGGCGGGCGCCTGTAGTCCCAGCTACTCGGGAGGCTGAGGCAGGAGAATGGTGTGAACCCAGGAGGCGGAGCTTGCAGTGAGCCAAGATCCCGCCACTGCACTCCAGCCTGGGCGACAGTGCGAGACTCCGTCTAAAAAAAAAAAAAAAAGTAACAGTGTCTTCTTTTTTCTCGTGTACTTCCTCTCTCAGGCTCCTGTGGCAGGCCTTCAGTGGTGTGCTCTTCACCCATGGCCTCTCCCGTGACTCATCACAATTCTTGATAAGGGGCTGCTCCTACCGCCATATCACAGATGAAAAAAAATCTGAGACTGGAGAGTCAGGTGGCAGGGCAGGGTGGTGGGCGTGGGGCCTGATGCCTGTGCCCCACTCGGTGCAAGATTCTGCCCCTGCAGCTCTGCCTGCGACACAGGGCTCATGCTTCTGTTGGAGGGCGCAGTGGTGTTTGGGGCCATGGGGTTGGGCTGATGTCTTTTTTATTTTATTTTTAATTTTATTTTTATTTTATTTTTTATTTTATTTTTATTTATCTTTTTTTTTTTGAGATGGAGTCTCACTCTGTTGCCCAGGCTGGAGTGTAGTGGCGCGATCTCAGCTCACTGCAAGCTCCGCCTCCCGGGTTTGCACCATTCTCCTGCCTCAGCCTCCTGAGTAGATGGGACTGCAGGCGCCCGCCATCATGCCTGGCTAATTTTTTTGTATTTTTAGTAGAGACAGGTTTTCACCATGTTAGCCAGGATGGCCTCAATCTCCTGATCTGTGATCCGCCTGCCTTGGCCTCCCAAAGTGCTGGGATTACAGGTGTGAGCCACCGTGACCAGCTATTTTTTATATTTTGAGACAGATTCTCAGACTATTGCCCGGGCTGGAGTGCGACGGTGTGATCTCGGCTCACTGCAACCTCCGCCTCCTGGGTTCAAGTAATTCTCCTGCCTCAGCCTCCCGAGTAGCTGGGATTACAGGCGGATGCCATCATGCCCAGCTAATTTTTGTATTTTTTGTACAAACAGAGTTTCACCATGTTGGCCAGCCTGGTCTTGAACTTCTGCCCTCGTGATCCGCCCACCTCTGCCTCCCAAAGTGCCGTAATTACAGGCATGAGCCACCGTGCCTGGCTAGGCTGGTGTCTTATTTCCGCTGAGACTCATCATGGTCGAGGAGGAGCATGTAGGGTTGGGTGGGAGGAGAGCTGGCAGATGGGAAAACCAGATCTGTTTTCTGGTCCTTTCTGTGACTTAAGTTGAGCTTGTTTTGAAGTGTTTAGAATTCCCAAGGCATCAGATACACCCATCTTCAAGTGTAAAAATAAATAAATGGTTCAGAGCCACCCGCGATGTTATCTGAGGGAGGGACTGTCTCGTCCTGCCTCCATCAGGACAATGGGAAATGGGCCATGTTCAGGATTTTCCAGGCCTGCCTGTGCTAGAACTTGGCAGCCGAGGACAACGGTCCCAGAGAAGGGGACACATTGGCAACCTCCCTGAGTCTTGGGAGGGCTCAGCCTCACTAGAGGCTGCTCTGCAACTGAGTGGACCTTTGTGGAGGGCCTCCTCTTTCCTGCTCATCACCCAGCGTTGGGAATAGGGTCCCTCTGGTCAGCTGCGAAAGGCCACAGGGAATCCTGGCCTGGTCCCACATGGACTTGGGTGGCTGGATTAGCCCCAGGTTTGGATAGGGCATGGTGGAGAGGGGAGTGGAGAGGGTTTGGGGCCCAGGAGCAGTCTCACAGCAGGGGCTCCCTTTTGAGCACCTCCTCACTTGGAGCACTTCCTTCATGTCCCTGTGCTGGGCACCTGCATCCAAACAGTGCATGCTCTATTAACGTTCACTGCACGCCATCGTCCTCCTCAGCTCCTCCTTGAGCCAGTGCTCATGCTGAAATGAGCACTGGAGTTGCAGAAGAATGTGTCCTCGCTCCAAGGCAACCAGCTGCACTTCTCTCGGGGCCTGTTTTAACTACGGAAGCATCTGCTCCAGCCTTCCCGCCAGGGAGTATTCCCCATGCCTTGGCCTCTGTACTGGCTGAGGCTGTGTCATGTGACCTAAAGAAAGCCATGATCCTTTTGATCATGGATCACTTGAAGAGAACTTGTGTTCCTTCAGACCTAAGGAACTGTAGAGATATATTTTTGTGGTGGAGGGGGGATAGAGTCTCACTCTGTTGCCCAGGCTAGAGTGCATTGGCGTGACATAGCTCTTTGTAGCCTAGAATCCCTGGGCTAGAACAATCCTCCCGCCTCAGCCTCCCAAGTAGCTGGGACCACAGGTGTCTATCACCATACCTGGCTAATTTTATTTTTTTGTAGAGATGGGATCTTGTTATGTTGCCCAGGCTGGTCTTGAACTCCTAGCTTTAAGCAGTCCTCCCACCTTGGCATCCAAAGTGCTGGAATTACAGGTGTGAGCCACTGCACCTGTCTGTGCTGTATATTTGTAATGACACTTGTTAATACTTAACCTGAAAATAATTTACCAATAATTAACCAGTAAACCAAGTTTTATTACTCATGTGGAAGATGTGGGAGGTGGTCAGTTAGTTGCTGGTGTGGTGTCCCATGGCTGTCCTAGGCACTGGCCTCCATCCCAAGGCCCTCATGGTGAAGCACAGCTACTGGAGCCATGGCATCTATCTTCCAGGTGGTAGATGGGAGGAAGGCAGGAAAGATGAAGGGCCTGGCTCCGGGCTGAGTCGGCTTGCCCTGAATGCCTTCTTATGGTCTGGACACTTCTGCTTACAGCTCATTAGCCAAAGCTTTGTCACTCTAAGAAAGCTCGGGGACCCTCTTGGTTGATGGACTTGCCCTGAGTGAAAGTGGAGTTCTGTATTCAAGAATGGGGGAGAGAGTGGATTTGGGTGCAGCTGGCAATCTCCAGTCTGTACTTCATTAGGCGGAACATTGCTGTTTGAGATCTTGTTATTCTGCCTTCTTCCTTTGCAGTGTGATGTGGAGGAGCACAGCACAGCTCTGTATGGGTGGTGGTATCTGCGTAGTAATTCATGGAAGGCGTCTCCAGCAATACAGCCTGGACATCTACATGTGGGATTTTGTTCAGCCTTCCAAGAACCTCATTTTGCACGTGGGGAAACTGAGGCTCAGAGAGGTTGAGGAATTTGTCTAGGGCTGCAGGCCATCAGCGGCGAGGCAGGGTCCCAGGGAGACCTGTGCTCTCCCAATATTCTATTGACAGTCAAGCAAAGAAGACCGCTGTCTTTGTTTCCAAGTGCCACAATGCAACAAGGCTGAATGGTGCCGGAGGTCTCCTGGGGAAGCCTAAAGCCTGAGGAGAAGGGCCTGGGACACTGTCCAGCTGGCCTTGTCATCCTTGTCCTGGAGATCTGAGGTATTTGAGCTCTGGAACAAACCCTGTGGCTGGGTCGCTGTGAGGGCCCCAGGCTGCCATCTGGCCACCCTCAGGGGCACATCCCTCCTTCCTTAGGCCTTGTGTACTCACTGTTCCCTCTGCTGTCCCCATCCCTCCCTTTGCCTGCTGGTCTCATTAACTCTTCCGCCACCTCCTCCCAGGTTTGCTTGAAGAGATGGTGTTAGAGCTCCAGAACGGCGATCTTGCTGTCCTTCTACTGTGCCCTGGACTTTCTCGATACCACTGGTCACAGATGTAATTGTGTTTGTGGTTTTTTGGCGAGGGGGGTGATTATTTAACGCTCATCCTCTTCACTTGACCGTAAGCTTCTGGAAGGCAGGGACATGTCTTTTTTTTTCTTTCTTTGAGATGGAGTCCCGCTCTGTCGCCAGGTTAGAGTGCAGTGGCGCGATCTTGGCTCACTACAACCTCCGCCTCCTGGGTTCAAGTGATTCTCCTACCTCAGCCTCCTAAGTAGCTGGGATTACAGGCACGTGCCACCACGCCCAGCTAATCTTTGTATTTTTAGTAGAGACGGGGTTTCACCGTGTTGGCCAGGATGGTCTCGATCTCTGGACCTCGTAATCCGCCCTCCTCAGCCTCCCAAAGTGCTGGGATTACAGGCGTGAGCCACTGCGCCCAGCCAGGGACGTGTCTTTAATCCCCAGCCTGTATCTGGCACGGAGGATGTGCTGAGTAACTATCAGAAGGAAGCACCATCCCCCGCCCTCCCCTTAGAGGGCCTCTGTTACGTGGTCACCTCACAGACTGTGCTTCAGCCCAGCCCTGGGGTGCTTGGGAGAATAGGCGGAACAGCTACGTGGTCAGCGGCCATCCCTTGCAAGTAACAGTCCCCCTCCTAATGACCCTCACGCTGCATGGCCCGTTACAGTGGTTCAGTAAGTTTTTATATCCATGCCTTACTTAATTCTCACACCGCCCTCCAAGGTGGGTTTGAACTAATCCGTCTGTGTGTTGGATGGAGATGTCACAGGATGGAAAGGCCTAGTGTGGGCCAAGCCTCCCTGGAAGGGTCCCCTTCAGGCCTGCACCCTTGGTGGGGATTCTGTGCTCTCCTTTTCCCGCTGCCCTGTCCCTGCAGGGTGCTGCTATCTGGACTGAGAGCATCTTCCCTGAGGCCCACGTGAGCTCCTGCTTGCTTCTGGCTCACTTCTTGCTTTGGCCTTTTCCTCCAGACCTGGTTTGGGCCTTGCCATTCTCTTTTCAGACCCAAGAAGCACAGAGAGTGTTTGTCTTTTACCTCGGCTCTGCCCCTCATGGAGCAGTGGGCACCTCCTTTATTCAGCACATGGAAGCTGCAGGCAAGGCAGAAATCGGCCTTTCAGTTTTCCCAGCAAAGCAGAAAGCCCTGTTCCTGGCTGGATGCCTGGGACCTGCCTCCTGGGGACAGAGGAGCCCCTCTGAGGCCAGCTGGCGTCCTGACGCCATGGCTGCCACGTGGGTAAGCACCTCCTGGGGATGCAGCACCAAGCCAGCCCAGCTCTGAGAAATGTGTCTGGGCAGCAGCTGCTGCAGAGCCCCTGCCACCAGGGTGTATTGGTGGAGCATCCTTCCAGGGGCATTGCCAACCTTGGGCACTCCCAGGCAGGCCCCTGGCATTTCCACAGCCCACCAGGAGAGATGGCCCTTGGAGGACTGCTAGTGTCTCTGCCTTCTCAAAGAGTTGTCTCGGGTTACCGTGGAGCAGGTGGCCCAGCTGAGCTGTGCTGTGAGGGAACGCTGCTGAGCTGAGTTCTTAGGGAGGGTTTTGATTGCAAGTCCCTCCAGAATCCGGTAGAGGCATCCCCTTGTAGTCATATTAGTGAACATGCACCAGGACCCCTCGTTGGGAATCAGAAGGCACTCCATGGCAGAGGCGTCAATACCTGTTGTTTTCCTCCCTGTTGGAAGTTGCCTAATAAAGCATAATAATAGCAGTTTCCATTTATTTAGCGTCATTGTGTGCTAGGCCCAGCGTTTCTGCTGCAGGCGTTTCACACACAGTCTCTCTTCAACCTCACTCCCACCCTGAGAGGTAGGCATGATCATCTCTGTTTACAGAGGAAGAAACCGAGGCTCAGCTCGCTCAGCTGGAAAGTGGTGGGTCTTGGGGGTCTGGGTTTGAATTAAGCTGATGCAGAGCGGGCCCCCCCGCCTTTTTTTTTTTTTTTTTTTTTTAATATTGATGACGTCTTGCCATGTTGTCCAGGCTGGTTTCGAACTCCTGGGCTCAAGTAATCCTCCCGTCTCGGCCTCCCCGAGTGCTGGAATTACAGGCCTGAGCCACCACACCTGGCCCAGAGCCCATGTTCTTGACTGCTTGTTTCATTTAAAGCCTTCCACCGGGTGGCAAGCACATCCCTGGGGTGGGGCCTTGCCAGAACAACAAACTCAGGGCCTCCCCAGGAGCGACTCCAAGACTTGCAGGCCACTCTTGATCCTTCTGGTTGTGAAGTCCTGTCCCAGCCCTGCACTTGGCTGATACGCACCCCTTAACTTCTAGTGGGGGTTCCTCTAGCACAGCAGTTCTTGAAATGTGATCTGCAGTCTCCTGGGGGCTTCCTGAGACCACTCGGGGGGCTAGGATCAGAACTGTTTTAATAATAACACGGCCATGATTTGTTACCATGCCTCTTTGTTTGTGATGGCTTTCACATTGATGGTGTAGGAGCAGTGCGGAAACAAGCTGTGGGGCCTGCACTGACTCAAGACTGGCACCACACTGTGCTGGTCTTGTTGTAATTGAGTCTTCACCACCACACACACAGTACACACACACACACACACACACCAGTGTTGCATCAGAAAAAGCAGTAAAAATCAACTTTATTAAGTCCTGACCCATGAGTCCACAGCTTTTTAAGATCCTTTGTGACGAAATGAGGCACACATGAAGTATGTCAAATGGAGTTTGATGCTGTCGTGAGGAAAAGCACACGTGCATTCATTTGAAGTGTGGGCCGAACTAGCTGCCTTTTTCATGGACTCCATCTTCACTTAAAGAACAACTGGCACACACCGTGGTTATTCAGATTTGGATATTTAGCATACACTTTCTTGAAAATGAGCAAAGTGAACTTGCTACTTCAAGGGAAACAACTGACCTTTTATTTTTGTATATGTTGCTGTTTCTATATTTGTTAGTGCTTTGTTGCCAGTGATGAAATTCAAGCTTTCAAATGATGATTAGCGTTAACAATATTTAGTGACTTTAATGACATTGGTAGTGATACCAGCAATGTGATTTAAAAAAATATATATTGTTCAATGAGATGTGTCAACATTGGTAGATCTGCATTACAGGAACCCGTATTTTCAGGTGACCCACACATGATGTTAAGAAATCATGTCTATGTAAAAGACCCATTCCAAATGCAAGGTACACCAATGACTTCTAATGTAACACATTAGAAAAAAACCATTGTTAAGGCTTCCAATTCCTGTGGCAACTAACCCTTAAGAAACTACCACTTGTCGGTCAAGTGCGGTGGCTCACACCTGTAATCCCAGCACTTTGGGAGGCCGAGGCGGGCAGATGACGAGGTCAAGAGATTGAGACCATCCTGGTCAACATGGTGAAACCCCATCTCTACTAAAAATACAAAAATTAGATGGGTGGCATGCCTGTAGTCCCAGCTCCTCAGGAGGCTGAGGCAGGAGAATCGCTTGAACCCGGGAGGCGGAGGCTGCAGTGAGCCAAGATTGCGCCACTGCACTCCAGCCTGGTGATAGAGCGAGACTCTGTCTAAAAAAAAAAAAAACCTACCACTTGTCAAGTCTTGATGTAGTATTAGTCCATTGTGCTTCTCTAACAGAATACCTGAGACTGGGTCATTCATAAAGAAGAGGAATTTATCTCCTTACAGTTCTGGAGGCTGGTGTCTTAGTCTATTTGTGTTGCTATAAATTACCTGAGGCTGAGTAATTTATAAAGAAAAGAGAGTATTTGGTTCCTGGTTCTGCAGGCTTTATAGGATGGCACGGTGCCAACATCTGCTTCTGTTGAGGGCCTCAGGCTGCTTCCATTCATGGTGGAAGGCACGGGGGGTCTCTGTGCAGAGATCACATGGCGAGAGAGGGGGTGAGAAGGGGAGGGGAAGCGCTGGGCTCTTTCTGACAACCAGCAAGGATGCGGGGACTAACAGAGTGAGAAGTCACTCGCTTCTCCTCCACCCCAGGGAGGGCATTTATCTATTCATGAGGAATCCACCTCCCATGTCCCAAACAACTCCCATTAAGCCTCACCATCAGTCATCAAAACTGTGGTGCTTGGGAAGTCCAGGATCAAGGCACTGCCAGCATCTGGCAAGGGCCTTCTTGCTGTGTCATCCCATGGTGGAAGGGCCGCGGGGAGAGGCACCCACAAAAGACTAGCTAATCCTCTTACAAGGAATCCGCTCCCAAGATAGTGATTTGTAGCCAGTCTGTCAGAAGCGCAGGTCGCAAGCTAGGAATTGCGATGATCAGAAGTGGGGGGCAGTCATGGAACTGAGCCCTCAACCTGTGGGATCTGACACGGTAGCATCAGACTTGAATGCCACTAGAAGACGTCCACCTGGTGTCCGCTGCAGAACTGACTGCTTGCTTGTTATTGGGGAGAAACCCCCACATGTTTTGCCACAGAAGTCTTTTCTGTTGATTGTTATGGTGTGAAAGCAGAGGAGAAACAGGTTTTTTCTCCACACCTTCACATGCCACAGAACCCAGAGGGTGTGGAGGGGTAGACTTTGCAGAGGCCTCTGGTCTTCCATAGGAGTGACTTACTATTAAGTTTGTGATTGACTTGTAAAGATTTTCAAACAGGCACCTATTTTGTTTGCAATTAATAAATCCAAGATTTAAAGCAAGAAGGCCAAGAAGCCTCTCTTGGATTTGTCAGGGCTGCAAGTTGACTTCAGTGGGCTCCCCAGACCCCGCAAGTCTCCCCTTCCTCCTCTGTTGGGAACTGGGCAGATCCCCAGGTCTCCTAGCCCCCTCCCTCACCAGCACCTTCCCACAGCAGAGGTGCTGGGGCTGCATTTTCAGATCAGACATTTTCCATTTTGTAGCTTAATTTGAACAGTACTCGTTTTATTGGAAAACTATTTTGCTTCTGATCGTGTGATTGAAAGATTATTCTTGTAGTTTTTATTACACCCTACACAACATGGTTTTGTGGGAATGCATGTTTGATTTTGTATTGGAAGGCACTGGGAGAATGGGTGTTTGAATTCGGGAAATCTTCATGAGCTGTTTTCCAGATCCTCTCCTTGGTAGAGAAGGACCTGCCCTGCAGTCTCTGCTGGGGTTCAGGAAGGCAGCAGGAGGACGCATGTGGATATGGAGGGGTGAGGGGGAGCAGTGAGTAGCAGGCATGGCCCTAGGTGGGGAAGACACGGAGGAGCAACAGGGCCCTGCGGCCCCCGGTGAGGGGCAAAGAGAAGGTGGGCTCTGGTGTGGCCATCGAGCTGGAGGGGAAGCCAGCCCTGTGCAGGTCCAGACCCTTCCCTGTGGCCTGCATTTTCTGTACCCAGGTTGGGTGAACACCAAAGGAGGGCTATGCCCTGTGGGCTTACACCCTATCATCATGGGCAAGGCTGTATGTGGAATTCCAGAAATAGAATTTTTGAGCTCTAGGAGATCATAGGATTATATCTGTTGACTTTGATGAAAAGATGGGCCAGAGAAAGGCAACACCTGCATTCTCAGAGATGGGGTGTGTGTGCACACGTGTGTGTGTGTGTGCTCCCTGCAAGGGACCCAGGCTGGGATCTGCAGGTGCTTCAGTGACTCACCAAGCACAGTGCAGCTTATTTTCCTGGTCTGCTCAGAGCATCCCAGGGCCTGGACCATTCCCCGATGAGCAAGACCACTGCAGACCACAGTGTTGGGCCACTTGGTGGACGGTGGTGCCACCCAGAGGCGCCAGAGAGCATTTTCTGGGAGTCTGGGAGTTTGTAGCAGGGGCTGGCACTTATTCCAACTCAACGTATTGGAGCAGTTTTCCAGACGCAGGTAAAGCCCCATGAAAGGCTGCCCTCTTCTCCCCTGCAGGAGGGCACCTGGCAGGCTAGGAGCAGCCTGGGCAAGGGACCCCAGGACCAGCCCCAAGAGGCACTGCTGCTACTCCCTGTTCTGTTTTTTTTTTTTTTGTTTTTTGAGACAGGGTCTCGCACTGTTGCCCAGGCTAGAGTGCAGTGGCCTGATCATGGCTCACTGTATCCTCTGAGTCTTGGGCTCAGGTGATCCTCCTGCCTCAGCCTCCCCAGTAGCTGGGACTACAGGCATACATTATCATGCCTAATTTAAAAATTTTTCTTTTGTAGAGACAAGAGTCTTGCCATGTTGACCATGCTGGTTTCGAACCCCTGGCCTCAGTTCATCTGCCAGCTTCAGTCTCCCAAAGTGCTGAGATTAGATTACAGGAATAAGTCCCTGCACCTGGCCACTGCTCCCTTTTCTTAACCCTGTGCCATTGGAATTCACTGTGCAGGCAGGAGGGTGGGAGAGTCATGCTGGGGTCCTAGACTTATGCCCCGCCCCATCCTTTTCTAGGCCTCCATGTCTTCTGTGGATAATAAGGCAACTCAGAAGAGGTGTAATTTCTGAACACTTGGAAAGATGTTCTGTCTCCTGATTGCCAAAGAAATGCATATAAAAATAAGTGACATTTTAATATGAAAATTAATAACTGGCACTATAAATTGGCATCCTTTCAAAAAGGCATAAAATGCTCATGTCCTTTGACCTAGTCATCTCACTCTGACAAGCTTAGCCTGAGGAGATAATCTAACAAAAGGGAAAGAGCGGTGGACAGAGGTGTTCTCTTGTATTTCATGAAAGCAGCAAGTAGGGCCTTGCCTAAATGTCTTAATAGGGTTTGGTCAAGTATGCCCATTTTGTGGAATATTAATATCAACGGTCACGGAGTCTTGTAAGATGGAATATGTGTGACACAGCATTAAAAGGATTTACCAGCCTGGTCAATGTGGTGAAATCCCTTCTCTACTAAAAAAATACAAAAATCAGCCAGTCGTGGTGCCGTGTGCCTGTAGTCTCAGCTACTTGGGAGGCTGAGGCAGGAGAATCGCTGGGACCCGGGAGGCAGACGTTGCAGTGAGCCAGGATCGCGCCACTGCACTCCAGCCTGGGCAACAGAGCAAGACTCTGTCTCACAAAAAAAAAAAAAAAAAAAAAAAAAGGATTTAAAACTGTCAGGACAGCAACTATATTTTTATATGGTATGGGCTGGGCGCAGTTGCTCCTGCCTGTAATCCCAACACTTTAGGAGGCCGAGGCAGGAGGATTGTTTGAGGCCAGGAGTTCGAGACCAGCCTGGGCAACATAGTGAGACCCCCGTCTCTACAAAACAAAACCAAAAGGTACAGGTGCCTGTGCATACAGACCAGCAGGGACATGTGGAGATGGGCTGCAGTAGGACTAATTTTCTTTTCCCTCATTTTTTTTAAAAATAAGTTTTATTGACATAATTTACGTACCATTCAATTCACCCATTTAAAGTGTACAATTCAGTGGTTTTTAGTTATTCACAGAATCGTTCAACTGTTGCTACAATCGGTTTCAGAGCATCTTCGTTACCCCAGAAGGAGATTCCATGTTCCCCATTTCCCCTCTCCCCCAGACCTAAACAGCTACTAATGTACTTTCCGTTTCTATGGGTTTGCCTATTGGGGACATTTCATATAAGTGAAATCATACAGTATGTGGCCTTTTGTGTCTGGCTTCTCTCACCAAGCATGTTTTCAGAGTTCATGCTGTAGGGTGTCAGTGCTTCCTTCCTTTTTATAGCCGAATCGTCTTCCATTGTCTGGGCAGCCTACGGTTTTGTTTATCCACTTTGTTGATGGACATTTGGGTTGTTTCCACTTTTTGGCTATTATGATTCATGCTGCTGTGAACATTTGTGTACAAATTTCTGTGTAGACAGGTTTTCATTTCTTTTGGGCAGATAACTAGGGGTGGAATTGCTGGGTCATCTGGTAACTCTAGGTTTAACCTTTTGAGGAACTGCCAGACTGTTCCTCAAAAGGGGAACAGGGGCTGGCAGTTCTTCAAAAGGTTTGCAGGGGCTGTCCCCTACCAGCAGTGTATGAGGGTTCCAGTTTTTCTACATAATGCCTATTACTGTCTTTTTAAATTTTAGCCATCCTAGTAGATAGGAAATGGTCTCCTTGTGGTTTTGGTTTTCATTTCCCTTATGAAAAGACGCTCAGTAGTTTTTCATGTGCTTTTGGCCATTTGTCTTTTGAGAAGTCTTTGTTCAAATCCTTTTAAAAATTGGGTTGTCTTTCTGTTATTGAGTTGAGTTCTTTGTATTTCTTAATACAAGTCCTTTATCAGATCTATGAATTATAAAATGTGATGGTATCCTTTGAAGCACAAGAGTTTTTCATTCTGATGACATCCACTTTAAGTTTTCTTTCTTTTGTTGCTTTGCTTTTGGTGTCATATCTAAGAAACCACTGCCTAATCGAAGGTCATAAAGATTGATGCCTGCATTTTCTTCTAACAGCTTTTTGATCTCTTTCAGTTTTCAAACTTCCATGGTACTTTATAGTTGAACCCAAGAGCTTGGACTTGGTTCCTCTGGCCCTGCCCCTGATTTGTTAAACTTTATATTCAAACTTATGTGCCCTCCATCCCCTGCAGGTGCTGGGCTGTCTGGGAAACACTCCTTTCCCTGTATTTTTTGTTCCACTGAAACTGATTTTTGTCTCATTTTATTACTTTTAGCTAAGGTAACTGAACCCCACTTCCCAAGTCCTTTATGATGCTAAGTAAGAGCAAAAGCTTCCCACCTTTCTGAGCTGTGCTCAGAGAGTTTGGTGACAGAAATGAGGGAAAAGATTTCACTTGACTCTTCTTCCCCCTGACCCCCACCTCAACAAACAAACCAGAAGGGCACAGGCCAGAGCACAGCTTGCCTGGCAGTCCAGTCCTCATGCATGGGAGCTCAGGCCTGGTGGGAGGGGAGGCAGAGGGCCCAGCCGTGGCCCTTGGGTGCCAGCAGTCCTGGGGGAGGGAGGAAGCAGACCTGCGACGGGACCGAGGAATGGAGGGGTGGTCGGGTGTGTGGATGGCAGAGTGACAGCTAGGGAGAAGCCGGATGTGGAAGGGGAGGAACTGTGTGGTATGCCCAGGCCCCTGGGCCCAGCCCTGGCTTGGCAGCCCTTGCTCCCTGCTGAGGGCCCTGCCTTTCCTTCCCCTGAAACAGCTCCCGGAGCCCTGCCTGTTCCCTGTCCATCCAGGCCAGCAGCTGAAGGAGCCTCACCTGCCTCCCTTCTCTGAGTAGCACGGATTTGAGGTAAGAAATCCCCCAGAACCCCCATTCCCAGTGCAGCCTGTGGCAGAGATCGGTCCAGTGTCTCCTCCGACTGCCTTAGTGCCCGCTAAACGTTTGGGGAGGGGAGAGCTCGGTGCCAAACTGCTCTCGTGTGGGGCAAGTGCTGAGTTAGGCTCCTTGGGGGACTTTACCTCACTGGGCCCTGCTTCCTGGGTTCTGTCCTTGCCCTTCAGCTTCCAAACAGGGAAGAGCAGGTGACTACTGAGAGGTGAGGATGGTGGCTCTGGGCTAGGTGGCCCTGGGAAAGGTGGGGGATCCCCAGTGCCTGGAGGCAGACCCTTCTGAGGATGGTCACACGCCTTGTGCAGCATCTTGGCCACCCCACAGGGCTGAAGGAGAAGGAACCTGGCTGGGAGCTTAGTTCATGTCTGGGTTTTCCCTCCATGTCCAGGAGAAGCAGCGAAGATGTCCAGCGAGCCTCCCCCTCCTTATCCTGGGGGCCCCACAGCCCCACTTCTGGAAGAGAAAAGTGGAGCCCCGCCCACCCCAGGTAGGGGGTCACTGTTCCTGAGGCTCCATATTGCAGCCCCCTGCCGCCATGGCATGGTTGGGACTCTCTAAGTGGTGATGCCCACTCCAGGGTTACCCCTGGGCCCCATCTGTGTCCCAAAACAGTGGCCTCTGGTCGAGCTCATCGTGCAGAGGCTCCAGCTCAGTCTCCTCTTTCTGCCTCTCTCTGTCCAGGCCGTTCCTCCCCAGCTGTGATGCAGCCCCCTCCAGGCATGCCACTGCCCCCTGCGGACATTGGCCCCCCACCCTATGAGCCGCCGGGTCACCCAATGCCCCAGCCTGGCTTCATCCCACCACACATGAGTGCAGATGGCACCTACATGCCTCCGGGTGAGTGGGGAAGGGATCTGAGGGGAGCATGGGGAACTCCTGGCTGCTGTCTGGCCTGCGCTGGCTGTCCTCAGTACAGGTGGGCATCTGCTGTAGGGCAGGGACTCCAACACGCCCAACCAGCCCTTGCCTAGGGCTCAGGCTGTGTGTGGACAGGGACTGTGGACGTGGGAAGGTGGGACTGCTCTTATTCAGGCTGGTCAGGAAGGGCTGGTCCTTGGCACACCAGGACCTGACATGGGTGGGGAGGGGCGCCTTGTGTGCAGGAGAGGGGTGGGTGACCCGCAAGGCTTTCCCTCTCTTGGTCATGGGCTTGAGGCTGAGTGCCCTGTCCTTGCATGCTGGAGACAGACAGAGGAGCAGAGGGACCGGGCCATGTGCCTGGCTCTCTGCCACATCTGTCATGGGCCCCAAGGGGTGGGGACCAGGAAGGGCTGGGAGAATGTGGCCCCACTTGACTTAGGGCCCCAGCTGTAAGGCCTCCCACTGGCCCGTTAGGAGGGCGGTAGGAGGTCTGAGGCGTAGCCTTGCACGCTGGGCGCTGTGGACCGTGGGGCTTTGCGCCAATCTCTTTGTCTGGTGCAGGTGGCAGGCCAGTGACCTCTCGCCTCCATCTTCTGTGCCATTCCAGGTTTCTACCCTCCTCCAGGCCCCCACCCACCCATGGGCTACTACCCCCCAGGGCCCTACACGCCAGGGCCCTACCCTGGCCCTGGGGGCCACACAGCCACAGTCCTGGTCCCTTCAGGAGCTGCCACCACGGTGACAGTGCTGCAGGGAGAGATCTTTGAGGGAGCGCCTGTGCAGACGGTGTGTCCCCACTGCCAGCAGGCCATCACCACCAAGATCTCCTACGAGATTGGCTTGATGAATTTCGTGCTGGGTTTCTTCTGTTGCTTCATGGGGTAGGTGGTGTGGGCACTGGTAGGGTGGGGGCTGCACCAGGGTCAACTGGCTGCCTCTGCCTCCTCCGCAGCAGGCCTCAGCCTGTTCTTCCCTGTCTCTGATTCAGATGTGATCTGGGCTGCTGCCTGATCCCCTGCCTCATCAATGACTTCAAGGATGTGACGCACACATGCCCCAGCTGCAAAGCCTACATCTACACGTACAAGCGCCTGTGCTAACGGAGCTGGGACTCGGGACTCCCCCGCCTGTCAGTCTGGCCCCCTGTGCTTTGCTCCCTGTGCTCAGTGGTCACTTTCCCGCTCCCACTTGGGGCTGGGAGCCGTGCCACCATCCCCTAGAAGTCCTGTCCTCTTCACCCTGCCCTACCTGAGCCGCTGACTCTTCTGGCAAAAATTCTGTTGGGATTTAAGGCCAAGGGTCAGTGGGTGGCAGGGGGCTGACAATGAGCTTGTGTGTTGTTGGTCTGCTTGGTGTGTGTGATCGGGAAGATAAGCTGGGAGGGGTCTCCTGCTGGGGTCCTGATGCCTCTGTTTCCAAACAAGGTACAGGTTCAGTCCAGACTCTTTCCCCCTGGGACCAACAGCAGCCAGAGCAGTTAGCCAGTTAGTCCCCAGGCCTGTGGCCACAGGCGTTTCTGACCTGCTGGGCCGAGAATGGGTAAGTTGTCTGGAGTCAGGTGGGCCCACGTAGGACAGGGTCACAAAGCCTGGGTTTGTTTCTGGGTACTTTGCGCCTCTGGGGTGCTAGAGGTGGGGCATGGTGGCTGGAAGTAAAACTGCCAACTCTGGCCCTCAGAACTCTCAGGTATAGAAGCCCAGGATGTCTAATACCCTGTCCCAGTGCCCGAGAGCTGCCTGGTGTCAGGTAGAGAGGACACTGTACCTGGGTGAATGATCAGACCCTGGTAGCTAAGAAGGAACTTGTCCCTTTGAGTCAGTGTGCAGACCCCCTTTCAGGCCATGCCTCTGTGAACCCTGTATTGCTGGGGCCGGAAGGAGCCCCTGAGCCTAGCCCCTTCCCGTCTGCCCTGTGTCCTCACTGCGTGTGGGTATGACCTCTGCCTGGTGGCTGGTGTATCCCAACTGGGCAAGAGATGGCAGAGGGTCCCCCTTGTGGGTGCGCTTGGATGTGCAGAGCCTTCTCCATGGATTTTCTTCCCTGTAAGTGCCGGGCCCCTCACCCCAGCTGACAGGCTGTTGCTGTGCCTGCTCACACCTGCTCCTGCAGGCACACTGGGCTAGGGACGAGGAAGGAGCAGCCACAAGTGGTAGAACTGCCTTGGTGGACACCAGCCTCGCCCTGTCTTTATTTCCTGAATGGTTTGTGAACTTGCTCACCTGGACCACTGTATCCTGCCACTGTCCTTCCTGGTCTCGCACTGCCACTGCATGGCCTCCTGTCACTGTGAATCGTGGCCCAGTCTCAGTTTGTAGTTTCTCATTAAATTGGCCCTTTCACTCCCCCGCCCTGGGCCTCTGCTCTCTTGCCTGGCTTCCTTCTTTTTTGAGGGAAAGAGGGTGGGGCTGCAGGCAGTCTACTGGCAGGACGGGAGGCTGAGTCCTCAGGGTCTCACACCCTCAGTGCTGATGCCATGCCAACTGCCTGGGACAACACCAACACGTAAGGACCTAATTAAACCAAACCAGAGTCGGGTGTAGACCAGCCCTGGGATTTCCAGCTGTGACTGGGCCAGGGCACACGTTGGTCTCGGCAGTGGCTGTAAGGTCACCTTCCTTCCTCTGATGCTGGTTTCAACCATCTATATATGGCATCCACGCATGGGATCTGCAAGCTGGAGCCCTCCTACCCGCAGGCTTGAGCACAGCATCATCCAGCCCTGGGGAGGCGCACCCTTAAGCAACACAGACTGGGCTGAGGCTGACAGGCAGAAGACTAACAGAGCGCAGTCTGCACACGCAGGTTCTGGGCGACCTCTGGCCCTGGCCATCTCTGCACTAACTCATCTGAATTATGAAGGTGGCAGTCTTGGTCAGTAGTTTAAAGAGTTTCCCTACTTTTTAACCCTTTTTGAAATAAAACTTTTACAGGTAGTAGATTCCTATTAATAAAATTATTTAAGTTCATGTTTCTCTTTTAGAGAATGAATTGTTTAAATACAAATATGTGCTTTTTTAAAACCCTTATTTTTAAATATATATATATATTTTAAAAAAACCTTTTAAGTAGGAAACCTCTAAGGTATTTCTGAGCTAAAAAATAGCAGTGCTGGATACACTTTAAAGATCTTTGCAAGACGGTTAGAGTGACTTTGCTTTGGAGACTAGAGGTGCTGGAGAGTAGACCCAGAGCAGGAGGTGGCTGCTGGGAGCCATGATGGACGATGTCCACTCCCCACACAGACATAACATGCCCTTGCTTCTGAGGGACTCTCCTATGGGGAGGTGGCTTGACCCACCCGGTGCCAGGAGGCAGGGAAGGAGGTAGCTTGCAAAGCCCACTTTATTGAGTGCTGGAGCATTTACACAGCGCGGAGGAGGAGATAAGCTGGGGCTGAGCAAACCGCACCCAAGGGGTTAGAGGGATTCTGGGTGAGAGGGATGAGCTCCCAAGGCCTCTGAGGCTTCCACCCACACCCACCCTCACTCCCAGGGTCCAAGAGAGGCCCAGAAGTTGTACAGCAGCATCCAGCAAGGCCCCCTCGCACAGCTTGGACTTACAGGCCACTCACCTCCAACAGGGGAGATAGTCACCCATGTACTGCAAAAACAGGGACTACCGGAAGCAGCCTAGGGCCCAGAAGTGTGGAAGCCTGGAGTAGAGCTGGGTCGGGGGCCAGGCTTGCTGCACTGTGCCGACTGCTCCCAGGGTGACGGCCTGTGCCCAGTGCGGAATATGGCCCATAGAGAGGATGCTGTCAGGCAGAGGCTCTAGCATCTGGCTTTTATTGGTTGCCTTTCTTAAACCCAGCATTTTTTAAAAAGTCACCTGAGGTGGTAGTTTAGTCAGGGCTGGAGAAAGGGGTAGGCCAGTGGTCAGTCGGGAGGAGGGTACCGGTGTGGCATGATGGGTGCTTCACATGTAGTACCAGGCCAAGAGTCCAGCAGCTAGGGCCACACCAGCGGCCAGGATGAACTGGAGGCTGGGCTTCCTCAGCACAGCCATAGCTGTTCGGAAGGGACAGCTGCTGCCCTCCAGGGCACCTGTGTGGCAGCACCAATAGGAGACATGGCATCAGTGGAGTCTCCTGCTACACCTGCCCCAGGAGGGGAGCTCAGGACACACAGACCTACCTTTGTCTTGTTCAGCAGCGTAGAAAGGGCATTTACGCATGTCTCCTTTCCCATCGTGTACAGGGAACCCATCCTCCAAGGTCTCTCTGGCCAGTGTGGAGCCGGCCTGGTCCAGTTCATTGAATATCTGCAGGAGCAGAGGATCGACTGAGCCATCTTTGGGCTGCCCATACTTTTTTTTTTTTTTTAAATGTCTTTTGAGATGAGGTCTCTGTTGCCCAGGCTAGAGTGCAGTGTTATGAACATGGCTAACTCACTGCAGCCTCAAACTCCTAGGCTCAAGTGGTCCTCCCACCTTATCCTCCTACGTGTGTGTACCACCATACCTGGCTAATTTTTAAATTTTGTGGGGAGATGGTGTCTCACCTTGGTTGCCCAGGCTGGTCTTCAACTCCTGGGGTCAAGTAATGCCCCTGCCTCAGCCTCCCAAAGTGCTGGGATTACAGGCATGAGCTACTGCGCCTGGCTACACTCTCCTTTTAGAGGACGCCCTCCAGAGAGAGTGAGCTGGAGCAGGTGAGCTTGCTCAGGTGTGCCAACTACACAGCAAGCAGCACTGGTGGGCGGCAGCTGCACTGCCTGATGGTCTTCCCTCCCTAGCAAGAGCTCTGGGGAGGTGTGGATATTGGTACCCCAAGAAGGCTGCCAAATGCTGGGTCTCCCCTGGGAACTGACCAGAGATGTAGCCTTCTCTGAGGTGGCTCAAGCCACTGAAACTACCACAGCACAGACAGGAGGGCATGAGTACATCCCCATTTCTAGGTGCTGGTTATTTTTTTATCAAGAAGCAACAGAAAACCTGGAACATGGGAGAATGAGACTGTGGCAGGGCATACTCATCCTGAGTGCCCTGGGAGGCCTCAGTGGAAGCTGACAGGACCTGGGGACAGAGTAAGCTTCCCCAGGTTCAGCCTCATCTAAAGGCTACTTGTAAACAGAGCTTATTTACTCTCCTTGGTGGCACTGGCTCTCTATTAACTTATAAAGCAGGGCTTCTCAGAGCAAAACTTGAAAAGAAAATTAACCATTCTTCAAGACCAGCATCCTGCAATGAGGGAGGAAGCCAGCTCCATTCTTCCAGACCCCTCTATGTGCGAGAGGACTCACCCTTCCCAAAACACTACCCACTGGCATCTATCACACCAGGCCTCCATGCTGGGAACCACCCACTGGGCCCACAAGCTCTGGTGGCCAATCTGGTGGCCACCTTCCTCTCGGCACCCTGCAGCTCATCTGTCCTAATGCCATGTGTGCCTTCATGGGCCACTATGGATCTGCTACCACTGTCAAAGTTTCCCTCTTCAGCCCTAGCAGCTGGCAGCCCCCAATAGTACCTGCATGTTATACTCAAAAGCCTTGTTGGCCTCCTCCACGATCCTCTCTTTGGTCTTCATGTTCAGGTCCAGGGCGTTCATCCTGGCCCGGTAGAGCTGCTTGAACTGCTGGGCATTGTCCACATTCTCAAACAGGTAGAACTGGGTCCCTTCCCCTGTGCTGGGGAGTTTCAGTGCTCGCTGGGCCACCTTCTTCAGCACCTGGCCCCCCGAGAGATCCCCCATGTAGCGGGTGTATGCATGGGCCACCAGTAGCTCCGGCTCGTTCTGCCCTATGTAGTGGATCCGCTCCACGTACTTCTGGGCAGCCTTGGGGCACTGCACCTGCTCCTCCCAGTTTTCACCAAAGAAATACTCCATGTCCTTGGTCAGCGCCTCCTTCCGGTGCAGCTCCATGGGGAAGTACAAAGGGGCAAAGGCTGGATGGTCCTTGTTGCGCTCCATTTCCTCCTCGAGGGCTGAGTATGTGAAGTAAAGTGCCGTGGTGGCCAGCTGTGGAGGTGACAGGAGGAGGCCAGCTATGCCTGAGCACACCACATCCGAGCAGCTGGATGCAGAGGCTCAAGTGACAACCCCCAACCCCAAAGACCCAATCCTATGGTCCATTTTTATGTAGTGAATTATTTAACACACAAGGAAGCTTTTGTTTCTTAAAGGAATGGCATGGTGAAGTCTTTGGAACACGCATACTTTTGCTTCCTTCACACCACTATGTTATTCTATCTAAGCCATGAGAACCAATTTTTTTTTTTTTTGGCGGGGTAAAGAGTCTCGCTCTGTCACCCAGGCTGGAGTACAGTGGGACGATCTCGGCTCACTGTAACCTCCGCCTCCCAGGTTCAAGTGACTCTCCCACCTCAGCCTCCCAAGTAGCTGGGAGTACAGGCACGCGCCACCACACCCGGCTAATTTTTGTATTCTTAGTAGAGACAGGGTTTCACCATGTTGGCCAGGCTGGTCTCAAACTCCTGGCCTCAAGTGATCCACCTGCCTCGGCCTCCCAAAGTGCTGGGATTACAGACATGAGCCACTGTACCCAGCCGAGAGCCAGAGCTTAACGTCAAGAAGGAATGGAGTGTGGAGAAAAGCCCAGCTTTTCCCTCAGAGTGGCTCCAGGGGCACTTTTCTCATGGGACCAAGGCCCCCACCCCAACCCCATATGACAGTCTGGAACCCAATGCGGGGCACAAACCTTAAACAGCTCCTTCTTAATGTTGCCTTTCAAGAAGTCCTTGACAAACTGGGTGTTTTCTGCCCGGTCGTGTGCTTCCTTGGTCCCTTCCTTCAGGAGCTCCGAGAGGTCAGCCATTCTGTGGAGAGATGGGAGGTGTTTGTGTGTCAATTAGCCCTTCCCAGCTTTCCAGAAAGGACCATAGAGAGAAGATTGAGTCCACACCCCAAGGTGACCACCTGTTGTACTGGAGGCTGGGGCTTCTCAGACACTTCACTCCAACACAAATAGCAGCAACTTGTCAGGGAACACAGGACAAGCAGACATGACATTCTGCTCCAAGGACTCAGGACACAAGGGATAACTGTGGCCTGCTCCTTGAGAGTAGTACCCACGTCCATGTGTCTGTGTTGGGAACCACCCAAATGAGCAATGCTTTGCTTCTGTGGCCACCTAGTGGTCGAAGAGACACACATCTGTATTCCCTTCAGTATTTGCTGGCTTCTCTAAGAACAGCCTGCCTTGGAACGTGTCTTCTGGAATTCACACACCTCAGTAAGGCTGTGACCATGGGTCTCCTCAGATGGCCCTACTGCCTTCCTCCCACCTTGGACCCACAGCTTCTTTGAGACTATATGTGACTAGGACCAAGCACGGAAGGATGCAAAGGAGACAACCGAGAGGCTAGGGCCAGGACGCTGGGTTTGTGCTGCTTAACGAAATTACACAGTTGTAAAGGTGTGTGGATGGATGGACAAGGTAGAAAACATGTGATCCTAAAGATGGTGGTACTTGGGCAGGGGCTTACATGTGTCCACACAATCCATCTACAAGAGTGAGAAAAATTTGGCCTTATCATGGTCTGGCTTCTGCTGTCTTCTTTAGGAGATTAGCTCGTTATCATCCATGTGCTGAGAATCAATTTATTATTAGCAATTATTTCAAGGGATAAAAAAAAAACTTGGCCAATGACAGGGCTATGAGAGGCTAATGATGCAGAACAGGGCCTGGAAGCTCAGGTTTAGCATGAGCTGTCCCTATACAGAGTAAGGAAAGGCTGCCCTGCAGTCTTTTATGTGGTAAAAGACTGAACAGAGCCAGCTTTGCCTGCGTTTACCCTTTCTCAGCCCAGATGAGGAAACGCACAAGTTTTTAAAAAGAAAAAAGGATAACTACCATCAAATCCTATCAGCACTCCCAGGAGCACCTGCCCTGCCTCCTTGGATGAGACAATGGACCAGTGGGGAGAGTTCTAAGCAGCCGAAGCTGTATGCGGTCCCTGCAGGGCCAAGCAGGCACCCAGGGGTCCAGAGCTCATGGCCCATGGCCACTCCCCAGTGCTGCCAACAGACAAAACCAGGTGTGCTGAGCACGACAGGTGCTGGGCCCACCTGATTCAGTGCAGCCAGCCCCCATCGCTCACCTCATTTGGTTCTCCTTTTCTAGGGCCCCAGAGTTCTTTTTTTCTGACTCGTCTACCCCCTCTGAGGTTTCCACTTCCGCTGACATTGCTGCTGGGTGTGGTTCTTGCTGCTCTCGCTCCTCTGGTCCTGCAGAGACACAAGGAGCTGGTGATGTGGCACCCACGGCAGTCACTTCCCCAAATACCTGTCGGTTCTGCTTTCCTCAGAGCGAATGTAACCAAGGTGACACCCACACACCCCAGGATTGTTTTCTTTAAAATAAAGCTCTGCCATTACTGGGACCATAGTGGAATATGGAAAAAATCTGAATATGAACAATGTATTAGGTAATAGCATTGTATTGACATTAAGCTTGCTGGTTTTTAAAAATAATTGTACTGCGATTATATAAGAGAATGTCTTTGTTCCTAAGAAATACACACTGGGGTATTCAGAAGTAAAGGTACACTGCCTGCAACTCCCTGTCAGATGGTTCAGAAGACAGTGTGTGTGCATGTGCATATGCTGCAGGGTGGGGGACACTGGCAAGTCAGAAAAGCAAACAAGGCAAAATCCTAGCAGTGAATCTGGGGAAGAGGTATGAGAGTTCTTTGTACTATTCTTACCATTTTTCTGTATGCTTAAAACTGTATCAAGGCAGGGCACAGTGGCTCATGCCTGTAATCCCAGCACTTTGGGAGGCCGAGGCAGACTGGAGTTTGAGACTAGCCTGGTTAACATGGTGAAACCCTGTCTCTACTAAAAATACAAAAAATAGCCGGGCATGGTGGTGCACACTTGTAATCCCAGCTACTCGGGAGGCTCAGGCAGGAGAATCTCTTGAGCCCAGGAGGCAGAGGTTGCAGTGAGCCGAGATCACGCCGTTGCACTCCAGCCTGGGCAACAAGAGCGAAACTGTCTTAAAAAAAAAAAAAAAAAAAAAAAAAAGACCGTATCAAAATTAAAAGTTAGGCCAGACACGGTGGCTCATGCCTGTAATCCCACCACTTTGGGAGGCCAAGGTGGGTGGATCACCTGAGGTTAGGAGTTTAAGACCAGCCTGACCAACATGGAGAAACCCTGTTTCTACTAAAAATGCAAAATTAGCCGGATGTGGTGGCGCGTGCCTGTAATCCCAGCTACTCAGGAGGCTGAGGCAGGAGAATCACTTGAACCTACGAAGCAGAAGTTGCAGTGAGCCAAGATCGCGCCACTGCACTCCAGCCTGGGCAATAAGAGTGAAACTCTGTCCAAAAAAAAAAAAAAAAAAAAAAAATTGAAAGTTACCAAAAACAAAGAAAACCTCAAAAACCTTAGGGAAACAAAAAGCTTGGCAAGCAACGCACAGTTCCACCCCTCTGCAAGCGTGCTGAGGCCAGTTCATCCTACCTGTGAGAGGCTGGGTGCCTTGTGCAGAAGGCAGCCTACAGGAGTTACCAAAAAAGCAGACTGTCCCTAGCCTACTCAGGACTTTGCTAGGCTGAAGGAAATATTAAGTTGGCCAATCAATTCCCATTGCCTGCTGCAAATGCTGAGCCTTTGTCAGCCAGGGAAACACAGTCCCATAACAAGGCAAGCTCATCCTCCATCCCTCGGGGCTTCTGCTCAGGCAATGTAAGGCGCAGCCCATTTGGGGAATCTTCCACATGAATAGCAGCACAGTAGCACCGACAACTAATAAAGTAACTCACAAAGACAGAACTGGGGCCAAATCAGGCCAAACTGGGCCAAGGAAAAAGAACTTATTTACTGAGCATTTTCTATGTGCTCTACCCAGAAACAGGTGTCAAGAAGAACACAGAAGTGTTAAGAAATGGTCCTTAAAAGGCCCAAGGCACATATCCTTCCTGAGTTTTCTCTAGATACCTAGTTACATTTTTGTTATCTTTTAGGATATTATAGTACATGGTTTGCTCACTGAGGTCTTTTTGAACCATCTCTCTCACCTTTAGATTTAGCATCTCTACTGGGATTATTTTAGGAAGTCAAGCAATAACTCATATAGCACAATGCCTACCATGTGATAAGCACTCAATGAATGTTACATCATGATCATACTTTATTTTGACTGAGGCTTAGTGATGTCTGAGAACACTCAGAAAATAAACATCGGGATGTACAGAAAAATGGAACCTTCTCTTGACTCCAAATCAGAGACACTCTACTCTGCAATAATGCTGATGAACTGTACGATGCACAGCACAGTCTAGAAGAATGTGAAAGCAGGCAGGTATTACATGCAGGGAAGAGTATGCAGAGGGCTTCCTGGGGCAGGACCCTCAACACAGACAGGATTTGGGGCAGGGCTGGGGGAGGGCCTCCAGATCAAGGGAATATTATGAACAAAGCCAGAAATGGGTAGTTCACAGAGATAGCATAAGGCTGCCCAGCTGTGCGTCCACTTACCAAGGGGCAAAAACAGGCATTGCAAGCTGTAGAATAAGCCTCACATGGGCCTTCAGACCTTGATTTATAAATGTTTTCTTTTTTTTTTTTGGTAAAAGTACAGCTTTGCTAGCCGGGCGCGGTGGCTCACGCCTGTAATCCCAACACTTTGGGAGGCCGAGGTGGGCAGATCAGGAGGTCAGGAGTCCGAGACCGGCCTGGCCAACATGGTAAAACCCTGTCTCTACTAAAAATACAAAAATTAGCCAGGCATGGTGGCACACACCTGTAATCCCAGCTACTCAGGAGGCTGAGGCAGGAGAATCGCTTGAACCTGGGAGGCGGAGGTTGCAGTGAGCCGAGATGGAGCCACTGCACTCCAGCCTGTAATCCCAGCTACTTGGGAGGCTGATGTAGGAGGATTTCTTGAGCCTGGGAGACAGAGGTTGCAGTGAGTCGAGATCATGCCACTGCACTCCAGCCTGGCCGACAAAGTAAGACTCTGTCTCAAAAATAAATAAATAAAATACTTTAAATAATAAGAACAGCTTTGCTGTACACCCTTGAGGACCCTGAGAGCCAAAATTTGTCTCTGGCTGCTCAGTTCTCAGGCAGCAGAGAAAAAGGTGCTGGGATGAAAACACTGAGCTATCTAGAGGAGGGAGGGGTGCAGTAAAGGGTCCTGGAGCCTCTAGATGGGTGATGGAAGTAAAGGACCAGGCTGAGGGCACACACACACCAGGCTGAGGGTCCAGGTACCCCAGGACCACAGGCCCCATGCTTCTTACAGGCAAAATGAGGCAAAGACAAGTGCCATCCATGGCCCAGGTTACCAACTGCAGTAACTTCAGCGTGCTTCTTGCCATTTGCACCTACTTATCATGCTGCACAACAGTGATAGGGAACGTGATTAAATCTCATTAACTGTGTTTTACTCAATAATAACTGCATGCTCTGGGAGAGTATAGTCTTGCTTAATTAAACAACAAGTCCTTGTGCTTCTCCGAAAAATACAAAAAGGAGCCAGGCACAGTGGTTCGCACCTATAATCCCAGCATTTAGGGAGGCCGAGGTGGGCAGATCACCTGAGGTCAGCAGTTCGAGACCAGCCTGGCCAACATGGTGAAAGCCCATCTCTACTAGAAATACAAAAATGAGCCAGGCATGGTGGTGGGCAATTTTTTGTAATCTGCTGTCCACGACTTCAAATTTTCTACACTCAAAATAGGTTCTACCGATTTTACTTTGAAGGAAAGCTAACAGGAAGAATACTGAGTTCTCAAGGCGGGCTGAAAGTACCAACTACCATCTGTACAGACCTGGGGGCTGGGGGCAGAGGAGGCTCCTGGGAAGGCTCGGTTAGCATATTCAACCCACAGACTGGGGCCAGGGGAGGCGACCCTGTGGCCTAGCCACTGTCCAAGGGAGTGGCCACACAGTGTGGCATTCAGAGGCCACCTTGCAACTGCAGAAACATAATTTTTTTTCACTTTCTGAAAAGCTACATGTCCAGACTTAGTCTGGCTGGTTTCTATACTTGAATGCTCTTTTCTTTGCAGGAACCATTGGAATCTCTAGAAAATTGAGGGCCAAATCATAAATATAGAACCTTTTTAGACTTCAATGTCTAATATCCACAAGAAGCTACATGTTCCCCACCCCCACAAAAGAGAAAAAAAGATCCTAAAATATTCCACTCTGGGAAATACACTTCAAGAAATAGTAATAGTAATTGTAATCTGTATCAAAATAATACCCAGCCATACTATGATGTTAGGAAAAAAACAACACACAGCCTAAGAACAAAGGGCATGACTGCTCAAACAACAGTCAACAATGGAATCCTGGCACAGCCGGGGCAAGTTGATAAGCTGTGTTCATGCATGGAAAAGCCTACAGAAACTTTTTATTTTTTTAAAAAGGATCCCAAACACCGACTATAACTGTGTGCAAAAGTATACTGATAATGACAAGTGGGAAATTTGGAGAGCTATAAATACTTGTTTTTTGTTGGACTTTTTAGCCAACTGGCTGCTTCTTTTATATGGAGTGACTCAATTCTCTTGGAAAGAAAAAGGGAAGAGGGAGGGGAAGGCAGCGAAGGGAAGGGAAAAAAGAAACCGAGAGACAGGAATTGGACCAAGCAAACCAGCTAAGATCCCGCACTGCATTAACTAACTAGTCAATGGAAGCTCCTGGGTCCTCTTTTCTGTTACAAATTCTAGAAAGGCCAGTCTACCCTCTCTCTTTCCCATTTCCAAAAAACTGGGACCCTCTGTTTATAAAATCTACCTCCACTACTCCATAATTCCAGTACTCCTAGCTGTTCACCTCATCAGCTGCTGATTCTCATTCCAACACCTGAGCTAACAGAAGCAGTAACAAAGTTCCTATCACAGTTACTTCAAGCAAAAGAGGTTCCTTTAGACCAGCTCAGCAGATCCAGAACACTGTCTCAAAGCTTTTGCTCCTGCTAAATTGCTGGCATGAGGCACTACCAGGACTTCTGAGACAACGAAGATGGTAAATCCTCCTCCATGGAGACTAAGTCCAACAAATTTCAGGTCAGGTAACTCAGTGCATTGCTACCAGGTGGGAATATAATCTAAGGACTATATTATAATTCATTTCCCATCTGGTCATACAGAAAGGAACAATAAAGACTTCTTTGCCCTGGAGAAACCTGAACTGAAGGAAGAGAGCAGGTTGCTGAGCTCAGCCAGCACCGAGAGTAAGCAACAGCAGACTGACTCACTCCCTGGAATGAGAACAATTCTGCAGGCTTCTGACTCAATGAAATAGTGACACTTGACAGTGACCAGCTACTACACTGCATGAGATGCCCACAACATGAACTCGGGTTGTTACCCCACAAACACAGGGAGGCTAAGTGGCTGCTCAGAGACTTCTGCACTGGGACTCCACGAGTGCTCCCTCCCTGCTGAACACCTTGCAGTTGGGCATCAGGATTCTTACCATCACCCTGGATGGGGGTCCCCTGCCTGCTTCCTAGAAGGCTGTTTGCAGCTCAGAGCTCACTCCGATATAAAATTGCCACCATATTAATATGAGGTGATTACGCTTCAGCTTCCACAACTGACTGTCATCCTGTCTTCCCAGTTAAACCAAAAGCTTCCTACAAGAGAGATCCAGATTCCCTCAGATTCAGATCAGGGTCCAATATGACTTATAGGCCAGCACCCTGGGGAGCATCCAACCTGAGTTACAGCTGTTGCAAATACACAGATGGAGTTCCTACTGAGAAAGCCAGTTAAATAGAGGATTTGTGTGCCTGTGCCTGTGTGTGTAACAAGAAAATAACAGCTAAATTCTAAAATACCAAGTAAAGTAATACAAATTTTTAATTGGGTCCCATGTCTCTAAATTAACTGTATGAAATCTGTTTTGACTTCTCTTCAGATCTGACTTGACTCCTAAGTTTTTAACTGACAATTATATTTATGGGGTACAGTGTGATGTTTGGACACATGTATACATTGGGGAATAATTAAATCAGGGTTATTAACATATCCATCAGCTCACATGCTTATCATTTCTTTGTGGTGACAACTTTTAAAATCCACTCTTTTACCAATTTTGAAGTATACAATACTATTATAATATTAACCATATTAACTATAGTCACCATGCTGTAAGGCAGATCATCAGACCTTATTTCTCCTAACTGAAATTTTGTACCCTTTGATCAACATCTCCCCTTTCCACACCCACCCTTCCCTTCCCCCAGCCGCTGGTAACCAACATGTTACACTCTCCTTCTATAACTGACTTTTTCAGATTTCACATATAAGTGATATCATGCACCATTTGTCTTTCTTTCTTTGGCTTACTTCACTTAGCATAATGTCCTCTAGATGCATCCATGTAGTCACAAATGACAGAATTTCCTTCTTGTTTATGGTTGAGTAGTATTCCATCGTGCATAAATACCAGCTTTTAAAAATCCATTAATCCACTGTGTGCTGCGAAGACTAAGTGGGCTAACACGCATGAATGTTTGACAAAATGCAGCACCACCTCAAATATTGAGCTCTTACTGAGGAAGTCGCTGGTGAGAATGAGCAATTGGGTGATTGTTAAACACTGAGGAAGAACAAGAAATCCAGCAATTTCAGATAGTTCTGGGCAGGTCACACCTGAGGACTTCTGACTCAGACCTCATTCTCCAGCAGCGTCAGGAAATAGGAATATCTGCCCTTTCTAAGGTGAGCCACGTGAGCACTGGAGGCTAGAATACCCACATTGCAGATGCCACTGGAGATTGGCTGAGCCACATGTTTGGGGCAGCAGACAGAGCTCAATCAGTTCTAATCCAACAAGGCACGAGATAACAGAGACTTCTCAACACCCTGAAGAAGCCACATCATCTAGAACTACAGCTTCTGAGTTTATAGAATAAATGGCCTGAGGTCTCCTCTGAACTCTGGTACTACCATTCCTCAGGAAATGTTATACATAAGCCCTTTCATTTCAATCGCTGGGGGAATTCAATCCCACGGTTCACTGAACGGAAGAATAAATATTAACCTCTTGATAAAAGAGCAAATCCAGGCTGGGTGCAGTGGCTCACACCTATAATCCTGACACTTTGGGAGGCCAAGGTGGGAGGATCACCTAAGCCTAGGAGCTCAAGACTAGCCTGGGCAACACAGTCAGACCTTGTCTCTACGAAAAATAAAATAATTAGCCAGGCGTGGTGACACACACCTGTAGTCCCAACCACTCGGGAAACTGGGGCAAGAGGATCTTTTGACCCCAGGAGTTCAAGGATGCAGTGAACTATGATCACACCGTTGCACTCCAGCCTGGCAAGGGAGTGAGATGCAAAAAAAAAAAAAGAGCAAGTTAAGACTGAATCCAGCCGGGTGTGGTGGCTCATGTCTGTAATCCCAGCACTTTGGGAGGCCGAGCGGGTAGATCACCTGAGGTCAGGCATTCAAGACCAGCCTGGCCAACATGGCAAAACCCCATCTCTACTAAAAATATAAAAAAATTAGCCAGGTGTGGTGGTGTGTGACTCTAATCCCAAATACTTGGGAGGCTGAGGCACGAGAATTTCTGGAACCTAGGAGGTGGAGGTTGCAGTGAGCCGACAGTGCCACTGCGCTCCAGCCTGCACAACAGAGCAAGACTGTGTCTCAAAAAAAAAAAAAAAAAAAAAAAGACAATGAATCCTGGAAAAGTGGGGACTCTGGGGACACAAAGCACTTGAGTCAGATTACTAAATAAGCACTTGCGCATTTGGGCAAGAAGGCAGGCAAAAGCAAAACAACTGCAAACTAATTTAAAGGCATTAACCTCTTAAGTAACCTCAAAAACTGACAAGAGACCGGTTGTGGTAGCTCAAGCCTGTAATCTCTGCACTTTGGAACTCTGAGGCAGAAGGATCACTTGTGGCCAGGAGTTCAACACCATCCTGGGCAACAAAGTGAGACCCCCTCCATCTCAAAAAATACATTGAATAAAAAAGACAACTGAATAGCAGTTCAAGAAGTCCAAGACTTTTCTTGCAGGCTTTTTTACTGGAGAAGAGAAGTGTGCTCATCTCTAGCCATGTTCAAATACAACTGAGCAAGCAGTGAAGACAGACACCAAGGACAGAACCTGAGACACTGAAATGAGTTCAAAGAAGGGGCCTGGAATCGACTATTGTTGGGACAATGATGAGTCCTGGTAGAGCCTTCCTATTATAACTGAAATAAGCACAAGACTCGCCCCTGTTCCCTGATTGCCACCTCGCTTTATATGAGGACAATGTGTCCCAGGGCTGAGAAGATGAGGATTCTTTAGTTCCATAAGCAGCACCAGGAGCGGGAGGGGTGAAGTCCTGAGTGAATTCTAAAATGGTTCTGGTGGGATTTTTACAGGGACAGAGGCTAGACTTCATGCATCCCACAGGGCTGGCTTTAACTAATGAAACCTTGGGTCATCCCTAGGTTACCATCAAGCAAAAATTATTCCAACACTGAACAACCTTGAAAGCAGGTGTCGTGTGGATAAGTGGAGTCAGTCATGTTTCCTTTCATACAGGCACAAAAATTGTCACCTGTAAGCTTCAGCTTCTATCATAAACAAGGACTGTGAATAGCATTTGGGGGTGGAGGGAAAAAAAGTAGGTGATTAAGATGCATATGCAGAACTGTCATTTTGGGAAACCTGAGAGTGCCATCAGCTCCCAGGTGCTTTCCTCTCTATAAACAGCCTGAAGCCTTAGAAGCCATTCCTGGAGGCTGGTACTGGTAGCTCACACCTATAATCTCTGTACTTTGGGAGGCCGAGGCTGAAGGATCACTTGAGTCCAGGAGTTTGAGACCAGCCTAGGAAACATAGTGAGACCCCCCGTCTCTACAAAAAAAAAAATAATAATAAAATAATTTTTTTTTAAAAGAAGCCATTCCTGCCTTGGCAGAAGGCCCTCAAGTTCACCCAAGAGAGCACCAGACTATAAGTCTGACAGACCTGGGTATACCAGGCTAAGTCACTTTCAAGCAATGTCTCACTGGCTCTGAAGAAACTAAGATCAAGAGAATTAACATGGGCAAGATCACTCAGAGAGCTAATGGTCAAGTTGAGACTAAACTTGAGTCATTCTGAATGCAAGGTGACTCCTCCTGTGTCCCTGGCTAATCCTCATTGGTTCCTGCATGTGAGATTAGTATAGTGTCACCACAGACTGCTAGCAACAAGGAAACTGAAGTTATGGGCTACAGAGGCACTCGTACCACACTGCATTTATGCATGCAGTAGAGAGGTTAAACTACAGCCTGTAATTTGTTGTTTTAGTATGAAAAGTGAGCAAGAGGCCAGGCATGGTGACTCACACCTATAATCCCAGCTCTTTGGGAGGCCGAGGCGGGCAGATCACTTGAGGTCAGGAGTTCGAGAGCAGCCTGGCCAACATGGTGAGACCCCAACTCTACTAAAAATAGAATTATTAGCCAGGCGTGGTGGCGCACACCTGTAATCCCAGCTACACAGGAGGCTGAGGCAGGAGAATCTCTTGAACCCAGGAGGTGGAGGCTGCAATGAGCTAGACTGATCCACTGCACTCCAGCCTGGGCAACAGAGCGAGACTCCATCTAAAAAAAAAAAAAAAAAGAAAGAAAAGTGAGCAAGATTCTATTATTTCTGAGAAATAAGTGCTCAGGCCCAGTTGAAGATTCCGAAGTTGATGCTGCTTGTCCCTAAAACACTCACCTTGGCTCACTCAAATTACACAACAACCTGAGAAGATTGTTCCCTGGTGAGATCTATTTTTGATGACTAACAGGGCAGGCCAAGGCTGGTTCCAGCAGGGGAGGATGGCATACCCCACCACTCAGTGCCTGAAAAGAGGCAATCAGACCTGCCAGACCTTAGTGGACAATGAAGCCAGGGGCTCCAGAGCATCCCTATACCAAAGGGAGGTCACAATAGGGTCTGCACATCTCTATAGCACCCACTGCCATAGTAACTGAAGAGAAATAGACTAAACTGTGTCAAGCATGTATTGAGTATTTAAAATCTAAGCAGTTCTATCTTTCTGCCTACTGAAATATATTGTGCCTCAGAAATGGTAGTGCAATGGATAGAAAGTATGTTAACATAAACTTCCTGTAAAATTAGTAACTCCATAGGACAAGCCTTTGGTCAATCGAACAAGGTGGCTCCAATTTCTCACTCTGGGCCTGCAAGGTATCTTTACACGTTTCCACAGGCCTATAGAGTAAGGTATTATTCCTAGGCTTCTTCACAATGACTGCCCAGATTCTGGTGGGGACTGAAATTGGGGAAAGGAACAAGCCCAGACCAAGAACCAGTAACTCCACATATGGTTGGCTCATCCTACATAGACTGTGCCTATGGTGGGACAGAACTAGCAGCAGCAGCTATTGGACTTGCTCAAAGAAGGATGGTCGGCTTTCCCAGCACTACCAGCAGGCCCTGCCTACACCCAAAGAGTGGTAAGGGGAATGGAATCTGCTTCCTTCTTATCCTCTGACTCACTATCTTAATGCACAAGGCACCAAGAGTGCCTAAAAAAAGGAGGTCCTCAACTGTTTTCCTCCCTTAGTATATAGGGCCTGATTTGCACATGAATGACAACGTCCCATAGGACTAGTCGGGCAGAGTGTCCAGAAAATATATTGCAGATGATGTGAAATTACTAGCAATTAGCTGTAAATGCAGCCCTCTCTTCTACTCTAAACAACTTCTCAGAATGAGAGCCAACTTACAGGGATAATGTTTAACCCAATCAAACCGAGACTGGTCTTGACCTCCTAGCCTCAACAATCCTCCCACTTTGGCCTCCCAAAGTGCTGTGATTACAGGTATGAACCACCATGCCTGGCCAAACTTTTTTTTTTTAGACAGTCTCACTTTTTCACGCAGGCTGGAGTGCAGTGGTGTGATCATAGCTCACTGCAGCCTGGATTTCCCAGGCTCAAGTGATCCTCCTGCTTCAGCCCCCAAAGCAGCTGGGACTACAGGCACACGCCACCACACCTGGCTAATTTTTGTATTTTTAGTAAAGACAGGGTTTCACCATGTTGTCCAGGCTGGTCTCAAACTCCTGGACTCAAGCGATCTGCCTGCCTCAGCCTCCCAAAATGCTGGGAATACAAGCATGAGCCACTGCACCCCACCCAAACTTATTTTTTTAAAGGCAAAGCATTCATCAACTTCATGGTTAGTAACAAATTGTTTGGAACACATCTCATAACCACACTTAAAGAGCAGAAAATCTAAGTGACACAGTGATTACTTAGCAAAATGTACACTAGCTTTCTAGGAAAGCTTTCTAGACACTCCAGCTCTTCAAAGAAACCTTTCAGGATTGGAGCGAAGAGAAAACAGATCACCATGCATTACCCTGCCCAGTCAATGTGTTAAATTTTCATAGCCTTGTTTTCTTTTTTTTTTTTTTTGTGGCAGAGTCTCACTCTGTCGCCCAGACTGGAGTGCAGTGGTGCTATCTCGGCTCACTGCAAGCTCCACCTCCCGGGTTCATGCCATTCTCCTGCCTCAGCCTCCTGAGTAGCTGAGACTACAGGCGCCCACCACCACGCCCCGCTAATTTTTTGTATTTTTAGTAGATACGGGGTTTCACCGTGTTAGCCAGGATGGTCTCGATCTCCTGACCTCGTGATCCACCCGCCTCGGCCTCCCAAAGTGCTGGGATTACAGGCGTGAGCCACAGTGCCGGCCCGACAGCCATGTTTTCTAGTTTCCTCACCAGTATGTAACTCCCCAGACACAGCCTCCCATCACAACTGTCACTTGGCTGTAACTCACTAACTGTATAAATGGCATATGTGACTATTAATTTAGATAAATATTTAAATATTTGTATTTCTGTATGTATTATATGATAAGAAGACTGAATCCCTCCATCTGAATGAAAGTTTGTAGAAATTGGGTTCAACAAGTGTAATAGCAGGCATATGCACAGAAGTCCTTTCTGCACAGCACAATACTAATGTGTTCAAAAGACACACGAGGAGCTGGGGCAGTGGACTGGATTTTACAATGATCTCTAGAGCCTGAGCCATAGTAGGCACCCAACAAATGTTAATTAAGATGAGCCTAGCCATGAGAGAATCTACTGGCCACACAGAGGCCAAGAGGCAGCACATAGATGTGGTTAAGGCACAGGCTGTAGAAAGGCACAACCAAGAGCAAACCCTGGTTCTGCCCATCCCAGTTGGGTGGACTTGGGCCAGCTACTTAATTTCTTGGAGTTTCTTTCTTCATCTGTAAAGGACAGTGATAACAATTCCACAAGGTGGGTATGAGAATTAAATGAGATAAATGAGTTATAAAACTGTGACATCATATGGTGCTGATTAATAAACTAAAGAATATGTCACTTGCAATTTAAAATTAATGGCTGAGCCCAGTGGCTCATGTCTGTAATCCCAGCACTTTGAGAAGCCAAGGCAGGAGGATTGCTTGAGCCTAGGAGTTTGAGACTGACCTGGGCAACACAGGGAGACCCCATCTCTACAAAAAAAAATTTTTTTGAATTAGCTGGTAGGCAGACGGGGGTGGAGGGAGTGGCATGCAGTTGTGGTCACATCCACTTAGGAGGCTTAGGTGGGAAGATCACTTGAGCCTAGGAGGTAAAGGCGGCAGTGAGCTATGACTGAACTACTGAATTCCAGCTTCCAGCCTGGGCCACAGAGCGAGACTCTGTCTCAAAAAAAGAGGAAAAAGAAGAGAAAAGAAAAAAATATAAACTTAACAAATGTCCCCTAATATTTCCTTTTTCTCCCCACTCCTGGGTTCAAGCAATTCCTGTGCCTCAGCCTTCTGAGTAGCTGGGGCTACAGGCATGTGCCAACACACCCAATTAATTTTTGTATTTTTAGTAGAGCCAGGGTATTCCCATGTTGCCCAGGCTGGTCTCAAACTGCTGACCTCAAGTGATCCGCCCGCCTCGGCCTCCCAAAGTGTTGGAATTACAAGGTGAGCCACTGTGCCCAGCCTTTTTTGTGTTTTTTGTTGTTGTTGTTGTTTTGTTTTTGAGACAGAGTCTCACTCTGTCGCCAGGCTGGAGTGCAGTGGCGTGATCTTGGATCACCGCAATCTCTGCCTCCTGGGTTCAAGGGATTTTCCTGCCTCAGACTCCCGAGTAGTAGGGATTACAGGCACGTGCCACCACATCCAGCTAATTTTTTGTATTTTTAGTAGAGATGGGGTTTCAGCATGTTCGCCAGGATGGTCTCGATCTCTTGACCTCGTGATCTGCCCACCTCGGCCTCCCAAAGTGCTGGGATTATAGCTGTGAGCCACCACACCCAGCCTGTATCTAGTGCTATTAGAATGAAAATGGAGATTCTTCATGACGAACCTCAACTCAAAGTCTGTGACCCTCAGTGTAAACCATTTATTTATTTATTTAATTTTTTTTTTTTAGAGACAGGGTTTTACTGTGTCTGGAGTGCAGTGGTGAGATATTAGCTCACTGCAGTCTCTACCTCCTGGGATCAGGCGATCCTCCCAATTCATCCTTCCAAGTAGCTAGGACTACATGTGCGCACCACTATGCTAATTTTAAAAAGTATTTTGTAGACATAGGGTCTCACTATATTGCCCAGGCTGGTCTCGAACTCCTAGCCTCAAGGAATCCTATCACCCTCCCATTGTTGGGATTACAGTCAGGAGGCACCACACCTGGCCCCTAGTGTAGTTTTGATGCTGCCTGTATGGCTTTTCATGGAGACAGTGATATTTCCATTTTTTGTTTGAAAGTATATGGGGGTTAGGCACAGTGGCTCACACCTGTAATCTCAGTACTTTGGGAGGCCAAGGCAGGTGAATCACAAGGTCAGGAGCTCGAGACCAGCCTGGCAAATATGGTAAAACCCTGCGTCTACTAAAAATACAAAAACTAGCCAGATGTGATGGCATGCGCCTATAGTCCTAGCTTCTCAGAACCTGGGAGGTGGAGGTTGCAGTGAGCCGAGATCATGCCACAGCACTCCAGCCTGAGTGACAGAGTGAGATTCCATCTCAAAAAAAGAAAGAAAATAAACAAAAAGAAAAGAGAGAAAAATCTTGGGATTTCTAGCAAAATATATATATTTTTTGAGACAGAGTCTCACTTTGTCACCCAGGCTGGAGCGCAGTGGCATAATCTCGGCCCACTGCAGCCTTGACCTCCTGAGCTCAAGTGATCCTCCCACCTCAGCCCCCCAAGTACCTGGGACTACAGGCATGCAACACCATGCCCAGCTAATTTTTTGGTATTTTTTGTAGAGATGGGGTTTCACCATGTTGCCCAGGCGAGTGTTGAACTCCTGAACTCAAGTGATCCAGCCGCCTTGGCCTCCCAAAGTGCCAGGATTACAGGAGTGGGCCATAGTGCCCGGCCTAGCAAAATAAATTCTGCAAAAGACCTAAGGGAAGATATTGTATTGTTTTAGTTTAACTCCTTCAAGGAGATCCTGAACATGACTTAGGTGAAGGGCCCTCCAGTAACCGAGAATCAGGATGGAAGACAGGACACACTTTTGTTTCTTTAGAGCGACTTATAAAAAGTAAAGGTTTAATTAGGTAACTGAAAATTTACTTTGTCCTGTGACAAATCTGATTTGCATTTTTATCACATGACAACCAATCTCCAATCCAGTGTTTCTCCACTGGGGGCCAACTTGTCCCCCAAGGAACATGTTTGGAGACGTGGAAATGTTTGCAGACATATTTAGTTGTCACAACTGAAAGACGGGAGTGTGCTACTGACAATAGTGGGTAGAGGTCAGGGATACTACTCAATGTCCTATAGCGCACAAATGTGCTTGCACGCACGCACACACACACACACATACCCCACCACCACAAACAATCTAGCCCAAAATGTCAACAGCACTAACGCTGAGAAACCCTGCCGGACCACAAAAGCAGTGTGCATTCAAAAGAGGACATGAGTCTAATACCCCTCTCATCCCTTCATCAATTTACAGAGACGAGATTGTTAGTCACCTTTATCAAATATCCCTTATATAGATTTCTGAGGAAACTGAATTTCCACCAAAAAAACAGAAGAAGCTATTAGAGGCAGCTTGGCACTGCCCACAAATGACAATGAAAAGGGTTACAGTATGTTCCTGGGAATAGACCTTTTTTGTATGTATTTGGATGCCTGGAAGCTAAACATTTAAAACAAACCCAGTAACAAATCCAGGCAGGCTGAAGCCCCTGACAGAAATGTGTTTATTACTTCTTTGTGGGATGGAACATATAACTGGGAGAAATTTGATTTTCGTTTATCAGTCTGGTACCTGACTGCTAAGAAAGCTAAGAATCAGAAGAACTAACTTCTACTACCAGGTCTGCTACTAGCTAGCTGTAGGACTTCCTTGGAGCTCCAAGGAGTCATTTCTCAGTGAACTGCAGGGAGGATGGCTTTGAACAGGAGGCAAAGCAGGAAAGGCTGTGGGCCTCCCATACCCTGCTTCAGTCAGAACAGCTCCCCTCTTCCTTGCTATATTTCCTCCAAGAAAAAGCTTGTGCTGTTTCTAAAAATAAGATCCAAAAAACAACATAAGTGATAATATTGTAGGCCTGATATTATATTCAGAGCTACCTAAGTAAGCCTTTTGTGATCCATCCTAGCACTCATATCTCGTTATGGTATGTGTATGTTTATATGTTTGTTTTCCAGATTACAGGTCATTTATCTTGGCCTCCTACTGCCCAATTACACACCAGTCAGGGTTTGTTGACTGAATGAATGATTTCCAGAATACAAGGTATTCTCAAAATTGAGGCATTCTCAAAGTGCTGATGACAGAGGGCAATTAAAGGTGAATCTCAGATATAAGAATAATGGGCTGGGCGCGGTGGCTCACGCCTGTAATCCCAACACTTTGGGAGGCTGAGGCAGGAGGATCACTGAGGCCAGGAGTTTCAGACCAGCCTGGGTAACATATGGAGATCTCTGTTGCTACCTCCCCCCAAAAATTATAAAATTAGCTGGATGAGGCTCGGCGCAATGGCTCACACCTGTAATCCCAGCGCCTTGGGAGGCCAAGGCAGGTGGATAGCTTGAGTACAGGAGTTCCAGACCAGCCTGGGCAACATGGTGAAACCCCATCTCTACAAAAAATACAAAACTTAGCCAAGCATGGTGGCACATGCCTGTAGTCCCAGCTACCTGGGAGGCTGAGGTAGGAGTATCACTTGACCCTGGGGGTGGCGGCTGCAGTGAGCCAAGACCGTGCCACTGCACTCCAGCCTATGTGACACAGCAGGACTCTGTTTCAAAAAATTTTTAAAAATAAAATAAAACTAGCTGGATGTGGTGGTGAGTGCTTGTGGTCCCAGCTACTCGCGAGGCTGAGGCGGATCACTTGAGCCCATGACTGTGCCACTGCAAAAGGAAGAAAGGAAGAAAGTAAGGGAGGAAGGGAGAGAGGGAGGGAGGATGATGGCTGCCTAGTGACTAAACACTTGGTGAAAGATAAGAATGGCCTTGTGGGGGGAATAAGCATTTGATGCTTTGTGCTCGAGTAACTCACTGTTTCATGTGTGAAGGGAAAATGCTGCATTACATTGGTCTTAAACTGGCTTCCTTACATTCCACAGATATGACTACTAAGAGCGTACCTTTTAGATTTTGTTTTATGGTCTCTGAAAGCCTGATTGGTAGCATAACACTGTGTTACTTGCCCCCTCCTTATATAAAGAAATGTATACCAGCCTGGGCAACAAGGCAAAAACCCTGTCTCTACAAAAAAACTACAAAAATTAGCTGGGCGTGGTGGCACATGCCTGTCATCCCAGCTACTCAGGAGTCCTAGGCAGGAGGATTGCTTGAGCCCACAATGGTGGAGGTTGTACTGAGCCAAAAACACACCACTGCACTCCAGCCTGGGTGACAGAGTGAGATCCTGTCTCAAAAAAAAAAAAAAAAAGAAATGTACAGGCACATTTTTAACAGTCATGGTAGCAAATGCTTGCCAGCCTTCTCCACTCAACGCATACACAAACCACTGACTCCTTGATGTCTACATCTGTGAAAAAATATCCAATGTCCCCCAAGTTGTCCTTAGAGTCTGGGTTTCATAGCAGCAGCAAGGTCTCTTCATGTTGTTCTCTAGGGAAGGGGTCAGCCACAAAAAGGCAATAGTTATACAACTTTGTAACAAACCCACATCCTGTATCTATGTACATTTTAGAGGAAACACCAAGGCCTTAGGTTATCATTATTGCAAAGGAAAATGCTACAGTTATCATAATTTACTGAAAAAAAAATAAAAAATCCCAGCAGTTTGCTGTAAAACTGTGTAACTTCCTGTCACAATCTTCTCCAATGGGGCAGCACCCACAACTATACACATTAAAGTGAAGTTTAATGTCCAAGAGTTTAATTCCTTTAATTCCCAAGAGTTCCCAGAACTGGTCAAACATCATTATCTCCATTAATCATTATTCAGAGGAAATTCAAATAGCCCAGAACATCAACTACTGACTGAGGACATGATTAGGCAACAATGAATGAATAGCTTTAGAAAAAAGCAGACATAATGGAAAAGGCAACTGTCCAACAGCTCAGGCATTCTCCAGGGCTGTGAGAGGTATACTCAAGCCTGTTTTTTTTTTTTTTTTTTTTGAGATGGAGTTTCCCTCTCGTTGCAGCGAAACAATGGAGTGCAATGGCACGGTCTGAGCTCACTGCAACCTCTGCCTCCCGGGTTCAAGTGATTCTCCTGCCTCAGCCTCCTGAGTAGCTAGGATTACAGGCATGCAAAACCACACCCGGCTACATTTTTTTTTTTTTTTTTTTTTGAGACAGAGTTTCGCTCTTGTTGCCAAGGCTGGCATGCAATGGCGTGATCTCCCCTCGCCGCAACCTCCGCCTCCCGGGTTCAAGCAGTTCTCCTGCCTCTGCCTCCCGAGTAGCTGGGATTACAGGCATATGCCACCGCGCCCGGCTAATTTTTTTTTTTTTTGAGACGGAGTCTCGCTCTGTCTCCCAGGCTGGTGTTCTCAGCTCACTGCAACCTCCGCCTCCCGGGTTCACGCCATTCTCCCACCTCAGCCTCCCAAGGAGCTGGGACTACAGGCGCCAGCCACCACGCCCAGCTAATTTTTTGTATTTTTAGTGGAGACGGGGTTTCGCCATTCACAGGATGGTCTCGATCTCCTGACCTTGTGATCCACCCGCCTCGGCCTCCCAACGTGCTGGGATTACAGGTGTGAGCCACTGCGCCCAGCAATTTTATATTTTTAGTAGACATGGGGTTTCTCCATGTTGGTCAGGCTGGTCTCAAACTCCCAACCTCAGGTGATCCGCCCGCCTCGGCCTCCCAAAGTGCCGGGATTACAGGTATGAGCCGCTGGGCTACGCCTGGCTAATTTTGTAGTTTTAGAGGTCAGGCTGGTCTCAAACTCCTGATCTCAGGTGATCCGCCCACCTAGGCTTCCCAAAGTGCTGGGATTACAGGCCTGAGCCACTGTGCCCAACTTCTTTTTTTTTTTTGAGACAGGGTCTTGCTGTGTTGCTCAAGCTGAAGTGCACTGGGTCAATCAGAGCTCACTGCAGCCTCAACTCCTGGGCTCAGGTGATACTTCCAACTTAGCCTCTCGAGCAGCTGAGACTACAGGCATTCACTACCATGTCTAGCTAATTTTAAAAATTTTTTTGTAGAGACAGGGTCTCACTATGTTGCCCAGGTTGGTCTCGAACTCCTGGGCTCAAGCAATCTTTCTTTGGCCTCCCAAAGTACTGGGATTACAGGCGTGGGCCACCACGCCCAGCCTCAAGCCCTTTTTCAAACAAAACCCTACACAAATGGCCAATACAAAAAGGAAATAAGTGAGCTTCCATACTTAAAATGAGGAGGGAAAGAGAAAGGGGGCCAAAAGGGACTGAGCTCAGCTCCTCATTCCCCTCAGGACCTTGAGCTTGGCCTAGTTTGCTCAGCTGTGGTCTAGGAGACATAAGATATTCAATTAAACATTTGCTGGCTACCATTTCCCACTACCTGTGCTAAGTGACCAGTGGCTCTGGGCACGGTCTCTTATCTTAGGCCTGTATGTCCAAATCAACAGTGGGAAGCTGGGCCTGGATTAGCCACTGTTCCCAGACCTGACCTGCCCAGAGTTTTCTGGCAGCTAGGCCAGAGCTCCCTCTACTCTTTCACATATCATTTCCAGTTGCCCACTAGTTCCTTGAAAAGTTCGTGACCTTCCAAAAAACCATGTAGTTTCTGTGTCTTCAACTCACCTCATCCCCAGCATTGGTACTGAGCTCTAACCCTGTATTAGGGACAGACATACTCTAATCAGCTGTCCTTGACAGACCTTGAGCTTCAAACACTTCTGCCTCACCCACACTAGCCAGTTAAGTTGCTGTGGCCTCAGCAGTCCTCTCCTAGGAACCAGATTAGACCACTGCCTACACATGGGGACACGCTGTCCTTTGGACAAGTACTCAGGCAAGTCCCTTGACAGTTGGTGTTTGGTAAAAGGCTGTTTGTTTACAAAGGAATGTCCTAGGGTTTCTGTCTTTAATCTACTCAAATACTTCCTTTTTTGAACACAATTTGTGTTTGAAGACACAAATTAAGAGATGTGTACTTTTGAAGATGGGAAGAAAGGGTACTTGTCAGAACAATCCTTATCCTTTTTTGGTTGCAAATCCCTTTCAGAATCAGAGCAAGGCTTCAGATTCTCTCTCCAGGACAATCGTATGGTTTAAAAATGTTGCCTGTGGCCAGGCATGGTGGCTCAAGCCTGTAATCCCAGCACTTTGGGAGGCTGAGGTGGGTGGATCACCTGAGGTCAGGAGTTCGAGACCAGCCTGGCCAACATGGTGAAACCTTGTCTCTACTAAAAATGCAAAAATTAGCCGGGCGTGGTGGCAGGTGCCTTAATCCCAGCTACCTGGGAGGCAGAGGTAGGAGAATTGTTTGAACCCGGGAGGCAGAGGTTGCAGTGAGCCGAGATCAAGCCATTGCACTCAAGCCTGGGGGACAAGAGCGAGACTTCTCTCAAAAACAAAAACAAAAATAAAAACAAAAACAAAAACAAAAAAATCAATCCCTGTTCTAAAAGGAGTCTATCAGTGACATTCTCTTTTTATGGGTAAAGTTTTCAGTAAGACCCTGAGTGCTCTAAGAAGGGTTTCTTCTTTCTTTGGCCTCCTTCCTTCTCTTCCCTTCCTCCTCTGTCCTAATGGGTTCAGTACAAGTTCTCCCATTTTCTCCATTTCTCCACTCTTTAACTTCCCTGGCCTCTCAAAACTCTCATAAACCTTACAAAGTGATTTTACTGTTTTGTGTCTTCCCACAGTTACTACCAGCTCCTAGTAAACAAAGACTATGCTTGGTTTGTTGTTGTATTTGCACATCCCCTCAGTGCCAATACTCTGCATACCTTAGAAGCTCAATACAGTACAGTCAGCCCTCCATATCCATGGGCTCTGCATCAGTGGATTCAACCAACCTCAGATTAAAAATATTCAGAAAAAGGCCTGACATGGTGGCTCACCCCTGTAATCATAGCACTTTGGGACGTGGAGGTGGGTGAATCACTTAAGGTCAGGAGTTCGAGATCAGCCTGGCCAACATGGTGAAACCCGGAATCTGCTAAAAATATAAAAATTAGCCGGGGGTTGTGGCAGGCACCTGTAATCCCAGCTACTCGGGAGGCTAAGGCAAGAGAATCGCTTGAACCCAGGAGGTGGAGGTTGCAGTGAGCCAAGACTGCGCCACTGCACTCCAGCCTCGGTGACAGAGTGAGATGCCGTCTCAATCAACCAATCAATCTTCAGGGAAAAAAAAAACAACAGATGGCTACATATGTACTACACATGTACAGATTTTTTTTCTTGTCATGATTACCTAAACGATACAGTATAACAACTATTTACATAGCACTGTATTGGGTATTATAAATACAGATGATTTAAAGAATACAGAAGATATGCATAGGTTATATGCAAATTCTATACACCATTTTATATAAGAAACTTAAGCTGGGCACAGTGGCTCATGCCTGTAATACCAGCACTTTGGGAGCCCGCGGCAGGCGGCTCACCTGAAGTCAGGAGTTCGAGACCAGCCTGGCCAATATGGTGAAACCTCACCTCTACTAAAAATACAAAAATCAGCCAGGCGTGGTGGTGCACACCTGTAATCCCAGCTACTCGGGAGGCTGAGGCAGGAGAATCATTTGAACCCGGGAGGTGGAGATTGCAGTGAGCCGAAATCGTACCACTGCACTCCAGCCTGGGTGACAGTGCAAGACTCCGTCTCAAAAAAAAAAAAAAAAAAGAAAAGAAAAGAAACTTGAGCATCCTGGATCTTGGTACCCTTGAGGGGTCCTGGAACTAATCTCCACAGATACTGAGGGATAACTATATATACTTCTCAAATGGCCTCATACTACTGTTTCTTGATCCTTCTACCTTTAGGCATTTGGACTTGAATGTGGTGCCTCCTTTAAAATTTGGGCATATGAGGCCGGGTGCAGTGGCTCACGCCTGTAATCCCAGCACTTTGGGAGGCCAAGGTGGGTGGATCATGAGGTCAGGAGATTGAGACCATCTTGGCTAACACGGTGAAACCCCGTCTCTACTAAAAATACAAAAAATTAGCCGGGCATGGTGGCGGGAGCCTGTAGTCCCAGCTACTCGGGAGGCTGAGGCAGGAGAATGGCGTGAACCTGGGAGGCGGAGCCTGCAGTGAGCCGAGATCGCACCACTGCACTCCAGCCTGGGCGACAGAGCAAGACTCCGTCTCAAAAAAAAAAAAAAAAAAATTTTTGGGCATATGCACGGGTGTGATACTGTAATTTAGAAGAAGATACAGAGATAAATTTGAGGCTGGATGCAGCGGCTCATGCCTGTAATCCCAGCACTTCAGGAGGCTGAGGTGGGCAGATCACTTGAGGTCAGGAGTTCAAGACCAGCCTGGTTAATATGGTGAAACCCCGTCTCTACTAAAAATACAAAAATTAACCAGGTATAGTGGCGCACACCTGTAGTCCCACCTACTCGGGAGGCTGAGGCAGGAGAATCGCTTGAATCCGGGAAGCGGAGGTTGCAGTGAGCCGAGATAGCGCCATTGCACTCCAGCCTGGGTGTCGCAGCAAGACTCTGTCTCAAAACACAAACAAACAAAAAGATTTATAGATATATTTGATCTGCACCCTAGGTTCCTGGCACAGAGCTCCTAAAACCTTTGTAGATGGGGGCACTAGGAGAATCCTTCATTCTGATATTGGTCTTTAACCTCAGTTCCTGACACAGAGCTCCTAAAACTTTTGTAATTTCCTAAATCCCTTGGAATTTCCTGGGTAATAGGAGCATCTTTTGTTGTAAGTAAGTAACTCTTGGTGGGCTCCTAGATGGGGGCTGATTGCCTGGGGAACCAACCATGTGATTAGAGGGTGGGAACTTTCAGCCCTACCCCCTTAACCTCAGGGGACGGGAGAAGGTCTAAAGGTTGAGTTGATCACCAGTGGCCAATAACGTATTCAATTATGCCTTTGTAATGAAGCCTCCATAAACACACACACACACACACACACACACACACACACACACACACACACACACACACACACACACACCAGGGTTTGCATTAGCTTCAGGATAGCTGAATACACGAAAGTTCCAGAGAGGGCGTAGAAGCTTCATGCCTCTTCCTACATGCCTCACCCTATACATCTCTTCCATCTGGCTATTCATCTGTATCCTTTTTTTTTCTTCCAGTCTGTCGCCCAGGCTGGATGGAGTGCGGTGGCGTGATCTCATTTCACTGCAACATCTGCCCCCAGGGTCCAAGCGATTTTCCTGCCTCAGCCTCCCTAGTGGCTGGGACTACAGGCATGCACGACCACACCCGGCTAATTTTTTTGTATTTTTACTAGAAATGGGGTTTCACCACATTGGTCAGGCTGGTCTCAAACTCCTGACCTCAGGTGATCTGCCCTCCTTGGCCTCCCAAAGTGCTGGGATTACAGGCATGAACCAGCACGCCCAGCCATCTGTATCCTTCTTAATATCCTTTAGAGTAAATTGGTAAATGTAAGTAAAGTGTTTTCCTGAGTTCTGTGACCCACTCTAGCAGATTAATCAAACTCGAGGAGGGATTGTCAGAACTTTCGATTTATAGCTAGTAGGTCAGAAGTATAGGTGACAATTTACTACTTGTGACTAGTGCCTCAAGTTGGGACAGTTTTGTGGGACTGAGCCCTCAATTGGTGGGATCTGACGCTATCTCCAGATAGAGTATCAGAATTTAACTGACTTAGAGGACACCGCACCGGTGTGTCTACTAGAGAATTGCTTGGTGTATGGGGAAACAACTCCCATATATCTGGTATCAGAAGTGTTGTGTTGAGTGACTGTGGGAACAGAGTAGAAAAAAGACTTTGGGTTTTTTTGCCTTTCTCAAATAACCAGAAGAGCCACAAGCAAAGACAGAAAAGCATAACCTACAGCAGCTAGTTTCTCAGAACAGCATATTTTTCCCCTTCTGGGTCCACTTGCCTTTTTATAAACACAAAAAGTCTTACAGAGCAGGACAAATATGACACTGAACACAGACATTTGAAAATTTTGCTGAGATTGACAAATTCTCAAGTATATGGTAGAGGAATGGAGTTTTTTAAGTTATTTTCTAATTACTGGGATACCTGCTATTACCAAGCCAACCGAAGGCCTGACTTTCCCTCTGCCTTCCTACATAAAAAGAAGAGAGTAAAGGTTTAATGTCTTCTAGGTAGAAGTTAGATGACCACCCAGGCCACACTTCACCAAGTTTGCTTTTTCATCTGCCGTCAAACACTACTATCCACACTCAGCTTTGCTCATTTATTCCTTCCCTTCTCCCTCCTGCCCTCCTCCAGACTGCCACAGAGATAGTTCAAGGTGACAATGGCTCCTCTGCAGCAGCACATAGCAGTCTTGCCAGACACAACAGCAGATCAAGTAACTACTGAAGATGATGGCTACACTTGGACAGGTGACATTACATTATCATCAACAAACATTTATCACCCTCTTGAGTACTGTGACTACAAAGAAAGATAAGATCTTGCTCTGCACGTCAAGTACCTTTCAATCTAGAGAGAGAGTTAGGTGGAAAAATAAAAAGATAACATAAGGTGTACCATTCTATAAATATTAATTGTGCAATACAGACAACTGTGCTAAAGATAGAGCTTTATGTACCCGACTTTCCAGAACAATTCTGATTTCAAATACCCTGTTCCACCCAATTCTTTCAGTACACCTGTATGCTCAATGACAGGTGTTTCGCATAAAAATTATGATCATCACAGCTACTTATGAGGCCAGCCAGTCAACTAGATTAACTAAAATCAGGATGGCATTATAATGCCAGATTGTTTTATTTTTTTCTTTTTTTTTTTTTTTTTGAGACGGAGTCTCGCTCTGTCTCCCAGGCTGGAGCGCAGTGGCGCGATCTCTGCTTACTGCAAGCTCCGCCTCCCGGGTTCCCGCCATTCTCCTGCCTCAGCCTCCCGAGTAGCCGGGACTACAGGCGCCCGCCACCATGCCCGGCTAATTTTTTTTGTATTTTTTAGTAGAGACGGGGTTTCACCGTGTTAGCCAGCATGGTCTCGATCTCCTGACCTCGTGATCCGCCCGCCTCCGCCTCCCAAAGTGCTGGGATTACAGGTGCGAGCCACCGCGCCCGGACCAGATTGTTTTAATCACACTAGTACCTTCTTGCAGCCTCAGCACAGTGCTTTAATAGTAGGCCCTCTATCTCAGACATGAAAACATGAGCAAAAGCAAAAATACGAGGCCTGGCCGGGCGCGGTGGCTCACGCCTGTAATCCCAATGCTTTGGGAGGCCGAGGTAGGTGGATCACCTGACATCAGAAGTTTGAGACCAGCCTGACTAACATGGTGAAACCCCGTCTCTACTAAAAATACAAAAAATTAGCCAGGCGTGGTGGCAGACGCCTATAATCCCAGCTTCTCCAGAGGCTGAGGCAGGAGAATCGCTTAAACCTGGGAGGTGGAAGTTGCAGTGAACCAAGGTCACACCACTGCACTCCAGCCTGGGTGACAAGAGTGAAACTCTGTCTCAAAAAAAAAAAAAAAAAATAGTAGGCCCTTAGCCGGGCACGGTCGCTCCACCTCTAATTCTAATTGGGAGGCCAAAGTGGGTGGACCACTTGAGGTCAGGAGTTTGAGACCAGCCTGGCCAGCATGGTGAAACCCCGTCTCTACTAAAAATACAAAAATTAACTGGGTGTGGTGGCACACACCTGTAATCCCAGCTACTAGGGAGGCTGAGGAAGGAGAATCACTTGAACCCAGGAGGCAGAGGTTGCAGTGAGCCGAGACGGCGCCACTGCACTCCAGCCCTGGTGACAGAGCAAGACTCTAAGGAAAAAAAAAAAAAAAAGGCCGGGTGCTGTGGCTCACGCCTGTAATACTAGCACTTTGGGAGGCCAAGGAGGGTGGTTCGCTTGAGGTCAGGAGCTGGAGACCAGCGTGGCCAACATGGCGAAACCCCATCTCTACCAAAAGTACAAAAATTAGCCAGGCATGGTGGTGCATGCCTGTAGTCCCAGTTACTTGGAAGGCTGAGGCAGGAGAACTGCTTGAACCCCAGAGGCAGAGATTGCAGTGAGCTCAGATCAGATCACTGTACTCCAGCCTGGGTGAAAGAGCCAGACTCTGTTTCAAAAAAATAAAAAATAAAAAATAAAAAAGCCGGGCGCAGCGACTCATGCCTATAACCCCAGCACTTTGGGAGGCCAAGGTGGACGGATCACCTGAGGTCAGGAGTAGGAGACCAGCCCGGCCAACATAGTGAAACCTCATCTCTACTAAAAATACAAAAATTAGCCAGGCATGGTGGCATACGCCTGTAATCCCAGCTACTCAGGAGACTGAGGCTGGAGAATCGCTTGAACCCAGGAGGCGGAGGTTGCAGTGAGCTGAGATTGTGCCACCACACTCCAGCCTGGGTGACAGAGCAAGACTGTCTCAAAAAAAAAAAAAAAAAAAAAAAAAAAAAAAATAGAATAAGAAAAAGGCAGGCTGGGTACAAGATACTAGTCTGTTATGCCATTCTTCCCCACAGCCTTTTTAAAGTTACTGAGAACTATGACAGTAATTAGGCCTATAATACTCCTGGGAAGGAAACGAATCTATCTGTGAAACAAAAATTAATTTTTTCCCTAAGCTGAGTGAAGAGAATATCCACTTTGTTGGCTTCTGACATACACACTGACAGCACAGTTCACCAGACAACAATCACTCTTCTGGCGTCCCTTTCCCCAGGTATTCTATTCGCTTACTGCTCTATCTTCCCTGCCAGTCCACTCCCTCCTCTTTCCAGCCTGTGCCTTAGACAAGGACCCCAAACAAGGATCACCTGGGAAACTCCAAAAAACAGATTCCTAGTCATAATCCCAATTTTACCAAAAAAGAAGCGTTTGGAAACCCCTTAGATCGACAAGCAGCATCCAAAGACACCAAAAACTTAGGCTCATCAAGTATTAACTTCCTGCCTCAGCCTCCCAAGTAGCTGAGATTACAGGTATGTGCTAGCATCCTACTTATTGTTCACTCTGATAGAATTTTTTTTTCTTTGAGATGAAGTTTTGCTCTTGTCGCCCAGGCTGGAGTGCAATGGCATGATCTTGGCTCACTGAAACCTCTGCCTCCCAGGTTCAAGCAATTCTCCTTGCTCAGCCTCCCGAGTAGCTGGGATTACAGGCTACTTTTTGCAAGGCTAATTTTTGTATTTTTAGTAGAGACGGGGTTTCACAATGTTAGCCAGGCTGGTCTCGAACTCCTGACCTCAGGTGATCCACCCGCCTTGGTCTCCCAAAGTGCTGGGATTACAGGCGTGAGCCACCGCACCCAGTCTAGGTCAAGTTTTTCATCTCTTTCCTTTCCAAGGAGTTAAAGCTGAATTTCAAATTTTACAGTGAAATACACAATTCTAATTTTCTTTCTTTCTTTTTTTTTTTTTTGAGATGCAGTTTTGCTCCTGTTGCCCAGGCTGGAATGCAGTGGCACAATCTTGGCTCATCGCAACCTCTGCCTCCCAGGTTCAAGTGATTCTCCTGCCTCGGCCTCCCAAGTAGCTCGGATTACAGGCACACACCACCATGCCCAGCTAATTTTTGTATTATTATTATTTTTTTCTTAGTAGAGATGGGGTTTTTCCATGTTGGTCAGGCTGGTCTCTATCTCCCGACCTCAGGTGATCCGCCCATCTCGGCCTCCCAAAGTGCTGGGATCACAAGCATGAGCCACTGCACCGGGCCCACAATTCTAATTTTCAAATATATCTTCCTCCTGGAGGAGTGATATTCCAGTTTTGGGTGCAATCCTGATGTAGAGCCCAACTGTCCTGTGAAGAGAGTCAGCTGTTAAAAGGAAACCAAAAAATCAAGGTAGCTCTAGCTGTCCAATTTTACAAGTTTTCAACAGACTTGATGAGGGGTGAGCTAAAGGCGGTCAATGCTTTATTGTCTGTAACTCACTGGCACTGGCATTTCTAGAGTTGCTCACGTTCCCCCTTTTGGTGACTCACAGCACTTCAACATGTTGCCACAGCCAAGGAAAAAAGGAAATCAAGTCAGACAATGGAGGAATCACAGGATTTCCCTCTTCACATCCCCAGGTAGATGAGGTCATTCAATGAGTGTGTTTCCAAGGCTCCACAAATTCCCACACCCTCACCAGTGTTTAAACCTGAATGTTTTATCTGATAACTTTTTCTAATTTCACCAAGTAAGCTTATATATGTCTTAACTGTGAACTCCTGATAAGCACAAATTTTGTCTTGTGATAATTTATTTTTTTCTTTTTTGAGACAGGGTCTCACTCTGTCACCCAGGCTGGAGTGCAGTGATGCGATCTCAGCTCACTGCAATCTCCACTTCGTGGGCTCAAGTGATCCTCCAACCTCAAACTCCCCAGTAGCTGGGATTACAGACACGCGCCACCCCGCCCGTTTAACTTTTTTGTATTTTTAGTAGAGACGGGGTTTCACCATGTTGGCCAGGCTGATCTCGAACTCCTGACCTCAGGTGATCCGCCTGCCTCGGCCTCCCAAAGTGCTGGGATTACAGGAGTGAGCCACTGCACCGGCCAGCGTTTCTTTCTTCAATCACACTCCACCTTGTCTGGTTTGTAGCGCCATCAACAAAACACAGTACGTAAGGATGGACAGCCACAGGCCACGACAACCGGCTCATCAGAAGCGATTTTTTTTTTTTTTTTTTTTTTTTTTAGATGGAGTCTTGCTCTGTCGCCCAGGCTGGAGTGCAATGGCGTGATCTCGGCTCACTGCAACCTCTGCCTCCCGGGTTCAAGCGATTCTCCTGCCTCAGCCTCCTAAGTAGCTGGAGCTACAGGCTCACGTTACCATGCCCGGCTGATTTTTGTATTTTTAGTAGAGACGGGGTTTCACTATGTTGGCCAGGCTGGTCTCGGACTCCTGACCTCAAGCAATCCGCCCGCCCTGGCCTCCCAAAGTGCTGGAATTACAGGCGTGAGCCACCGACCCGGCCCAGACGCGATTTAAATGGCATGACACAGGCAGGCCTCGTGCAAAGACTGCAAGGAGGTCCCGGCAGCTTTTGCAGGGCAATTAATCCACCCAGAGCACTGCGCTCAGAAAGTAATAGGTAAACCCGCGTCCGGACTAACCGGCTGCCCCCACACTTGATCCCTCCCAGTCCGACTCTGCTCCAGGGCGTACCAGGGTTCACTCGTGAAGTCACGACACCCACTCAAGGGGCACTTCCTATAGAGATAAGGGCATTAGAGGAAGGGCAGAGCCCCGGTCAATGCCAACAGCCCGGGAAACAGCCAAGCCGGGCTCCAATCTCTGCCGGCATCCCCTGTCTGCACCGCCGACGCCCCCAGCTACGACCCCGGGGGTCACCTCGCCCAGCATAGCCGTGACGCTGGGAGAGGGTGGGCCCAACGGGGACGCCAAAGAGAGCCATTCAGGCCTCCCCGCGCCCCCGGGGAGACGACTTCTGGAGAGCGGCGTCCGCGGTTTCGCCCTCCCCTGACAGCCCCTCCACGCCCTTCTTCGTCCTTCTGCCCGGCCTCACCCAGCTTCCGGCCGCCCCCGGCCGGGTCTCCCCTCAGACCGGCGCAGGGGACCCAAAGGGCTGTGGCCCGGCCAAGCCCAGGTCCGAAGGCCTGGACCGAGGCAGGGCCCGCGAAGGACGCAGCGCGGTCCGAGAAGCCGGGCGGAAGGAAGGCCCCGGGAGGGCGCGGACAGCTCACCTGCCGCAGGTCGCTGTCGCCTGTCCGCCAGCCTCCAGTCAGCGTGCCCGTCAGCGACTCCCTCAGGCGCCGCAGTCCCTGCAGCCCAGCGGACTGGCGCGAGGCCGGCGCAACGTGGGCACGCAGCGCGGGGCGGGGCCTAGAGATGACACGCCCCTTGTAGCTGACACGCCCTTGCCGGGGGCGGGAAGCGGAGTATGTGGCTTTCCCCAGGTCTCTGGAGGTTGCAGGCTCAGGCTCTGCTCAGCGGGGTAAGTAGGCGTGCTTCGGCAGGAACACTAGTGTTCACAAGAGCCGAGGTGTGTGAGGGTGCCTCAGGGTTGAGCACTTTTCTTCCCCAGTGTGGTTTAATCCTTGTACATCCACTCAGTGATGTAAGAAATAGGGTTGTCAACCGTGGCACCACCCACTTGGTCACTTGCCAATGCAATCTGCGAAACTGAGTCTCAACTCTGACACCTCGGTTACCAGTCTTGTATCTGATCTCCCTGTTGCATTATTCGCATTCTTCAAACAGCGGCCAGAATGACAGAATGATTTTTCTTTTTTTGAGACCGAGTTTTGCTCGTCGCCCAGGCTGGAGTGCAATGACGTGATCTCGGCTCACTGCAACCCCCTTCTCCCGGGTTCAAGCGATTCTCCTGCCTTAACCTCCCGAATAGCTGGGATTACAAGCGCCTGCCACCACGCCCGGCTAATTTTTGTATTTTTAGTAGAGACGGGGGTTTCACCATGTTGGCCAGGCTGGTCTCGAACTCCTGAGCTCAGGTGATCCACCCGCCTCGGCCTCCCAAATCACTGCAATTACAGGCCACCGCACCCAGCCCAGAGTCATTTTTTAGTTTTACTGAACACAAAGAAATTACTGAAATCGTGGGCCGGGTGTGGTGGCTCATGTCTGTAATCCCAGCACTTTGGGAGCCTGAGGCGGGAAGATCACTTGAGGTCAGCAGTTCGAGACCAGCCTGGCCAGCATGTTGAAACCCCGTCTCTACCAAAAATACAAAAAAATTTTAGCCGGGCATGGTGGCTCCTGCCTGTAATCCCAGCTACTCAGGAAACTGAGGCAGGAGAATCACTTGAACCCAAGAGGCGGAAGTTGCAGTGAGCCAAGATCGCACCACCACTGCACTCCAGCCTGGGCCACAGAGCAAGACTCCACCTTGAAAACAAAAAACAAAAACAAAAAAAAACTGAAATCAGTGCAAGTAGCAGCAACTTCAGAAGTGAGTTAGGGCTGGGCACGGTGGCTCCCACCTGTACTCCCAGCACTTTGGGAGGCTGAGGTGGGTGGATCACTTTAAGTCAGGAGTTCGAGACCTGCCTGGTCAACCTGGTGAAACCCCGTCTCTACTAAAAAATACAAAAATTAGCCGGGCTTGGTGGCACATGCTTGTAATCCCAGCTACTCGGGAGGCTGAGGCAGGAGAATCTCTTGAACCCGGGGGGCGGAGGTTGCAGTAAGCCGAGATCGCGCCACTGCACACCAGCCTGGGCGACGGACCAAGACACTGTCTCAAAAAAATAAAAATAATAAAATTTTAAAAGTGAGTTAGGCAAAGAAAATATCAAGCGGACAAGGCCTCAAGGGATAAGACTCATGGACATAGCTTTAATTATCTTTGCCTGACGCCCAATACCTGAAAATTAAGATGTTCATGCAAGATAAAGAGGTAATTTTTCTCCTCCTCCCAGTCATCACCCGTAGCATCCGGTTAAGAGGCTCTCCACCTCGCTCATTTTGGTCTAACTGGATTTACACAAACTCACTGTGCACGTGCCTGGGGCGGGCAAACCCGGAAACGACGCCGAGTCCCGCGGGATCCAGGAGGAGCCAACTGCGCCGGAGGAGGGGTTTCGGCCGACACGTCGGGATTGGCGGCTGCAGCCAGGGGTCCTCCGACGCTGGGCTTCCGTGAGCGGCGCTCTGCCAGGTGGGGCCGGAGCTGCGGGGAGGGAGTTGGCGCCTAGCGCGCAGCTCCATCCCCGCCTCTGCAGTGGACTCGGCCGCAGAATCGGGGTCCCGGGCTCCTGGAACTTGTCCCGCCCAGGCCGCGGCGAGGAGGTCACTCCAGCCGGTGGGACCCGGGCCGGGGGGCGGGTGACTGGAACCGGGGGAGGCGGGAAGGAGGAGGGGATCGGGCCCAAGGGACACGAGGTGGGTCGCGGGACCCCGATATCTCGGGACAGGCGTCTTGCCGCTCCGGGCCCAGCCGCCCCCTTCGACACATACTCGATGCATAGACAATGGGGGTGTCCTTTGTCGCTCCTGGCGGGAACCCCGGCCCCACCCCCAACTCCACGCCTCCCATTACCCCCAGATCTCTGGACCGGATTCGTCCCATTCTCGTCCTCATGGTGGACAAGAAACTGGTGGTGGTTTTCGGAGGCACAGGTGAGCCAAACCCCAGACTGGGGCCCTTGCAGAGCCAGGGCGCCTAGCCCTGAAGACCGCCCGTCCTGGGGTCTGCAGGGAGGGGTAAGGTCACTGGGACCCCCGACCCAGGTTGGGGCTGTGGTCGCAGGAACGAGGCCCAAATTGCTTTCCAATTTTTTTTTTTTTGGACGGAGTTTTGCTCTGTCACCCAGGCTGCAGTGCGATGGCACGATCTCGGCTCATTGCAACCTTTGCCTCCCGGGTTGAAGCGATTCTCCTGTCTCAGCCTCCCGAGTAGCTGGGATTACAAGGGCATGCCACCACGCCCGGCTAATTTTTGTATTTTTAGTAGAGACGGGGTTTCATCATATTGGTCAGGCTGGTCTCAAACTCCTGACCTCAGGTGATGACCCGCCTCGGCCTCCCAAAGTGCAGGTATTACAGGCATGAACCACCACGCCAGACCTGCTTTCCAAATTAAAAAAAAATGAGTTACTTAACTTATTTGAATAGGAGTACTTGAACATGATACCAAAATTAAATCTTCTTCCTAGCCTCCTCTTCCACCTCATCTATTGCTGTTACCAAGTTTCTTGAATATCCTGCCAGAGTAGATAACATGTTATCATTTTTTCAAATGATAGCATATTATTTCATTCCTATTTTTTCTTATTTATACATATTTAATATCTCTAACAGCTTTATTGAGATATAATTCACGTACTATACAATCTACCTGTTTAAAGTGTGCAACTCACTGGTTTCTAGTGTATTCATAGAATTGTACAACCATCACCACAATCAATTTTAGAAAATTTCCATCACTCCAAAAAGAAACTCTGGCCCAGGTGCAGTGGCTCAACCCTGTAATCCCAGCACTTTAGTTGGACCAAATGGGCAGATCGCTTGAGCTGAGGTGTTTGAGACCAGCCTGAACAACAGGGCAAAATCTCGTCTCTACAAAAAAATACAAAAATTAGTGGGGCGTGGTGTCATGCACCTATAGCTACCTAGGAGGTTGAGGTGGGAGGATCACCTGAGTCCAGCAGGTCAAGGCTGCAGTGACCTGATTGTGCCACTGCACTCCAGCCTGGGCAACAGAGTGAGACCTGATCTCAAAAAAAAAAAAAAAAAAAAGAACTCCATGAACCCGTGAACAGTTACTCCCCATTCTTACTCCTCCCAGCCAACCCCTAGAAAGCTCCAATCTACTTTTGGTTTCTATGGATTTGTCTATTCGGGACATTTCATATGAATAAAATCATAATATGTAGCCTTTTCTCTCTGGCTTCTTCAGTTAGCATGTTTTCAAGGTTTGTTCATGTTGTAGTGTGTGTCCGGGCTTTACTCTTTTTTTTTTTTTTTTTGAGACAGAGTCCCGCTCTGTTGCCCAGGCAGCAGTGCAGTGGCGTGATCTCTGCTCACTGCAACTTCTGCCACTCGGGTTCAAGCGATTCTCCTGTCTCACCCTCCTGAGTAGCAGGGACTACAGGCGTGAGCCACCATGCCTGGCTAATTTTTGTATTTTTAATAGAGATGGGGTTTTGCCATGTGGCCAGGCTGGTCTCAAACTCCTGACCTCAGGTGATCTGCCCACTTCAGCTTCCTAAAGTGCTGGGATTAGAGGCTTGAGCCACCGCGCCCGGCCAACTTTACTTTTTTATTTTTAAGACAGAGTTTCTCTCTTGTTGCCCAGGCTGGAGTGCAATGGTGTGATCTCTGCTCGCTGCAACCTCTGCCTCCCGGGTTCAAGCAATTCTCCTGCCTCAGCCTCCCAAGTAGCTGGGATTACAGGTGTGCACCACCACACCCAGCTAATTTTGTATTTTTTAGTAGAGACGGGGTTTCACCATGTTGGTCAGGCTGGTCTCGAACTCCTGACAGCTTTACTTATTTTTATGGCTGAGTAATATTCCACCGTATGGATAGACTATATTCTGTTTGTCCATTCGTCAGTGGATGGATACTTGATTTATTTCCACTTTTTGGCTATTATGAATAATGCTGCCATGGAACATTGGTGTACACTTTTTTCTGAGTCAGGGTCTTGCTCTGTTGCCCAGGCTGGAGTGCAGTGGCTCAATCATCACTCACTACAGCTTTGACTTCCAAGCCTCAAGCAATCCTCCTGACTCATTCGCCTGAGTAGCTGGGACTTCAGATGAGCGCTAACAGGCCCAGCTGATTTTTTAATTTTTTGTAGAGACTGGGTCTCACCCTGCTGCCTAGGCTGGTCTCAAACTCCTGGCCTCAAGCAAAACCCATCCCCCTTACCCTCCCAAAGTGCTTAGATTACAGCTATGAGCTACTGTGCCCGGCCTCAGTCCTTATTTTTGATGCATTTCTGTGTAAATTGCAGATATGTGTACACCGCCCTTCCATACTAAAGCATGCATAACATTAGCTAGAATTCAGTATTTGTTTATAGATTATTTTTAATTATGAGGTAAAATATACATATAATAAAGAATTTTTTTTTTTTTTTTTTTTTGGAGACAGGGCCTTACTCTGTTACCCAGGCTGGCGTGCAGTGGTGTGATCACGGCTCACTGCAGCCTCAACCTCCTGGGTTCAGGCTTTCCTCCAGCCTCAGCCTCCCTGGTAGCTGGGACTACAGGCACATGCCACCACGCCCAGCTAATTTTTGGTTTTTTTTTGTAGAGATATGGTTTCACCATGTTGCCCAGGCTGGTCTCAAACTCCTGAGCTCAAGAGATCTGCGTGCCTCAGCCTCCCAAAGTGTCTGGATTACAGGCATGAGCCCCTGGGCCCAGCTGCAACGCGCAAAATCTTAAGGGTACATCTGACCGATGCGCATGCCTGTGTGACTCAAGCTCCATCGAGATCTGAATAAGTTTTTGTATTCCTTTCTGTTAACTATTTTTCTTTGTCTCGTTTTTGAGCAGATCTGAATATGGTTGTGTATCTGAATATGGCTTTATATTCTACTTCAGGAAGAATTCAAATCCCATCAAGATCTGAATATGGTTTTTTCTTTTGTTTTGAGACAGAGTCTCACTGTGTCACCCAGGCTGGAGTGCAGTGGCCCAATCTCGGCTCACTGCAACCTCTGCCACCCTGGTTCAAGCGATTCTCCTGCCTCAGCCTCCCAAGTAGCTGGGATTACAGGCTCCACCATGCCCAGCTAATTTTTTTTTTTTTTTGAGACGGAGTCTTGCTCTGTCGTCCAGGCTGGAGTGCAGTGGCGCGATCTCGGCTCACTGCAAGCTCCACCTCCTGGGTTCATGCCATTCTCCTGCCTCAGTCTCCCGAGTAGCTGGGACTACAGGCGCCCGCCACCACGCCCGGCTAAGTTTTTGTATTTTTAGTAGAGACAGGGTTTCACCGTGTTAGCCAGGATGGTCTCGATCTCCTGACCTCATGATCCGCCCGCCTCGGCCTCCCAAAGTGCTGGGATTACAGTTGTGAGCTACTGCACCCGGCCTCATTTTTTTATTTTTAGTAGAGACGGGGTTTCACCATCTTGGCTAGGCTGGTCTTGAGCTCCTGACCTCGTGATCCACCTGTCTCAGCCTCCCAAAGTGCTAGGATTACAGCCACTGCACCCAGCCTGAATATGGTTTTGTATTCTACTTTTTTTACTTTATTACATCACAAATATTTTTACCTTTATTTTTTTGAGACCAAGTTTCGCTCTTGTTGCCCAGGCTGGAGTGCAATGGCGCGATCTCGGCTCACCGCAACCTCTGCCTCCTGGGTTCAAGCGATTCTCCTGCCTCAGCCTCTCGAGTAGCTGGGATTACAGGCATGTGCCACCACGCCTAGCTAATTTTGTATTTTTAGTAGAGACAGTGGTTTCTCCATGTTGGTCGGGCTGTTCTCAAACTCCCAACTTCAGGTGATCTACCCCCCTCGGCCTCTCAAAGTGCTAGGATTACAGGTGTGAGCCACTGCACCAGGCCCTTTTTTTTTTTTTTTTTTTTTTTTTGAGAGGGAATCTCACTTTGTCACCCAGGCTGGAGTGCAGTGGCGTGATCTGGGCTCACTGCAACCTCCGCCTCCTGTGTTCAAGCGATTCTCCTGCCTTAGCCTCCTGAGTAGCTGTGACTACAGGCGGGTGCCACCACGCCCGGCTAAGTTTGTATTTTTAGCAGAGACAGGGTTTCACTGTGTTAGCCAGGATGGTCTCGGTCTCCTTACCTGGTGATCCACTCGGCCTGGCCTCCCAAAGTGCTGTGATTACAGGCGTGAGCCACCATGCCTGGCCTTTTTTTTTTTTTTTTAATACAGATTCTCGCTGTGTCACCCAGGCTGTGGTGCAGTGGCGCAATCTCAGCTCACTGCAACCTCCGCCTCCTGGGTTCCAGCAATTCTCGTGCCTCAGCCTCCTGAGTAGCTGGGAGTACAGGCATGTGCCTTCACACCCAGCTAATTTTTGTATTTTTTGATAGAGGCGGGGTTTCACCAAGCCAAGATCGTGCCACTGCACTTCAGCCTGGGTGATAGAGTGAGACTCCATCTCAAAAAAATAAAATAAAGAAAATAAAAATACCTGAATGAGAATCGTCGTTGAGAAGGTTTCCTGGATGCTCCTTGCTGTGGTGGAGCACTCCCTTCGGGGTTTCGCCCTTCAGTGGGACTTTCAGGTAGGTCTGACCTGAGAGGTCTTTTTGATTCTTTGTAGGTGCCCAGGGTGGCTCCGTGGCCCGCACACTCCTGGAAGATGGGACATTCAAGGTTCGAGTGGTGACCCGAAACCCTAGGAAGAAGGCAGCAAAGGAGCTGAGGCTGCAAGGTGCAGAAGTAGTGCAGGGAGACCAAGATGACCAGGTCATCATGGAGCTGGCCCTGAATGGGGCTTACGCCACCTTCATCGTGACCAATTACTGGGAGAGCTGCAGCCAGGAGCAGGAGGTCAAGCAGGTGAGGGCAGGCAGGAGCTGCAGGGAGGCCCGGCCAGGCTAGGAGCAGAGCGCCTGGGAGGAGCTCCGACTCTGCAGGGAGGTTGGAGCACTGCAGGCCTTTCCCTCTTCTTCATGCCTCTGCCTGCTCTAGGCTGTGAAGCAGGTGGACGCTGTTGCTTTCTCATCCAATTACTTTTTTTTTGTTTGTTTGAGGCCGTCTCAGTCTCCGTGAGCAACCACGCCTGGCCTGTTCGTTTGTTTTTTTTTTTTTTAATCAAAAATGTTAGAAGTTTTTTTTAAAAAGTAATTTCCACTTTTATTTTAGATTCAGGGGTACATGCACAGGTTTGTTACATTGGTATATTGAGTGATGCTGAGGTCTGGGGTGTGACTGGACCTGTCACCCAGGTAGTGGGCACAGTACCCAGTAGGTAGGTTTTCAACCCTTGCCTCCCTCCCTCCCGTGGTTCCCAGTGTCTGTTGTTGCCTTCATGTCCACGTGTACCCATCCAAACTTGTTATTAGCCTTGACCCTTTCTTCAATTATGGTCTTACCTAGAAGCCCATTATATAGAGCAGACAAAGACAACTTCTCTGATTAACGCAGATCTTTTTTTTTTTTTTTTTTTTGAGACTGAGTCTTGCTCTGTCGCCCAGGCCGGAGTGCAGTGGGGTGATCTCGGCTCACTGCAACCTCTGCCTCCCAGATTCAAGCAATTCTTCTGCCTCAGCCTCCCGAGTAGCTGGGATTATAGGTGTGTACCAGCACACCCAACTAATTTTTGTATTTTTAGTAGAGGCGGGGTTTCACCATGTTGGCCAGGCTGGTCTTGAACTCCTGACCTCAGGTGATCCGCCCACCTCGGCCTCCCAAAGTGCTGGGATTACAGGCGTAAGCCACATGCCCGGCCCTGAGCTGATCTTATTTCTTTCTTTATTTTTTGAGGCCGAGTTTCGCTTTTGTTGCCCAGGCTGGCATGCAATGGCGCAATCTTGGCTCACCGCAACCTCCGCCTCCTGGGTTCAAGTTATTCTCCTGCCCCAGCCTCCCGAATAGCTGAGATTACATGCATGCGTCACCATGCCCTGGTAATTTTTTTGTATTTTTAGTACAGACGGGGTTTCTCCATGTTGGTCAAGCTGGTCTCTAACTCCCGGCCTCAGGCGATCCGCCTGCCTCGGCCTCCCAAAGTGCTGGGACTGCGGGCATGAGCCACTGCGCCCAGCCCAGCAGATCTTATTTCTAATCCTGATGATTCCCTGTGGGCTTCCTGGTACTGTCACGAAAAAGGACCACAATCCACGTGGCTTAAAACCATAGAAATCAGCTGGGCACAGTGGCTCATGCTTGTAATCCCCACACTTTGGGAGGCCGAGGCGGGCAGATCACTTGAAGTCAGGAGTTTGAGACCATCCTGGCCAACACAGTGAAACCCTGTCTCTACTAAAAATACAAAAATTAGCTGGGCATGGTGGTGGGCGCCTGTAATCCCAGCTACTCAGGAGGCTGAGGCAGGAGAATTGCTTGAACCCAAGAGGCGGAGGTTGCAGTGAGCCAAGATTGTGCCACTGCACTCCGGCCTGAGCGACAGAGCTAGACTCTGTCTCAAAAACAAAAACAAAAACCACAGAAATCGATTCTCTGATATTCTAGAAGCTAGAAGTTCAAAATCAAGGTGTCAGCAATGTCACCCTCTCTCCAGAGTCTTGGAGGCCAGGCGTGGTAGTTTATGCTTGTAATCCCAGCACTTTGGGAGGCTGAGGTGGGCAGATCACTTAAGGTCAGGAGTTCAAGACCAGCCTGGCCAACACAGCAAAACCCTGTCTCTACAAAAAATACAAAAATTAGCCAGGCATGGTGGCGGGCACCTGTAGTCCCAGCGACTCAGGAGGGTGAGGCAGGAGAATTGCTTGAATCCAGGAAGCGGAGGCTGCAGTGAGCAGAGATCACGCCACTGCACTCCTGCCTGGGTGACAGAGTGAGAGTCCATCTTAAAAAACAAAACAAAACAAGGGGTTTGAGGGAAATCCTTCTTCACTGTTTCTGGCTTCTCATGGCTCCAGGTGTTCCTGGGCTTGTGGCCACAAAGCTCCAATCTCCGCTTCCCTCTTCGCATGGCCTTCTCCAGGTGTTGTCTCTTCTCCCGTCTCTTATAAGTACCCTGGTTACTGGATTTAGCGCCTATCTAGTTAGTGCAGGATGTTCCCATCTCAAGATCCTTCACGTAATTACATCTGCCAAGACCCTTTTTCCGAATAAGGTCACATTCACAGTTTTCAGGAATGAGGATGCGGCATATCTTTTTGGAGGCCACCGTCCGAATCTCTGCGTCACCTCATGCAGTAGGTAGTGTTGTCATCTGCATTTTACCAGCGAGGTCAGGATGGTGCCATCACTTCTCTGGGGTCACACTGCTCGTACATGGCAGAGCCTGATTTGAACCTAGGCAGCTGTGGTGCCTCTGTATAGCCTCCCAGGGCTCTCCAAGGAAGATGGCTGAGCTCCATGGGCAGGGTGTTCTCACACCAGCAGAGATGGGACGTGTGCATTCTCCTTTAGACCTCCATGCAGGCCGTCCCCCTGCAGCCGACCTGCCCCCCCGTCCTATGTTGCACATGGTGGGCCAGAGTCAGTGGCTGGTAGAAGGCTTCCGGGGCTGTGTTTACGGGCGTGGTGTCATGTGTGAACATCATTCCAGGAGAGGGGGCCTCCTCAAGGGTAAGTGGGGTCTAGATGTTAACCTCGCAGATGGTGGCCGCTCCGGGATTAGAATGCTGGGGCTGTGACCAGGGACAGACATCCTTCTTCTGAGCCTTGTGATCTCTCCTTCCCTGCCCTCCAGGGGAAGCTGCTCGCTGATCTGGCCAGGCGCCTGGGCCTCCACTATGTGGTCTACAGCGGCCTGGAGAACATCAAGAAGCTGACGGCAGGGAGATTGGCCGCCGCGCACTTTGACGGCAAAGGGGAGGTGGAGGAATATTTCCGGGACATTGGCGTTCCCATGACCAGTGTGCGGCTGCCCTGCTATTTTGAGAACCTCCTCTCCCACTTCTTGCCCCAGAAAGCCCCAGACGGAAAGAGCTACTTGCTGAGTAAGTGCCCTTTCTCGCACACGGTGAGGCAGAGCTCTCACCCTGTAAAGCCGTTGGTGTAACAGACCGCGGGCCGCTGTCACGTGGTGCCAGGTTCAAGCCGTGGCTCCCTCACGTTAGGCCCAGGACTGAGCACATCCTGTCAGCTTGCGGGGCCTCAGCTTCCTGTTCTGTGAGATGGGCTCTATACCAATGTTTGCAGGGGTGGCAAGATCTGCTGAGATGGTGGTGACACGATATTCGCTTGGTCCATTGGAAGGCTTTACAGAGAGGACCTAGTGATTGTCAGTTCTCCTTCAAAGATGAGGAGGGCCGGGCGCTGTGGCTTATGCCTGTAGTCCCAGCACTTTGGGAGGCTGAGGCGGGGAGACCAGCCTGGCCAACATGGTGAAACCCCATCTCTACTAAAAATACAAAAATTAGCTGGGCGTGGTGCCACCCACCTGTACTGGCAGCTACTAGGGAGGCTGAGGCAGGGGAATCGCTTGAACCCAGGAGGTGGAGGTTGCAGTGAGCTGAGATTGTGCCACTGCACTCTAGCCTAGGCGACAAGAGCAACACTCCGTCTCAAAACAAACAAAACAAAACAAAACAAAACAAAAAAACCAAAGACGAGGAGAGGATTTGGAAAATGAAGTTCAGTTGCAGATTTCACAAACTAGGAAAGCTCTTTCTTCTCAGTGCCCATTGGGGCTATAAACAGGTTAGGTGCACTGGCCCTGGCTGGGAACAAGGCTCACCCAACCTGTGTCCTGCTGGTCACTCAGTGATCAGGGCAGGAGGGGTTGGTGCCTCTGGCTGGCCACTCCTTACCCTCTGGTTGAATGCCAGGTCACCCTCGCATAAGGGCCCAGCCCATGGGAGTCCTGCTCACCTGGCGGGCCAAGTCTGGTGGTAACAGTAGCCCTTTGGTACCACCATTTATTATAGTTTGCAAAGCTGGCCAGGCGCAGTGGCTTACGCCTGTAATCCCAGCACTTTGGGAAGCCGAGGTGGGCAGACCACCAGTTCAGGAGTTTGAGACCAGCCTGGCCAGCATGGTGTGAAACCCCATCTCTACTAAAAATACAAAAATTAGCCAGCCTGGCGTGGTGGTGCACGCCTGTAATCCCAGCTACTCGGGAGGCTGAGGCAGAAGAATCGCTTGAACCCAGGAGGCAGAGGTTGCAGTGAGCCGAGATCGTGGCACTGCACTCCAGCCTGGGTGACAGAGCAAGACCCCGTCTCAAAAAAAAAAGGCCGGGCACGGTGGCTTACGCCTGTAATCCCAGCACTTTGGGAGGCCGAGGAGGGCGGATCACGAGGTTCAGGAGATCGAGACCATCATGGCTAACTTGGTGAAACCCCTGTCTCTACTAAAAATACAAAAACTTAGCCGGGTGTGGCGGCAGGCGCCTGTAGTCCCAGCTACTCGGGAGGCTGAGGCAGGAGAATGGTGTGAACCCGGGAGGTGGAGCTTGTGGTGAGCCAAGATTGCGCCACTGCACTCCAGCCTGGGCGACAGAGCGAGACTCCATCTCAAAAAAAAAAAAAAAAAAAAACCTGCAGTCAGGGATATCTCCTGCTCCGGTCTGTGCGCTCTGTGCCCTCGAGCTCCCAGGTGATCTGAACAGGAAGCTGCACTGGCCCCTGTCTCTAGGTAAGGAGGATAGGACCCAAGCATTCCACAGGCCACACCCAGACAGTTGCCAGCCTCCCCATCTACAAAACCTCAGCCTGGAAGTTTGCGAGTCATTCATTCATTCAGGATTTATGAAGCATTTATCATGGACGTGCTGCTCTAGGCCAGCCGTTGGTGTCTGGTTAATCAGGATTCCTGGTAAGTGAGTTGGTATTTGGAGTATCTACTCAGAGGTGGACGTTCCAGCTTCCAGGAATCTAGGATATGACAGAGTACTTCAGGCTGGTGCCTCCAGATTAGCGGAGACCCTGGGCTCCAGCCACACTCTCTGTAGCAGCTTTCAGAGTCCTTTTCCTTTGTCCCTTCTCTGTCATCCTAGCGCTGAGAGAGCTGGGCAGGCCCAGGTTCTTAGCCCCATTCTAGGAATGCAGCAACCCAGGCTCAGAGAGCCTCAACAGCCTGCCCTAGGTGGCAGTACCCGGATTCCATCCCGTTTCCTGACTCAATTCCACTGCTGCCTCTGTGCTACCACAAATAGCAAGACTTGTCTTAGCTATGCCCGAGTGCTGGAGTGTGCAGCTGACTGCTGGGAAGAACCAGCTTGGACCCTTTGGAGAGGGGCTCTGTCCCTGCCCCTGTCTGCCCTCGGGACATATACCAGCTCACGTCTCTGCCCCACAGGCTTGCCCACAGGTGACGTTCCCATGGATGGCATGTCCGTGTCTGACCTGGGTCCTGTGGTGCTCAGCCTTTTGAAGATGCCAGAAAAATACGTCGGCCAGAACATCGGGCTGAGCACTTGCAGGCACACGGCCGAGGAGTACGCTGCCCTGCTCACCAAGCACACCCGCAAGGTCGTGCACGATGCCAAGGTGGGCCTCCCGCCCCAGGTGACTCAGGCATCCTTGTCAGGGCTTTCTAGCTCCCGTAGGGAGGGTGTGTCCAGGGCTGCCCACACCTCTGGGCAGTACATCTAAATTCATTCGTTCATCGTCAACGTTTATTTTCTGCTGTTCCAGGAGCTAACTGGCCACAGAGTGAAATTTCTGGCTTAGATGTTTTGACCAAATAGAGAGAAAAGCTTCCAGGAGGAGAGGGCCATAGGAGCCAAGGCAAGGAGGGGTGAAAATGCAGGCCCTGCCGGGCTCCTCTGTGGGAGGGAATTTGAAGAGAAAAGAGTCTGGAAAGATAGACCCGACCCCTCCCCTGTGGGAGGGGATTTAAAGGGAAAGAGGCTAGAAAGATAGGGCCGACCCCTGCCCCCATTGGCCTGGCTGGGTGGGCAGGAGGCCTACTGGACAGACTCTTGGGTACCTGGTTTCTAATGTTTGTCATTACCATTAGGAAAGTAAGACATACTCATTAAAGAATCTGGGAGGCTGGGTGCAGTAGCTCACGCCTGTAATCCCAGCACTTTGGGAGGCCGAGGCAGGTGGATCACCTGAGGTCAGGAGTTTGAGACCAGCCTGGCCAACAGGGTGAAACCCCATCTCTACTAAAAATAAACAAATTAGCCGGGTGTGGTGGCAGGCGCCTGTAATCCCAGCTACTTGGGAGGCTGAGGCAAGAGAATCGCTTGAACTCAGGAGGCAGAGTTTGCAGCGAGCCGAGATGCCACTGCACTCCAGACTGGGCGACAGAGCGAGACTCCAACTCCAAAAAAAAAAAAGAATCTGGGAAACACTGGAGTCCTTAAAAGACGAAAGTTGGGTCAGGCGCGGTAGCTCACACCTGTAATCCTAGCACTTTGGGAGGCTGAGGCGGGCAATTACAAGGTCAGGAAATCGAGACCATCCTGACTAACACGGTGAAACCCCGTCTCTACTAAAAATACAAAAAATTAGCCCGGCGTGGTGGGCCTAACTCCTGGGCTCAAGCGATCCTCCCACCTCCACCTCCCAAAGTGCTGGGATGACAGGTGTGAGCCACTGTGTCTGGTCAAGCTTTGGTTTTTGAGAAAGAAAGTGATGCAGGCAGGTCTCTGATTTGGAAGGGACTGAGATATTTTCGTCTCATGATCTGAAAATAATAGTCTTTTTATTTATTCATTTTTGAGACAGGGTCTCACTCTTGTTGCCCAGGCTGGAGTACAGTGGGGTGATCTCAGCTCACTGCAACCTCCACCTCCTGGTTTCAAGCGATTCTCCTGTCTCAGCCTCCTAAGTAGCTGGGATTACACGCACCTACCACCAGGCTGGCTAATTTTTGTATTTTTGAAAGAGACGGGGTTTTATCGTGTTGGCCACGCTGGTCTCGAACTCCTGGCCTCAAGAGATTTGCCTGCCTCAGCCTCCCAAAGTGCAGGGATTACGGGCATGAGCCACAGCATCTGGCCAAGAACAATCTTTAAACTGATCTACAATGTCAGGCAGCTCAGGAGAGCAGCAGTTTCTGAACTTTCGGCTCTTAGAAGTTTTCAAATGACCTTGTACGGAGGACCTGGGTCAGGGACCGAGACAATAGTGGCTCTGGGTGTAGCAGGTCGGGAGACCCCAGCCCATCCGGCCTCCCTGCCCCGCCACCTCCCGGGGCACTGGAGGACGCCGGCCACGACAGGCTCCTCTGCTTCCAGATGACTCCTGAGGACTACGAAAAGCTTGGCTTTCCCGGTGCCCGGGACCTGGCCAACATGTTCCGTTTCTATGCCCTGAGACCCGACCGTGACATCGAGCTGACCCTGAGACTCAACCCCAAGGCCCTGACGCTGGACCAGTGGCTGGAACAGCACAAAGGGGACTTCAACCTGCTGTGACCTGCCCGCCTCGCGGCCCCTTGTGGGGATCGGGGGCACCAGAGGGGCAGAGGCACCAACATCTGAATAAAGCCATTGTTCTCCCAGATGGCTTCCAGGAGAAGAGGACTCTGCTTCCAGGACTTGGGTTGGGGTGGTAGTTGTGTACCAACACAACAGTAAGTGGTTGGGGAGGGTCCGGGGCTGTACCAACACAGCAGTAAGTTGGAGCGGGGGGGGGGGGTCCAGGGCTGTACCAACACAGCAGTAAGTGAGGGGACCCGGGGTTGTACCAACACAGCAGTAAGGGGTGGCTCCAGGGCTGTACCAACACAGCAGTAAGGGAGGGTCCAAGGCTGAAGGGATCACTTGGTGACTGGGACGAGTGACCTAAACGTGTTTAGTCAGACAGGTGTGAAGTGGCCTGTTCTGACCTCAGCTAGCAGAACAGCTCTGACCAGCAGCCTCTGTTCCCACATTTGAAATTCATTCACAGACGGGGACATAGCACAGGACACAGAGGAGCCCCAGGAGCCGAGCTTCTGACACACCCCTTTCATCTCCAGAGCTAGTGAGGCCATCTGCACATGTGAACTGGAGACAGGCTCTGCAGGGAGGCGGGGGAGATATGGGCTTCTCCCTTTCTCTCCTCATCCTTGTCCTGGAAGGAGCCGGCCTTGGGGTACCATCCTGGACACAGGTGAACTTCAAACAGGTTGGAAAAAGGAAAATCGGATGTGGCAGAGCTGTGGTCCACAACGCACAGTAATTGGACACTGCTGGGAAGCAAAACTGAAGGAGAAACAACCCACCTTGCTTGCTGGGGTGGGTCACAGAGAAGAGGGTCAGAGGCCGAGAGACCAGTTATTTGCCTGAGAGTTTGTGGTCCATGGCAGCTCCGATTTTTTTTTTTTTTTTTTTTTTTGAGACGGAGTCTCCCTCTGTCACCCAGGCTGGGGTGCAGTGGCACGATCCCAGCTCACTGCAGCCTCCACCTCCTGGGTTCAAGTGATTCTCCTGCCTCAGCCTCCCGAGTAGCTGGGATTACAAGCATGCACCATCACGTCCAGCTAATTTTTGTATTTTTAGTAGAGACGGGGTTTCACCATATTGTCCAGGATGGTCTCGATCTCTTGACCTCGTGATCCGCCCGCCTCGGCCTTCCAAAGTGTTGGGATTACAGGCATAAGCCACCGCGCCTGGCCAATTTTTTTTTTTTTTTTTTTTTTTTTTAAAGAGTCAAGGTCTCGCTCTGTTGCCCAGGCTGGAGTGCAGTGGCACAGTCATAGCTCACTGCAGCCTTCACCTCCCAGGCTTAAGTGATCCTTCCACCTCAACCTCCTGAGTAGCTGGGATTATCGTACAGGTATGAGCCACTGAGCCCAGCAGTTCTGTGAATTTCAATTCAACACATTTAGGTTTGTGTGACTACCATCACAGTTTTTATTTTTTTACTTCCCCACCCTGGCTCTGGCACCCCCAGGCACAAAAATTCATTCTATCCATTGACTGAAGCATTTCTTTGACAATTTACCAGTATGCTGGGCCCTAAATACAATGTAGCAAAAAAAGTTATGCTGCCTGCCTTGAGGAGCTTATATTTAGTGGGAGAGCCTGATAGAAACACACAATAAATAGTTATGTATCTACGCCTGTAATTCCGGCACTTTGGGACGCTGAGGTGGAGGATGGCTTGAGTTCAGGAGTTCGAGACCAGCCTGGGCAACATAGCAAGACCCCATCTCTACCTAAAAAAAAGAAATACAAAAGAAACTAGGGCCAGGCGTGGTGGCTCATGCCTGTAATCCCAGCACTTTGGGAGGCCAAGGCAGGTGGATCAGTTGAGGTTGGGAGTTCGAAACCAACTTGGTCAACATGGCAAAACCCTGTCTCTACCAAAAAATACAAAAATTAGCTGGGCGTGGTGGCGTGTGCCGGCAGCTACTCAGGAGGCTGAGGCAGGAGAATCAGCTGAACCCAGGAGGTGGAGGTTGTGGTGAGCCGAGATTGTACCACTGCACTCCAGCCTGGGCGACAGAGGGAGACTCTGCCTCAAAAACAAAAAAACAGAAGAAATGGTGGCAGGCGTGGTGGCATGTGCCTGTACTCCCAGCTACTCAGGAAGCTGTGGTAGGAGGATCACTTGAGCCCAGGAGGTCAAGGCTGTGGTGAGCTGTGATTGCACCACCACAAGCCAGCCAGGGCAACAGAGTGAAAGCCTGTCTCAAAAACAAAACAAAACCCAAAAAACAAATTGACATAAGGGCTGCAAAAAACAAAACAGGAAGGATAAATAAATGGGGACAGGAGCAGCATCGGGGGAGGTGACCAGTAAGCTAAGGTCTGTGGATCATGCCCTTGGCCATATAACTATGGACCCACTTCGCCTTTTATGTTCCCCCCTGGCCCATTTGTGACCCTTGAAGAGTCATGAGAAATAAGCAGAACTTCTAGTTAAAAGATAAGACCTGCACAGTATTTATTAACAAGCAAGAGTGTGAAACAAGCCTCTTCCAGGAGCCGTGCAGCTGCCGTCCTCCACATCAGAGCCGGCTCTGCAGTGCTACAAACACAGAGGGGCAGGGGCAGCTGGAGGCCTGTGGGCCTGGAGAGAATTCTTGCACACTGTTTGGTTGACAGGGAAGGAAACAAAGGCCAGGCCACCAGAACCCAAAGGACTATGAGTGAGGAGGGGGCTCAGGTTGGAAACAACCCAGTCCCAGGCCTGAGGTGGGAATGGGGCTGAGGACCAATGCCTGAGAGCTGGCCTTGTCCACCCTCCTAATGTTTTTTTTGAGATGGAGTCTCACCCTGTCACCCAGGCTGGAATCCAGTGGCGCAATCCTGGCTCACTGCAACCTCCACCTCCAGGGTTCAAGCGGATCTCCTGCCTCAGCCTGCCGAGTAGCTCGGATTACAGGCGCCCACCACCAAGTCTGGCTAATTTTTGTATTTTTAGTAGAGACAGGGTTTCACCATGTTGGCTAGGCTGGTCTTGAACTCGTGACCTCATGATCCGCCCACCTTGGCCTCCCAAAGTGCTGGGATTACAGGTGTGAGCCACCACGCCCGGCCCACCCTCCTAATGTTTAAGCAAGTGCCAAACATGTACCTCCCACAGGCTCACAGGCCTAGAAATACTTTATTTTCTTGAGACATGGTCTGGCTCTGTCACCTAGACTGGAGTGGAGTTGCATGATCACAGCTCACTGGAGCCTTGAACTCCTCAGCTCAAGCAATCCTGCCACCTCAAGATTTCTAAGTAGCTGGGACTACAGGTGCCAAGCCACCACTCCCAGCTAATTTTTTAGAATTTTTTTGTAGAGATGGGGGTCTCACTCTCTCGCTCCTGGGCTCACACATTCCTCCCTCCTTGGCCTCCTAAAGTGTTCAGATTACAGGCGTGAGCCACCATGCCTGGCCCTTTTCTTATATTTTTAAATACATACTACTACTCAGAAGCTATAAAGAAGTCTGGTAACAAATACATCAGGAGCACAAGTGGAAATAAACCAAACCCAGGCCCAGAAAGAGCACTGAATTCTACAGCTGTTGCACGGCCACCTTTTTTTTTTTGAGATGAAGTCTCGCACTGTCGCCCAGGCCGGAGTGCAATGGCATGATCTCCAATCACTGCAACCTCCACCTCCTGAGTTCAAGTGATTCTCCTGTCTCAGCCTCCTGAGAAGCTTGGATAACATGCATGTGCCACCACGCCTGGCTAATTTTTTTGTATTTTTATAGAGACGGGGTTTCACCATGTTGGCCAGGCTGGTCTTGAACTCCTAACCTCAGGTGATCCACCCGCCTCAGCCTCCCAAAGTGCTGGGATTATAGGTGTGAGCCACCTCGCCTGGTCATGCACAGCCACCTCTAATCCCTTGAGGGAAGGATGCTTCAACACAACAATGGTTTCTGTTTAGCAAGAAAATCCACCTTTCTCTTCCAAAGTCTTTCTCTAGACTTCTGCTTTGAAGCAATAGGACATGAATGAGACTCAGGGTGACTGTTCCAGGAATAAGCCCAAGCTTTCACAAGAGACACGGTCTAGCTCCCCACTGCTGTATCCCCAGGAACTAGAATAGGGCCTGGTCCATACTGAGTGTCCACAGTAGGCAGGCAATCAGTATTTCATTGATGAAAATACTGGGAAGTATCTGAGATGAGCAGAATGTCACTGCTGAGCCTCTCCTGTCCGTCAGCTCTTTCCCGAGTCTCTTCTCCACCTGACCCAGCAAACAGACTCTCATCTCACCCTGCTCAGCCCAGAGTGCCAGAGTGGACTGAGCTGTGTATCAGGGCCCCTCTAGCCACGCCAGGCATAGAGCGTGGCTGGGAACCCAGAGTAGCCAAACTATAATACATAAAAATTTTGGTCAGGCATGGTGGCTCACACCTGTAATCCCAGCACTTTGGGAGGCCGAGGTGGGCGGATCACCTGAGGTCAGAAGTTCAAGACCAGCCTGGCCAACATGGTGAAACCCCCCATCTCTACTAAAAATACAAAAATTAGCCAAGCGTGGTGGCATGCACCTGTAGTCCCAGCTACTCAGAAGCCTGAGACAGGAGAATCGCTTGAACCCAGGAGGCAGAGGTTGCAGTGAGCAGAGATGGTATCACTTCACTCCAGTATGGGCGACACAGCGAGACTCCATTTAAAAAAAAAATAAAATAAAATTGAATGTAAAAGATGCAAAGACTGGAAAGAATGAAGGGAAACAATCCAGTGAGGGAGACTGAAATGCAGGGACCCAGGGACATTGGCCAGCTCTCACAGCATGGGCTCCCAAGAAAAAAGTCACATCCAGATTCTAGAACATTCACTCACAGGGGACTGTTGTGTCATGGCAAGCACCCTGCTCTGGAATCCAAGTGAGGGTCAGCACTGTCGGCACCCCAGACCCATCTGCCTCTATGTGCTCTGGGTGGCTGTGAGCACAGGATGAGGCCAGCCAAGTCTCCTGTAACCCCCATAAGCCACCTGCAGAGGCTGTCTGAATTCTTTCAAAGAAGAAATGACCACAATTTAGGTTTGAAATATCTTTTTGCAATAGATAATCTTATTTACATTAATACAGAATCATTTTACATTCCTAAATCAGACACTAATAGATGCTTTATTTTAGTGAATTATAAAGGAAAACAAAAAGGAAACTGTTGAGAAGTGTTCTTCATTAACCTGTCTAACGACAGCCCGAAGATCCTGAAACACATGGAAACTGCGACATGCTACCAGCAGAGGCTGGGGAATGGGGGTTCTGCTCTCACTGAATGGTGGGGAACCTTCAACTGCTTAGCCTGTGCTTTCCTTTTCTGAATCAACATTTACAAAGGAAAAAACAATGATTAGCACTGAATAATTTAAACACACTTCAGAAAATAGATGTCAACAGTGTAAGTGGGAGAACCAAGCCCCTGACTAGCAACAGTGGCAGGGCTTCAGTTCCCAAGGCAGCTGAAGTCTGGCCAGCACAGTGCTGCAATGGGCTGTGGCTCAGCAGAAGGGCAGGAGCCCTCCATGCCTGGCTTACAACAACAGGACTCAATAGTCAGGGACAGGCGGCCATCCCGGATGGGGTGGGAGCAAGGACTGTACATCCTGACAAGGATCACCACCCACACGGTCAGAGCAGAACCCCCAGGGACTCTCTGGGCCTCTACGTGCCTCCCAGGCACCGACTGTGCAGCTGCTTGGTACCCCGGGAATAAAAACTAACTGAGCAGAGCAGCTGATGCCTCGGCAGGGCCCCTCATTAGGGGAGGACGGTGCTGGTGGGGCCTGGGGGCCCCACGCTCCCAGTGAAGACAACCTGTCAGGAAGAACTCATTCTGGAACCTCCCGGAGGTTTGCTGAGAAGGAAATTAATCACTTCGTAACTTGATGCAGCTTAAGGCTTCATTTCTAAGCTGTAAGCATGGCCTTTAACTAAGATATCCACAATATTCAATTCCAAATTAGAGTTTTAGCCCTGCAAGAGTCTAACCATCTCCCTCTGCCTGAGCCAGGGGCCGTCACCTACCAATGGACAGGAAACTGCCACCAGCCTCTGGGGCTGCATCCTACTGCCCGGGCTGTCCACTGTGACCTTTCCGTGGAGAGAGGTGTTGTCCCATGATTTTGCTGTTGCCAAGGCCGTCCAGAGGCTCTGCGGGTGGGAGCTCAGTGCTGCTGTTCTGGAATCCTCCCGTCTCCCAGGTGCCCTGGCCCTTGGAGGGGCTGCTGCTTCCCGGCCTAGTTTCCAGTGGATCTTTTTCCTGAGCCAAAGAGATAGGCTGTTACCTTATACTCAACATTTCAAGGGAACACACCCCTGTGGGGAGCGTCTGTTAATCCCTGGAAAGCAGCTGTGCCAAGAGAGGGGCGAGAACCCCACTTGCTGAGATGAGCATAATAAACCAAAGTGGGTCCCAAGATGACACGGCGAGCAAGCGCTACCCCTGGAGCAGCCCCCAGGCTTGCACAGCCCTGCGCTGTCCACGCAGGAGGGCAGCTTCCAAGCAGGCAGGACGTGAGGAGATCTGAGTTCTAGGCCTGGCTCTGCCTGACTCGCCCTCTGTGACCATGGGCAAGCCGGACCCACCACTGCAGGGGGGCTGTACAACAGCCCCAGCATCGCCACCTCCCCAGGAAGAAGACACAGCCAGAGGCTGGCCGCGGCAGCCCAGCCAGTCCTGCACTACAGGCTGATTGCCACGTCATCTATTCCCTAGGCTGAGAGGCCAGCTCCTAGTGGAGCTAGGTTTACCACACCTTGGACTGGCACCTGTTCCAACTCCTGGGGGTGGGGGCACAATATTGGTTAAAGTGGGAGAAAACCAGGATTAGTTCACAGAGGAAAACAAAGGGAAAAAAAACCTCCAGGGTTTTCCTACCTCGGCTGGGATATCATGAGGTAAACATTTTCTTAAGTTTGGAAAGGAATCCCTCCTCGTCCTCCCCAGCCTCACGCCTAGCCTTGCTTCCTGCGGAGCTATCCATGGTGCTGCCACCTGGGCACAAACAGCAGAAAGAACTGGCGTCATGGGCCTGCACTTCCACAGTCACATCCCAGGGCCCACCTACCCCCGCCTGGCCACCCAGGGGCCCACGTTCAAGAAGCGGCCAAGTGCCACCTCAAGAAGAGTGGGGGCCACTCCTAAGATGGCACAGGATGCCTCACCTTGCAGACGACTGAGGTGAACAGGCCACTCAGAGCCTGAGGGTCTCCCAACTGCTCTTTCAATCAAGGACCCACAGCAGGGAAACAAGAAATAGAGACGGACTATGACAGCTGTCTCTATCTGAGCAACAGTGACAAAAACACAGTCAAGTGCCAGGCACCTCCCAGGCCAGGCCATACACTTCCTTACAGGCAAATTTCACAGATGAAAAAACAAAAAAAGGAGGCACAGAGAGGTTACAGGGTTTACCCAAGGCCACAGAGCCAACAAGCGGGAGGGAGGACTGAGTGCGAGCCCATGCAGTCTGACTCCAAAGCTGAGACTCAACCACCATGCTGTTGGCTATAAGAAGGTAAATAATGACTGCCAAGAAAAACCCTACTCTAGACCAACTGGCCAGATTCCATGCTGCTGTGTGCGCAAAGACCCTGCAGAACAGCCCATGTGGGAGTCACGGCCACGCACAATCCTTTGTCACAGGCACTCCATCTCATCCCTCACATCAGCAGTCTATCTCCCTGAGCAAGTTGTCCCCATTTGGGGCACCTAACCTAAATGCTCTCAACCTAGGGAAGCTGTGCTGCAATTTCTTTAGGGCCCAGGCTGACACCATCTAGAGGTACTTTCTCACACAAACGTGTTACAGATTTGCCAACTACTAGACAAGGAGTGCACACTTTTGTTGTGAGTTAGAATATAGACCTGAACTTGGCATGTTAATTGTAGAGCTCATTTTTAATGTGCTCAGAGACCTAGGCCACGCACAGTGCATAAAAGAGTAAAGGCCTCAGTCTAAGTAAGAAGGTGCCTTCGCTAGTGAAAGGTCCAAAGTTTGGGGCCACAGGTCCCCGGGAAGGGGTGAGGGAGGCTACATAAAACAGAGTGAGACCCAGTCTCAAAAAAGAAAAGGCCGGGCACAGTGGCTCACGCCTGTAATCCCCGCACTTTGGGAGGCCAAGGCAGGCGGATTGCCTGAGCTCAGGAGTTCGAGACCGGCCTCGAACATGGTGAAACCCATCTCTACTAAAATACAAAAAATTAGCCAGGGGCGGCATGCACCTGTAGTCCCAGCTACTCGGGAGGCTGAGGCAGAATTGGTTGAACCCAAGAGGCAGAGTGCGTTGCAGTGAGCCGAGATCACGCCACTGCACTCCGGCCCGGGTGACAGAGTGAGACTCCGTCTCCAAAAAAAGAAAAAAAAAAAAAGAACAACAAGGAGCCATACTGTGTCTCTCACTCAAAAAGTCACATAGTAATTGCAAGCCCCCCCAGTTCCCTCTCTGTTCGCCAGAAGATGGACCTGTTTATCCCTGCAAGTGCTGAGTCTCTAAGCACACCATGGTCTTTCTGGGAGACCGGGGTCAGCTCTTAAGGTTTTCAGCAGCTACATTAAGATACTAAACGCATCAAAAACTATGCTGGTCAGGCACAGTGGCTCATGTCTGTAATTCCAACACTCTGGGAGGCCAAGGTGGGAGGATCACTTGAGTCCAGGAGTTTGAGGCTGCCGTGAGCTATGACTGCACCACTGCACTCCAGGCTGGGCCACAGAGCAAGACTCTGCCTCAAATAAATAAATAAATCCCACTGTTGCTTAAGTTCTTAGGACATGAGAATTATATGTCCTGTAATACTGTCATATGTGGATGCAAAACTAACTGTCTTCACAGTATAATGAGAGACTTAACCACCCACAGGCAGCAGACTGACATGTGACGGTGTATGCTTAGGGACAGAGTCTTGCCCTGGCACCCAGGCTGGAGTACAGTGTCGCTGTCATGACTCACCGCAGCCTTGAGTACTAAGGCTCAAGTGATCTTCTCATCTCAGCTTCCCAAGTAGCTGGTGATAGAGGTGCATACTACTTTGCACCTGGCTAGTTTTGAAATTTTTTGTAGAGACAGAGTCTCGCTATATTGCCCAGGCTGGTCTCGAACTCCTGGGTTCAAGTGATCTTCCTGCATTAGCCGCCCAAAGTGCTGGGATTATAGGTGTGAGCCGCTGCATCCGGCCTCACCAAGATCTTTAAAAGGAAGAGCTGACAGTGTCTTGCACACAGGAGAAGACATCCTGGCTGAGTGAGGGAACAGCTGAGTGAGGCTGAGTGATCAGGACAAGTAACCATGGAAGTGACAAAGGATCTCAGTGGGTGGCGGAATCAACTTTCAACTTACAGTATCAGAGAGAGGGTCAAAACATCAACTGGTGACCAGTAATACCCAACCTCCAACAGAGTAAGCAACACCCACGAACCCACCCAGGGCCCGGCCGTAGCACACCTCAAGCTACCCTGATGGGCGGGAGGAGGGAAGGACAGCTGTCTATGGAACCAATCTCGCATGTTATGTGATTGTAGGGTTTGAGGAAGGAGAAGCCACAGGTGCACTGATTAGAGTTCCGGGGAATAGCTACTCTATTACCACTTCTATTTTAGTTCAAGAGATACAACAAGAACAAAAGATAGTATACATATACACAGTATATGTACCAAACCATTAAAATAAGTGACATTTGGAACCTGGTTGGGCTACAGAGTTTTGTGGCAGCTGCTTTTTTGTTGTTGTTTTTTTGAGACAGAGTCTCGCTATGTCACCCAGGCTGTAGTGCAGTGGTGCAATCTTGGCTCACTGCACCCTCTGCCTCCTGGATTCAAGCAATTATCCTGCCTCAGCCTCCAGAGTAGCTGGGATTATGGATGCCCACCACCATGCCCCGCTAGTTTTTGTATTTTTTTTTTTTTTTTAGTAGAGACAGGGTTTCACCATGTTGGTCAGGCTGGTCTCAAACTCCTGACCTCGTGATCCACCCTCCTCGGCGTCCCAAAGTGCTAGGATTACAGGCGTGAGCCACCGCGCCAGGCCCTTTTTTTTTTTTTTTTTTTTTTTTTCAGAGAGTCTCACTGTCACCCAAGCTGGAGTGCAGTGGTGTGGTCTTGGCTCACTGCATCCTCTGCCTCCTGGGTTCAAGCGATTCTCCTGCCTCAGCGTCCTGAGTAGCTGAGATTACAGGCATGCACCACCATACCCAGCTAATTTTTGTATTTTTAGTAGGGATGGGGTTTCGCCATGCTGTCCAGGCTGGTCTCAAACTCCTGACTTCAAGTGATCCACCTGCCCCTGCCTCCCAAAGTGCTGGGATTACAGGCAAGAGCCACTGCGCCCGGCCGGCAGCTGCTTTTTAACAGAGGAATTCCAGTCCCCTGGGAGCAACAGGAGCTCAGTGAAATTCCAGGGACTTCCATCCCAGCCCCTGCCCCTGCCCCTGGAGCTCCAAATCCTCCACTTTATTGGAAAATCGGCCCCCAGCTCCAAACACCTGCTACGAATTACCATGCACTAATCTAAGGCTGCTCAAGTTCTGAGAACTCCACCCAGGATCCAAACAAAAACAAAATGATGCAATGAGGAGGAAATACATGCCGCCTGAACCAAGGACCCCTGGGCACAGCCTGCCCTGCCCTGAGCCAGGAGTCCCAGGAAAGAGGCCCCAGACCCCATGGGAAGAGGGGCTGCAGCTGGGGTGCCATTGTCTCAGCGCCCACAGCAGGTGTTCTGGTGACAGATCCCTAACACAGCCACTCGCTAGCACGATGTCTGAGCTCAGGGTAAATGGTGCATCTGTTCACGGCTAGATAACTTGGAGGGAGTCCTGCTCTAAAGCGGCGGACGGAGTCTGCTGACTGCGGCTCCACTGCTGTGGCTGCTGTTGTTTTAAGACACTCTGAAATCCTGGCGGAGTGTCCCAGGTGGGAAGTGCACAAATCCTTCCAATCCATGCTCTCTCCTTACGCTTTTGCCAGGAGCTCTCAGGGAAGGATTTGTCCGAGGTCACAGGGCAAGTGGCAGAACCAAGAATAGAACTCAGAACACTGGGTCTGAGACACGCAGAGCTGCCTGCAGGAAGTGCCCTGGTGCTCTCACCTCAGCACAGAAACACACACAGAGAGAGGAGGCGAAGCTTGGACTGGGGGCTGCGGCTCCCTGCCCGCTGTCCCCGCCCACAGCCCCCCTCTTTCAACTGCACATTTTAAAGGCTTCATGAAGAACCCGAAGTGGAAACCCCAACATGCTGCCCTGAATTGTCCATACCCTGGGGGGCTCTGAGGCCCCCACGTGTCACCATGTAGTCTTCAGACTCCTTACCAGAGCTGGTGAGGGTGACGCCGTTCACCGTCCCCTCCACATCTGTCTCGTCCTCGGCGTAGCTCAGGATCAGGCTCTGCTGCCGGCTCGTTAGCCTCCTGTGGACCGAGCAGAGTCAGCAGCCAAGGCTTCCGCCGGGAAGCTTTGGAAAGAACTCACAGGCAGCCAGCACCCTCGCAGCACATGGGAAGAGAGGGACCCAACCTTGGCAGGGGCGGACACCCTGAGCCAGTGCAGCGGTGAGAACCTAAGGACCATGCCCTCAAAGCTTCTGTACAGAAAAGCTCCTAAAACACCCTACACTAAGTCATTTAAACAAGTGTCACTGTGGCTATGCTAAATACAGTTTACAGGAGGGGAAACAGATTTTACCAGTGTGTATGTGAAGCAAGTAAGAAATTATCTAATTAGGCCAGGCGCAGTGGCTCATGCCTGTAATCCCAGCATTTTGGGAGGCCAAGGTGGGCGGATCACAAGGTCAGGAGATAGAGACCATCCTGGCCAACAAGGTGAAACCCCGTCTCTACTGAAAATACAAAAATTAGCTGGGCGTGGCGGCACATGCCTATAGTCCCAGCTACTTGGGAGGCTGAGGCAGGAGAATTGCTTAAATCTGGGAGGTGGAGATTGCACCACTGAACTCCACCTAGAGACAGAGCTAGACACCATCTCAAAAAAAAAAAAAGAAATTATCTAATTAACAAAAAGCATGAGTGCTCCCGAGGGGAGTCAGGCATGTCCCGCCCTAGGTACCCACAGCACTCTGCCCAGGCCACCTCTCCAGCTCCTAACAGTGCTAGTAACATCAACAAGAAAAGCAACGGGCCAGGCGTGCTGGCTCACACCTGTAATCCCACCACTTTGGGAAGTCAAGGTGGGCAGATCACCTGAGGTCAGGAGTTCGAGATTAGCCTGGCCAGTGAAACTCCGTCTCTACTAAAAATACAAAAATTAGCTGGGCGTGGTGGTAAGCGCCTGTAGTCCCAGCTACTCGGGAGGCTGAGGCAGGAGAATCATTTGAACTGGGGAGGAGGAGGTTGCAGTGAGCTGAAATGGCACCACCACATTCCAGCCTGGGCAACACAGTGACAGATTCCTTCTCAAAAAAAAAAGAAGAAAATCAACAATAGCAGCAGCAGCAAAGCAATTCCTATGTGTTGTTCATTTAATTCTCCCAACAACTCCAAGAAGTCGACCATTCTGGCCGGGCATGGTGGCTCACGCCTGTAATCCCAACACTTTGGGAGGCCAAGGTGGGTGGATCACTAGGTCAGGAGATTGAGGCCACTCTGGCTAACACGGTGAAACCCCATCTCTACTAAAAATACAAAAAATTAGCCGGGCATGGTGGCAGGCACCTGTAATCCCAGCTACTCGGGAGGCTGAGGCAGGAGAATCGCTTGAACCTGGGAAGCGGAGGTTGCAGTGAGCCGAGATGGCGCCACTGCACTCCAGCCTGGGGGACACAGCGAGACTCCATCTCAAAAAAAAAGAAGTTGACCATTCTACTATGTCCACTTTACAGACAGATAACTCGGGCAGGAACCACCTGACTTACAGGGAGCAGTAACCTGCCCAAGCCACAGAGCTCCAAGGGCAGTGCCACCGCAGGACCAGGCGGGCTTGGCCACAGCCTAGGGGGCACTTACTTTGGAACTCGTATCTTGATGTGGATGTAGTGGTCTCCGTAGCCGTAGCTGTTAATCCGGGGGATGCCTTTCCCACCCATCCGAATCTTCTGGTCTGTCTGAGTCCCAGGGGGGATCTATAAAGAAAGAAAATCTGTGGTTTCCCCTGGTCCCCAGTTGCTCAAATAAAAAGTTTTCACTACATGAAGACAATCTTGATAGGAATTCCTTGAAAAGAACTACCACTGGCTCACGCTCCCATCACTTTGGGAGGTCGAGGCAGGCTGATCACGAGGTCAGGAGTTCAAGACCTGCCTGGCCAACATGATGAAACCCCGTCTCTACTAAAAATACAAAAATCAGCAGGGCATGGTAACGTGCACCTGTAATCTCAGCTACTCAGGAGGCTGAGGTAGGAGAATTGCTTGAACCCGGGAGGCGGAGGTTGCAGTGAGCCAAGATTGTGCCATTGCACTCCAGCTCTGGCTGACAGAGCAAGACTCTGTCTCGGCAGAGCGGTGGTGGAGGGGGTGGGTAAAAAAAAAGGCCGGGCGCAGTGGCTCATGCCTGTAATCCCAGCACTTTGGGGGGCTGAGGCAGGCAGATCACGAGGTCAGGTGATTGAGACCTTCCTGGCCAACATGGTGAAACCCCATCGCTACTAAAATACAAAAAATTAGCCAGGCATGGTGGCGCGTGCTTGTAGGCCCAGGTACTCAGGAGGCTGAGGTGGGAATCGCTTGAACCTGGGAGGCGGAGATTGCCACGAGCCAAGATCGCGCTACTGCACTCCAGCCTGGCGACAGAGCAAGACTCTGTCTCAAAAAAAAAAAAAAAAAAAAAAAAGAACTGCCACTGGGCTGGGCGCAGTGGCTCACGCCTTTTAATCCCAGCACTTTGGGAGGCCGAGGCGGGTGAACTGCCTGAGATCAGGAGTTGAAGACCAGCCTGGGAAATACGGTGAAACCCTGTCTCTACTAAAATACAAAAAATTAGCCAGGTGTGGTGGCGTGCACCTGACGACAAAGCGAGACTCCATCTCAAAAAAAAAAAAAGAACCACCACTTGGGTTTCTGGGCCAAGCCCGCCCACAAGCACATGGAAATGAGCTAAGTTGGGTCTGCCCAGAGCAGAGCCTGTGACTAGGATGAGGGGGCAAGAGTTTGGGCAAGTGAGCCCAGGAAGCAGGAGTGAGGGAGCAAAGCAGGAAAAGCCAATACAGGGTGCGTGGCTGAGGTCGCTCCCTGGCCCTTGGAACCACAGGACCCTGGAGAAGCCAGGGAATAGCCCCCAGATGGAGGAGAAAGCCTTGGCCCAAAATGCCCACCTCCTTCATGGAGGTTACCCCAAGGTTCCCCACAAAGAAGCTGGAGAAGGTTCTGAGGCGAATACAGAGAATGATGTGGCCTGGAGGTGGGAAGAGCTGGAGGGGCAGGTCAAGAGAGAGGTGGGGGACAGGTGCTGGCAGCACACAGGCAGCCATCACTGTGGCAAAAGGGATATGCACCGCCCGAGTCTTCTGCTCTTGGAGCCAGACACTGGACAGAAGCAAGTGCAGAGAGCACAACCCAGGGTGAACCCTTCTGTGTCCTGAATGCGCCCAGTTCCCAGGCCCCGCTAACCAGTGTGGGAGTGATGCCAGCCAGGAACTGCTTCCCATGCGATTATAGACTCAAGGCCTGTGGCTTGTGGTCCACACTCAAGGAGCAGCCTAAAATTCCTCATGTCCTCCCCTGTGAGTGCCCCCCCACATGCTGGTCACTCATGGGTTCCAGGCCACTGGTCAGTTCTTTTCCATTTCAGAAAAAGAGCAATAAAGTACAGGGGTGACAAAGGTGTTCTCACACCCTCTTACCGTCACGTTGATCGTCTCGTACAGGCCCTGGGCTCTGGCTGTACCCCCAAGAAGAGCCTGAGCTATAGAAATAAAGAGGTCGGAGTGGATGTCTGCGCCGTCCCTCCGGAACACAGGGCTTTTCTGCACCTAAGGCCAAACATGACAGATGCATGTGAAGATAAGTCCACTGCAGACTAAACACCAGCTGCATGCCTGGCCAGGCCCAAGCTCAGACCTGACAAACTACACACCCCTTCCATACATAAAGTGCAGTGTTGAGGGAAAGAACTGTCCTTCCAACAAGGAGACACCATCCCAGGCCCAGGAATGACATGTTCTACATATTTCAACACTGCAATGTTCTACACACTTGAAATGCCGAAATGGAAGCGTGCCTGGATTTCCTCAGTCTCAGATCAAGCCATTCAATCGTGAAGGGAAACAAAAATGTAAAACTGGCTTTTGATTTTTTTTTTTTAATCTTACTTTAGCCAGGCACAGTGGCACACACCTGTAATCCCAGCACTTTGGGAGGCCAAGGTGAGTGGATCACCTGAGGTCAGGAGTTTGAGACCAGACTGACCAACATGGTGAAACCTTGTCTCTACTAAAAATACAAAAATTAACCAGGTGTGGTGGCGGGCCCCTGTAATCCCAGCTACTCAGGAGGCTGAGGCAGAAGATCCACTTGAACCTGGGAGATGAAGTTTGCACTGAACAGAGATCACACCACTGCACTCCAGCCTGAGCAACAGAGCGAGACTCCACCTCAAAAAAAAAAAAAAAAAAATCTTACTTTATTAGAAAGTATAGGCCAGCCGTGGTGGCTCACGCTTGTAATCCCAGCACTTTGGAAGGCTAAGGTGGGTGGATCACCTGAGGTCAGGAATTCGAGACCAGCCTGCCAACATGGTGAAACCCCATCTCTACTAAAAATACAAAAATTACCTGGGTGTAGTGGCGCATGCCTGTAGTCCCAGCTACTCAGGAGGCTGAGGCAAGAGAATCGCTTGAACCTGGGAGGTGGAGGTTGCAGTGAGCTGAGATCATGCCACTGCACTCCAGACTGGGCAACAGAGCAAGACTCTCTTTCCAGAAAAAAAAAAGAAAAAAAAGGGAAGAGTAAATAATATAACAAGCATGTCATACCCACAACCCAGTGGAGGTAACAAAATATCACAGGCCGGGCGCAGTGGCTCATACCTGTAATCCCAGCACTTTGGGAGGCCAAGGTGGGTGGATCATTTGAGCCCTGGGGTTTGAGACCACCCTGGGCAACATGGTGAAACCTCATCTTTACTAAAGATACAAAAGTCAGCCGGGCCTGGTGGCGTGTGCCTGTAGTCCCAGCTACTCAGGAGGCTGAGGTGGGAGGATCACCTGAGCCCAGGGAGTCTGAGGCTACAGTGAGCCAAGACTGCCCCACTGCATTTCATCCTAGGCAACAAAGCAATACCCCACCTCAAAAAATAAAGTAAAATAAAATAAAACATCATAAACACCGGTGAGTCTTGCCCTCCTCAGCTAACCACAACCCTGACTTTAACATTTATCATTCCTACAAGCTTCTACTTACTATGTATTTCCGTGTCCCTAAATAATACATAATGCCATCTCACAGGTTTTAAAACTTTACACAGATGGTCTCTGAGGCCCTACAGCCACTGGCAAGCTGCCTTCCATCCCTGCTGTCTGTACCTGCAACGCCTGGAGCATCCCTTGAGTTCAGCTCTCATTCTTTCCTTCCGACTGCCCTGCAGCAGCCTCTGACCACCACGGCTCACTGAGCCATTCTCTTGTTGGAGGAAGGCAGTGTCTTGCTACCATGGACAGGACTCTTGTGCACCCCTTTGTACCTATCGCCTGCTAGGCTTGTGTGGGTTTTTCTCAGGTGTACACATAGGAGGGCAATTGCCAGTAGAAGGCATTGTCTTCATTAATGTTTCCACCATCTCAGAAAACCAAGGTTTGCCCCTGTATACAGTATGTAAAATTGTAACTTTCACACTCACTGCCTCATCAACAATCTTATCATAAAAACACAAGATGTTTCCTGTATTTTTATGTGACCTGTATTTCTAACTTGTTAGCATGTTGAAGAAGTTGTCTTCTCTCCACACAAGGCACAGAATCTTGAAGGTAACAAACAGCTAAAAACCACATCTAGGTGGCCACTGTGCCCCTCAGAAACATGAATGGCGAGACATGTTCCTGTGAAGCTTTGATTACATGGGAGCAGCCTCAGCCACACCCACCCGAAGAGAGGAAAGGCCCAACAGAAGCTGTGCGGGGCAGGGCACCTACCCTGAACGTAATGAAAATTTCCCTTTTTCCCACAGGCATCCTCACGGTCTGGCCATCCTCGACTCCTACAAGGGACATTAGAAAGGGAGAAGTTAGGCAGGACGCGGTGGCTCACGCCTGTAATCCCAGCACTTTGGGAGGCCGAGGCGGGCAGATCATGACGTCAAGAGATCGAGACCATCCTGGCCAACATGGTGAAACCTGGTCTCTACTAAAAATTAACTGGGCGTGGTGGCACACGCCTGTAGTCCCAGCTACTCAGGAGGCTGAGGAAAGAGAATCGCTTGAACCCAGGAGGCGGAGGTTGCAGTGAGCCGAGATCACTCCACTACACGCCAGCCTGGCAACAGAGCGAGACTCCGTCTTAAAAAAAAAAAAAAAAAGAAAAGAAAAAGAAAAAAAAGAAAGGGAGCAGTTATTGTGAGACCTCCCACAGCACTTTCCACCCAAGATCCACTTGTAACCCACAGCTTCTTCCCCACTCCTGTTTCTTATTAACGAGGAACAATGTCATTATCTAAGAGGCACATGGGTAACCTTCCAGAGATGCAACACAGACACCTGATGACTGAGCACCTGCCTCAGGCTTGGTCTAGGCAGTACCTCAGGGAGTTCATGGTCTCACTGGGGTGATGGGTGTTAACCAAACGATAGCACTAATGCATAACTACAAACAGAGACATGCTCTTCAATGGAAATGCTCACAACTCTAGAGAAACAGACATCTAAACAACAGTAAAGCAGGCCACGCGCGGTGGCTCATGACTATAATCTCAGCACTTTGGGAAGCCGAGGCGGGTGGATCACGAGGTCAGGAGATCGAGACCATCCTGGCTAACACGATGAAACCCCGTCTCTACTAAAAATACAAAAAATTAGCTGGGTGTGGTGGCAGGTGCCTGTAGTCCCAGCTCCTTGGGAGGCTGAGGCAGGAGAATGGCATGAGCCTGGGAGGCAGAGCTTGCAGTGGGCCGAGATCGGGCCACTGCGCTCCAGCCTGGGTGACAGAGCGAGACTCCGTCTCAAAAAAGAAAAAAAAAAGAACAGGGAGGAGGGTGTGAGGCTAGCTAGGGAAGGGATACTCAAGCTGGGATCTCCAAGATGAATAAAGTTAACCGAAAAAAGAAAGCAGAAAGTGAGTTTTGGGCAAGGGAACAGTAGACATGGAGTGAGGGGTGGGATCCGTGGGGCTGATGTAGATAGGGTGGCAGCAGGGACAATGATGGCTTCGGTGACTAAGACAGGGGAGAGAGGAGAGGAGCCCGGGGGTTGGAAGCTGCTCCCTCACCAGGAAGAAGCAGAGTAGGCACGTCAGGTCTCTTCTCCCCATTGTGACATGCAAAGTGTAAATTTTAAGGATAACTGGCAGAAACAGAAAGATTCAAGGAGACTCCAGTTCCTCCTCCAGCCTGGGGCTCCAGGGCCTCAACCATAACTTCTACCAAGAGCCCACTCACACTCAGTGCAGTGGCCTCGGCCCTGTCCACCCTCTCCACACGGTGTGGTAGCCTCAACCCTGTCTGCCCTCTCCAAGCTCCTGGACATGGCGGGCCCAAGCACCCACCTGCAGGCACAGGGATCATCACTCGCTTTTTCTGCTTGGCTTGTCCTGCTCCCCTGCAGACCACACAGGGCGATATGATGATGGAGCCGCGGCCACCACATCTCCTACACGTGGAACGCATCACAAAAGGGCCTGTGTTGATGGTTTCCTGATAAAAACAAGAAAAATGGTAACCTAAGTACGCAGGTAAACTGATGGGTGGTTCTGGGACCACAATGTGCGTAAGAAAAATGTCTCTTTAAGGCTTGTTTTTTATGTGCATGTGCACTCAAACACACTGCCTAGGAACCCAGGTGCAGGGCCTCAATCTGTTCATCTGATTTTCTAGAACACACAAACTTCTGCACTCCAGATCATCAACTTGACCACACGACACTGAAAAATATGATACCGCCTGTCTACAGAAGTACCTGAAGACTCCTGGGAGCTGAACAGTACATTTAAAAAAGATTATTTCCCCTTGAATTACCAAAGCAATTGTTAGAAAAATAAAGAAGAAAGTGACAACTGGATGCAATCCCCCGCCCCGCCCCCGGAGCTGCTGTGCTCTGGTTGCTGAGCCTGTGGTATCAGGGAAAGAGGAGCACAGGCTCGTCTCCTCAGGGTCACGGGGGAAAGACAGCCAGGCTGAGTTCACCAACTCCCCCAATTCCCAGCATACGTTCTCTGGGAGCAGTGCCACAACCAGCTCTTCTCAGTCAGTGGTGCAAGCCGTGGGAGGTGGAGTCTCGGGCAGAGCCTTACCATGCCGGAGCCGCCACAGTAGTGGCAATGCTGCACCTTGGTGCCGGGCTCGTTCCCCTTGCCGTTGCAGCGCTCACACGTGTCCATGATGTTCACGGTGAACTCCTTGTTGACCCCCTTTGCAGCTTGATTGAATGTCAACTCCATGAAGTACTAAAGAAACCAAGGGACAGCCTGTCAACTTTTGTTTGCAACGACCAAAACTGACGCTCGGCTCTAAAGGGAAAGGAGGGTACTGGCCCACATTTTCAGTCACTCTTTCACCACTGTACTTACTTGCACTCTGCCAAGTAAGCATAGGTAGGACTCACTGAACGAATTCTGCCCTACTCTTTGGGATTTTTAAGAGATAATGTATGACTTAAATGAAAACGTACTTTCAACAGACTGAAAATGTTCACAGATAAATACTCGTACATGGCACTTAAAAACAGCCTGAATGATCCACAATCATAATTTAGATCATAAATATATCCCCTCTCTCTTCCACTCTGACAGTGTCTTATAAGGACATAAATGAGAGAGGATCAGCAGTGCCTTCCCACCGGACAGAACTCTCCTGGAATACTGTAGCAGATGAGAGACAACACTCACACCCTCATGGGCTCTGAAAGCCTTAGGTGCTACCTCATTATGCAACTGTTAAGAATACCATCAGAATGGACATACTCATTACTACCTATGCGATTTTTCAAATACTGAAATTATTTTCTACTAAAATGGCTGCCTCCAGATCACTCCATTTAAGCTGCCTTGCCTTTCTGAGAAACAGAAACTGATAAAAAAATTTGTTTGACCCATACTTAGTCTAAAATTTGAATAATTCTTCCAAGTGAGGAACTTACTTCCTGAGGCTGATCAAACACGGTCTGGAAATCTCCAAATGAAGAGGATGAGAACTCGCCAAAGATCTTCCTGAACAGCTCCTCGGGGTCCACAGTGGGGCCTCCCTTCCAGTAGCTATGCTGGGAGCCGCTGGCCCCAGGATCGAAGCCTGCAGAGCCGTAGGCATCGTACTGCTTCCTCTTCACCTCATCACTCAAAACCTACAGTGAAAGGCAGAGCCACTGGGCATCCCAGGTCTACCAAGGCCCAGGAATACAGACAAGAGTTCACAGCAAATAAGGCAGCCATAACATTTATTAAGTGGCCCTGTGTGCAAACACATCCTATGAGGTTGGGGTGGGCCTGTGACTAGCACCTAGAAGAGGGATGAGATGACCAAACTGAATGCTAAGTGTAGGGCGTGAAGTGCTTCCAAAAGTCTCACGAACTCTCCCGCCGTCGCGCATGCTGGGAAAATGTTTGTGTTGATCCTCGCTTGACCTCACAGGCACCCTGGATTCTTCACAGATTCACACTTCACCTCTCTCCTCAGGGGACATTACCTCGTAGAGAATTTATGCTTCCTACCCTTACCTTCATCGAAAGGTTTTCTGCAAGCCAGAACAACCGGAGTAACAGAAGTAACAGCAACGACAATAGCAGTGGTGCAATCCTAGCTCACTGCAGCCTCAACCTCCCAGGTTGAAGCAATCCTCCTGCCTCAGCCTCCACAGTAGCTGGGTCTACAGGTGCACACCACCAGTCCTGGCAAATTGTTTTAAGTTTTTGTAGAGACAGGGTCTTGCTATGTTGCCCAGGCTGCTTTCAAACTCCTGGCCTCAAGCGATCCTCCCACTTCGACCTCCCAAAATACTGGGATTACAGGCATGAGCCACTGGGCCTGGCCCACAAAACTGTTAATAAGGACTAACTACCTCAAAAAGGGGGATTAGGGAGGGACAAGGAAAAATGTAGTATTCACTTTGTATCTTTTTTTTTTTTTTTGAGACGGGAGTCTTGCTCTGTCGCCAGGCTGGAGTGCAGTGGCGCGATCTCGGCTCACTGCAACCTCTGCCTCTCGGGTTCAAGTGATTCTCCTGCCTCAGCCTCCCGAGTAGTTGGGACTAAAGACATGCACCACCACGCCCAGCTAATTTTTTTGTATTTTTAGTAGAGACAGGGTTTCACCACGTTTGCCAGGATGGTCTCGATCTCTTGACCTCGTGATCCGTCTGCCTCAGCCTCCCAAAGTGCTGGGATTACAAGCGTGAGCCACCGTGCCTGGCCCTCACTTTGTATCTTTTTTTTATGTGTTTGTCTTACTTTTTTTTTCTTTAATTAAAAAGACACTGCCCTAGGCTGAGTATGGTGGCTCACACCTGTAATCCCAGGACTTTGGGAGGCCAAGGCAGGTGGACTGCTTGAGTTCATGAGTTCAAGACCAGCCTGGGCAACATGGTGAAACCCCATCACAAGAAAAATACAAAAAAATTAACCAAGAATGGTGGTGCACGCCTATAGTTCCAGCTACTTGGGAGGCTGAGGTGGGAGGATTGCTTGAGCACGGAGGTTGAGGTTGAGGCTGCAGTGAACCGTGATTGCACCATTGCACTCCAGCCTGGGCAACAAAGTGAGACACTATCTCAAAAAAATAGGCACTATCCTTAAGGCCAAACAGAAAAGAGTACGCTTCCTCCAAAGGAAAAGACACTTCCACCTAGAATGGAGGGGGACTAAGAAAGCAGGTGGAGGACAGCTTGGTGCCTAGGGTAACTTTTAGGGCACCCAGTTAAGATGCAAAGGAGGAAGGCTGGCAGAGGAGGAGTCAGGTGGGAGTTCATGACTTCCTGGTGGGTTTTATCTCCTGGTTCCAGCCCTTCCCAAGGAATTGCTGCTCTTAGGTTCTGAGGCTCGGTCCGTTTAATAACATCCCCCTTGAAGACAGAAGTCAGCAACACGGTGGATTAGGACTCTCCAAAACTCATGCCCCTGGCAGAAACATCAGATCAACTAACCATGTGGAAAAACACATTCACAAGAATAACACCCCCCCGCCCCATTAAAAATTGAATCTTCTGGGTGCAGTGGGGAACCTGTAGTCCCAGCTACTCAGGAAGTTGAGGTTGAGGCAGGAAAACTGCTTGAGCCCAAGAGTTTGAGACTGCAGTGAGCTGTGATCTCGCCACTACACTCCAGCCTAGGTAACAGAGTGAGACCTCAACTCTTTTTTTTTTTTTTTTGATTGGGAGTCTCGCTCTGTTGCCCAGGCTGGAGTACAATGGCGCAATCTTCGGCTCACTGATGCCTCCCGGGTTCAAGCAATTCTCCTGCCTCAGCCTCCTGAATAGCTGGGATTACAGGCACCCACCACCACACCTGGCTAATTTTTGTATTTTTAGTAGAGATGGGGTTTCACCATATTGCTCAGGCTGGTCTCTTGGCCAGGCTGGTCTCAAACTCCTGACCTCCTGATCTGCCTGTCTTGGCCTCCCAAAGTGCTGGGATTATAGGGATTATAGACGTAAGCCACTGCACCTGGCTGAGACCTCAACTCTTGAAAAAAAAAAAAAAATTAATCTTATCTTCCATAGAAGCAGGTTCCAAGACTGTTTAGTTATGTTATCAATTAGTTTGAGTTACCTAATAAGAACATATTATTTTAAAATTACACTAGTAAATAAACTTTTCATTAGATCTAGTTGACAGATATTTACTCAAAAAAGATTTACTGAGTTGAGCCTGTTCTTCTACGTGGCTGTCTACTCTTATAGATATATGAGCTCCTATATATACTGAACCCCTTTAGGATGGCCAAAGTCGGGCAGGTCTGGTGCCTTGCACCTATAATCCTAGCAATTTGAGAGGCTGAGGCAGGAGGATCTCTTCAGCTCAGGAGTTCAAGACCAGCCTGGGCAACATAGAGGGACCCTGTCTCTTAAGCAAAAAAAAAAAAAAAAAAAGAAAAGATTGTCAAAAAATCTGGGAAAAAGGTCTACTTTCAGAAAACTATGGAAGTGGGGTCAATAGCTGTTTTCAGAGATGTATGCTTTGTCCTCTGATTACATTGACATTCTTATAGGACAATAATGGGCTTCTACTTTTACAATAACCTCTATCCCCAAAAAGCAGTGATGCCCTGAGGTGGAGGAAGGGGATGTCATTGAATAAGGGCTGAATTAATTAATCCAACTGTGAATTCCCAAATCCAGCTACAAGTGTAAATTACCTGGGGAACTTTATTAGTACAGATTATTGGATCCTGTTCTTTTTTTTTTTTTTGAGACGGGGTCTTGCTCTGTCGCCCAGGCTGGAGTGCAGTGGCGCAATCTCAGCTCACTGCAAGCTCCGCCTCCCGGGTTCACGCCATTCTCCTGCCTCAGCCTCCCCAGCACCTGGGACTACAGGCGCATGCCGCCATGCCCGGCTAATTTTTTTTTATTTTTAGTAGAGACGGGGTTTCACCGTGTTAGCCGGGATGGTCTCGATCTCCTGACCTGGTGATCCACCTGCCTCGGCCTCCCAAAGTGTTGGGATTACAGGCATGAGCCACCACGCCTGGCCTGGATCCTGTTCTTCATTGAGATTCCAAGTTAGTCTTAGAATGTTGTTGTTTTGTTTTTTTTTTAATTTTTTATTTTTTGAGAGAAGGTCTTTTTCTGTTGCCCAGACCATAGTTCTATGGCACAATCATGGCATCATGGGTCACTGCAGCTTTGAGCCCCTCAAGTGATGAACCTGACTCAGCCTCCCAAGTAGCTGGGTTTACAGGTGCGCCACCACCACGCCTGGTGATTTTTTTTTTTTTTTTTGTAGAGACGTGGTCTTACTACATTGCCCAAGCTGGTCTCAAACTCCTAGGGTCAAGCCAACTCCTGAGGTCAAGTGATCCTCCTGCCTCAGCTTCCCAAAGTGCTAGGACTACAGGAGTGAGCCACCATGCTTGGCCTGGAATCTCTTTTTTTTTATTTTTCTTAACAAGATTACTTGGCGCAGGGACATGGCCTTCACACTGGACTGTATGACACACCAGGCTGTCCCAGGTAGCAATGCAACCTTTGATTCATACACATAGCTGAACAGCAGTGACCGCATGCACCGAAGTCATATTACCTCATAGGCTTCTGCCAGCTGGGAGAACTTCTCCTTGGCTTTGGGATCATCCTTATTTGTGTCAGGGTGATACTTCTTGGCAAGCTAAGGGAAAAACATGATAAATTACTCCAGATACAATGTGAACCCCAAATACCAGAAACAACAAAACCCCCGATACAACAGAACCCCAAATACCAGTCATAATTATGTTCCCTTTATAAAAGTTGTCTCTCGGCTGGGTGCAGTGGCTCACGCCTGTAATCCCAACACTTTGGGAAGTGAAGGCAGGCAGATCACTTAAGCTCAGGAGTTCAACACCAGCCTGGGCAACACAGCGAAACCCCTCTCCACCAAAAATAGAAAAAATTAGTCAGGCGTGGTGGCACATGCCTGTGGTCCCAGCTACTCAGGAGGCTGAAGCACGAGAATCACTTGAACCTGGGAGGTGGAGGTTGCAGTGAGCAGAGATCGAGGCACTGCACTCCAGCCTAGGTGACGGAGTGAGATTCTGTCCGCCCCACAAAATAATAATAATAATGATCTGTTTTAATGTATCCATCTCTTAACTTGAGGGCAGGAACTGATTCTGATGTATCTTTGCCCTTAGCACCCAGCATGGCTTAGAATAGGTAAATGAACAAAAAAGAAAAACAAATTTTTAAAAAGGGGGCCGGGCGCAGTGGCTCATGCCTGTTATCCCAGCACTTTGAGATGCTGAGCTGGGTGGATCACCAGAGGTCAGGAGTTTGAGAACAGCCTGGCCAACATGGCGAAACCCCATCTCTACTAAAAATACAAAAATTAGCCAGGTATGGTCACACGCGCCTATAAACACAGGTACTCGGGAGGCTGAGGCAGGAGAATTGCTTGAGCCCAGGAGACAGAGGTTGCAGTGAGCCAAGACTGCACCACTGCACTCCAGCCTGAGCCACACGGCGAGACTCTGTCTGAAAAAAGAAAAAATTTTTAAAAAGGGAAGAAAATGACTGAATAAATAGACGTCTCTGCTGTTTCAATTATTTTTGTAGGTAAATAAAATACAGTAATTGCTACAGCTTTACCTGATCTTTTTACTTCCGTGCCTAAAAATCTGAATGGTTCTCTAAATTAAGTCTTTCTCTTAAATTATGTCTCTGGGACTTACTAAGGGCCTCAAATCAACTGTCATGTGAGTCCAACCCAGCCTCCATCTTTTCAATCTTTTCCCACTCTTGGATCAGGCACCTGACTCTTGAGCTCAGGAAGAGACAGGCCATTCGCTCTTCACAGGCCAGGATCTCTGCTTCCTGTCCCCATGCCTCTGTTCATTCCATTACAACCCAATTAAAAAAAAAAGACAACCCAGTTAAAAGTGGGCAATGGATCCAAACACACGTTTCTCCAAAGACATACTAATAGCCAACATGCACAAGAAAGATGCTCACCATCATTAGTCATCAGGGAAAAAGCAAATCGAAACTCTAACGAGATAGCATTTCTTATTCACTAGGGTCGTAATTAAAAAGACAGACGATAATAGTTAAGTGTTCACTGGGATGTGGAGAAATCATGGCCCTCATATGCTGCTGGTGGGAATGTAAAATGGTGCAGCTGCTTTGAAAAAGGCTGGCAGCTTCTCAAAAGGTTAAACATCCAGTTACCATATGACTCAGCAACTATACTCCTAAATATCCAAGAGAACTGAAAACATGTCTACACAAAAACTTACATATGAATGTCTATATAGCAGCACTGTTCATGATAGCAAAAAGTGGAAAATATCCAAATGTCCATCAAACGATGAATAAACAAAATGTGATTAATCCATGCAACAGATTATTTGACCATAAAAAGGGATGAAGTATTGACACAAACTATAACACAGATGAACCCTGAAAACATTATGTGAATGAAAGAAGCCAAGACACACAAAAGGATACATATTGTATGATTCCCTGTATATGAATATTGAGAATAGGCAAATCCAAAGAGGCAGGACGCAGATTAGCAGCTGCTAGGGACCGGGGAGAGAGGACAATGGAAGGGGAGTGCTAATGAATACAGAGTTTCTTTTCGAGGTAATGAAAATGTCCTAAAGTTGACTGTGGTGACAGGTGCACAACTCCAGTGAACTGTGCACTTATAAAAAGCTGTCAATCCTACAATGGTGCCTCCAATATTGATTTTATTTTGTTGGTCAGAGCAAACCAAGGGTCTAGGAACCAGTGGTGTAGACATCTCGTATACAACTTTACTCAGCTACCCTAACTACCCTAATAGACCCTGGGATACAATGGGAATTTCACATTTTCCAGGTTAAGAAAGGGCCAGGCGCGGTGGCTCACGCCTGTAATCCCAGCACTTTGGGAGGCTGAGGCAGGTGGATCACCTGAGGTCAGGAGTTTAAGACCAGCCTGACCAACAAAGTGAAACCGCGTCTCTACTAAAAATACAAAAAAAATTAGCCGGGTGTGGTGGCAGGTGCCTATAGTCCCAGCTACTTGGGAGGCGGACACAGGAGAACTGCTTGAACCCAGGAGGCAGAGGTTGCAGTGAGCCAAGATTGCGCCACTGCACTCCAGCCTCAGCAATGGAGTGAGACTCCATCTCAAAAAAAAAAAAAAAAAAAAAAAAAAAAGAAAGGAAAGGAAGTAATTCTAAACCTCTAAACTTTTATCTGGATGCAAAAAATAACTACCTAAAACTTAGACTAGCATATCTACTGATTCAGAAAATACAGATTAAATTTAATTATGAAAACAGCTCTAGAAAAAAAAACTTCTTAAAATCTCTGGTTTGGACTCACCTCTTTTTTCTGAAGCACCAACCTCTACAGCATTGTGCATCGAAAAACAGTCTAGCAAAGTCCAGCTTTATCACACCCTTCTATACTATCAGCTCATGAGACCTATTCATATGGGCACATACGCTGTACTGATCAGGATCACATGGGATCAACAACATTCCTACTACAATTTGGTCACCAAAACCTGACTTCCATACAGACCTGATAATAGGCTTTCTTGATCTCTTTCTGGCTGGCATTTCGAGGCACTCCTAATATCTGATAATAATCTTCTTTGGCCAAAGGGGCACTCGTGTGGAAGGAGGCAGTACAAATGAAAGGGTTATGTTTTGTTCCTAAAAAGGAAAAAACAAAGAAAATCACTCTGGGAATGTTCTCAACAAAAGAAAACTGTGAGTACATGACCCACCAGGCTATATCTGTGAAGGAACAAACAAACTGATAAGGTTTGGCTGTGTCCCCACCCAGATCTCAACTAGAATTTTAGTTCCCATAATCCCCACGTGTCATGGGAGGGACCTGATGGGAGGTAACTGAATCACAGGAGCGGTTACCTCCATGCTGGTCTCGCGATAGTAAGTTCTCATGAGATCTGATAGTTTTATGAGGGGCTCACCCTTTTGCTCATTCTTCCTGCTGCCATGTTAAGAAGGATGTGTTTGCTTCCCCTTCCGCCACGATCGCTGAGGCCTCCCCAGCCGTGCTGAACTGTGAGTTAAATAAACCTCTTTCCTTTAAAATTTACCCAGTCTTAGGTATGTCTTTATTAGCTGCATGAGAACAGACTAATACACAGGCTACAGCTTTAGGGCTGTTCCCTAATGCACTTCAATAATGGCTAAGGAAGCCACAGTATTCAATTAATATTAAACTATGTCAGAGTATTGGATGAGGCTGATTCTCCTCGCTTATACTACTGGAGTGGTCTCAGTAAACCACTAAAGGAATAATACTCCTGACTGGGAGATGATTAAAAAGGGATTCAGCTCCCCCCTCTTATGCCACATGAGCACTTACCATTTGCTAGGTATTTTCATATTTTCATATTTTTCTGTCACATTTAATGCTTAACAACTCCCCACATTCTTTTCCCTCTATCTTGCAGCCTTGGGTATCTACTTAAGGAGCAGTTCTCAAGACTGCGCTCCCTGGACCAACAGCATCATTAGACTGATGAAAACACAGATGTTCAAGCCCTACTCCAGACATTCACCAGAAACTCAGGAGGTCTCCACCCACTAGATGCCAGTAGAGAACTCCCCGTCTCCAGGCATTGCCAAATGTCCCCTGGGAAGTAAAAGTGTCCCCTGCTGAGAACCAATGACAAATCAATCTAAGAAGGTCGGGGAAGAACTTCTAGGCATCAGCTGTTAAGCTGCAGAAACTGGCTAAGCTGCCCAGGAAAGCATTTGCCACTTTCAGTGGAAAACAAATGGCGGTTACTAACTAGGATGACTTTGTACTTTGGATCTGGATTCACAGCACCTTTTTTAATAGCAAGACACCAACTGCTTAAGAAACAAGGATGTTTTAGTTCATCCACTTAACAGATAGGAAGAGCAGGTTTTTTGTTTTTTGAGATGGAGTCTCGCTCTGTCGCCCAGGCTGGAGTGCAGTGGCGCCATCCTGGCTCACTGCAAGCTCCACTTCCCGGGTTCACGCCATTCTCCTGCCTCAGCCTCCCAAGTAGCTGGGACTACGGGCGCCTGCCACCACACTCGGCTAATTTTTTCATATTTTTAGTAGAGACGGGGTTTCGCCGTGTTAGCCAGGATGGTCTCGATCTCCTGACCTCATGATCCGCCTGCCTCGACCTCCCAAAGTGCTGGGATTACCGGCGTGAGCCACCGTGCCCGGCAGGCTTTTTGTTTCTTTGTTTTTTGAGACGGAGTTTCGCTCTTCTTGCCCAGACTGGCGTGCAGTGGTGCGATTTTGGCTCACTGCAACCTCCGCCTGCTGGGTTCAAGCGACTCTCCTGCCTCAGCCTCCCAAGTAACTGGGACTACAGGCGTGTGCCACCACGCCCAGACTGGAGGTGTTTTAATAGATGAAATCTGTTTAAAAAGTGAATAAGCCGGGCCGGGTATGGTGGCTCCTGCCTGTAATCCCAGCACTTTGGGAGGCCAAGGCGGGCGGATCACCTGAGGTCAGGAGTTAGAGACCAGCCTGACCAACATGGAGAAACCCCATCTCTACTAAAAATACAAAATTAGCCGGATGTGGTGGTACATGCCTGTAATCCCAGCTAGTAAGGAGGCTGAAGCAAGAGAATCGCTTGAACCTGGGGGGCAGAGGTTGCAGTGAGCCAAGATCGCGCCATTGCACTCCAGCCTGGGCAACAGGAGTGAAACTCCATCACAGAAAAAAAAAAGAAAAAAAAAAAGAAAGAAAAATAAGCCTGGGCACAGTGGCTCTCGCCTGTAATCCCAGCACTTTGGGAACCTGAGGCGTGAGGATCGCTTGAGCCCAGGAGTTCGAAACCAGCCTGGGCAACACAGAGACCCTGTCTCTATTAAAAATAAATAAATAAATGGATCAAAGACTTGAACTTATATGACATACTAGATGTTTGTAAATAAACTTATGACATGGAAAAAAAAGAGAGAGAGACAGAAATAGGCTAAAGAGGACTTTGAATCCATACAGATTTATACCTATAACTAAACTAGATGGCAGTGGTGGTAGTGGTGGTTAGAGATGATAACGATTAATGGGGCCTAGGAATAGGAAGGGCCTTAGAGCTATGCTAAGGAGTCTGGATTTTATCCTAAGAGCAATAGGGAGCCACTGCAAATGTTAAACAAAGAACCCATTAGGTTTGCATGAGAAACAACTCTAGGCCAGGCAAGGTGGCTCACGCCTATTGTAATCCCAGCACTTTGGGAGGCCGAGGCGGGTGGATCACTTGAGGTCAGGAGTTCGAGACCAAGCTGGCCAACATGGTGAAATCTTGTCTCTACTAAAAATACAAAAATTAGCCGGTCATGGTGGTGCACGCCTGTAATCCCAGCTACTTGGGAGGCTGAGGCATGAGAATTGTTTGAACCTGGGAGGCTGAGGTTGCAGTGAGCCAAGATCGCGCCATTGCACTCCAGCCTGGGCGACAGAGCAAGACTCCACCTGAAAAAAAAAAAAGAGAAACAACTCTAGGAAGCCTGGGAGACTACTCGAAGTTAATCAGCACAAAACACAACCAGAGGTTGGTTGAGCACATCCAAGTAGGAGGCCAGGTAAAGGATGATCAGACAGGAGAATGGATAGGAATGGTCAGGATACTTAAAATTAGAAATAGGAAATAAATCCGTGTGTTTGGCACACCCAATATCCTCGGGATACAAAAAGCACACTGGAAGTAGTAGGGGTCAGGAGACCACTTTGTGTTTCTTCAGTCAGACTTGAGAAAACACTAGACCTGACTTATTATTGAACTTGTACTCAACCCTCTTTTTATTTCGGAGTAAGGGGTTGCCCGGCCCAGTCCAGCCTCTCTCTCACCACTCATTCCAATGCCACAAGGCGGAGGCTGGTAGTGACCTGTGGCAGCTGTGGCTTCAACATTACGGGCAGAGAACACGGACAGGAGTTAGTACAGAGATAGTAACGCACAAAACTGCATGTGGATAAAGACAAATCACGTTTAATTACAAGACTGATGGCTTTGTTTTTTCTTTTTTTGAGACAGAGTCTCACTCTGTCACCCAGGCTGGAGTGCAGTGGTGTGATCTCGGTTCACTGCAACCTCCATCTCCCAGGTTCGAGCGATTCTTCTGCTTTAGCCTCTCAAGTAGCCAGGACTATAGGCGCACACCACCACACCTGGCTAATTTTTGTATTTTTAGTAGGTAAGAAGTTTCACCATGTTGGCCAGGCTGGTCTCGAACTCCTGACCTCAAGTGATCCGCCGGCCTCATCCTACCAAAGTGCTGGGGTTACAGGCATGAGCCACCATCCCCAGTCTGATGACTTTTGACATTATCCATAGGGCATCAATGATTAACAATAATTAGATTTCATTTAATAGACTATTTATTTTATCACATATGACCAGTAAATGTCCTGTCCTTTTTAGAACAACCCAGAATAAAATAAGCCTCCAAGTCGTTCTAAGAATGGCCAACCCACTGTCCAACAACTGCTTTCTTTTTTTTTTTTTTTGACAGGGAGTTTGGCTCTTGTTGCCCAGGCTGGAGGGCAGTGGCGCGATCTCGGCTCACTGCAACCTCTGCCTCCTGGGTTCAAGCGATTCTCCTGTCTCAGCCTCCCGAGTAGCTGGGATTACAGGAACCCGCCACCACGCCTGACCAACTTTTTCTATTTTTAGTAGAGACAAGCTTTGGCCATCTTGGCCAGGCTGGTCTCAAACTCCTGACCTCAGGCGATCAACCCACCTCCCAAAGTAATGGGATTGCAGGCATGAGCCACCATACCTGGCCACCAACAACTGCTTTCTTTCTGCTTGGAAGAAAAGTCACATCTAAAATGTTGTTATGTCATCTTACTACTAGATTTGAGACAAGATCACAGACTAGTGTTTGGACGCTGAGTTAATGACCTTTTCAAAATTTTTTTTTTTAAGAGACAGGGGTCTCATTATGTTGCCTAGGCCAAATTCAAATTCCTGGACTCCAGCAATCCTCCCACCTCAACCTCCTGAGTAGCTAGGACTATAGAGGCTCGCCACCACATGGCTTCTCAGTTGATGACTTTATTAATTTTTTGGTAGAGAAAGAGTCATACTCTGTTGCCCAGGCTGGAGTGCAGTGGCATCATCATGGCTCACTGCAGCCTCAACCTTCTGGGCTCAAGTGAAACTCCCACCTCAGCCTCCCAAGCAGCTGGGAGTACAGGCAGTTGCCACCATAGTTGGCTAATTTTTTTTTTTTTGAGACACAGTTTCGCTCTTGTTGATCAGGCTGGAGTGCAATGGCGCTAACTCGGCTCACGGCAACCTCCGACTTTCACGTTCAAGCAATTCTCCTGCCCCAGCCTCCCGAGTACCCGGGTTTACAGGCATGCGCCACCAGGCCTGGCTAATTTTGTATTTTTTGTAGAGACGGGGTTTCTCCATGTTGATCAGGCTGGTCTCAAACTCCTGACTTCAGGTGATCCGCCCGCATAGGCCTCCCAAAGTGCTGGGATTACAGGCGTGAGCCACCATGTCCGGCCACAGTCAGCTAATTTTTAAAAATCTTTTTGTAGGCCGGGCGCGGTGACTCACACCTGTAATCCCAGCACTTTAGGAGGCTGAGGTGGACAGATCATGGGTAAAGAGATCGAGACCATCCTGGCCAATATGGTGAAATCCAGTATCTGCTAAAAATACAAAAATTAACTGGGAGTGGTGGCACGTGCCTGTAGTCCCAGCTACTCAGGAGACTGAGGCAAGAGGATCACTTGAACCCAGGAAGCGGAGGATGCGGTGAGCCGAGATCACGGTGAGTCAAGATCATGGTGAGCCGAGATCGCACCACTGCACTCCAGCCTGGCTACAGAGCAAGACTCCGTCTCAAACAAACAAACAAAAAAAATCTTGGCCGGGCGCGGTGGCTCACACCTGTAATCCCAGCACTTTGGGAGGCGGAGGCGGGTGGATCACGAGGTCAGGAGATCGAGACGTCCTGGCTAACACAGTGAAACTCCATCTCTACTAAAAATACAAAAAATTAGCTGGGCGCGGTTGCAGGTGCCTGTAGTCCCAGCTACTCGGGAGGCTGAGGCAGGAGAATGGCCTGAACCCGGGAGGCGGAGTTTGCAGTGAGCCGAGATCGTGCCACTGCACTCCAGCCTGGGCGACAGAGTGAGACTCCGTCTCAAAAAAAAAAAAAAAAAAAAAAAATCTTTTTGTAGAGATGGGATCTGCCTATGTTGCCCAGGCTGGTCCCAAACTGCTAGGCTCATGTGATCCTCCTGCCTCAGCGCCAGCATAGCGCTGGAATTACAGTCGTGAGCCACCCCGCCCAACCAGTTGATGACTCTATCTGTGAAAACAGCACGTACCCTGAAGGATGCCACCTCTCACCTGTGTACACTACCTGATATAAAACTTGCCCATGGCAGGTTATGAGCTCACTTGGGGAACAAGACAGCTAACCGCAGTTCCTTAGTCACAGCTTCACACAAAGCTTAGTGTTTAGTGCCTGTTTCTCTCTTTCACATACACAATAATAACGAGTGCTCCCAAATTTGTACAGCTGGAACATGAACAAATTTGGCTTAATAAAACAAGTCACCTAAGGATTAATATTTGAATGAAAAGATGCAGCCAGATTCTATTTAAAACAACCTTGACATTAGAAAATGTTAGCAAGCTCTAAAAATGGCCACTTTTGCTCATGTTGAAAAATCTAGCCTGGCATGGTGGCACACACCTATAAGCCCAGCATCTTGGGAGGCTGAAGTGAGCCAGGATCACATCACTGCAATTTGGCCTGGGCAACAGAGCAAGAGTCCATCTCAAAATAAAAATAAGGCCGGTCGCGGTGGCTCAAGCCTGTAATTCCAGCACTTTGGGAGGCTGAGGCGGGTGGATCACAAGTTCAGGAGATCGAGACCATCTTGGCTAACACGGTGAAACCCTGTCTCTACTAAAAATACAAAAAATTAGCTGGGCGTGGTGGCGGGCGCCTGTAGTCCCAGCTACTCAGAAGGCTGAGGCAGGAGAATGGCGTGAACCCGGGAGGCGGAGCTTGCAGTGAGCTGAGATAGCGCCACTGCACTCCAGCCTGGGCAACACAGCGAGACTCCGTCTCAAAAAAAAAAAAAATTCATTCTGTTGGCCAGGTGCAGTGGCTGATGCCTGTAACCCCAGCACTTTGGGAAGCTGAAGCAAGGGAATCACTTTAGCCCAGCCTGGGTAACATGGTGAAACCCCATCTACAGAAAACTAGCTGGGTGTGGTGGTGCATGCCTGTAGTCCCAGCTACTCAGGAGGCTGAGGATGGAGGATCGATTGAACCTGGGAGGTCAAGGTTGCACTGAGTTGTAATTGTGCCTCTGCACCAGTCTGGGCAACAGGAGGCCCTGTCTTAAAAAATAATTAAATACATAAATAATCATTCTCTTAACCAAACACACATCCAATCTCTTTGTTCTCTGCCATCTCCTCAGTGCCCAGAACAGTGGCTGGCATACAATTGGCCTCAATTAACACCTGTGAATGAATGAATTTTCAGACAGGTGCTCGAAGGGGTTAAATAATACACCCCGCTCACAGACGCTGGGGAAGTTCACCCCTGAAGCCCAGGCTCTTTTCTTTACATTGCATGAAGTAACCACAATTACTGATACTTTAATGATTGTCTACTATGTAACTATTACAAACTGGATTGCAACAGGAAGTTAGTTGGTATAAATTATCTTGTCAGGGCCCTTTAATTAATCTTTATAAATTTATAGATAGCTTAAATACCATTTGCACAAATTCTAGAGGACACAAAACTAGCACAATTCAGGTACGTACAACACACAGCACAAAACACACGGCATAAGAAAAGAAGGCTAAGCAGGGCACGGTGGTTCACGCCTGTAATCCCAGCACTTTGGGAAGCCAAGGGGAGGCGGATCACCTGAGGTCTGGAGTTTGAGACCAGCCTGGCCAACATGGCGAAATCCCGTCTCTATTAAAGATACAAAAATTGGCCAGGCGTGGTGGCGCATGCCTCTAGTTCCAGCTACTGGGGAGGCTGAGGCAGGATAATCTCTTGAACCCAGGAGTCGGAGGTTGCAGTGAGTCGAGATTGAGCCACTGCACTCCGGCCTGGGCAACAGAGCAAGATTCAGTTTCAAAAAAAAAAAGAAAAGAAAAGAAAAGAAAACATGACTAAGCACTTCAAGGCTTAATGTATAATTCAGTGTCATCTCAGGCAATGATATCAAGCCTCCACCTCCTTGTGACATTTATAAGTGGTTTAACATCTAAGCCTCAGTATCTTTATAAAATGGAATAACAGTGCCTATCATGTGGAAATGTGATGTAAGGGGAAAACCATGCCTGGCCAACAGTAAGTGCTCAATAAATGTCTGACTGTGTTATTATTACAATCACCAACTAAAGACTTCTAAAAAGATTGTTAACTGTGCCCTTCAATTAGCACCACGTGGTAGAAAGAGCGTAAACTATGACATGACTGCTTTGGGTTTGAGACAACTCTTCTAGTCTAACTCCATGACCTTGGGCTGGTCGATTCCTCCGTTGAATCTCAGTTTCTCATTCTTTAAAATGGTGATGACGGCAGGCATCTTGCAGGGTTGTTGTAACAAAGTACCTAGGCCTCTCCGAATGGCAGTTAGCTCTTCCCTTCCGCTACGGGCTAGAAGGTGGAGAGATGGGAAAGGAAGAGGACGAGGGAGCAGCGGCCTCCAGAAATGTTGACAGAGAGGTGAAGGTTCACGATCTACGGGGCGTTTCATCACCGCCGCCGGGGGCTCCACGCTTCTCTCCCTTCCTTGACGGCTGAGCAGCCACTGGGGCCTCCCCGCCTCCTGCCTGTCTGTGTCTCCGGCAATTGTGCATCCGCGTCGGAAGACACCCTCCACCCCACTACCCCTGCAGCCGTAGTCACAGCGAGGAGACTCACTCTTTTCTAGGCCCTGAAACCGCCACTCGGAAGTTGGAACCTGCCCTCACCTGTAAGGCTGACACCAGGTCTCAATGTCAGCAGCGCTCGGGGGCCGCAAGAGGTCAGGGAAGACGCAAAGGCGGGGACGCTCAGCTTGCGGCTCAGCCATGCCCCCACCACGCCCTCCCTGGGCGGCCGGGCCCCTCTACCCGATATAGCCGGCAGCCGCGGGGTCCCCACAACCACCAGCAACCAGCGTGTGGAGCACCGCGCAGCCATCTTGGCCCGGGGACTCTGCGCCTGCGCCGCCCGGCTCTAGGTGGGCCTCGCGGGAACGGCGGGCGCGCGTAGAGGCGCATGCGTCGCGCACGCGCAGGCGCACCGTACGCGTAGCCGCAGCCAACGCGCCTTCCGGGTAGCCATCGCCGAAACGGGGTTTGCTCTGAAGAGTGTTGTTAGGTAGACTCGCCGTGCAGAACCTCGCTATTCTGTGCTAGACAACCAATGGGTGTACGTTATCGGTGTAAGGACGTGGTTGAATGTAGCCGAACTTAAGTGGTCCGAGGGGTCTGGCTAAGGGCGAGACTACAAGTCCCAGCATACAACGCGGTCCTCCGTCGCGCCGCTCCCAGCATGTAGTGCGTGGTTTCCTCCTGCTGACCCTGAGACTTACGACGAATTGCGTGAGTTTTACTCATGCCGTCTCCGCGCGCTTCTAGTAAATCTTCGTCGCCACCCTCAGAATCCTGGCCGCAGTCTCACTGTCTCTTAGGCTGATTCCCCACCCGCCTCCTCTAACAAGACTCAGTTCTCCTTTTTTTCTTTTTTTTTTTTTTGACAGAGAGTCTCGCTCTGTCGCCAGGCTGGAGTGCAGTGGCGCGATCTCAACTCACTGCAACCTCCTCCTCCCGGGTTCAAGCAATTCTCTGCCTCAGTCTCCCGAGTAGCAGGGATTACAGGCGCGCGCCACCGCGCCCGGCTAATTTTTTTGTATTTTTAGTAGAGACGGGGTTTCACCATCTTGGCCAGGCTGGGTCTTGAACTCCTGACCTCGTGATCCACCCGTCTCGGCCTCCCAGAGTGCTGGGATTACAGGCGAGAGCCACCGCGCCGACCTCAGCTCTCTCCTTAAGCGTGTTAGCCTTCTCCAAACCTGCAGTGAACTTGCTGGTTCCGAATGGGAGCCGTGCTGCCCAAAAACTAAATTAGTAAAACTTGTGAGCGCCTACTGTGTGTCATGCATGTTCTAGAATATCGGGGATACAGTGATGCCTGATACACCATCCCTGTTCGGGAGGAGCAAACAATGACTCGAGAGAGGCTCCTTAGCAACTAACAATGTTAAATGCTATCACAGGAATAAGCACTGTTACAGTCATACAAGGTGAAGGAGTCATTCCATTTCTAAAATGGGAGAGAGGAAGTTTGGGATGTCAGGGCTTCTAAGAGGTAAGATTCAAACTGAACATCGATGAAAAGTGTGTCAGGTAGGGATGGAGTATTCCAAGTAGCCTGAACTTAAGAAACAAATGTCTAAGATATGAAAGTGTTTGCCTTCTTTGCTTAAACCCTAAATTTAAGAGTATGTGATGAGGCCGGTCGCGGTGACTCACGCCTGTAATTCCAGCATTTTGGGAGGCCGAGGTGCCGGCGGATCACGAGGTCAGGAGTGCCAGACCAGCCTGGCCAACATGGTGAAACCCCGTCTCTACGAAAAATACAAAAATTAGCCAGTCATGGTAGCACGCACCTGTAATCCCAGCTCCTCGGGAGGCTGAGGCAGGAGACTCGCTTGAACCCAGGAGGCGGAGGTTGCAGTGAGCCAAGATCGCGCCACTGCACTCCAGCCTGGGCAAGAGAAACTCCATCTCAAAAAAAAAAAAAAAAAGAAAAGAAGTGGTGGCCGGGCGCAGTGGCTCACGCCTGTAATCCCAGCACTTTGGGAGGCCGAGGCGGGCGGATCACCTGAGGTCCGGAGTTCGAGACCAGCCTGACCAACATGGAGAAACCCCGTCTCTACTAAAAATACAAAATTAGCCGGGCGTGGTGGCGCATGCCTGTAATCCCAGCTACTCCGGAGGCTGAGGCAGGAGAATGGCTTGAACCCGGAAGGTGGAGGTTGCAGTGAGCCGAGATCACGCCATTGCACTCCAGCCTGGGCAAAAAGAGCGAAACTCTGTCTCAAAAAAAAAAAGTATGTGATGAGATGAGGCTAGGAAGGGAGACCTGACCTGGTTAGTCTTGCAAAGGACTTTCAATTTTCACACTCCCACCATCATAACCACCTCAAGCAATGGGGAAAAAACCTGAGGATTCTTGTTTGGATTTAAAACAAACTGTGCTCATAAATCTTCACCCCCATCCCCAAAGCCTGGGAATCTGTGCTACTCCCCCTCCCCGCTACTCCCAGCATTGTACACCAAATTTTTGTGTACGTGGATGTTAATTTGGGTAGATACCCATAGCTTTCGTCAAATTCTCCACAGGCATTGAGACTCGAAGATTAAAAACCACCGGTCCTGCCAGGCACGGTGGCTCACGCCTGTAATCCCAGCACTCTGGGAGGCTGAGGCAGGCGGATCACCTAAGGTCAGCAGTTCGAGACTAGCCTGACCAACATGGAGAAACCCTGTCTCTACTAAAAATACAAAATTAGCTGGATGTGGTGGCGCATGCCTGTAATCCCAGCTACTCGGGAAGCTGAGGCAGGAGAATTGCTTGAACCCAGGAGGCGGAGGTTGCGGTGAGCCGAGATCGCGCCATTGCACTCCAGCCTGGGCAACAAGAGTGAAACTCCCTCTCAAAAAAAAATAATAATAATAAATAAATAAATAAAACCACCAGTCCTTTGAAGAACAGTGACCAAGCTATTGTAAATTGCAAGTAATAGTTGGAGAGAGTTTGGGCTACGGAATGGGGAGGACTGAGATGAACAAGGGTGTTGGGAGGTGAGCAAGAGTTCCTTTAATACATTCAGCAAATACTTAAATGACCAGCATAGTGATGAAGAGTATGGGTTCTGGGCCAGGCACAATGGCTCACGCCTGTAATCCCAGCACTCTGGGAGGCTGAGGCGGGCGGATCACCTGAGGTCAGGAGTTCAAGACCAGCCTGGCCAACACGATGAAACCCTGTCTCTACTAAAAATACAAAAATTAGCCGGGAATGGTGGCAGGCGCCTGTAATCCCAGCTACTCGGGAGGCTGAGGCAGGAGAATTGCTTGAACCCGGGAGGCGGAGGTTGCAGTGAGCTGAGATAGTGCCACTGTACTCCAGCCTGGGTGACAGAGTGAGACTTTGTCTCAAAAAAAAAAGATACGGGTTCTGACTGGGCGCGGTGGCTCATGCCTGTAATCCCAGCGCTCTGGGAGGCCGAGGAGGGCAGATCACAGCGTCAGGAGTTCAAGACCAGTCTGGCCAACATAGTTAAACCCCGTCTCTACTAAAAATACAAAAATTAGCCAGGTATGGTGGCACATGCCTGTATTTCCAGCTACTGGGGAGGCTGAGGCAGGAAAATCGCTTGAACCCAGAAGGCAGAGGTTGCAGTGAACCAAGATCGCGCCACTGCACTCCAGCCTGGGCAACAAGATCAAAACTCCGTCTCAAACAAAAAAAGAGTATGGGTTCTGTGGCCAGGCGCGGTGGCTCACACCTGTAATCCTAGCATTTTGGGAGGCTGAGGCGGGCGGATCACCTGAGGTCAGGTGTTGGAGACTAGCCTGGCCAACATGGAGAAACCTCGTCTCTACTGAAAATACAAAAGTTAGCCGGGCGTGATGGTAGGCGCCTATAATCCCAGCTACTCGGGAGGCTGAGGCAGGAGAATTGCTTGAATCAAGGAGATGGAGGTTGCAGTGAGCCAAGATTGCGGCACTGCACTCCAGCCTGGGCGACAGAGTGAGGCTCTGTCTCAAAAATAAAGAGAAAAAGAGTATGGGTTCTGTGCTAGGCATGGTGGCTCATGCCTGTCAATCCCTGCACCTTGGGAGGCCAAGGCAGGAGAATCACTTGGGCCCAGAAGTTCAAGACCAGCCTTGGCAACATAGCAAGACCTCATCTTTACAAAAAAAAATTTTTTAATTGGCCGGGCATGGTGGCGCATGCTTGTGGTCCCAGTTATTTGGGAGGCCAAGGTGGGAGGACCACTTCAGTCCAGGAGTTCAAGTCTACAGTGAGCTATGATAGTGCCACTGCATTGCAGCCTGAGCAACAGAGCAAGACACTTTCTCAAAAAAAAAAAAAAAAAAAAAAAAAAAAAGAGTATAGCTCTGGAGTCAGACAGCCTGGGATTGAATTCTAGCTGTGCCACTTACCAGCTGTGTGTCCTTGGGCAACTTACTTCACTCTGTTCTTCTGTTTCCTTTTCTCTAGAATGGGGACATAGGCCAGGCACGGTGGCTCACACCTGTAATCCCAGCATTTTGAGAGGCTGAGGTGGGAGGATTGCTTGAGTCTGGGAGGCTGAGGCTGCAATGGGCCATGATTGTGCCACCGCACTCCAGCCTGGGTGACAAATGGAGACCATATGTCAAATAAATAAATGAGGACTTAATAGTAACGACGTCGGCCAGGCGTGGTGGCTCACGCCTGTAATCTCAGCACTTTGGGAGGCCGAGGTGGGGGGATCACCTGAGGTTCAAGAGCAGCCTGGCCAACATGGTGAAACCCCATCTGTACTAAAGAGTACAAAAATTGCCGGGTGTGGTGGCTCACGCCTGTAATCCTAGCACTTTGGGAGGCCGAGGCAGGTGGATCACCTGAGGTCAGGAGTTCAAGACCAGCCTGGGCCACTTGGTGAAACCCTGTCACTACAAAAATACAAAAATGAGCCGGGCACAGCGGCACGTGCCTATAATCCCAGCTACTTTGGAGGCTGAGGCATGGGAATCACTTGAACCCAGGGGGTGGAGGCTGCAGTGAGCTGAGATTGCACCACTGCACTCCAGCCTGGGCAACAGTGAGACTCTTCCTCAAAAAAAAAAAAAAAAAAAATTTCACCAGGCGTGGTGGCGCGCACCTGTAGTCCCAGTTACTGGGGAGACTGAGGCAGGAGAATCACTTGAACCTGGGAGGCGGAGGTTGCAGTGAGCCGAGATCACGCCACTGCATTCCAGCCTGCACAACACAGCAAGACTCTGTCTCAAAATAAAGCAAAACAAAAAATAGTAATGTCCTCAAAGGGTCATCTGAGTGACATAATCATGTAAAGGCTTCCTATAGTACTTGATGCGTAGCCATTGCTCAATCTGTGTTGGCCCCATGTGCCAGGCTGTACTAAGCACTGAGGATACTAAGAACTCAGACAGAGTTACTTACTCACGGGGAGCCCAAAACTTAGGAGAAATGGGGGTTGGGGGGATGCTGCTGGTTGAGAAGAACAACTTTCAAGTATAGAAGCTGAAAACAAGAGCCAAAAGGACTTCCATTTACTACCTCAGAGTGAGTTAGGAACTAGAGGAGAGCTCAGTAATATGAAAACTGTCACCGTTGTAACTTCCCCCCCTTTTTTTCTTTGTATTTTCGTTTATCCCCCATCTAGTTCCCCATAGTGATGAACAGTAAAAATCCTCCACGTTGAAATGGTGTGTGTGTTCTTGTTTTCAGGGATAGCAGGAAGGCTGATTGTTGGGGAGCCAGTATTTTCTATTATGAAGCAGAGAACTCTTAAGGAGTGGAGTGGATGATGGTAATTACCAAAAGAGAGGACAAAGTCCTTGGGATCTGCCACACAGAAGAAAGAAAAACATGGGAAAGACTCCCAGCTGAGAGCAGCCTGGGCCTATGCCTGGTCTCTTTTTGGTTAGACTTTATTATTATTTATTTTTGAGACAGTGTTTTGCTCTTGTTGTCCAGGCTGGAGTGCAATGGCACGATCTTGACTCACTGCAACCTCCACCTCCTGGGTTCAAGCGATTCTCCTGCCTCAGCCTCCTGAGTAGCTGGGATTACAGGCATGCACCACTGCACCCAGCTAATTTTGTATTTTTGGTACAGACGGGGTTTCGCCATGTTGGCCAGGCTGGTCTCGAACTCCTGACCTTAAGTGATCTGCCCGCCTCAGTCTCCCAAACTGCTGAGATTACAGGCATGAGCCACTGTTCCCTGGCTTTGTTTTCTATTTTGATATGAGCCCAACCCTATGAGGTAGGTAGCGGGAGGACTATTCCCATTTTTACAAACGGACACCACCCCGCCCACAAAGAAAAAAAACAACAATAAAATAAGCTCTGAAAGATGAAAAGACTTGTCCAAGGCCACACAGCTAGTAAGTGAGTGAATGAAGACCCAAGCCCAGGTCTTCTCACAACAAAACTGTGTGTTTTTCCTTTAAACCACGTGCCTATCAATCGTCATTGCGATCAGTATCTCCCAAGCATATGGCTCTTGGGAGTTTCTGAAGTACTTTCTCATGCTTATTTTCATTTGCTTTTCACAACAAAAGAGAGGCAGGGCAAGCATTTATTACTACCATGGGTACAAACTGCTGCCCTGCCTTTCAAGGACTTCTGCTGCAACTGGACACAAATGGATCCATCCCAGGCTTGTTGCCAAAGACTGCAGAAGCCACAAGCTACACCTATCCTCAGTGCCAGTCAGAATATGATCCCGTGTTCTCCAGGCAGAAGCTCAAAAATGTGAGCTTTAAGGAGAAACAGGCCGGGCACAGTGGCTCACGCTTGTAATCCTAGCACTTTGGGAGGCCGAGGTGGGCAGACAGCCTGAGCTCAGGAGTTTGAGACCAGCCTGGGCAACATGGCGAAATCCCATATCTACTAAAAATTCAAAAATTAGCCAGGCATGGTGGTATGCACCTGTAATCCCAGCTACTCGGGAGGCTGAGGTAGGAAAATCACTTTAATCCAGGAGACAGGTTATGGTGAGCTGAGATCACACCATTGCACTGCCTTGGCAACAGAGACTTTATCTCAAAAAAAAAAAAAAAAAAAAGGAGAAACAAATGTTACTTGCAAAGGGAACACAAAGTCGTAAGCGTTTCCCCCTCCACACTTTCATTTCACTAGACCAGCAATTCCACAGAGCACTTTCCCCATCTCCTGAGCTGTGGATATCTGTGAGAGCTGCGAAGGGGTTTAATGGTGCTCCCCGACAGTGCTGGGCTGAAGGCAATGGGAGACAAGACGGTCTCTGTGATTTCTTGCTGAAACCACTGATCATTTGAAGTATAATGGGACTGGCCAAGTTCATGGCTGCCAATGGCTGCAACTCTCCCATGTGAGCTCAGAGATCTTTTACAGAGGGCAGAAGAGCCTGAGCCCAGCTCTTCAGGGGCATGATTTGTCTTAAGTATAGCATTTTCTTTACTTCACACAGAGTATAGGACAATTCCAAGTGGGTGAGGAATGTGTGGTCCAGATGTTCTGGTCTGTGATGTCTGTAGCAGGTGCAGTTCCCTATGAAAGGGGATGATGAGCTGTGCCTCGGTCGCCTAGGATCCAGTGGGACCACTGTCCTGATGATTTTCTTTCTTTCTTTTTTTTTTTGAGACAAAATCTCGCTTTTGTCTCCCATACTGGAGTGCAATGGCATGATCTCGGCTCATTGCAACCTCCACCTCCCGGGTTCAAGTGATTCTCCTGCCACAGCCTCCCGAGTAGCTGGGATTACAGGCACCTGCCACCACGCCTTGTATTTTTAGTAGAGACGGGGTTTCACCATGGTGGCCAGGCTGGTCTTGAACTCCTGACCTCAGGTGATCCACCCACCTCGGCCTCCCAAAGTGCTGGGATTATAGGCGTGAGCCACCATGCCCAGCCACTTGATGATTTTCTTTTTTTTTCTTTTTTTTTTTTTTTTTGAGACAGAGTCTCGCCCTGTCACCCAAGCTGGAGTTCAATGGCACGATCTCGACTCACTGCAACCTCCGCCTCCCGGGTTCAAGCAGTTCTCTGCCTCAGCCTCCCAAGTAGCTGGGATTACAAGCACCCACCACCACGCCCAGCTAATTTTTATATTTTTAGGACAGACAGGGTTTCACCATCTTGGCCAGGCTGGTCTTGAACTCCTGACCTGGTGATCCACCCACCTTGGCCTCCCAAAGTGCTGGGATTACAGGCGTGAGCTACCGCGCCCGGCCAACCTGATGATTTTCTAAAAACCTTTTTGGACTGGGCGCAGTGGCTTATGCCTCTAATCCCAGCACTTTGGGAGGCTGAGGCAGGTGGATCACTTGAGGTCAGGAGTTTGAGACCAGCCTGGCCAACATGGCAAAATCCCATCTCTACTAAAAATACAAAAATTAGGAGTAGTGGCGCACACCTGTAATCCCAGCTGCTTGGGAGGCTGAAGCAGGAGAATCGCTTGAACTCAGGAGGTGGAGGTTGCAGTGAGCTGAGATGACACCACTGCACTCCAGCCTGGGCAACAGAGTGAGACTCTGTCTCAAAACAAACAAACAAAAAGCCTTTTCAATAAACCACAAGTGACTTTGGTTCACAGTAAATACACTTCTGCCCGAACTAAGATAAAATGTAAGCATTGCTTTTCAAACCTTAGAAATGCAAGAATCAGCTGGGTGCGTTGGCTCATTCCTATAATCCCCACACTTTGGCAGGCCAAGTTGGGAGGACTGCTTGAGTCTCGTTCGAGACCAGCCTGACCATCATGGTGAAACCCCGTCTCTTACTAAAAATAAAAAATTAGTTGGGCGCGGTGGCAGGCGCCTGTAATCCCAGCTATTCGGGAGGCTGAGGCAAGAGAATTGCTTGAACCCGCGAGGCAGAGGGTGCAGTGAGCTGAGATCGCGCCACTGCACTCCAGCCTGGGTGACAGGGACTCCGTGTCAAATAAATGAATAAATACTAAAGAAAAATTAAAAGCTATTATTATTATTATTTTTAGAGGCAGGGTCTCTTTCTGTCTCCCAGGCTGGAGTGCAGTGGCACGGTCACAGATAACTGCAGCCTCGACCTCTTGGGCTCAAGGGATACTCCTGCCTCAGTCTCCCAAAGTTCGGGATTACAGACCTGAGCCACCGCGCCTGGCCGGATGCAGAGCGCCTGGCCGGATGCAGAGGCTTTTGAGTAGGCCCGGTGGACAGGGATTTGCTTTAGACCTGGGCCCCTGTTCCCCCTCTGCCTCTTACCACTGGTGTGACCTGGGGACCGACAGTTTACACTCTCCTTTAGCCGGGGGTTTCCTGTCTCTGAAATGGAGCTAATTTCTCCCCTCTCTACAGGAAGAGGTAGATAGTGCTGGAAGGCGTGCTAGGTACACCGCAAAGACTCCACAGCAAATCCTGCACACAAAATCGCGAATGCTGCAGCCGAGACCCCACGCAAGCAAGCACCGCAGGAGACGTGGGCTGACAGCTGCGCCCCACGTGACCTCCCACCCGCGCCAGTCCGTCCCCTCGGTATCAGGGCGTGGCCTCGCGGGGCGGCCGTACCTGGATTGGCCGGGAGGCGGGACCGGTGGTGCGCGCGCGAAAGGAGAGGGGCTTGGGGGCGTGGCCCAGGGGGCCGGAGACGGCTGCGATTGGCAGTGGGGCGCGCCGGGGGCGTGACCGCGGCATTGGGTCCCGGGTGGGGCCGAGGCAGCGGGAGTCGCGGTTGCTCAGCGTGCACCTGAGACCCGACGCCCGGGGTCCTCGAAGACGCGTCCGCCGCCGTGCCCGTCGCCATGAACCGCTTCAGGGTGTCCAAGTTCCGGCACACCGAGGCTCGGCCGCCCCGCCGCGAGGTGAGTCCGGCCCGAGGACCGGGCGCTGTCGCCTCGGGCCCCGTCCGGCTGCCCCTCCCCCTGCCCGGACCCCACAGGGGTGCCCTCCAGGGCCGTCTGGAACCCCGAGACCTCCATCCCCGGGGAACCCCCCTTCAGGCCAGGGCCCCGGCGTCCGGGCCGTTTCGTCGCCGCCGGAGGGCAGAGTCCGGCACTCCCGTGACTCGCTCTGGCGCTCGGTGACCCTGGCGGTCTGCCCGCCTCGCCCACCTCGCCCCGGGACCCCCGAGGCGGCGCAGCCCTCCTAGCCGGGGCCCAGGCCTGCGAGGCCGCCTGCCTTCCCAGCTTCCGGTCGGCCTCGCCGGGAGCCGGGGCTCGGGGCGCTGCCGGCGCCTGGCTCCTCCTCCCTGCCGCCCCGGGTCGCCCCTGCCCCTGGCTGGGCTGTGGGGAGACGCCCCTCTCTCCTCTGGCCCCGGCGAGCCCAAGTGTGTCAGTGGTGGGGAGGGAGCCCCTCGGCCGCACGCGCCCCTCCCTCGGGTTTCCGCCGGTGCTTCCTCCTCTCGCCGCTGGCGCAAGCTCTTTCTTTATCTCGGTGATGCTGCCACGGCTGGGTGGGGCCTGGGGAAGCCTGAGCAGGTGGAGCCCCAAAGAATTGCTGAGCCAGGTGCCGGGAGACCCTTCGGACCCCCGAAACGGCAGGAGGACTGATGAGGGGTGCGCCTTGGAAACGATGTCAGCTCTGCTCTTCCGCTTTCCGTGTTATTTGTAAGGCCTGGGAGTGTCCTCCGATAACTGGGCCTAGGAGTTGACCTCAAGTGACCCCATCAGGGTCCCAGAGCAAGTCAGGGCAGTCTGGGTAGAGGTTCCGTTTTTGTAGTGTGGACTATATTTCCTCTGCTTCCACTTTATGCTGTGCTAAGCTGCTGGAGACATCCCGGTGAACACAACGGCATTTTCCTTCCCCTGTGGCACTTGTAGCCTCATGAGGGAGACAGCAAGCAGACAAACAAGAGCATTGGAGGTTTTCATAACGACATTGAAGAACACACATGAGGGACTGGGATGGAGAATGGAGGGGGCCAGTCTCAGTAGCGTGGTCAGGAAAGGCTGCCTGGAGTAGATGGCATTTTAGCTGAGGCCAGAAGGGTGAGAATTGAGAAAGAGCCTGGTGGAGAAATGGAAAGTGAGCATGAGTGGATGGAGGGGATGGCCGGAGCAGTATGGTGACAGATGAGTCCAGAGTGGTCCTGCAGAACCCAAGGGCCACCGGAAGAAGTTGGGTTTTATTCTGATTGCAGTGCAGAGCCATTGAAAAGTTAGGGGGAGGGGCTGGATACCATGACTCACGGTAATCCCAGTACTTTGGGTGGACTGCTTTGAGCTCAGGAGTTCGAGACCAGCCTGGGCAACATTGCGAAACCCCTCTGAACAACAAGTTAAAGAAAAAAAAATTAGCCAGGTGTGGTGACTCACTCCCGTGGTCCCAGCTACTTGGGAGGCTGAGGTTGGAGGATCTCTTGAGCCGAGGAAGTGGAGGTTGCAGTGAGCCGAGATTGTGCCACTACACACCAGCCTGGGCAATAGAGTGAGACACTGTCTCAAAAAAAGAAAAAAACAAACAAGAAAAGTTAGGAGGAGGTACCTAGGTTTGCATCAAGACAGCCGGTGGCTCTGAGTGCAGTTAAGTACTGCTTGGAGGGGTCTGGAGAATACTTGAGGGGCCCTAATTCTTGCTCCTGGGTGGGCCTTAGTCCAGCAACATAAACAGATAGGCATGGAACTACAGACTGTAGGGAGAGCTTAAAACAGTTTATGTTAGGGAGGCGGGAGAACAGGTGATCTGTTCTTTTCAGAGATATTTGCAGTCACTGTGTTTATACAGTAAACATGAATCAGGAGGGAGAAATAATAGGGTGGGACTGATGCTGTAACCATGGCAGGTGAACACTGATATAGAAACTTCAGGTGGTGGAGGTGGTTTCCGGGGTGCTATGGGTGGGTGGAGTGGGAAACATGGGTGTCCTGTCATCGAGGGCAGGAAGGAGTGCTGAGCGGTGCTTTGACAACAGAGAAAATGTGTGGACCTTGCAGATCTTAGTTTCAGAAACGTGCTCCTCTGCCTCCCCTTGGGTGGGGGTGTTTCTTTTACTGACTTATGAGACTTTGTGGAAAGGTGTGTCCTGATGAGGCCAGGCCTTGGTGGTTCCCCTCTCTGAGCTTGGGTGTTTTTCTCCGGGTACTTGGAGGAGGCCTGGCCACATTTTGCATTTTCTTTTTTTTTTTTTTTTTGAGATGGAGTCTCGCTCTGTTGCCCAGGCAGGAGTGCAGTGGCATGATCTCGGCTCACTGCAACTTCCGCCTCCCAGGTTCAAGTGATTCTCCTCCCTCAGCCTCCTGAGTAGCTGGAATTGTATGTAGGTGCCCGCCACCATGCCTGGATAATTTTTGTATTTTTAGTAGAGATAAGGTTTCACCATGTTGGCCAGGCTGGTTTCGAACTTCTGACCTCAGGATGATCTGTCTGCCTCAGCCTCCCAAAGTGCTGGGATTACAGGCATGAACCACCGCACCTGGCCCACATTTTACATTTCCTAAGGGACTTCGTGAGTGGGGACAGAGTTTGATTTGAAGTAACACAACACGGCTGGGGGCGGAGGCTCATGCCTGTAATCCCAGCACTTTGGGAGACCAAGGCAGGCAGATCACTTGAGGCCAGGAGTTCGAGACCAGCCTGGCCAACATGGTGAAACCCCATCTCTACTAACAATACAAAAATTAGCTGGGCTTGGTGTTGGGCGCCTGTAATCCCAGCTACTCAGGAGGCTGAGGCAGGAGGATCACTTGAACCCAAGAGGCAGAGATTGCAGTGATCCAAGATCGCGCCACTGCACTCTAGCCTGGGTGACAGAGTGAGACCCTGTCTCAAAAAGAAAAAAAAAGTAAATAAAAGAATGCATCTCGAATGGTGCAGCTGTGAGCTAGAGTTCCCCAGATTATGCCCCACCTCTTGCTTTAGGCATGCATGGAGGTGGAACCCTGGCTCTCACCACATACTTCTTTACTCTTGATTTTCAGTCCTGGATCAGTGACATTCGAGCAGGAACCGCCCCTTCATGCAGGAACCACATCAAATCAAGCTGCAGCTTGATCGCCTTCAACTCCGACCGTCCTGGTAGGGAATGGCCATGAGTGTGGATATTTGCTCACATATTCGGTCATCGTCACCATAGATGGGGTGGGGAGCAGGGGCAGGCTTGGTGTATTTGGAGACTTGGAACGGAACTGCTTTGGGGGGCTCAGAGGTGAGCCCCATGCCAGACCTTAGACCCCCACAAACTGGTCCAGGCGCAGTAATCTGATTGCTTTTGATTAGGACATATGTGTGTACAAACCACAGGCAAGAGCATGGCCAGGAGGGCTGGGAGGGGACTGACGCTTGTATTTCCAGCTGTCCCTCTGTGCTCCCTGCTCCTCATCTTTGGGCCCTGGATGGCTGGGGACAGTAGGAACAGAAAGGCTTGAAAAGCCCGTGTGTTGGTTGGCACTCTCTTGATTGCTAGTGGTAACTCAGACCCTCAAGCTGGCTTAAGCAAAAAATGGATAATGTTTCAGCCTAACTAAGAGATCAGGGGCTTCAGGCAGATCGGTGCCCAAAGGCTCACATGTACTGTCGGCCCTGACCTCTCTGGGTCTCTCAGCTCTGCCACCTTGGGTGTTGGCTTCTTTCTCAAGTAAAAGTGCGAAAAGTGGCTGACGGTAGCTGCAAGCCCCATACGAAAGCCCCACGCCCCTTTCGTATGACCCGTGTTAAAAAGAGAGGACCTCTCGCCTAATGTCTTCTGTATCCATCTGAGGCATGGATGGCTCATGCATGGGGCCAGAACCTACCCACAGGCCATTGCTACGTGCAGAGGATATGATCTTGTGATTGGTAGAGGCTCTGGGAAGGTCCGAGGCTGAGCTGCTGGATTTCATCTCTGGGATCCCTGGGCAAGGAGGTGGGTGGCCCTGTGGGGCCTGAAGTCAGAGTCCCCGTGTTTGTTTAACAGGTGTACTGGGCATTGTGCCTCTGCAAGGCCAAGGAGAGGACAAGCGACGCGTGGCCCACCTGGGCTGCCATTCAGGTGAGTGGGTGTCTGACTAGTGGGTGAAGCCTGAAACTTGCACCTCCCTCTCCAGGGCCAGAAATTCATCCTCACCTGGTCCCACTGCCGCATGGCTTGCCAGGTCCCTCCTGTCGCCCTGTCTGTGCACTCTCTGAGAGACAGTGGGGCTCAGAAGGCTTCCTCCTGGTGTAGAATTCCGGCCTGGGCAGTGAGGAGGGAAGCTGTGTGCTCCGGTTGTGAGCTGGATGGAGCGGGGTGTGCAGTGGCCGCCCCAGGCTCCAGGCTGATGCTGGCTCCCTGTCCCTGCCGAGGACTCCACGTTGGATGGCTCTGAGCCCTCCGTCTTCTGCTGGAGTCCCCTCTCCACCAGGCATCCTCCCCAGCCCAGCCGCTCGGGGCCCTCCAAGGAGGTCGCTGTGTTGGGCTGCAGGGGTGGAGATGGGCCCTCACAAAGAGACCTTTTGTGTGCCGCAGCTGCTTCTGGGGGCGTCCAGCAGCCTGCCTGGCAGGCTGTCCGCCTCGAGGGAACAGTTTGCTCGCCTCAGATGGAGGCAGAGCAGCCCAGCTGGCCTCGCCTCTCACTGTCCAGCTGCAGCGGCCGCGGGCCCAGTCTCTCTGGCCTGCATTTCTGGCTGCTTGTTTGGAGGCCTTCGGGTGAGGGAAGGCAGTTGATGCCTGGTCCTCAGGCTGGGTGTGCAGGGTCGTGGAGGGGTTCTGATATGATAATGATGGTGGTTAATAACAATAGTAAAGATTTATGGAGATTGCTCTCTGTACTAAGTACGTTAGCTGAGTTTTCTCATCTAAACTTTTTTAAAAAATTTTTAAAAAGTATATAGAGACGAGGTCTTGCTATATTGCCCGGGCTGGTCTCAAACTTCTGGGCTCAAGCAATCCTCCCAAGTCAACCTCCCAAAGTACTGGCATTACAGGTGTGATCCACCAGGCCCAGCCAACGTTACCTGTTTTTTGTTTGTTTTTGTGACAGGGTCTTGCTCTGTCACTCAGGCTGGAGTGCAGTGGCATAATCATGGCTCACTGTAGCCTTGACCTCCTGGGCTCAAGCAATTCTTCCACCTCAGCCTCCCAAGTTGTCAGGACCACAGGTTTATGCCACCACCCCTCCAGCTAATTTTTAAAAATTTTTTGTAAAATGGGGTCTTGTTATGTTGCCCAGCCTGGTCTTGAACTCCTGGCCTCGAGCTATCCTCCCGCCTTGGCCTCCCAAAGTTTTGGGGCCCCGTCAGATTACCTGTTTTAAGTAAAGAGCCTGATGATTCTTATTAAAGTGACCGAGTCATGTGCACTGCCATCCAGTTTTGGAACGTTTCCATCATCCCCAAAAGATCCCGCATGCCCCTTTGCAGTTAATCCATTTCCACCTCCAATACCACAGCCTCAGGCAACAGCTGATCTGCTTCCTGCCTCTGTGGCAGAGGTCTGCAAACTACTGTCACGGCCAGATCCAGCTGGCTGCCTGTTTTTGTAAATAGTTTTATTGGAACGCTGCCACGCCCATTCATTGATGTATAGTCTGTGGTTGCTTTCTTGCAACAACTGCAGAGTTGAGTTGTGACCGAGACTGTTGAGCCCTGAAATCCTAGAATATTTACCGCCTTGCCCTTCGCAGGAGACGTTTACTGGCCTCTCCTCTATAGAGGGGCCTCTTTTGCGCATCTCACGCAAATGGAATCGCACAATACACGGTCTTTGGAATCTGGCATCTTTCACGTAGCATGTTGTTTTAGAGATACATGTGTGTGGCAGCTTGTATAACAAGTCTGTTCTCATCTAATCTCAGATCTCTTTGAAGTAGGTTTTAAAACAACCCATTTTATAGCTATGAAAACTGAGACTCCTGCAAGGTTAGGAACTTACCCATTGTTATGGCAGGGCCAGAATCAGAACCCAGGTCTATAGGAGCCTGTGTTTGGGTTTGTCTTTTTAGAGACAGGGTCTCTGTCTCTGTCATCCAGGCTGGAGTGTGGTGGTGCAATCATAGTTCACTGCAGTCTTGAACTCCTGGGCTCAAGGGATCGTCTATCCTCAGCCTCCCTAGTAGCTGGGACTATAGGCACACACCACCATGCCCAGCTGATTTTTTTATGTTTTGTGGAGATGGGGTTTTGCTGTGTTGCCCAGGCTGGTCCTGAACTCCTAGCCTCAAGTGATCTTCCCACCTTGGCCTCCCAAAGTGCTGAGATTATAGGCATGAGCCAATGTACCTGGCTTCATGTTTGACTTTTTGATGCTTTTTATCTATGAGGGAGCTAGCCCAAGTTGGTGATGCTTGCAAGGTGGTGAGCCCTCTGCTACTAGGGCTCTTCAAGTAGAAGCTGGACCAGGGTCCTGTAGGCAAGTCCATAGCCTCACTGTGGCTGCAACTGTTCAGAGCCTTGCCTGCATGAGCAGCCCTGCCGGGAAACTGCTCATGGGAAGGTGAGCTCCAGCACCCCTGGAACCTGCCCTAGAGGCACCAGGTGCCCTTCTGCCTCAGAGGTGCCGGTGTCGGGAGAAATGGCCAGGTGGGGCTCTGGCTGTTGCCCTGCCTTCAGAGGCCCCTTCAGCCTCTCAGCTCAGGGCCACTCTTGCCCTTCCGCCCAGCAGCCAGGGGAGCAGAGGGTGAGCAACTTCTGGGTGCGTTTCTGATGTCCAGGCTGTGGGGCGGCAGCTGGGGCCCGCTCCAGTGGGAAAAGGCAGCAGCATGTCATGCTGAGCAGCACAGGTTCTGAAGCTGGCCCTGTCTCTTAGCCGCGTGACTTGGGGCAGTTACTCACCCTCTCTGGGTTTTGGCGTCCTCATCCTCCAGTAGGGGATGCTGCTGCAGTGCCACCTGCTGCATCCTTATGAGGATTCAGTGAGGTCCCTGCGTGTCAACCCCTGGGCATCTGTGGTGCCAGCACATGCTGAGCACTCAGATTGCTTATGTCATCACATCTCATTCACGCCTGAGATGCCAGCCCGCCTGTGCCAGCTGCTACACCTGCCCAGGGACCTGCTTTGCCCTGCAGGGCCCAGCAAGCACACCCCAGAGTGAGGGCAGCAGGGGTTCTGTGGCTTTAGGCCCAGGAATGTTGTGGTCCTGCCAGCTGGGATTCCAGGCCAGGGCTATCCCAAGATGTGCCTGTGCACGTCCGTCCTATCTTTTCCCTGTCTCCTGAGGCCGGGAGGAAGACAGTCCTGCTCAGCCCTGTTGGGAGGCAGACAGCAGCAGGTGGTCGCTGTGCTCCCAGCTCTGGTGATACCTCTCGTCCTGTTCACACCCCGAAACCCCGCCACCCTCCATGCCTAGTCTCTACCTCCCCAACCACCCACCGCATTTCCCTCTGGGGTCTGGCTCACTCTGTGCACCCCACCTACCCCTCCCCACCTCTGGAGCTGAGCCGTTCAAGTTCTTAGTATTTAATTTTTGAGACAAGGTCTGGCTCTGCTGCCCAGGCTGGAATGCAGTGGTGTGATCTCTGCTCACTCCAACTTCTGCCTCCTGAGTTCAAGCAATTCTCCTGCCTCAGCCTCCTGAGTAGCTGGGACTATAGGCGCCCGCCACCACACCCAACTAATTTTTATATTTTTTGTAGAGACGGGGTTTCACCGTGTTGCCCAGGCTGGTCTTGAACTCTTGAGCCCAAGTGATCTGCCCACCTTGGCTTCCCAAAGTATTGGTATTACAGGCATGAGCCACCATGCCCGGCCACCATTCAGGTTCTTTGGTTGCAAAGAACTAAAGCCAACTCCGGCTTGCTTAACCAAAAAGCAATTTCTTAGTTGAGTCCTGGGGACCTTCCACGACTGAAGGAGCAGTGGGCTGTGCTGCCCTAGGAGGGGTCGGGCTGGGCAGCTGCGTTCCTGCAGGTGCCTGGTGACTCAAGCGGCTTCCTGCCCATTTCCTGCCAACCTCCTGATGCCAGAGCCCTTGGCCACCCTGGGTCAGCAGGGCCCTCGGGGACGTATGTCGCAGGAGGGGCCTGTGGCATTTGCCCCCATGGTGTCCAGAGGGCCCTTGTAGACTTGTAGCCTGTTTCTGTGTGCACACAAAAGTGTCACCTCGGAAGCCCTGGGCTTTGCTTCATACTGGGTTGGAAACAGGACATTCCGGTGGGTTCAGCCATTCCTCTCCCACAGACCTAGTCACCGACTTGGACTTCTCGCCCTTTGATGACTTCCTCCTGGCCACAGGCTCGGCTGACAGGACGGTGAGTGGAGCCAGTTGGAAGAGCTGCTCTATGTCCCAGCCCGTAGTCCAGGGCCTTCTGAGCCCCAGCGCCATCCCCACAGGGCTCTGCTGCCTCCCAGTCCAGCCCCACCCCACTCCCCAGGGCTGCGGGGCTGGTCTGAATTCCTGGTCCCACACTGGCTCCCAAGGGCTTGCTTGGAGCCGTGGCTCTGACCTGACCTGGAGCCCGAGGACAGCAGGTGGGGATGCTGCCAGAAACAGTAGAGCCACTTCCCCAACTCTGGGACCACACCGTGTGGTCTAGGAGCTGAGATTCCCTCCCTCCTTTCTCGGATGTGGGGTATGCAGCCCCTGGCCCAAGCAAGCTGAGGCGGGTGGGCGCTCCTCCCAAGGCCAAGGTGTGTGGTCTCCTGGAGCAGCCTAGTTCCAACACGGGACCTCACTGGGGTCACGGCAGCTGACTCAAGGCAGTGAGGCCCTCAGCCCTGTGCTCACGGACTTGGTCTTTCTTGCAGGTAAAACTCTGGCGACTGCCAGGGCCTGGCCAGGCCCTGCCCTCAGCACCCGGGGTGGTGCTGGGCCCCGAGGACCTCCCAGTGGAGGTACTGCAGTTCCACCCCACCTCTGACGGCATTCTGGTGAGCGCAGCAGGCACCACTGTGAAGGTCTGGGACGCAGCCAAGCAGCAGCCCCTGACAGGTACAGGCCACCCTGGCCTGCCCTTCCCAGGGCAGCCCCACTCTGGACAGCACTCCGTTTCTTTGTTGGCATGTTTAGTCACATAAATTTAAAAACAGATATCAAAGTTTTACACTTACATAGTATAAAAGTCTTAAGATTCTATGAGGCTGTAATAAACACCCCATCTCTCTTTGCTCTCCGTAGCCATCAGTTTCATCCTCTTACCTGTTTTTTTTTTTTTCTGTTGTTTTTCTCCATTTAAAAAAATAATGGCCGGGCGCGGTGGCTCATGCCTGTAATCCCAACACTCTGGGAGGCCGAGGTAGGTGGATCACCTGAGGTCAGGAGTTCAAGACCAGCCTGGCCAACATGGCAAAACCCCGTCTCTACTAAATATACAAAAATTAGCCGGGCGTGGTGGCACACACCTGTAATCCCAGCTACTCAGAAGGCTGCGGCAAGAGTATTGCTCCAACCCAGGAGGCAGAGGTTGCAGTGAGCCGAGATTGCACCACTGCGCTCCAGCCTGGGTGACAGAGTGAGATGCCGTCTCAAAAAAATAAAAATAAAAAATAACTTTGGCCGGGCGCGGTGGCTCACGCCTGTAATCCCAGCACTTTGGGAGGCCAAGGCGGGTGGATCACGAGGTCAGGAGTTCGAGACTAGCCTGGCCAACATAGTGAAACCGCGTCTCTACTAAAAATACAAAAACTTAGCTGGGTGTGGTGGCGGGTGCCTGTAATCCCAGCTACTCAGGAGGCTGAGGCAGGAGAATTGCCTGAACCCAGGAGGCAGAGGTTGCAGTGGCTATGGAGAGCGAAGAGAGATCGTGCCATTGCACTCCACCCTGGGGGACAAGAGCAAGACTCCATCTCAAAACAAAAAACAAAAAACAAAAAAACCAAAAAAAAACCTTCTTGGATGGGCGTCGTGGCGCACACCTGTAATCCCAGCACTTTGGGATGCCAAAATGGGAGGATCGCTTGAGCCCAATATTTTGAGAATTAGTCTGAGCAACATAGTGAGACACAATCTCTACAAAAAATTAAAAAATCAGCCAGGCGTGGTGGCGTGTGCCTGTCTGTGTCCCAGGTACTCAAGAGGCTGAGGTGGGAGGATTACTTGAACCCAGGAGGTGAAAGCTGCAGTTAGCTATGATCACACCACTGCATTCCAGCCTGGGCAACAGAGTGAGATGCTGTCTCAAAAAATAATAATAGGCCGGGCACGGTGGCTCATGCCTGTGATCCCAGCACTTTGGGAGGCCGAGGTGGGCGGATCACTTGAGGTTAGGAGTTCGAGACCAGCCTGGCCAACATGGTGAAATTCCGTCCCTGCTAAAAATACAAAAATTAGCTGGGCATGGTGGCAGGTGCCTATAATCCCAGCTACCTGGGAAGCCGAGGCAGGAGAATTGCTGGAACCCAGGAGGCGGAGATTGCAGTGAGCTGAGATTGCACCACTGCACTCCAGCCTGGGTGACAGAGCAAGCCTCCGAAAAGTAGTGGGGGTTAGGACTTCACCATCTTTTTAGGGGAGCACAATTTAACCTGGAACAGGAGTTGCAGAGAATGTAGAGAAGTATTTTAAGACCTCACACTAGCGAGGGAGAGTATAGATGGCAGGAATAGAGGCTTAGGGCAGGAGTGACCCTGTTGGTGGGGAGCTATGTTGGAAGTGAGCCTGGGAGGGATGAGAGAGCCAGGCCAGGAGCGGGAAGCCTCGGAAGGTAGTTGAGTGATGTACGGCTGCACAAAGGTGGGGTGAAGGAAGCAGCCTGTGGTGCAGGGGAAGCCTGTCTGGGAGAAGCTGCTGCCCTTGCCCCCTTGGCTGAAAAGGACCCTCGTAGCTGCTGCCTTTGCTCTGGGAGTTCCCCCCAGCAAGGCCCGCCCCCACCCACTTCCCTGGTGCCCTCACTGCCCGGGACCTGACTGTGACTGCTTCTCTGCAGAGCTGGCAGCCCATGGGGACCTGGTGCAGAGCGCCGTCTGGAGCCGAGATGGAGCCCTGGTGGGCACGGCGTGCAAGGTGAGCAGGCAGGTGGGGATGCCCTGTGGGGCTCTGTGCAGGCCTCCTGGGCTGGGACCCCCTGGGCTGGGCCTTCCAGGCTTGTTGTTTAGGAGGCAGTGGAGCACTGAGGTCAGGATGGTCATCTGTGTGCCCTGCCCCCTAGCTGCTCCTCACACCCCCGCTCACCTACATCTGGAAGCCCCTACCTTGCCTAGGCCCCTGTCAGATGAGAGCCCACGCTGGTCCCTGGTTTGCGCCCTAATGTCGCCACCCTCAGGCAGCCTCCTCTGGCCGCCTGTCTGGTCTGTCTGAACCGCCAGCCTTTCTGCAAGACTCTTGTTAAGCAGCATTCGGCCGCAGGTGCTGGGCCAGGCCCCAGTTGCTGGGGAGGTGACTTCCGTCGAGGACAGTACAGACAAGAGGACCCGTGACCTGGGCTCTGCAAGAGGGACATGGTGCTTTGAGCTGGTTGGACAGGCCAGGGACGCGTGGCCTCAGGCAGGGATCGGGGCCAGGACAGGCAGGTGCGGGGCAGGCGGGTGCTGGGTGGTGAGTAAGGGTTGTGCCTGTTGCCGTAGGGGTAATGGGAAGGCAATGAAGTGTTAAAGGCCAGAGTAGGGCAGGTGGTGCAGTGAGGGGAGCGGATTCGCATTTGGAACCACATGGACAGTGTGTGGCAGGAGGGGCAGTGTCTACAGGGGGATGCGTGGCAGCCTGCGGGGAGGTGAGAGCTGTTCTCTGCCGGGAGTGGCGGAGACCTTTGGGAGGAGGAAGCCAAGTGTTGGAGAAGGATTGGGTGGGAGGCGTGGCGGTCCTGAGGCAGTAGGAGAGGCCTGTCACTGGGACGGGGATGTGCTGTGGCAGAGAGGGGGCGCTAGAGGAGCACCTGGTGTGAATGTTCTAGGCAGAGCCGCTCCAGGGTGGCTGCAGCCTTGCTGAGCTGCCGGCGGTACCTGGAGGTGTCAGTGGAGTCTGGGCCCAGAGGGGCTCTGAGCAGAATCCGGCTGCAGGTGAAAAGGTCCCGTTTGTTTGATTTGCTGACCACATAGTGCTGCCCCCAGGAGGGGATGAGAAGAGCCTGCAGGGGAGGAGGTGGGAGGAGGAAAGCCAGGACCAGGCTGGAGCCTGAAACCAGGGCCAAAGGGCTTCCCCAGGGAGGCGGCCGTGGGTACCACCAAGGGTCTCTGAAGACCTGTCGGGGTTGCTGGGAATGAGGGCACCCATCAGGGCCCTTCTGGAGGTGTGCCGAGCCTGAAGACACATGAAGAATGGCTGAGAGGCCTGGGAATGGAGCCGAACAGGAGCTAGCAGGGCAGGGAGGCCTACCAGACCTGAGCATTCCGCCCCAGGGCTCTGCATACTTGGAGGGACCCTAGTCTAACTTTCTTTTCTGTACTCTGCTTTTGTGGAAGCCGCATCTCCCAGTCTTGATCAGTTTTTCCTCTGTGGTGTGCGTTGAGCAGAGAGTCCTGAGAGACTGGCCTAAGCTCTGGGGGCCAATAAGGCCCCCAGGGAGCCCCTTCTGGGGAGACCTGGTATGCGTGCTTTGACCTAACCCTGCTGGGGACGGCTTCCCAGGCAGAGTGAGCTCGAGGCCGGTCCTTGAGGGATGAGCCCTGGCTGAGAAGGAGGGGACGGGCGTCCCAGGCAGAGGGGATGGCCTGGGTAGTCTCAGCAGGACTCAGGGATGGCTGCCTTGGGACCGTGACATCTTTCTTTGAGAAACTGTCTCTGCCCCTCTGTCACAGGTGTGGTGGTCCAGGCCCTCCTCCTGGGGGTCCGAGCCCTATTTACTATCACAGTTGTGTAGGGAAGGACAGTGAGCAGCCCCATGGGCCACCGGCTTGGCCACTCTTCTCCTTGCTTACTGGTGTCTTGCAGGAAGAGTCATAGGAGTCACAGACGGAGGAGCTCCTGCTGCTTCCCCAGTGGATGTGTTTTCCCCCGCTAAACCCAGAGCTTAAAGTTGCAGGGACGAGAAGCACACATTTCCTAAGTGGGTCGTGGGAGTGATGCTTAGTGGAACGACTCCCCCTCCTTCCCTGGTTCCTGGACCTAGGAATTCCGCCTGCGGGGACGCAGCATTGCCTCCAAGCCGCACCTGTCAGCACAGTCTAGGGCCAATGGGTACCTCAGCCCTGGGTCGGCTGCCACCTTCTTTTGCTGTAAAGGGAGTACATCGGGGTCCTGGTGGGGGCATCCTACACTGGAAACCCTGGCAGTATGGAGCCGGGAGTGGGGGGCGGCCTGACTGTGGTAGGGCAGCCAGTGATGCCCATGAGTGTGCAGAGAGCGAGGGCTTGTCCTGAGCTGTGGCTGGAGCTGCTGGATGGGCCCACCCCACACCAGGAGCGAGCGTGAGCCCCTCTTTGCAGCCGCACCTGGCTCTGGGTTTATGCACTGGAGCTGCTCATGCCACGGGCTGCCTGATGGGGATGGGGGTGGGGGGTCATGGGACTTTCCACCAGAGTGTGCCCCCACCCCCGCCCCATCTCCTTCCTGGCGGGGAAGCCTCCGTGCCCCTGGCTTCCACTCCTGTCCTGCCTCTGTGTGAGCAGGTCTGCCTCCCAGGACCACCAAAGCCCCCTCCTGCTCCCTCTCAGCTACTCCCACTGGGTGAAGGGGCCTCCCGAGCTGGGAGAGAAGGGGCAGGAGGCCGCTAGGGGGCGCGCTCTCCTCACGGATGGCCCATTCCGGCCTGCTGCGCTCCTGACTCCCGGCATGGTTGAGCCTGATGAGCCGGGGAGGACGCGGCCTCTGCAGCCCAGTTCCTCTCCGCTGAGCCAGAGCAGCCTCAGTGCCCACTCTGAACCCTGGTTTGGACCCCGCGTTAAGCTCCTCCATGAGGGTGGCCCAGCTGCCCTCATGGAGTGTGTGCTGTGAGTTCCGCCCTTAGCCCCAGCGCCCAGCCCTGCCCAGGGGTGGCGCTGTCCGCATCCTCACAGTTCACAGGGCTGGGCGGGTGGCCGGTCGCTGGCTCACGCCTGTCATCCCAGCACTTTGGGAGGACGAGGTGGGAGGATCACTTGAGCCCAGGAGTTCAAGATCAGCCCGGGCAACATGGTGAAACCCCATGTCTACAAAAAAAATGCAAACATTAGACAGGCATGGTGGCACGCGCCTGTGGTCCCAGGCTGAGGCAGGAAGATTGCTTGAGCCCAGGAGTTCGAGGCTGAAGTGAGCTCGGATTGAGCCACTTCACTCCAGCCTGGGCGATGGAGCAAGACCCTCTCTCTTAAAAAACAACAACAACAACAACAACAACAAAACTGGCCGGGTGCAGTGGCTCACGCCTGTAATCCCAGCACTTTGGGAGGCCAAGCAGGCGGATCACCTGAGGTAAGGAGCTCAAGACCAGCCTGGCCAACATAGTGAAACCCCTCCTCTACTAAAAATACAAAAATTAGCCAGGCATGTTGGCATGCACCTGTAATCCCAGCTACTTGGGAGGCTGTGGCAAGAGAATAACTTGAACCTGGGAGGTGGAGGTTGCGGTGAGCCGAGATCACACCATTGCACTCCAGCCTGGGCGACAGAGCAAGACTCTGTCTCAAAACAAACAAACAAACAAACTAAAACCTCAAAAAAAAAAAAAAAGGAAAAAAAGAAACCATAGGGGGCTCGGGGGCTTGCCCACGTCATAGCTGGTCAGTGGTGGTGTTGGCATCTGGACTCGGGCTGTCGGTCTCTGCACCTCTGTGGGGCAGGAGCAGCCCTGACTGCTGGATGTCGTGTCCTGCCCTTCATCTCCTGAGAGCCTCTGTCGCTTGCTGTCGCTCGTGTCCTGCCTGTCTCCTGCTGTCCCCTGTATCTGTCCTTGATCTCTACTTGCTCTCTCTGGCCCGCTCTGTCATTGTGCTCTGTTTCTGTCCCACTCTGTCCTCTCTCATCCCTTGCTGTCCCTCGCTGTTCTCTCTCTGGTCTCTGTCTTCTGTCTCTCATCCTCCTCTCTCTGTCCCTCGCCATCCCTCTGAATCCGAGGTGTGGAGTAGTGGAGTTTTAAGAGCCAGTCCCTGGACTGTACCTGGTGCCCGCCTGGCACGCAGCAGGTGCTTGGTAAACTGCAGCTGGCAGGGCTTTGCCAGGAGCGGCATAAAACCAGGGCCCTGCTGAGGCAGACCAGGGAGACCTGGCTTTTGAGGCCCTCTCCAGACAGGCCCCCGCCTCTGCCAGCCATGCGTGTGCCCACGGCCCCCTTGGTTCCCACCATCTGCCTCCTCACGTGGCCTCTCCTCCCCCAACGCCACACACCAGCAAGTTCCTTTCTCCACCTCTTTGCTCATGCTATTTTACCTTCCTCGAATGCCTTTGCCTTCCCAGCACAAGCTCTGTTTGTCCTTCCATGACCAGGTCTAAGTTCTTCCCCGCGGTTTCCCGTGACAACCTCCAGGCCCCAGAGTCCAGCACTTAGCCTGGAACTTGGTAGTAGCAGGGAGGCTACTCATCTCTCAGGGAGGGGCTGCACATGGAGCGGGAATTCACTTGGTTTTCCCCTGCATTTCTTTTTGGGTTGTTTTAGTTGATGGACTATTTTCGAGAACAGTTTTAAGTTTACAGAAAAAGTGAGCAAGTTGTATAAGGATTTTCCATATTCCTTACCTCCTCCCCCAGTGTCTGTGATGAATATCCTGCGTGAGTGTGGTACGTTGTTTCAATTGAGGAACCAATGGTAAACATTATTATTATTATTATTATTATTATTATTATTATTGCACTGCTGGAGTGCATTGGCACGATCTCAGCTCACTGCAATCTCCGCCTTCTGGGTTCAAGTGATTCTCATGCCTCAGCCTCCTGTGTAGTTAGGACTACAGGCACGTGCCACCACACCCGGCTACTTTTTGTTTTTTTGTTTTTGTTTTTGTTTTTGTTTTTGAGACAGAGTCTCACTCTTGTTGCCCAGGCTGGAGCGCAATGGCACGATCTCAGCTCACCGCAACCTCTGCCTCCCAGATTCAAGTGATTCTCCTGCCTCCCCGTCCCGAGTAGCTGGGATTACAGGCATGTGCCACCACACCCAGCTAATTTTGTATTTTTAGTAGAGACGGGGTTTCTCCATGTTGGTCAGGCTGATCTCGAACTCCTGACATCAGGTGATCCACCCACCTCGGCCTCCCAAAGTGCTGGGATTACAGGTGTGAGCCACCATGCCTGGCCTAATTTTTTTGTATTTTTAGAGATGGGGTTTCACCTTGTTGACCAGGCTGGTCTCAAACTTCTGACCTCAAGTGATCCACCCACCTCAGCCTCCCGAAGTGCTGGGATTATAGGCCTGAGCCACCATACCCAGCCTGATACATTATTATTAACTAAAGCTCACAGTTTACATGAGGGGTCAGTCTGTGTTGTATGTTCTATGGGTTGTGATAAATGCATGACATAATGTAACCACTATACGGAGTAGTTTCACTGCTCTTAACATCCCCTGGGTTCCACCTGTTCATCCCTTCCGCCCTCCTCCCAGATCACTGCCAAGCACTGATCTTTTCATTGTCTGTATGTTGGACTTTTCCAGAATGTCATATAGTTGGAATTATATGGTATGTAGTATGTAGCTTTTCAGATTGGCTTCTTTAACTTAGCAATGTATTTTTGTGGGCTAATAGCTATTTTTTTAAATTGTGGTAAGAAAACACATATCATAAAATTTACCTTCTTCTTTTTTTTTTAGCTTGCTGCAGCCTCAAACTCTAAGGCTCAAGCAGTCCTCCCACCTCAGACTCCTGAGTAGCTGGGACTACTAGCACGTGCCACCACGCCCAGCTACTTTTTAAATTTTCTGTAGCGACAGGGATCTCACTGTGTTGCCTAGGCTGGTCTCAAACTCCTGGGCTCAAATGATCCTCCCGCCTTGACCTCCCAAAGTGCCAAAATTCACCATCTTAACCATTTTTAAGTGTACAGTTCAGTAGTGTTAAGTATATTTACACTGTTGTGAAACAGATTTGAGAATTTTCTCATCTTGCAGAACTGAAACTCTATACCCATTAAACAGCAGTTCCCCTTTGCCCTACCTCCCGGCCCCTAGGAATTGGCATTCCACTTTCTGTGTCTATAATTTTCTGTGTCTATAATTTGACTACTTTAGATGCCCCACATAAGTGGAATCATATACTATTTGCTCTTTTGGGGCTGACTTATTTCTCTGAGCATAATGAAATGCTGCATCGTCAAGGGTTACTCGTGGCGTGCAGTAGGATTTCCTTGCCTTTGAAGACTGCATAGTATGCGCAGACCACATTTTGTTTATCCATTTATCCATCAGTAGATCTTGGGTTGTTTCCACTTCTTGGCTATTGCGAGTAGTGCTGCTATGAACATGGGTGTGCAAATATCTCTTCATGGCCTGCTTTCAGTTCTTTTGGATATGTACCCAGAAGTGGGGTTGCTGGAAGACATGCTAGGTCTATTTTTAATTTTTTGAGGAACTGCCATACTGTTTTCCATAGCAGTTGCACCATTTTACAATCCCATCAACAGTGTGCAAGGGTTCTAACTTCACGTACCCACCAACAGTTGGTTTTGTTTTTTTTTTTTTTTTGAGACGGAGTCTCGCACTGTCACCTGGGCTGGAGTGCAATGGTGCCATCTCAGCTCACTGCAACCCCCGCCTCCTGGGTTCATGCGATTCTCCTGCCTCAGCCTCCCCAGTAGCTGGGAACACAGTCTCACACCACCAAACCCAGCTAATTTTTGTATTTTTAGTAGAGACGGAGTTTCACTATGTTGGCCACACTGGTCTTGAACTCCTGACCTTGTGATCCGCCCGCCTTGGCCTCCCCAAGTGCTGGGATTACAGGTGTGAGCCACCACGCCCAGCCTTGCAATTTTTTTTTTTTTTTTCAGATGGAGTCTTGCTCTGTTGCCCAGGCTGGAGTGCAATGGCATGATCTCGGTTCACTGCAACCTCCACCTCCTGAGTTCAAGCAATTCTCCTTCCTCAGCCTCCCGAGTAGCTGGTATTACAGGTGCACGCCACCACGCCCGGCTAATTTTTGTATTTTTAGTAGAGACGGGGTTTCACCATGTTGGCCAGGCTCGTCTCGAGCTCCTTACCGCAAGTGATTCCCCCCAGCCTTGGCTTCGCAAAGTGCTGGGATTACAGGCGTGAGCCACCGCGCCCGGCCTGATACTTGCTATTTTTAAAAATGTAATAGGCATCCTAATGGGTGTCAGGGGATATCTTACTGTGGTTTGGATTTGTGTTTCTCTAATGGTTAGTGATATTGAACATATTTTCATACGCTTTTTGGCCATTTCTATATATATATTTTTAAAATGTATATTCAAACCAGGCCTGGTGGCTCACACCTGTAATCCCAGCACTTTGGGAGGCTGAGGCAGAAGGATTACTCGAGGCCAGGAGTTCAAAACCAGCCTGCTCAAGATAGTGAGACCTCATCTCTACGAAAGAAATATTAAAACATTAGCAGGGCCTGGTGGCTTGTGCCTGTGGTCCCACATACTTGGGAAGCTGAGGTGGGAGGATTGCTTTAGTCCAGGAGGTTGATTTGCAGTGAGCTGTGATTGCACTGCTGCGCTTGGGCCTGGGCAACAGAGCGAGACTCTGTCTCAAAAACAAACAAACAAAAAAGGCTAGGCACAGTGACTCACACCTGTAATCCCAGCACTTTGGGAGGCCAAGGCAGGCAGATTACCTGAGGTCAGGAATTCGACACCAGCCTGTCCAACATGGCAAAACCCCGACTCTAGTAAAAATACAAAAAATTAGCCTGGCGTGGTGGCGTGCACCTGTAATCCCAGCTACTCGGGAGGCTGAGGCAGGAGAATCGCTTGAACCCGGGAGGCAGAGGTTGCAGTGAGCCGAGATCGCGCCACTGCACTCCAGCCTGGGTGACAAGAATGAAACTCCATCTCAAAAACAAAAACAAATACAAAAAGAGAGAAATGTCCATTGATGGACTTTGCCGTATTGCTCAGGCTGGTCTCAAATTCCGGGGCTCAAGTGATTCTTCCACTTTGGCCTCCCAAAGTGTTGGGATTACAGGCAGGACCCACTGTGCCTGGCCTACGGCAGCTTTTTTGTTTTTTTTTTAGACGGAGTCTCAGTCTGTTTCCCAGGCTGGAGTGTAGTGGCACGATCTCGGTTCACTGCAAGCTCATTGCAACCTCCGTCTCCCAGGTTCAAGTGATTCTCCTGACTCAGCCTCCCGAGTAGCTGGGATTACAGGTGCGTGCCACCATGCCCGGTTAATTTTTGTATTTTTGGTAGAGACGAGGTTTCACCTTATTGGCCAGACTGGTCTCGAACTCCTGACCTCAAGTGATCTGCCGCTTCAGCCTCCCTGAGTGCTGGGATTACCAGCATGAACCACCTCTCCTGGCCATACTTACTATATTTTCAATTTAAGACGGGTTTATTGGGATGTAACTCCATTGTATGTTGAGGAGCATGAGTATTTCAAGTTTTTTTTATCTGTACTGGTGCAAATGATGTTGTTTTTCTTTCTTTCTTTCTTTTTTTTTTTTTTTGAGATTGAGTCTCACTCTGTTGCCCAGGCTGGAGTGCAGTGGTGCAATCTCAGCTCACTGCAACCACTGTCTCCCAGGTTCAAACGATTCTCCTGCCTCCGCCCCCTGAGTAGCTGGGATTACAGGTGCCTGCCACCATGCCCGGCTAATTTTTTTATTTTCAGTAGAAACGGGGTTTCACCATGTTGACCAGACTAGTCTCAAACTCCTGACCTCAGGTGATCCACCCACCTCAGCCTCGCAAAGTGCTGGGATTACAGGCGTGAGCCACCATGCCTGGCTGGTGGTGTTTTTCATTTCAAATTCCAGTTGTTTACTGTTTTTCAAAATATGAAAACAGGAATCTGTGCTGAATGAAACAAAATAGACCTGTGCTAAGACGTAAAAAGGAAAAGTTAACCAGCCCCCATCTTCCCCACCCTTGATACCTAGCATTAGCACACAGGCCTGTGTTAGTCCAGACCTTTCTCCTTGCTCAGCAAACTTGTAAAATGTATGGGCTGTATGATAGTTGGGTATCAATAAAAACAAACAGGATCGTGGTCACACAAATGGAGATTTTTGTTGATTTTTACCACAGTAGAATCACACTATGCCATGTTATTCTACAACTTCCTTTTTGCACTTAATTTATTATGGCCAAACATGGTGGCTTACGCCTGTAATCCCAGCATTTTGGGAGGCCGAGGCGGGCGGATCACCTGAGGTCAGGAGTTTGAGACCGGCCTGCCAACATGGTGAAACCCCGTCTCTACCAAAAATACAAAAATTAGCCAGATGTGGTGGTGGGCGCCTGTAATCCCAGCTACTCGGGAGGCTAAGGCAGGAGAATCGCTTGAACCAGGGAGGCAGAGGTTGCAGTGAGCCAAGATTGCACCATTGCACTCCAGCATGGGTGACAGAGCAAAACTCTGTCTCAAAAAAGAAAAAAAAAATTATTATGGCCCAGCCTGTAGTAGTGGATACAGATTGTGCCCTGGTTCTTTATGCATGAATGTTTGTGTACACACACACACACAACGTGTGCATGCACACACACATTGTTCCACAGAAAGAAGGTCTATACAAAGCATGAGTGCTTTATTTCAGTACATTTTTTTCTGCTTTTTGTCTGTTTCCATCCTCCCTTTGGATAATCTGAATCAATAACTGCCGAATGGATGGTTCGGAAGTGTAAGCTCGTCTTCCTGGTTAGTGCTAAATTCTGTAAGTGCAGAAATGAGGTCGTCATATGAGCCTCTCCAGGCTGGGCCTAGTACAGGGCTGAGCATGTGTGGGGCGCTGACAGCCTAGAGTTTGGTTCTGGACCTCCGTTTGTCTGTCTGTGAGGGATCATGGTGATAGTACCACTTCATAGGGTAGTTGGAAGAGTAGGAGGGGTCGAGTGTCTGGGATGCCTGACGTGGAGCAGGTCTCAGGAAGCTGAACACTCCTCACTGAGTAGGTCTCAGGCAGCTGAACACTCCTCACAGAAACCTGGGGGACTGGGTGGTGGTTGCTGCTGTGCTGAGGAGGAGGAACAGGGCTGAGGAGGGATGCCCTGGTGTGTGATGGCAGCCCTGCGTGCTGGGGATGGGCTGCTCAGAGCTGGGGGTTGGGAGGTGAGGGGAGCAGGCTGGCTTCCAGGGACCCTCCAGCCCTAATCGCAAGTTGTTTCCTCCTCTCTGCTTTTCCAGGACAAGCAGCTGCGGATCTTTGACCCCAGAACAAAGCCGCGGGCCTCTCAGGTGAGTTGTGTGGGCAAGCTGGGGTGGGTTGAAGCCTCCACTGAGGCTGAGGACCCAGTGGTTCTAGCAGGTGGAGGTAGGGGCAGGCCTGGGGTCCTGGCAGACATGTTCTGCAGCACCAGGGGTCCCCAGGAGGTGGACCACCACTGCTGGGAGCTCTTCCTGTGAAGTGTGTTGTGGGTCCTGGGAGGGCCTGGCTTTGATCACCGGGTGGCAGAAGCTAAGCTTCCCCCAGGCTCTCCACGGAGGCCATCGTGTGGCTTCAGGCAGCGATCTGGGATTCCCACTTCCTTCCTTTGAGACCTTCACCCTGGCACGGTCAGCAGAGACCAGCTGCAGAGGAGCCAAAAAGAAACAACCCCTGTCCTCTGCAGGAAGACCCTGGGTGGGACCTGTCAAAACGTACAGGGTCCAGGGACTGAGCGTGTTCTGGTTTGTGTCTGTGCATGGAGTGTGCGTGGCCATTTCAGTTCCAAGCGGGGAAGCTGGGACCTGGCTCATGCTGCAGGCATCCAGCCACTGGGACACCGTTCATTTGCCCTACAGAGACCTTGTAGGCAGGAGCAACAACCCTGGGACAGGGCCCTGTGTCTGGCTCCGTAAACATTGCCTGTGCTAGGCAGGTAGTTGCTGGGGGCTTCTCTTGCTGGGCTGGTTTAGTGCTTCCCTGAGTAACTGGCCCGGGAGCAGAGGCCTGAGTAATGCCAAGGGGGCAGACATAGATGGCCTGAAGGAGGACGGGCTTGTCTGAGGGGTCTGCGCGAGGGGCGCTGGGGGATACGGGCCCATGGTTACCTGGGCTGTGGGAAGCCATTAGAGAGTTTTTTTTTTTTTTTTTTTGAGACGGAGTCTCGCTCTGTCGCCCAGGCTGGAGTGTAGCGTTGTGATCTCGGCTCACTGCAAGTTCCGCCTCCTGGGTTCACACCATTCTCTCACCTCAGCCTCCCGAGTAGCTGGGACTACAGGCGACCGCCACCACGCCCGGCTATTTTTGTTTTTGTATTTTTAGTAGAGACTGGGTTTCACCATGTTAGCCAGGATGGTCTCGATCTCCTGACCTCGTGATCCTCCCGCCTTGGCCTCCTAAAGTGCTGGGATTACAGGCCTGAGCCACCGTGTCCGGCCACCATTAGGGAGTTTTAAGCAGGAAGTGCGATGAGTAGATTTACATTTCTTTTTTTGGGTGGGGAGATGGAGTCTTGCTCTTTCACCCAGGCTGGAGGGCAGTGGCGCAATCTCGGCTCGCTGGAAACTCCGCCTCCTAGGCTCAAGTGATTTTACTGCCTCAGCCTCCTGTGTAGCTGGAACTACAGGTGCCCGCCACCATGCCCGGCTAATTTTTTTGTATTTTTAGTGGAGACGGGGTTTCACCATGTTGGTCAGGCTGGTCTCGAACTCCTGACCTTGTGATCCACCCTCCTCGGCCTGCCAAAGTGCTGGGATTACAGACGTGAGCTACCGCTCCTGGCCATGGATTTACATTTCTAAAAAGAACTTTCTAGAAGCTGAGGAGGCTTATTCCCTGAGGAAGGTGAAGTTTAGGGTCCTACTGTTAGCTCAGGAGAGGAGCTCCCCAGCAAAGACCTAGGCCCATCATAGATACCCCCTCCCCATTTCTAGGACGTTTTCCCCACCCGGGGTCAAGGGCAAACCACCAGCCCAAACCAAACTAGTGGTAGCCCGGAGCCCCAGAGCCCCCTACACACACAAGACTCAGGAGAGAAACCCAGTCACATGGAAGATTGCAGCTTTTTAGTCCAAACGGTACAGTCAGTTCCACTTTTGTCCAGCTGAAGACCGAGAGGACTCCCATTTAAGCAGTGAAACTAGCCAGGCAGGGTGGTTTTGGCCACACCCTGGTCGTACTTGCTGGTGAGGCTGGCTGACCTCTTCGTCATGTGGGACCTGGGCCTGGTAGATGGTGGCTGTCTGCATCTCAAGGCAGTGTGGGTGTGTACGGTATCCTCACTAGGTAGCTTTCTTTGACCTCCAAGCCTTTGCCCAGAAAGCGGGGCCCAGGCTCAGCTTGAAGGTGCCACAGAGGCTTCCCCCGGCCCCCTTCACTTTCTCAGGTTGCACTCTCCTCTCCAGAGCCCAGGGCACTGCTGGGGCACCTATGCTTCTGCCCCCGACCTACCGGGCATGGCTCTGAGCCAGCTCACTGGGCCCACGTGATTCTTCCTATTCTCCCCTCCTCCGCCCCCTCTTTCCAGCCTTCCTCCTCCTCTCCCCTCCTCTTCCAGCAGGGCTGGGGCGGTGACTGATGCCGAGGTGGGGATAGAGTGGCTGCTATCCAAGGGGCTCCCAGCTCCTCGAAGAGAGAGGGAGAGGATCTGGTTCTGGAGGGAGCCCCCCTGCGGGGCTTTGGGGCGAGGAGACCTGGGAAGAGCGTGGGTGGCTCCCACCCCTTCCAGCTGCTGGCTGGGGCCTGTGCTCGGGCCCTGGTGCGGGGGCAGCAGGCCTGGAATGCCGCTCTCCGTGTGGCCCTGCCCCCCACTTCCGCCCAGGGCATCTGGCCCACACCTGGCTTCTATTAGGAAAACCGCTGCTGGCAGCCAGGGCCGGTGTGAGCCGAGGGGCCGGCTCGAGGGAGAGGCCTTCTGGGAGCTCCTTCTCTGGCAATCCTCCTTCCTGCCTAGTGGGGTGTGGCTGGGGGTCAGGGAGCGGGGCCGCCTGCCCTCCATCCAACCTCTGTCCTCTGTGGGTCCCACCCCACCTGAGCCCTGGTGCTATCCCGGAGCCCAGAGTGGGCCAGGGAGTCCGCCCTCCACTGTCTTGTTGGAGCCCTGCCTCAGGCGTGAGCTTTGAGCAGGGGACCCTGGGGAGGCTCCTCCTCACACCCATGCTTGGTTCTTATACTGCATGTATGACCCTTTGTTATGCGCCAGGCACTTGGCATATTCCACTTCCTCGGAGGTGCAGACCCCGAGAGTCGGATGGTTCTGTGGCTTCTCCATGGTCCCACCTCAGGGTGACAGAGGCAGGCTCGCCCCTCTGGATGCAGAACCCCCAGGACCCCCACTGCCGCCCCTTCCCTTTACAACCGGCCCAGCTGGGGCTGGGTGAGGCCCTGGAGCCCAGGCTGTTCTGGGAAAGTGGCAGCCCCAAATGAGTGTCGAGGCCTCAGAACCCTTGTCTGGGCGGGAGGGGGCCCCGGATTGAGCCCTCTAGGAATCTCAGTGCATCAGACAGGCCAGTGGGGGGTGGTGAACCTCAGAGGAGGGAAGGGGGTAAGTGGGGGGTCTTACTATTGAAGCAGGTCCCCTCACCCCAGCAAGGAGCCAGGGCTGCTCCTGGAACCATCCTGCCCTGCACAGGAAGTGTCGCCATGGTGATGAAGGGGCGGGCACGCGCCTCCCCTCCTGCACCCCCTGCGGGGCTGACACTGCTCCTGCCCTGCCACAGCCCCTCCTATTCTCAGAGCTAGGTGGTGGGGGCCCTCTTGGGGCTGCAGGGTAGCAGGATGCCTGGGTCCCAGCTGCAGCCCCTGTTCTTGCCCCCTATGCAGGAGAATGAGGAGCTGGGGAGACGGCTCTTCTCTGAGGCTTGCTGAGGCTGGCAAACGGGTCTCGCTCTGTCGCCCAGGCGGGAGTGCAGTGGCGCCAACACGGCTCACTGTAGCTTTGACCTCCTGGGCTCAAGCAATCCTCCTGCGTCAGCCTCCCTGGTAGCTGGGACTACAGGCACGCACCACCACGTCAAGCTAGTTGGGTTGTTTGTTTGTTTGTTTTTTGAGATAGAGTCTTGCTCTGTCACCCAGGCTGGAGCACAGGGGCACAGTCTCGGCTCACTGCGAGCTCCACCTCCCAGGTTCAAGCGATTCTCCCGCCTCAGCCTCCCGAGTAGCTGGGATTACAGGCGCCTGCCACCATGCCCAGCTAATTTTTGTATTTTTGGTAGAGATGGGGTTTCACCATGTTGGCCAGGCTGGTCTTGAACTCCTGACCTCAGGTGATCCACCCGCCTCGGCCTCCCAAAATGCCAAGATTACAGGTGTGAGCCACTGTGCCGGCCTAGTGTTTGTTTTTTTAAGAGAGAAGTTTTCAGTTTGTGGCCCAGGCTGCTCTGGAACTCCTGGGCTCAAGCCGTCCTCCCACCACAGCCTCCCAAAGTGTTGGGATTACGGCAGGTACCATTGCGCCCAGCCCACCTCTCATTTTTGATACTGGTGATCACTCCATTGATGAGGAGTTACAGGGTAAGGGGTGGGCCACTGACCCCCTCCCTCACCTGGGGGCTTCCTGTGGTCTCTGGGCAAACTGAGCTGGGTGTACCCACATTGGGGAGTGGCTGGGCACGGACAAAGCTCTTACCTGGACCTCTGAAGGCTGGGCTGAATGCTCCAGGGAGCAAGAGCTGGCCCAGGATGTTTGCTGGAAGCAGAGCGTTTCTGGGGCAGCTGTGGTCCTGGGCGGCTCCTCCTCCCTTCCCTGCTGCCTCCTAGCTGCGACTTTGTGCAAGCCTCATCACCACTCTGAGCCTCACGTCCATCTTGTGCAGGTGGAGGAGACAGCTGGGGCCAAGCCACTTTGCACCATGGCTTCGTCTCTCTGTGCCTTTAGGCTTCCCACATGTGAATTAGGAAGGTGGGAGCTACAGGCCAAGGGCGTCCCACCCCTAGCCTTAGCCTGTGCCCCTAGGTGAAAAGTGCTCAGTGGCAGCCCCTGGGGGACCCTGCAGGCTTGGCCCAGCCTCCGCCTCCCTCGTCCCCACCTGCTGGCTGAGCGGGTCTCTCTGCTTCCAGTTTCCAACTCTTTGCAGATGCCAGTTCCCATACCTGGCTCACGCCTATCAACCCTCCCAGCCTAGCAGGAATGACGCTAGGTCTTCCCTCACTTACAGTCTGGCGGTACCCTGCTATCAGCTGTGAGACATGCACACTTGACACGTGTCAGACACAATCCTGAGCCTTCTACAAGTGTTCCCTCTTACTCCTTGTGGCCGTCTTCAAAAGTAGGTCCTTCAGCACCATAGGAAAGGTTAAAAAAAAAAAGTAAATTCTGTTACAGTGCTTTTTACAGACATGGAAACTGAGGCACAGAGCTAGTGACTGACCCACCAAGGGAGGTGGCCAGGCTGGGGCTCTCCTGGGTCCACCTCCAGAGCTTCCTCCCCTAACACCGTGCGGCTCCCCCATGGCATGCATAGTCACAGGGAATGACACACTGATTTCTCTTTGGCCTACATCTACCTCCCCGATGTGTTTATTCCACGGGCACAGGGACTTTCCCCATTTTATTCACCATGTCATCTCGAATAGTGTGTGGCTCAAATACCCATATGACGAGAGAACAGATGAGTGAGGGGCACTGCTTCCCCCCAGCACCTGCCCTCTATCTGAGAACCATCCGGCCCCACTGCCAGCTCCTAGCACAGTTCTGGCCCCTGGGAGGCCTTGTGTGTTTCTTGAATGAATGAGTGACTTTTGGACAAGCTAAGAGCCACCTGGTGGGCTGCACACACGCAGATATTTGCACAACAAACACCAACGAGAGGGCAGGAGCCTGAATGACACTGTGACCCTCTCCGGGTGTTGAGGGCAGGGCTGGCCAATGGCTCGACCCTTGTCCTGACCCGATATCCCCTCTTACGTGGAGAGAGGGCAGTGGGGCCTTGGTTCTCAGGCTCCAGCCCCAACTTCCTGTGCCGGCCACAGCCTGGTGGGAAGGGAACAGTGAGAAAAGCCCCTCGAAGGACGGGACCTGGAGCCGTTTCCGATGGTCTCCCACGCTGGAGTCAGCCTCCACGGGCTGGGGAGGGGGCCCCAGGCCAGCTCCTCGCAGGCTGCTTCCCTCCCTCATTCATTCCCAAGGAGATCGTGGGAAGTTCGGAGGAAGCTGGCCATGGTTTGGGGTGAGCTATTTTTGGTAACAGGGTCCTTCGTCTCAGGCTCCAGGGGCCAGGGTGACTGGGAGGAGCTGTTTGCATTTCCTCTGGCCCCCTCAGCTCCCCACTGCCAGGGCCCAGGAGGACAGGGCCCCACCCACCATGTGAGCTTCCCTCTCCTCCCAGGGGCCGGGAGCCTTCCTGCTGGCAGCTCCAGCACCTCGGGAGGGCCAGGAGAGGCACTACTTGGCGCTCTCTGGACGTTGCCCAGAGGTGGGTCCCAGGCCCTGCCTCTTGCCTGGGGCAGCCACAGTGATCCTCGAAATCCCCCAGTTTACACGGTGCTTTGCCACAAGCCCTGCCCTTCCACATGGTGACAGCCCTGGGAAGCGGGTGGCACCGCATCGTGAGCCCCTTACACAAGCGAGAGAAATGAGGCATTGACAGAGTGTGACATCCCCAGGATCACACAGCTCTTAGGGGCAAGAAAGTGCCAGTGCCTTTAGCCCCTGGCGCAGCAGGGAAGGGGCCTGGAGCTGGGGAGTGAGGCAGCCCTCTCCTTGGTAGGAGGGACACTCGGGAGGAGCAGCCAGGTTGGCCTCTGGGTGCAGAGCTGCCCTCAACTGGGGCGGAGGCGGGGCTGATCCCCGGGGTGCTTCGGAGACCACCCTTGGTCCCAGTGGGGACGTGGAGAAGGACCCAGCCCTTCCCACCCTCTGTGAGGCTTTCAGGCAGGTGGGCAGCAGAAGTTCCCCAGCTCAGGCCCATTCCAGGGGGCCCCGCCCACCAGCAGGGCCCTGGGGGCTCAGGTCCACCTCTTGCCTCCTGCAGAGCACGCAGGCCCATGAGAACAGCAGGGATAGCCGGCTGGCATGGATGGGCACCTGGGAGCACCTTGTGTCTACTGGATTCAACCAGGTAGGGGGTTCCTCCTGGAGGAGCAGGGCACGGCCAGGTGGGGACATGTCCAGCCCTTTGGGCGGGGACGAAACCAATGGGAGGCGGGGGACTGAGGGCCAGTTCCAGGCCTGTCCATATACGGCCTGGCTGTGCTGCCGGGTCTCAGAGCCTCAGGGGACTGACGGCTGCTGAAAACTGGCAGATTCCATTTGTAATAGCTCAGCCTGACCCCAGGAGCCATAGTGGCCCTACAGGGACCCGAGAACACAGAGGGAACCGCCCCTCATCCTTTGTCACCTAAGGGTTCTTAAAGGGGCAGAACATGAAAACCCAGATTCTCTTTCCCTGGGGTGACTCCCACCCCCACTCCAAGCCCTGCTCTGGGGCAGGTGCCCCGTGTCAGGCTGCACCCTCAGGCGCTGGTTTCCCTGGGAGCCCCCCGGGTGGGGCTGAGGGACAGGCCCCTCTGAGCCCCTCTCTCGCCCTCCCTGCAGATGCGTGAGCGCGAAGTGAAGCTGTGGGACACGCGGTTCTTCTCCAGCGCCCTGGCCTCCCTCACCTTGGACACCTCGCTTGGGTAGGAGCTGCGGCACGCAGGTGGGCTGGGGGGCTGATGACCCAAGGCGCCGCAGGTGAGGGCACCTGATCCGGCCTGTCAGTGAGGCGGGCTGATCTCCGGGGTGTTCTGGGGTACCTGATCTGGGCTGCAAGGCCTTGCAACAGACACCTGGCCCTGTACCCCCGGAGCTTCCAGATGTCACGAGCAGCAGGTGCTCAGGTGCCCCTCTGGCCCCTGGTAGCAGAGTGGGCCCTTGGTCACCAGAGGTTTCATGGCTGGGGGTTGACACAGGTATGCTTGGCATTCAGGGAGAGGGTGTGATCCAGAAGTGCAAGAATACGCTTCATTTTTCTGTGGATGTTCTGGCAGGGCTGAGGCCCAGGGAGGCTCCAGGCTATGATAGGAGGGTGGACGTGGGCATTGTTGGACAGCCTGGCAGGGTGGGGGTGGGGGTGGAGGTGGAGGTGGAGGTGGAGGTGGGCCTTGGCTTATGCGGCCCACTGAGGTTTATGCGGCCTACTCCACACCAGCCACATGGCTGTCCTGTTCTATCCTGAGGTATGTCCCCAGGTGGGGCTGGTGCCCAGGCAGCCTGGGGGGCTCCAGGTGCACCTCATCCTTCCATCTGCCCCCAGAAGTGTGTGGAGAGGGCTTTTGGCAGTGCCTGGCGGGGTCCTGGCCAGGCACAGTCAGCTGTGTGCCGAGATGGCCTTGGCCCACTGCGGCTCAGGAGCCAGACACCAGGAGGCCCAGGGCAAGCATTTATGAGTGACTCATCTGTTCAGACCACCCACAACACAGCTGGGGAGACTGAGGCTGGGGGGGGTGTTCAGAGACGTAGCCAGGCAGGGCCGGGGTGGAGAGACAGGGACTCCATCCGCCTTCTGAAACTTCAACCGTGACTTATAAGGGCCTTGCTGGAATCTTCACAGGCAGGGGGATCCGAGAATGTCAGAGCCAGGAAAGGGGTGGTACTTGGCAAGCTTATTCATTCTTCCATTGCATAACTGAGGAAACTGAGTCACAGGCAACAGTGACCTGTCCAGGCTCTGGGAGCAGCAAGGGTATGTGTCTGGGGGTAAGGAAGGCTGCGGGATCTTCCGGGGAGTCCCCAGAAGAGCTCCCACCTGAGTACCAGCGAGAGCTCCTGCCAAGGGCTTCCCCGGGCTGAGAGCCGCCCAGAGGAGGGGTAGGGGTCAGGGTGACAGTGACGCCCTTTCCCACCCTGTCACACCCAGGGAGGGGCTGAGAAGCTGGCAAGGCCCATTTTACAGATGAGGGAGGCAAAGGTGAGCAAGATTCGGCACCTTCCCTGAAGCCATATGGAGGGTAAGAGGCAGAGTCAGGGCTGCCCTCAGCCTCCTGCCTGCTCTGGGCATTGGAGATTCAGGGAGGAGTCAGTGGGACCCGCCCCGCCTTGAGGAGTCGGAGCTCCCGGGCCTTCAGACTCCACGTCTAGGATCTGGCCCCATGTCCCCCATCCCAGGCCCGGAGCTGCCTGGCATCTTGTCTTCTAGACCTTTCTAGGTCAGACAGCCCCTTCCCTGCAGGGCCCCCAGTGGAGGCATTTGTGTGAAGGGACCTGGCACCAGTCACTTCCACCCACCACTTCCTGCCTTCCAGGCTCTGCCCCCAGTGACAGGGTCCCCATCCCCTGAAAGCGTCTCCTGCCCGGCCCCAGTGTGGCCTCTGGAGGAGTTAATGATGCCCAGACCTCACGGTGCCACTGGCCAAGGCTGACCCTGTAATTACCACAGTTAAGAATAGCCTCGAAGGACCAGTGAGGACTGGAATTTCTCAAATCACTCCCAGATGGGTGGCCAGGCTAGGGTCCTCTCCCCTCTGCCCCCGAGCCCTGGCCCCTGCTCTGCCAGCCCCCATGAAGCTGGTGGATGCCAAGGATGTGTGCCAGCCCCCCAGCTGTTCTGAGAGGTGGCAGGTCCCCTGCACCCCCAGGCGTCCTGGAAGCTGGAGCCCCCCACTAACTCCCTGGGGTGCCGGGGCCTCTGAGCAAATCTAGGCTGAGCATGGAAAGTCTGGAGTGTCATCTGTGGGCACGGCTAATGGGGAGGTTGGCAACTGCATCCACTCCACCACCCTCGAGTTCTTCTGTTTTACAGATTTTCCATCTTGGCTTGGGCAGAACAGTGTGTGCCCTTATGAGAGCTAGAGGAGGCCAGGGTTCGTGCACACACCCCGTCCCCTCCTCATCCTCACCCAGGGGCCTCCGCTGTGGTCCCACCTATGCCCTTCCCCTGACATTTGTGGAGTATCTAAGGGGAAGCCAGCCACAGTGAGAGGAGCAGGGGCTGGGAGCCAGGCCAGCCTCGAACACCAAGGTCCTGTCTGTGCTCAGGCAGCCTCCACGGAGGGCTGCCCAGCACTTTGTGTGCTTGGTACCATGCTTGGCGCAGGGTGGAGGTGGGGGGATAACGAGAGGGACTGGCAGCCTGCACTGAAGGAACAGCTCATGCTTTGGTCTTGGAGATGCAGAGATACACCTGTCTTGGGTGCCACGCTTCTGGGTGTGAATTGAGCGGGGATGAGTGTGTGAATGCCTGTGAGGGGGCTGGGTGAACTGTATCACCCCCTACCCCCATAGAAGTAGGGTGTATTGCTTCTGTAGCTCACAGTGGCCCTAAGCCCTCCCGCGTGGCCGGCAGCCCCACCCGTGGCTGGGGAGCAGGTGCTGGGGTCCTGTCTCCACTTACTGTGAGCATGTTGTCTTCCCTCCCTGTGGCCACTCCTTTTCAATAGACGAGGTCGCCGGGCATGAAACAAGAGCATGTGTCACCCACATGGCCCAGGGCCTGCTGCAGTCAGCACCTGGTGATGGGGGCTCGCACACCCCCACGTCTGCCCCTGGTCCCTGGCCTAGAGTCGGGGGGCTTGTCCCGGGTCGAGGCTGCATCTCAGCTTGGTCGCCCCCTGGCTGGGTTCTCCCCTTCCCCGAAGCCCTGATCTGATGGCACACTCCAGACACTGTTCCAGGGAAGGCTTCCT